>NC_000020.11:20694538-21322741 GCF_000001405.40 Homo sapiens
ACTCACAGGCACACAATCTGCTAACAGCATGTGAAGGCCTGAAACTCATGACCTGAAGGATGGGTGATAGGGAATTTTGTTATAGGAGTCCAGTGGAACACACTACAGCCATTGAAGTCTTATGTAATTCTTCACTTACTGATGTGGAAAAATATCCAAGGCTTTAAGTCAAAAACACAGTGTTAGACCATGCAGATGACTATTCATGTAAAACCGTGTTTGTGTGTGTAAGCGAGGCAGGTGCAGGGAAGAGAGAGAGAAAGGAATGCACCCAAGCAAGAGCCAGCCTGGAAAGCACGTTCACCGGGATTTCAGTAATGCTTGGCAGGGGACTGCAGAATTTGAGAACCCCTTGATACCTAAATTATTTTTCATATATTCATATTATCCAAATGTTTATAATGAGTATGTAAAATTGTAGAACCAGAAAAAGCTATAAAGCTGTTTTGGGGGGTACTTCCAGGGCGTTCGAGAAAGGGATTTTTTTCAAAGCCTGAATATTTACTGCAAAAAACTCATCAATCATGACACCAGGCCATACTTTTTTCCAAACCTGTCTTACTTTTCAACTTTGAAGAAATCTTAAGACCCAAACAATATATAAAAGAGTATCTTTACCAATTCTAAAATGTTGTAAAAAACAGCAAATGACTTAAATTTTCTCTATCCAACTTTTAAATTACTCCTTCTGTAACAGCACATACATGGTACATAATGCCTTAGAATGACCTAGTTATCTGGAGAAGCTTTGCTGTTTTTGTGTTTCTCTAGACATCATTCACTGAAAAGGATAAAAAATAATAGAACTGGGCAGAAAGACATTTCTCTGTCCAGCCATTCAGCAGCTAGCACTGAGTAGGCATGAGCAAATGTTTGACACTTTTGAATGCAAAGATGTGATGAAATTTCCAGTCACAATGAGACCCATTCCCAAGACCTGGGAGCCTTAGTCCATATGAGTCAACCTTTCCTTGTTGTGCTTAAACCTGACGCTGACTGACTGTCAACTGACAGAACAGAAGCTTCTTCATAGCACACTATAAAAGTGCTAAAGACCTGGTTTATGCTCAGAAATGATGTCTCTGGAAGAATACAAATGATTGTCCTCCTGTATGTAGCTAACCTAATACTGTCATATTTTGAAACACCACAGCCACCTTTCTGAGTAAGACATAAGGTTCAGTTAGCAACACTGGTTCATAGAATTACATCTTTGCAATTAACACTGAGCCAAAGATTAAGATTCCCTCAGGTCTTTCCATTGAGAAAAGACCAACATAAAGCACAACTGGGGTCCTAATTTGGGTGGATATCTGATGTGGAGCCAATCTGCAGTGTTTGCTGCCTTTGCAACCATTCATATTAAATTGTTGTTGTACTGACCCATCAACATTTTTCTGGTCTCATTCTTCTCCAGCCACTGACAGATCTCCATTTTTTTTTTGTCAGCATCAAGGGCACTTTTTAATATGCCTGCTCTCTGCCTGTCAGTAGATTTGGGGATAACAGCAAGCCCGTCTCCATATTGTTACAAGCTCAGGCCGCTGTGTGGGCCCATTACATGGCCCAATGTACTCCAGCTTTCCTGTCCCACTGGCCACAAAGTGTTTCCGTCCTGTCTTCTCATCACTACTCGCTGCTGCAGTAAGGAGGGACACAGGCTGCCTGTCCCCATCTTCCTTAACACCTTTGCTTGCTACAGATTCCACAGCCACTCATTCCTCTTCTCTGGCACTTCTTTCTCTCTCTTCCCTCTTCTCTTGTCTGCCTCCAGTCACTGGTCGGTTTTTGGGCCAAAGATCTGACCTTTTATAAAGTAAGCCAAAGAAAGCTTTGTTACAAAGCTTGTGGTCAGAAAACCTATCTCTGGCAAGCTAACCAAGCAAGTGTAGTCTCTATGAGGGAACCACATTGATTCCTTTACACCTAAAGGTCAGTTCAGATCACTCCTCTGCTCTTTGCTTCACTGGAGTGCCCCATCTTATCTTACTTAGAGTAACATCCCAAGTCCTTACTGGGATGCCAAAGTTCCACACCATCTTATCCCTATTTCCCCTCTCCCACCCCCGCTCCTTTCCCAGTTCCTTCTATCCTCCACCCCTCCACCCCTATTGACTTCCATGAGATTTCCAGTCTATTTATGACTCAGATCCTGGTACTTACTGTTCCTTCTGCTTAGAACACTATTCCCCAAAAATAATCACAAAGCTGCTCCCTTGCTTAACCCAGGTCTCAGTCCAAACCTCCCTTCAGAGAGGCCTTCCCTCACCCCAATATCTAAATAAGCATACACATACCCTTATCAAGCTTAATTTTTCTATCATCATTACCTGAAATTGTATCATATATTTATTATTTGGTTTTTTTGTTCTTGATTTTTAGAGATGGGGTCTCACTGTGTTGGCCAGGTTGGTCTTGAACTCCTGGCCTCAAGCAATCCACCTGCCTGGGCCTCACAAAGTACTAGGATTACAGGCATGAGCCACTGCACCCAGCCTGTTATTTATTGTCCATCCACCCTAATAGAATGAAAGTCCCATAAGTGCTAGGGCTTCATCTGCAAATAGCAGACACTCAGTCACTATATGTGGAATGACTTTAAAAACAGTGGAAACAGTCTAAGCTATGTAGACTTAAAGAGTGGTCAATCCCATTTGTTAAAAGGGCAACGCTTTACTTCCATCAAACTAGAAAAATAATCCTCTCACTTGAGCCTGGGAGAGCAAGGCTGCAGTGAGCTGTGATCACACCACTGCACTCCAGCCTGGGTGACAGAGTGAGACCTCCATCTCAAAAAAAATTTTTTAATTAAAAAAATAGAAAAATAATCCTCAAATATGACTCCCATAATCTTAAATAGAATTTACAGAATGTCATCTAAGGTTTGCTCAATGTTTTATGATTATTAGCACAAAAGTCAATGAATGTCATGTGGTACAAATGGGCGTGGGCAGAGCTATAAGCAGTTCTGTTGTGGGAGGTAATGTGCCAGAATGCCTTTCCTCTACTTTCTCGGAAAGACAGGAGCCAGAATGAGGTTCTATCTCTAGGAACAGGACAAGTGATCCAGGCTGACCAATCACAGTACCCCATCTCCCTCACCCAGCGATTGGTACAGGAATGGGTACAGGCCCTAGGGGAGTGGCCACACTCCTCTCAAGGGTTACTAGCTGCCAGGACATGTCAGGCTGGCAATGCTAGAGACCACCACACCTGTACCTGGCAGAGTTGGCCTGAGAATGAAGCAGAAGCACAGAAAACAAAAAACACGGAACCAAAGGTAGAGACAATTTTCCACCAAGTTGGGAGGTGGGAAAAGAGAGTGGATATGAGACTGGGTAAGTACCCTGACCACATACATCCCTGTGGACAGTCATCTCTAAAGCCAAACGCTCCCTTAGACTGTTTAGTTACGTATGTCATTAAATCCTCTTTGGCATGGGTTTCTGCCACTTGCAACCTAAAAGTCCTAAGAATTACAAATACAAATGTACTCAACATATACTACCCTCCTGGTGGAGCAGAATAATTAAGAAAAGAAAAAAAAAAGCCTAGTCTGGTTAAACATATACATACAGGTGGCTGTCAAGAGCTGGGGAGAGGAGGGAATAAGCAGTGAATGCTTAATGGTTAGTTTTCCAGGGGTGATGAAAATGTTTTGGAAGAAGATAGAGGTAGCAGTTGCAAAATGCTGTTAATGTATTAAGCACCACTGAATTGTTTACTTTTAAATGATTTTTTTTTTTTTTTGAGACAGAGTCTCACTCTGTCGTCCAGGCTGGAGTGCAGTGGCTCAATCTCGGCTCACTGCATCCTCCACCTCCTGGGTTCAAGGTTTTTGGTTTTTGGTTTCTTTGTTTTGTTTTGTTTGAGATGGAGTCTCGCTCTGTCACCAGACTGGAGTGTGGTGGCACGATCTTGGCTCACTGCAACCTCCATATCCCGGGTTCAAGTGATTCTCCTGCCTCAGCCTCCCAAGTAGCTGGGATTACAGGCACCCACCACCACGCCTGACTTATTTTTGTATTTTTAGTAGAGTATTTTGTATTTTTAGTTTTACCATGTTGGTCAGGCTGGCCTCAAACTCCTGACCTCAGGTGATCTGCCCACCTCAGCCTCCCAAAGTGCTGGGATTACAGGCGTGAGCTACCGTGCCTGGTCTAAAATGATTAATTTTATGTTATGTGAATTTCACATCAATAAAAAAAATTAACATTCAAACAATGCTGCAAAGCACTTCTTGATGGTAGAATAGGCTTTTGCGAAAGAGGAAACTGGGTCAAATGGGATATACATTTCAAAGATCATTGATCTGTATTAACAAATGACTTTTCAGAAAGATTGTTCCAAGTTACAGTCCTATCAAAAATGGAGACAGCTTACACAGTATACTATCATCAGAGAAAAAAGACAACAGCAAATTTGCTAATATAATGGATGAATATATTTTAATCTCTAAGTTTATATATTTAGATTACTAGTGAGGAATAAACACTGAAAACATTCTTATGGGTCTTGGCATTTGTCCATTTGCAATTTACATATACATATATTTTGAACATTTATTTATCACAATTTTTCTGGTTAATTACACGTTTTTTATGTATTATGTATGTAACTATTTCTCCTCTTATAAATTTCAAATATTTTTCCAGTTCATTATTTACTTTTTACTTCAAAGGTGATGTGTCTGTTTCTATATTTATTTATTTTAGGAGCAGGGAAAGAGAAATGGAACAATTCTTTCCAAAATAAATATTTGCAATATGACACACACAGACAAAGACACAGACACATGTTGAGAAAGACTAGAGGATATTTTACTTCCACTCCAGGAGTTCAGCATAAGCTATACCACGTCAAGCCTAACTGGCCAAATGCATCCTCATCTTATTAGATACTATAGAGTCCATGGAATCGAGAGAGAGTCTGCACTGTTTACACCAGGAATATGACCAGACAGAAATAAAACACGGTAATCCCTAACAGAAGTTGTAAAGAAGCAATGTATGTCTTCAGTTCCCCTCTCTTCCATGCAGTTCTGAAAACACTATCAAAGATTTCATTTAAAAATTTTTCCAAATAACCCCATTTAAAAAATGGGCAAAGACATGAACAGATATGTCACAAAAGAAGACATACAAGCGGCCAACAAACATATAAAAAAGTGCTCATCATCACTAATCATCAAAGAAATGCAAATCAAAACCACAATGAGATACCATCTCACACCAGTCAGAATGGTTATTAAATAGTTAAAAAAAATGACAGATGCTGGTGAGGCTGTGGAGAAAAGGGAACACTTATACACTGTTGGTGGGAATGTAAATTAGCTCAGCCAATGTGGAAAGCAGTTTTGAGTTTCTCAAAGAACTTAAAACAGAGTTACCATTTGACCCAGCAATTCCATTACTGGGTATATACCCAAAGGAAAAATAAATCATTCTACCAAAAAAAACACATGCACTCATATGTTCATTGCCATGCGATTCACAACAGAAAAACATGGAATCAACCTAACTGCCCATTAGTGGTGGATTGGATAAAGAAAATGTGGTACATATACACCATGGAATACTACACAGCCATAAAAAAGAATGAAATCATGTCTTCTACAGCAACGTGAATGCAGCTGGAGGCCATAAACCTAAGCGAATTAATGCAGGAACTGAAAACCAAATACCATATGTTCTCACTTGTAATTGAGAGCTAAACACCAAGCACAAGGGGACATGGCAATAAGAGACACCGTACACTACCTAGAGGGGGGATGGAGGGAGTGGGGTATGAGTTGAAAAACAACCTATTGGGCACTATGCTCACTATGTGGATGACGGGATCCATACCCCAAATCTCAGCATCACACAACATACCCACGTAACAAACCTGCACATGTACCCCCTGTACCTAAAATAAAAGTTGAAATGTAAAAAAACAATTTCCTCACTAGCTGTAACAGGTCTTTGATTGGGGGATGGGGTGGGGAATGTGACTCAGTTTTGGTTTTCATAAATTTAAAACTTTACAATAATGTCTCTCCAATTTTGTTCTCATGAAAGACTATCTGGGGAATTTGCCTAAGCCTGCCCTTGCCAACAGCTCTCCAGCATTACTGCCCCTCTTTCCCCCGAACCCCATCAAGGTTTACGAACACCAATCTCTTCTCCCTTTGGTTCACAGAAATAGTCCTTTCTTATATCTATTCCCCTTAGAATCCAAGGGATTGGTCTGATAATGAATGTGTGTAAGCAAAGGAGATTAGAGAATTCATTTGGGAGAAACCACCACTCTTAATTCATGATCTTGAATCATTAATTTAATGTTGGGAAATTCTGACTGATGAAAACAAGCCTTTGGGGCAGGAAGGCTTTCAGGAATTGTTTAAGCCATGACGGACCAGCTCAACTCCCCAGTAGACTTAGATCTAGCTATTCTGAAATCACATTTTTGGTTGTTGTGGGTTTTTTTTAAAAAGTTACTTATTCTAAACTAAGATTGCAAGCTCTGGTATGCCTAGTGCTATGCACAATGTCTGCCACGTAGTTTGTGTTGGACATATAACTGCTGAATAAATAAAGGAACTCGAGCCAGCTCCCTGGGTTCAAATGCTGATTCTGCCACTCATTGGATGTGTAACCTTGAACAAGGTTCTTAACCTGTCTGTATCTCATGTGTAAAATAGGGATAATGATATTCCCTATCTCTTTGGGGCAGATTAAATGCATTAATAAATGTAGAAATATTTAGGGCACTGTTCAGCACATAAAAAGTACTAAATAAATATTATTATTATTGAAATAAGGGAGTAAGTTACCAACAGAAATCAAGATGAAAAAGAAGCTGCTCAGGTTCTCTATGCACTTATCATTTAGTGGGAAAGAACACGGATAAGGCATGAACACAAATAAACATGGTGTGGGCCGGGCGCGGTGGCTCACGCCTGTAATCCCAGCACTTTGGGAGGCCAAGGCGGGCAGATCACGAGGTCAGGAGTTCAAGAAGAGCCTGGCCAACATGGTGAAACCCCATCTCTACTAGTAATACAAAAAAATTAGCCGGCACATGCCTGTAATCCCAGCTACTGGAGAGGCTGAGGCAGGAGAATTGCTAGAACGGGGGAGGTGAAGGTTGCAGTGAGTGGAGATTGTGCCACTGCACTCCAGCCTGGGCGACAGAGCAGGACTTCATCTCAAAGAATAAATAAATAAATAAGCATGGTGCGGCCAGGCGCAGTGGCTGACACCTGTAATCCCAGCACTCTGGGAGGCTGAAGTGGGTGGATCACAAGGTCAGGAGTTCGAGACCAGCCTGGCCAAGATGGTGAAACCCCGTCTCTACTAAAAATACAAAAATTAGCCAGGCGCGGCGGCAGGTGTTTGTAATCCTAGCTACTCGGGAGGCTGAGGCAGGAGAATCGCTTGAACCTGGGAGGCAGAGGTTGCAGTGAGCCAAGATCGCACCACTGCACTCTAGCCTGGGCGACAGAGCAAGACTCCATCTCAATAAAAAAAAAAAAAGAAAGAAAGAAAGAAAAGAAAAGAAGCATGGTGCAAAGCCAAAGGCCATTAATACCAAACAAAAGCTACAAAGTGCTGTGGGAATTCTGAGAAGAGATACATTCAGGGCAAGAGGATGAAGAAAGCCCACATGGAAGATAAAAAGTGTTGGCAATGTCTCCTGGAAAAACTGTAGATGGCAGGATGGACAACACCATCCAGGAAATGGATGGTAGATTAGTGTGGGTTCTCTGAGAAGTAGAGGCCAAGACAGGATTAGACATGCAAGAGATTTATTGGGGTAAATGCCCATGAAGGATAAATGAGAAGGAGCTGGTGAAGGCAGGGAGAGGATTTAGACCACGATGCAGGTCTGACCCCTGGGAAGGAGAAGGGGAATGAAGGAAGGTTGAGTAGGAAGTGTCAGACTTCAACATAGGTCTGAGAAGGTCTTAGGCCAATAGGAAGTCCTCAAGCCAAAGTGGCCCTTCAGAGGCATCTGAAGTGTGCAGGAACAGGCAGCATTAATACTCCTGCAGTGCTCAGTAATGGGCTAAGAGCTTCCCAAGGGAAACTAAGCTTTGGCTCAAAATTGGTAGATTCAGGGAGCAGCAGCTGGGGCCATCAGTCAATCATGCTCCCCACAACAGGAGAAGCAGCACATTCTTATGGCTCTCATAGTCAGGCACAAGCAATGTCACAAGTACCATGCTTGTACTTTCAGGCATGGTTAAGGTTCAATGAATATGTGTCATCACCTGAAATCAAACACAATATCCATGGGCTCCTGAACTTTATCAAAAGGGATTTTTTTAACTTAACCATAATTGTAATATCAAAATTTGATTACTACTTTGTCCAGGCATGGTGGCTCAGGCCTGTAATCCCAGCAGTTTGGGAGGCCGAGGCGGACTAATCACTGGAGGCGAGGATTTCAAGACCAGCATAGCCAACGTGGCAAAACCTTGTCTCTACTAAAAACACAAAAATTAGCCAGGCATGGTGGCACAAGCCTGTGATCCCAGCTACTCAGGTGGCTGAGGCATGAGAATCACTTCAACCCAGGAGGCAGAGGTTGCAGTGAGGCGAAATTGCACCACTGAACTCCAGCCTGCGTGACAAACCAAGACTCCATCTCAAAAAAAAAAAGAGATTACAACTATTTTTAAAATAGCTGTGGCTTCAGTTTCTAAAACAACATAAAAGACATAAAATGGTTATGAAACATCACTTTTCTGAAAATTAAGGCTAAAACCCTGAATTGAGGATTCAGAATGAACTCAGAAACAAATCTACTAAGAATCTATATGGTAAATCCTTTAAATGACATAATCTCTCTAAAATTCCTATTTTAACTTTATCAAATTCTCAATTGCTAGATTTTGCTAGCGGATTCTGGATCCTCTCACCTGAAAATGCTATTTGTATTGACACATCCAGGAGGCTTTAACTATGTAAAGATAACCTGTATTAGAGACCACCTAAAATACATTCACAAATAGATATTTAATAAATTTCTTTTATAATTAATATGAACTGATTGCTTAAGGTAGTAATTTGATTAAATGAGACTATGAGAAGACATTTTGCAAAAGTGTAAACTGGTACATGAACATGAGATATCAACAGAGTTACATTTTATATGCGGTTAAGTCACAAGAAAGGCAAAAGTAGAAAAAATTAAAATGATCCTTTAACTCTGGAGTCATACCCAGCAGGGGGATGTTCTCACAATGAAAGGCATAAAGGAAAGAAGACTATGGACGACATGGCGGGTTCCTATGTCCCACCTTAGGTCCACTCTAGGGCACATGTTCATTGAGTGGAAGGGCACACAACATCTGTGCTACTTAAACTGGCCTCATTCTATATAGATTTTCCGCCTTCTTGATGAATATTTAACATAAACGTTAAATGCATTTTTCAGTCACTCCCTAAGGAAAAAAAACAAAGCCTTCCAGATAACAGATGTCCTTTTTTTAAGAGGTTATGTGGCACAGAAGAGGGAGCAAGACATATTCAAGTTCCTATCACCACATGAGTAAGAAAACTGGCTCAGCAAATGACTTCACCTGCTACCTTCACAGAGGGTACAGAAGCCATGGTGTGAGAACTCCCTCCATGTCCCCATCATCTAGCACCCCATTCCTGCTTCTTTCAAGTGGCCTTAGAGGAAGAGGTGTCCCTCTTGTTAAGCCTGATCTCCCACCCCAGGCTCTCAGTCTCACTGCAGATCACACCGTTCTGCATTATTATCCCCCGTTTCTTCAGTTTTGCTCTTCATTAGCTACTTCTCCTATATAAACTCAAATTCCTCCAGTTCTAAAAAAATATAAAAGTCAAATCTCCATATACACAAACACCTCCATGTTAGGTACTCTTTCAACTCCAAGACCCAGAAATATGACTCAAGCTAGTTAACATGTTACCAGTTCCTGCAACTGAGCAGCTCAAGAAGGTCCTGGCAAAGACATGGCCAAACTCAGGACTCATGGGCTTCCTCTCACTCTCCACCTCTCTATTGTCATTCCCTCTGAGAGTAGGATTCAATTTAAGGCACATGCTCCCCACATGGTGGGAAAAACAAATGCCAGCAGCCCAGACTATATCTTCAGGGCTTGCAATCCAAAGGAAGGGAGCTCTCTCTCTCCCAGCATCTATGTTTCAAATCTCAGAGGAGAATGGGATTCTCAGACACTAAATGGGAAGAGATAGGATGTGGCTCCTCTTCTGCTTAAAACCCTTCACTGGAGTCCCAACATCTACTTACGCCACAGGATAAAAGCCATTGTGCACTTAACTCCATGGTGCTACACACCATTACCTTTGCACAAGCTCCTCTCTCTACAGAACCCTCATCCCCAACTTGTCCATCTGGTAAAATCCTTTATCCATTATTCAAAACCTACCTCAGACCTAAGCTCCCTAAAGAAGCACTGGCTGGTGTCTCCAGGAGGCTTTGCTGCTGTTCCTCCTCTGCACCTGTGCCCACCTCTATGGTTCCACCACACTCCTCTGTGCCACTCAAAACCCTCACGGTAAATTTCATTGTTTACATGGCTATTTCTCCTACCAAACCATAAATCCTGGGCTTGTGCCTTATTAACATCCAAACACAGACTTACTTATATCAGGCATGCACTCACACAGTCTTTAAAACAATGTTTGTGACTTGATTTTTGTTGTTGTTGATACAGGGTCTTGCTCTGTCACCTAAGCTGGAGTGCAGTGGCATGATCAAGGTTCACTGTAGCCTTGACCTTCTGGGCCCAAGTGATCCTCCAGCCTCAGCCTCCCGAGGAGCTGGGACCACAGCACATGCAACCATACCCAGCTAATTTCTTCATTTTTTTTGTAGAGAAGGGGTCTCACTATATTGCCCAGGCTAGTACTGAACTTCTGGGCTGATCCTCTCACTTAACCCTAGCAAAGTGTTGGGATTACAGCCATGAGCAATTGCACCCAGCTTGATTTTTTTTTAATTCAAGTACAAGAATAGTTGTTTAATACCTTATATTCGTTATTCTTAATTTCACAGAACAATAATTTATATGCCTTCTTTTAAAAAATTTTTAAAATTCAAATTGAAACAACTTGCTATTTTGAAAGTCAAGTTTTGTTGTTGTTGTTGTTTTGTTTTGTTTTGTTTTGTTTTTGAGAGTCTTACTCTGTTGCCTAGGCTGGAGTGCAGTGGTGCGATCTCTGCTCACTGCAACCTCCACCTCCCAGATTCAAGCAGTTCTCCTGCCTCAGCCTCCCGAGCAGCTGGGATTACAGGCACGCGCAACCACCCCTGGCTAATTTTTGTATTT
The DNA here is from genome assembly GCF_000001405.40 of Homo sapiens. Classification (NCBI taxonomy): domain Eukaryota; kingdom Metazoa; phylum Chordata; class Mammalia; order Primates; family Hominidae; genus Homo; species Homo sapiens. The sequence goes on from NC_000020.11 coordinate 20,705,847, forward strand.
TTACTAGAGACGGTGTTTCACCATGTTGGCCAGGCTGGCCTTCAACTCCTGACCTCGTGATCTGCCCACCTCGGCCTCCCAAAGTGTTGGGATTATAGGCGTGAGCCACCGCACCCCGCCAAGGTTTTTTCTAAATAAAAAATTCTCTATAGTTTTATATTGATACCCCGTTTGGTAACCAAAAATCAGTACTCTACATACCTAGTAAAAGTATTATGCCTGTCCACAAATAAAGTACTTACAAAATAAAAATCCAAATTATAAAAGTTTACAGCAAAATATTCTAGACCTACCAATTATCTCCCTTCTCAGAGTAAAAGATGGAAGCCAACCTTTTTCAGTTATCTTAAACGAGTTTGGACATTTACCCTGTGTTCACTTTTCTCACATCAGAAGTCTAGACAACCTCAAGCCTTAGAGGGATGGATGGTGTATTTGTGCTACATATACGTGTCCAAAGTTCCATTTACATTCTAGAGGTTATAAATGTAATTGATGAAAAAACAGCAAAGGAAGCATTACGACAAAATCACTTTGTACCAAATAAGGTCAACAGAGAGAGACCATACTAAGACTGCCTGAAGAGTTTGAAATTACACCTCCCAGCTTTGTTCTAGTTGTAGAATGTCCACGTGGCATTAATGTCCACGCAAATATTTATCACCTGCTAGGCCTGCCAAGGTTACAGGGAAGGCAATGAACACTAAAACACCGGAGGAGATTGTTTATCGTCTGCCCATGCTCAAATCAAATATGATAATCCCAAGTCTCCCTAGAAAAATGCAGAAAAATGGACCAGAAAGAGAGAGGCCAATATCACAGCAACATTTCTGGGAGGCATGCAAAAACTGTTGTGATTTTGTTTCTATGTTATCATTCATTCTACTAGATAAATACATTTTCTGATATGTAAATTTCCTTTTGAATCAGATAACTAGCAGAAGCATAACATGGCCTTCATAATCAGATAAGTCTCAGCTTTCCCACTTGCTGGCAGACAAGTAGCTATTCTCACTGAGCTTCAGTTTCCTCAGCTGGGGATAGGAACACTTCCTTTGTCACAGTTGCAAAAAGATTCAATGATGTCATGATGATAATAACCAATAAAACTAAATATATGATAGCATTCTATCATTTCATTAAGGTCCAGATCCCATGTCCCACAACCCCCCAGACACGCCACTTGGATCTTGCCTTTTCTTAAACTCAACATGTAGAACACCAAACTCATCTTCCCCGTCCTTGCCCAGGATCCCTTCCCCCTTCCCAATTGTTCTCACTCTGTAGATGACACTCCTATTATCCCAAATACCTACCACCAATTATCAAATTATAAAAAGGTGTTTATTGGTAGTCAGACTACAGTGAAAATGGCAGCCTCAATCCTTGCTGCTAGCAGGGCCAATGGAGCAACACTTAGAAAAGCACTGTGAAACAAGTCATCGAATGTTCAAACCCAGCAATCTTACTTCAATAAAATCTAAGGAAATATCGAAAAAGCTGCTTCTCAAGATGTTTACTGCAGTATTACTTCTATCAGGAAAAGGGAAGGAAGAAAAAAAAGGAAAGAAGGAAGGAGAGAAAAGAACAAAATTTCACAATCCAGGAAATGGTAAGCTAAATTATGGGATATGGTCTCAACAAATGTTTGTACTTAAAAATGAGAGGAACAAAACATCAAAAATGCTAATGATAAAATAAAGACAACAGTTACAACTGTAAGTCAATTTGTTCCTACCTAGAGCAACATGAGCAACATATGCACAAAAGGAACTATACGACAATGCTATGTTTTGCTCTGTTTGTATATACAGCATTTGTGAGAGACGGTTCTCTACTCTCTGGTCCAAACCCAGGTCACTTGATTTGACCTGAGTCTGGCTTCTGATCCCCCAGCCAGCCTCAGCTTCTGCTTGTCAGGCTACTGTTCCACTCCTTCCCCAGGAACCTACCCTACCCCTGGCCTATGCAGGACACTGGGGACATCCTCTGGGCAAGGGTCCTCAGTGCCCAACACCACACCTCGCCATGTTACTTACCATCACTGTCATGTTACTTCTGCCACCAGCTCTTCCATCTTCCCCTGGTTGTAATTGACCTTCCCCTCTACTTTCCCAGATTCTAACCTTGCTATGTCCAGTGTGCAGCCACTAGTGACATATGGCTAATGAGCACTTGAAAAACAGCTAGTGTGAACTGATATGTGCTGTAAGTATACAATATACACTGAATTTCAAAAACTTCATATGAAAAAAAGATGTAAAAAATACTGATAGCATTTTATATTGATTACCTGCAGATATAATATATATTAAATACATGGAGTTAAATAAAATGCACTATTAAAATTAATTTCACCTGATTCTTTTTACTTTTTAACATGTGGTCACTAAAAAAGATTAAAATTGCACATGTGGCTTACATTATATCTCTATTGGACAGAACTAGTCTAACCATTCTTTGGAACCCAGCGTAAGTAAAACGTTGATATGATTTGGCTGTGTCCCCATCCAAATCTCACCTGGAATTGTAATAATCCCCATATGTCAAGGGCCGGGTGGAGATAATTGAATCATGAGGGTGGCTTCCCCCATACTGTTCTCATGGTAGTGAATGAATCTCACAAGATCTGATGGTTTTATAAATGGGATTTCCCCTGCACAAGCTCTCTTGCCTGCCACCATGTAAGACATGACTTTGCTTCTCATTCACCTTCTGCCATGATTGTGAGGCCTCCCGAGGCATGTGGAACTGTGAGTCAATTAAACCTCCTTCCTTTATAAATTACCCAGTCTCAGGTATGTCTTTATTAGCAGAGTGAGAACAGACTACTACAAATCTCCTTAAAGATGCCCCTATTTTTATGACATTCTTAATTATCTCTTTTGTTCTCTGAAATCCTATAATGGATTCTACCATATACCTGACCATCTAATTACATAACACACCATAAATTTACTATTATTTTGTATCTATTCTTCTCACTACATCAATGCCAGTTCTATATCCTAATTTAGGACTCATAGTAAGCACTCAACTTTTAATTAGAATCTGGCCAGGCATGGTGGCTTATGCCTGTAAGCCCAGCACTTTGGGAGGCTGAAGTGGGAGGATCGTTTGAGTCTGTGAGCTCAAGACCAGCCTGGGCAACATGGCAAAACCCCGTCTTCTACAAAAAATACAAAAATCTGGCCGGACATGGTGGCTCACACCTGTAATCCCAGCTCTTTGGGAGGCCGAGTCGGGCAGATCACCTGAAGCCAGGAGTTCAAGACCAGCCTGGCCAACACGGTGAACCCCTGTCTCTACTAAAAATACAAAAATTAGCCAGGCATGGTGGTACACACCTGTAATCCCAGCCACTCAGGAGGCTGAGGCATGAGAATTGCTTGAGCCCAGGAGGCGGAGGTTGCAGTGAGCCAAGACGGCACCACTGCACTCCAGCGTGGGTAACAGAGTGAGACTCCATCTCAAAAAAAAAAAATACAAAAATGAGCCTAGTGTGGTGGTACATGCCTGTAGCCCCAGCTACTCCAGGGGCTGAGGTGGGAGATTACTCGAGCCAGGGAGGCCAAGGCTGCAGCAGTTGAGGCAAGGTCAAACTACTGTACTCCAACGTGGACAACAGAGCAAAGATCCTGTTAAAAAAAAGACATGGAATCTTTGCTGGAGCAATATGGTAATACACAGGGTTTTTTGGTTTTTGTTTTGTCAACAGTGTAGGAAGAACTGGAAGTCACAGGACCTAACAGCTCTTCGTTCTTCCTCTAACATAAGTAAACCGTCTGCTACATGGCTTGATACGTGTCAAGCCTGCCTGTGCCTCAGCTTACCCCTCTGTAAAATAAAGTTAATCATACCAGACCAGTCTATAGCCAGGTGAAAGTATCTACATCCAAATTGGAGTTATTACCATGATACTAAGAAATACTCTACTTCCACAGCTAATTTTATGTTTCTCACCCAGTTGTTTTAAATACAGACTACTTTTTAGGAAAAGAGAACAAATTCATCACTATTATCAAAAATAAGAAAGACGGAGAAAAATTACCTATCAAAATACTGGTCCTATCCTATTAATGGTGGGAGATATGTAATGGGAAAGAAACTGTTAAAGGCCTACTTCAAGCTGAAGTCATTTATTCATCATACTCACAATAATCCTTTAAAAAGCAAACATTACCATACCCATTTTACAGAGCAAAGAAACCGAGGTTCAGAGACAGGCTACGTAACTAGCTCAAGTCATGAAGCTGCAGGCGGCAGGGACAGGCTGCAAATACCCAAGTAAGTGGCATAATCTTTGCATACTTAAAAAAAAACTTTATTATCACTTGAAGATAAAATATATGAAAAGCAAAAGTGTTATATAAATACACACATAAAAATACAATAGTAATTACTATTCATTTCCTTCAAATAGTTTCCTTAATCTTGGCTTAATTCCTAACTTTCAGTTCAAGAGGCCTTTGTTTTCTAAGTAGACTTTTTTTCGAGTAGCAATGAAATAGAATATGTGATTAGGTAGGAACTAGTGCATTACGTACTACTTTTTAAGTCTTTAATAAATCACAGGAGCAAGTGAAAGTTTACATTAAATATTATGACTAGAATTCCTCAGACACATTTTACAAAAATCTAGTCCCTACAAAGATCACAGTAATAAACAAAGCAAACTGGGCCACTCCACTAGTAAGTATATCAACAAAAAACATACACCTAAGGAAATATAAAAGAACCTCTCCATGTTACAAAACTGAGGTCATGATGAGTTCAGTGAAATGATAAAAGAAAGTTCCCTAAAATAAGACCTACACCTTAGAGTGAAACTACAATTTTACAAACTTGAAAAGAATCAACTTTCTCAGAATGGGAACAATGTACTGTGTGCTAAGAAATAACCTGATCTAGGTTTACTTGATTCTGCCTTTATAAAATGTAGCCAACTTAATCTTGCAGACCTGGACAGAACAAAAATTTAAACGCTAAAGCACAGAAAAAGGCTCAAAGTATCAAACGCTTTAAAACACAGCTCAACTCTCCTTTATCAAAAATGTCCCTGCAGTAGGTGTTAATCAGTCACTACCAGGAACTCCACACAATGCAACCTGTGTATTGTGCAACCTGTGCGTGCATGGTATCTACAGGAAGTAGAAAATTCAGTTTACCAAGAACGCCACACTTCACTCTCCACACTTCACTCTCAAAAGTCTTGAAAACGAATCCCTGTAACAGCAACTAATTTACATTTCATTTCAAACTGAACAAGTCAGTGTAACCTCAAGGTATGTGAGATTGTGAATAACTTCACTTGGCAAAATCAGGTGTGGTTTGGTTTGGCTTGGGTTCTTCTCCCCCTCAGAGGTAGAATATAAATAGAAATAATCAGCAACTTCTGATCTCATGAACAAGATCTTTATTTAAAATCTTCACACGTTAAATCATTTTATGCAATATTCTTTCAAGTGACAGACACATTAGCACTAGGCGATTTTTGTGAATTTTGGGACTAAAAGACACCTGGAAGAAACATAAGGTGTTCTTTCCTTCGCCACCAAATACACAGGTAAGTGTGTCTATAGATAGCAAAGGTGTTTTCATCCCAAAGAAAAGTTAAGACTTAGGATGTAAAAAAATACAGAAAACAAAACATAGCCTAGGCGAACCAGCTACAGATCACATGCAGCAGGTGACAGGAAGCCTTGTGGACACCTCACACCCACAGGGGCGAGCTTCATCACAGGTCAACTCCAAGCCCACCTGAGCTCCTCAGAACCTCCACCTGGCAGGCCATAAACCAGAAGGTGGCAGACAGCATCACTGTCATGCCGGTAATAAAGGAGAAGCAGCCTCCCTGAACCCAAGAAAACCACCCCTCTCTCCAAGCAGGAAGAGAAGGCCCCTTCACACCAAGGACACAAAGAAACTGAAGCAGCCAGACCCAAAATAAAAATTAAATTTAAAAAGCAGCATGGGAAGACAGATGACAAATCTGTGCTGGGATCGCCTGGAATCTCGGTCTATATGGGGGTCTCACACTCAAAAGTAAAAATAAAATTTAAAAGGGGGATGACAGAGATGAGAGCCCAATTAGGTCTGTGCTGGGTTCACTTGGGGTCTCGGTCTACTTAGGGTCTCAGACTCAAAAATAAAATTTTAAAAATGAAAGGGGGAGGTGACAGTTCAATGTGTGCACGTGATGACCACTTGGGATCCAGTTCACTTGCTGGGAGGACAGGGGACAGGTACCTCTGTGCCCGGCCTCCAGGTTCTCCGGGAGCGCAGGCGCCCAGCGAGAATCTGGGCTAAGTTTAACTCGAGGGCGACGGGAGCAGTGCCCGAGGGCCAGGCTGCGGCTTTCTGGAAACAAAGCCCCGGGGGTCCAAGCCCAGATCCAGGGAAGGGGGTCGGACGCCCACCCATCCCCCTCCCCAGCCTCCCAGCCACCGACCCCTGCACAGAGGAGCGCCCTCCCGGCAGGTGCCCCTAACCCGGCGCCCCGACCCCCGCGCCCGGCGCGCGCCTCACCCAGCAGCGCCCGCAGGTGCTTCAGGCGGGTCAGCACGTCCTTCTTCGGGTCCAGCACCTTCTGGGTGGACTTCTTCACATCCCCGTGGCTCCTTCGGGAGAACATCCCGCGGCAGGAAGCCCGGGCCCCGCCGGCGGGGCAGTAGGCGCCTGCGCCACGCGAATCAAAGCATAGGGTCGAGGCCGGCGCGTGTCGCGCGGGCCACTCGCCGCCCCCAGCCCCGCTGCTGCCGCCGCCGCCGCCGCCGCCGCCGCCTCAGCTGTGTCTCCAGGAAGGAGGGGCGGGCCGGTCACGGCGAGGGGCGGGGCAGGAAGGCGGTGTCGACGGGGAACCGAAGGCCCCGCCCCGCGGGAGGTGCCGGCCGGCCCCTTGGGCGCTACGCACGCGCACACAGGCCGAACTCTCCTGGCGGGACACTAGCCCGTCCGCGCCAAAACCTAGCGGGGACGCGCTCAGAGGGCCGAGAAGGCGCCTCGAATCACAAAGGAGCTTCTCTCACGCACACGTTGTACTACAAGTCCCGAGATGCACCGCGAGACAGTCCTCCAATCAGGCTGGCGGTCTTCGGCACGATGGGAGTCAGTGGGCCGGCATTGGGCACGTCGCCCCGCCCTGCCGCGGGCCGCAAGTGCTCCTGGGAAATGAAGTTCTCCAGCAGGCGACGCGCTGCGACCTCTTTTCCAGGGTCGCAGAAGCGCAGGGCGGCCTCTGTCCGTCCCCTGCCCCGGCAGCCTAGATCGCCCGTGGTTTCACTCTCCCTCCTGCGCGCCCACCCCATTTTCCTCTAGTGCAACGTGAACCACACACGCCCAAAAATCTCAGTAAGAAAAGTGTCAAGGCTTTTCAAATGCAAACTATTTTTAGGTTTAGCTTCTGGATTCACACAAGGGAGCGAGTCGAAGCCCCTCTGACCGTGCCGAAATCGCAGCTCTAATTTCACACTAAAATGAGTTGCTTTGGCACTAGGGAAGAGCGTGCCCCGGTGAGGAGTTCAGCCGGCCCCTAGGTTCCTGGAACCCAACCTCACTTGGGGTATGGAGGTCGCTCGCTCAGAGGGCTCCTTGGGATCTTGCCTCTTTGTAGGAAGGGTGCGTTCTCTGTTGTGCAAGCCACATGGCGATCCAGTAGCAGAACCAGAAATAGAACCTGAGGGATCTGACTCAGGCCTGTATACTTTTTAAAGCCAGGCGCTTATTCCCTGGGGCAAGACTTTGAGCTGAAAGATGGTCAGGAGATTTCTTACACTGTAGGATTGTATAGTGGCATCCGAATCCTGCAAGTTTTGACATCCTTTCAGCTTTTTCAGCAAGTACTTAAGGTAGAATCACGTGGTTTCCATCCAAATTGGGACAACACAACTGTCTTTTTCTCCTCTAGCTGAACTGTAACTTGAGGGAAGAGACAAGGATTTACACGCCTTTGTATCCCCATCCCTCAGCACAGTATTTGGCCCATAGGGTCACTCAATAAAAGTTTATTAAATGAAATACAATAAAAAGCTAAAGTAGTCCTACATATTTCAACCAGGCAGGCGAAAAGGAAAAAATAAATAAATAAACTCACAGTTTTAGAGCGTCTCTCTATTTTTAGATTTGTGTAATATTCCTTTGTATAGACACATTCATACAAAGGAATATTACTCAGCAATAAAAAAGAACAGACTACTGATAAACCCAATAACATGGATCACTCTCAGACCCGGAGATGAAAGCCCCATGCTCAAGATGATGGCAGAGCGGCCCTACCAGCCTGAGTCCCCAGATGATAACAGATCAGGACCACAAACTTCTAAAAGTGTAACAAGAGAGCAAAATAATGTCTTATCTTAAGTCAAGGCATTTTGAGAGTCTTCGTTACAGCAATTGAGCTTGTACCTGATTACACATAGTAAACCACAATGTTCACTGTCCAATTCCTTTAGGAGAAGATACTTTTCCTTACACTGATTGAAAAAATAGAATATACTTGTCTTAGGAAACTCCATTTTTTTAATTGCAAAGCAAGCTGCCATCATCATCAAACATTTATTGAGCACCTGCAATGTGTAAGGCATGATTCTAAACCCTGGAGATAAAAGATGTATAAGGTGCATCCTCCTGACCTCCAATGCTTCCAATCCAGTTAAGGAGGCTGAGCGATTAGATACATGTGGGAATAAATGACAGTGTACAGTGAACATGTGATACTATCAAGCTTGGTAATGCCAGAAACAGGCATCTGTGCATATAAATTCATCGCACCCATCATATCTAGCCTTTACCCAGTAATGAAAATGTAGAACTCCAATTCTTCTCTTAAAAAGGAAGAAACATATAGTATTATTATGTTGGTACTTTTTCACCCACTTGCATATTCCATATGGCTCTTCTTATTTTCTGTTGTTCTTTCTAAACTCGTTCCTGCTGGGCTGTGAACTCTTTGAGGGCTTCACTTGCTTTGCACTGAATTCTTTATCCCTGGAGTTATAGAGTGCCGAGTGTTATGCAGACATTAAGTGTTGTTGAATAAATGTCCTACAGTAATCAGCAAATAAGAATAATGAGATCAAAAGTTTAAAACTTGCAATGCAAATTAAAACTACTCTGAAATATCATTTGAATTAGAAAAAACAAGCAAACAAAAAACCTCTACAGAGACAAGGTGTGATAACACACTCTAGTCTGGTGGCAGAGCTATAGAAAACATAGCTGGTAGAAATGTTAGATGCTACAACTCTTATGGAAGGAAATTTGGCAAAAATAAATATTTGCCTTTTGACCCAGAATTTCAATTTCTTTTTTTCTTTTTTCTTTTTCTTTTTTTTTTTTTTTTTTTTGAGATGAAGTCTGGCTCTGTCACCCAGGCTGGAGTGCAGTGGAGCTATCTCGCCAGGTCCAAACGATTCTCCTGCCTCAGCCTCCCGATTAGCCGGGATTACAGGCGTGCGCAACCACGACTGGCTAATTTTTTTGTATTTTTAGTGGAGAGGGGGTTTTGTCATGTTGGCCAGGCTGGTCTTGAACATCTGACCTCAGGTGATCCATGGGCTTTGGCCTCCCATGTTTTGTTGTTTTTTTTTTTTTTTGACAGTCTTGCTCTGTCCCCCAGGCTGGAGTGCAGTGGTGTGATTTCAGCTCACTGCAACTTCTGCCTATCAGGTTCAAGCGATTCTCCTGCCTCAGCCTCCTGAGTAGCTGGAATTACAGGCATGTGCCACCATGCCTGGCTAATTTTTGTATTTTTAGTAGAGACAGAGTTTCACCATGTTGGCCAGGCTGCTCTTGAACGCCTGACCTCAAGTGATCCACGGGCCTCAGCCTCCCAGAATGCTGGGATTACAGGTGTGAACCACCACACCCAGCCAGAATTTTGACTTCTAGGAATCTACCCTGCAGATATTCTAATATATAACACTGGAAGGATTTAAAAAAAAACCTTAACATTAATGCCTACCTAAGTGGGATAGAGGATGAGGTGGAAAGGACTCAGTGTCCTCTCTGAGTATATCTTTTTATATTTTTTTCATTTTTGAACCATGTAAATGTTTTCCATATTCAAAAATTGAAACAGAAAAAGACAAGCCTGAAAATAAAAAATAAATGGAAAAAATAAAACTAACAATATATGTAATTGGTAGGATAACTCTATGGAGAAATAAATATAAAACCATGCATGGAAGTTTATTCCTTTCACCACTATTTATAATAGCCAATGTAGTGGGTTGAACAGTGCCCACCCTTCCCCCCAAAAAGATATGTCTATGTCCTAATCCCTGAAAACTGTGACTGAGACTTTATTTGGCAGAAGGATCTTTGCAAATATAATAAGATCCTCAGTTATCTGGGTAGACCCTAAATCCAATGACAAATGTGCTTGTAAGAAACAAAAGAAGTGAAAACATAGAAACAAAGGAGAAGGGCACATGAAGACCAAGGTAGAGATTGAGGTTATGGAGCCACAAACGAAAAGACCCTTATAGCCAAGAGAAACTGGAAGAGGCAAGAAAGGATTCTCCCTTGGAGTCTTCCAGAGGAAGCCCAACACCTTGATTTCAGACTTCAGGATTCCAGAACCGTGAGAAAATAAATTTCTGTTGTTTTAAGCCACGCAATTTGTGGTAATCTGTTGCAGCCACTCTAGAAAACGAGTATGACCAGATACCAGAGAGAACCCTGTGATTGTCTAACAAGGTACTTATATACACATACATCTATAAGTGGCTAATTTAATCCAGTTCATCCACACAGTGTAGCACTATGGAGTACTATGCAGCTGTTTAAAAATAATGGGAAAATTTCGCGTGTACTGACTTGACATAATTTTCCAGATACGTTGTTAAATATAAAAGGAACAGAATATTAAAAATTTTTTTTTCAAAAAGAAACACTGGAAGGATAAATAAAAAGCTAACATCAATTCCTACCTAAGTGGGATGGAGGATGAGGTGGAAAGGAATGAAACAGGGTCCTCTCTGAGTATACCTTTTTATATTTTTTTCACTTTTGAACCATATAAATGTTTTACATATTCAAAAATTAAAATAGAAAAAGACAAACCTGAAAATCAAAAATAAATGAAAAAATAAACCCAACCGTATATGTAATTGGTAGCATAACTATATAGAGAAAATAATTATTTCAAGTGATTTTTGAAAACAGTATTCTGATTGTACCTCCTTAGAGGGATGTATTCTAAGGGCAAAAAGATCTGCAAAGAATTAATAATTATTATTAAGAACCAAGATTTTCAGTGTAAGAGAAAGGAGATACAAAAATATCACATCAAAGAAAATGTGAAAACTCTGTAATACTAGATTTTACTTCAAATATCCATTTGAACTCATAATTTAAAAATACAGCATGTGTTGGCCAGGCGTGGTGGCTCACGCCTGTAATCCCAGCACTTTGGAAGGCCAAGGCAGGTGGCTGAGACTATCCTGGGCAAGATGGTGAAACCCTGTCTTTACTACAAATGCAAAAATTAGCTGGGCGTGGTGATGCATGCCTGTAATCTCAGCTACTGGGGAGACTGAGGCAGGAGAATCGTTTGAACCAGGGAGTTGGAGGTTGCAGTAAGCCGAGATGGCACCACTGCACTCAGTCTGGTGACAAAGCGAGACTCCATCTCAAAAAAAAAAAAAAAAAAAACTAAACAAAAACAAACAAACAAATGTCATACATGAATGAAATGAATGAATAAAAAGAAGGCCATACATTCTTTTCTATTTGCTGGACGCAGTGGCCCACACCTGTAACCCCAGCACTTTGGGAGGCCGAGGCAGACGGATCACTTGAGGTCAGGAGTTCGAGATCAGCCTGGCCAACATGGTGAAACCCTGTCTCTACTAAAAATACAAAAGTTAGCTGGGTGTGGTGGCAGGCACCTGTAATCCCAGCTACTTGGGAGGCTGAGGCTGGATTGCTTGAACTGAGAGTCAGAGGTTGCAGTGAGCCAAGAACACGCCAGGGCACTCCAGCCTGGGCCACAGAGCAAGACTTCATCTAAAAAAAAAAAAAAGAAAAGAAAAAGAAAAAAAACAGATATGCAGTTGTCCAACAATATTTATAAAAAGACTTTTTTTTTTTTTTTTGAGATGGAGTCTTGCTCTGTAGCCCAGGCTGGAGTGCAGTGGCACATCTCGGCTCACTGCAAGCTCCTCCTCCTGGGTTCATGCCATTCTCCTGCCTCAGCCTCCCAAGTAGCTGGGACTACAGGCGCCGGCCACCATGCCCGGCTAATTTTTGTTTTTTTAGTAGAGACGGAGTTTCACTGTGTTAGCCAGGATGGTCTCGATCTCCTGACCTCGTGATCCATCCGCCTTGGCCTCCCAAAGTGCTGGGATTATAGGCGTGAGCCACCGCACCCGGCCTATAAAAAGACTTTCTTTCCCACATTGAATTAACTTGGAGCATTGGTCAGTTATCAATCAACCGTGTACGTATCTATTTCTGGATTCTCTGTTCTGTTTCATTGATCCAGTTGTTTAATCCTAGACCATTACCCCTCTGTCTTAAGCTTTATTGAAAGTCTTGATTTCAGGTAATGTATATTATCTTTGTTCAAGATTATTTTGGGTATCTAGGTCCTCTCCAATTCCATATAAATTTTAGAATCAGTTTGCCTATTTCCTTAAAAAAAAAAATCTGCTGTGTGTTCTTGTTCTTCTAATCTCTGTAAGTGCTAGAAGCAATCATCCCCAGTGGTAATGGAATATTGGTTTCCAAATACCATTCTCCATCCTAAGTAATCAGGTTCTTTTTTTTTTTAATGAATTAATTTTTAAAAAAAGTAGAGAGAGGGTTTTGTCATGTTGCCCAGACTGGTCTCGAACTCCTGGACTCAAGCAATCTGCACACCTCGGCCTCTCAAAATGCTAGGATTACAGGCGTGAGCCAGCACACACACAGCCATAATCAGAGTTCTTTAGAAAAATGGCTGATTCCAGGTCTGGGGCAAGGAAAATACAGGGAATACATAAAAAACTGTACTCAAAGGTCAACGGGAAAGACTCAAAACAAAGGAGTCTATGGCCAAATGTGGGATAATTTGATCGTCAAAAAGAATAATGACTGTGATTGATTATAAATAAAAATTCAGTCCTGGCATGATGGCTCATGCCAGTAATCCCAACACTTTGGGAGCCTGAGGCAAGAAGATAACTTGAGCCCAGGAGTTTGAGACTGAACTGGACAACATAGGAAGACCCTGTGTCTCCATAAAATAAAATTTTTAAATGTAATAAATACATAAATAAAAATTCAGGAATCTATAATGATATTCAAAAGACTTTTTTTTTTTTTTGAGACTGTGTCTTGCTCTGTTGCCCAGGCTGGAGTGCAGTGGTACGATCTCGGCTCACTGCAAGCTCAGCCTTCCGGGTTCACACCATTCTCTCGCCTCAGCCTCCTGAGTAGCTGGGACTACAGGCACCCACCACCACGCCCGGCTAATTTTGTTTTTTTTTTGTATTTTTAGTAGAGACAGGGTTTCACTGTGTTAGCCAGGATGGTCTCGATCTCCTGACCTCATGATCCACCCACCTCGGCCTCCCAAAGTCCTGGAATTACAGGCATGAGCCACTGTGCCTGGCCTCAAAAGATTTTTTTAATGTACTAGGTAAATATTTCAAGCAAAGGACATTTCTTACACCTTTGTTGATTTCAGCAGACTTTCATCTGGCTAAAATCTTTTCTCAGTAACAAGTTGGAAACTTGATCTGAACTGGGTGTGTACTTTAAGGTCCTAATCAGCCAGGCACAGTGACTCACACCAACACTTTGAGAGACTGAGGTAGGAGGATCATTTGAGCTCAGGAGTTCAAGACCAGACTGGGTAATATAGTGAGACCCCATCTCTACAAAAAAAAATTTAAAATTTAAAAAATTAGCCACTTGGGAGGCTGAGGCAGGTGGATTGCTTGAGCCTGAGGTGCAGTGAGCCATGATCCCACCACTGCACACCAGACTGGGTGACAGAGCAAGACCCTGTCTCAAAATAAATAAATAAATAAATAAAAGCAACAAAGAAAAAGAAAAAAGTTCCTAACCACAGGACAATGCAGAGATCTGTCATCCTCTCTCTTCATCACATACCAGAGAAGCATCATGCTTTCCTGATAACACCAAATTGGATTTGATCTTTCAGGAAAACAGTAAACATGACAAAGTAAGCAAAATGGGATGAGAGATCAAGAAGGCCTCAATTCATTAATCAATTCTTCCATTTATTCATCAATAAACTCATCAATATCTGATGTTGTCTGGAGTAAAATTTCAGATTTTTTGTTTTTGTGTATAAATTCAAACCAATGAAGAGTTATTGAACAAATGCCATAGCTAAATTGTGATGACCATAGTTTTGCATTTTCCCATTCTTTTCTATTGTACTGAAAAAATGGTCTTTCAGGGCCCTATGTGACAACTGCAACTTGGGTAATCTTTGAGATTAAATATTTATCAAACAACTCTACAATTCATTGTTGCCAGGCTTGCGCCCATCACAGCACCAGAGTCAACACTCAATCAATAATTGCTGAATGAAAAAATTCATTCACTTACTTGCTCATTAATATCTCAGTATTGTAATTAGGGAATTACAGTTCAGTACAATGTTTTCAAATTAATTAAAGTTTTATGCACCTAAATTTTAAAATTCTACTCTTCTTTTCCTAGAACTTTTTCTAAAATATGCCTTGGGCTTCCTGTCTGCTTAAGCAAATTCGTCATTTGTGAAACCATAATTTATCCTTCCCCTCCCCACTCCACCCCCCTCTGTCTTTTTATAAATTGTTGTTACTACTTGCAACAAGGGAGAAATGCCTGGTAGGCCCTCCCCATCTAATGTCAACCATCTCTTTCCCAAACACTCAATCACTGCTATCACAGACAATTTGTTTGCCTTTTTAACTTCAATAATTGGAATCATTCTAGATGCACAGAATTTCAAGCACTGTAGTTTCCAGATAACCTAAAAGTTACTGGATGGGGCACAGTGGCTCATGTCTGTAATCCCAGCACTTTGGGAGCCTGAGGCAGAAGATCACTTGAAACCAGGAATTCAAGACCAGCCTGGACAATTTAGCAAGACTCCATGTGTACAAAAAAATGAAAAATTAGTTGGGCAAGGTAGCATGTACCTGTAGTCCTAGTTACTGGAGAGGCTGAGGTGGGAGGATCACTTGAGTCCAGGACTTTGAGGGTGCACTGAGGTATGATCGTGCCACTGCACTCCAGCCTGGGTGACAGAGCAAAAATCTTGTCTCTAAAAAAAAAAATATAAAAATAATTTAAAAGATCTTGTGGCATGTGTGTTTGTGAGTTTCTCAGGTAAAACATAGCTAAAAGCATACAGAGTAAGTGGAAAAGAAAGACGCAGGCTGAAAAGAGAAAAAAGAATGTCCCAGAGGAGTTCAGCAGGCTTAAAAATATTCTCCAAGTAGACAGTGATGTCTTAATGAAAGACGTTTAAGGATAGCAACTGTGGTGGTGTCCAAACATTGACCTAGGCTGGGTGCAGTGGCTCAGGCCTGTAATCCCAGCACTTTAGGAGGCCAAGGTGGGAGGATTACTCGAGGCCAGGAGTTAGAGACCAGCCTGGGCAACATGGCAAGACCCTGTCCCTACAAAAAGTTAAGAGAATTAGCTGGGTGTGGTGGCACGCTCCTGTAGTCCCAGTTACCAGAAGTCTGAAGAAGGAGGATCACCTGAGCCCAGGAGTTCAAGGCTGCAGTGAACGATGGTGGCGCCACTGCACTCCAGCCTGAGTGATCGTGTCTCAAAAAAGAAAGAAAGAGAGAGAGAGGAGAAAAGAAAAGAAAGAAAGAAAATGCACTGTCAGCTAAAAGATGAAAAAGAGGACATGAAAATGGAAACTGAGATTAAGAGAAACAAAAAGACTTCTAGACCAGAATGGACAGTACCCAATATGGATTAACCAAAGGCAAAGAAAAAGGACAAAGGCAAAGCAAGATAAAAGAAAGGGGAAAAGCAAACCAAATGCAGTGAAGGCAGAGAAGGGTTTGGCCTGGTAGACCCTTAAAAACTTGGGGCTGGGGCCAGGCGCCATAGCTCATGCCTGTAATCACAACACTTTGGGAGGCCTAGGCAGGCAGATTGCTTTGAGCTCAGGAGTTAGAGACCAACCTGGGCAACATGGTGAAAACCCATCTCTACAAAAAATTACAAAATAAATTAGCCAGTCTTGGTGATGCACGCCTGTAGTCCCAGCTACTTGGGAGGCTGAGGCAGGAGAATCGCTTGAACCCAGGAGGCAGAGATTGCAGTGAGTTGAGATCGTGCCACTGCACTCCAGCCTGGGTGACAGAGCAAGATCCTATTCTAAAACAAATAAACAAAAATTTGGAAAATGCCATGAGACAGATGATTGAGGAGAATGTATACAAATGCATACTTTGATTTCAGCTCCCACCAAATGAAAACCATTTCTTTTCATATTTTAACTTGGCCTTTTTTATTGAATTCAAACCCAATGTAACTCCTCAAGTTTGTTTTGGGAACTTGAATAAAATATTATCTTTGGCACATGAAAATCACATTGATATTTTAATTGGATGCTACTCAGTATTCAGGTATCAAGCATCAAAATTCTGTCAAGTATTAATGTGGTTGTAATTGTCCTTACAACTAAGTAATTATAGTCAGGAAACATAAAACAATGATATACTGACAAATTTTCTTAACTCAGATTTAAAGAAAGCTGTTATGTAAGCATATCAGTTATTATAAAAAGCATAAAATTTATAAAAATATAACATTTTGGGAGGCCGAGGCAGACAGATCACTTGAGGTCAGGAGTTCAAGACCAACCTGCCCAACATGATGAAACCCTGTCTCTACTAAAAATACAAAAATTAGCCGGGCATGGTGGCACATGCCTATAATCCCAGCTACTCAGGAGGCTGAGGCAGGAGAATCGCTTGAACCCAGGAGGTGGAGGTTGCAGTGAGCTGAGATCGTGCCACTGCATTCCAGTCTCGGTGACAGGGCGAGACTCAATCTCAAAAAATAATAATAATAATAATATAACATTAGTGGATCTTATAAACAATGCTTGTGTGGGGTTTTGATTCTGTATAATTCAGAATAAAAGATATTTTGTGTATAAAAATAAATTTTAAAAATACATTAAAAGTTACTGTTTTATTTTTCGATTTTTCTTTCATCGGAGAGTTTTTTTAGCTTGGGAGGATTTACTTTTTCAGACTGACAAAAATATCTTGTGCTTGCATGTTAATCCCAATTATCATGAATATTATGTTAATTTGAGTGTGTGGGAAAATTCCATTTTTAGCCAGAAATTTTCCTATTGGATAAGCTCATTGTGTCTGTCCTTAGGAGCAAGATCTTTTAGGATGTCATGCATGCTGTGTGTCCTCATTTGGATGCCACTTTGCAATCTGATTTTCTTTTTGTTTTTTCTTTTTTAAACAAGGCCTCACTCTGTCACCCATGCTGGAGTATAGTGGCATAATTGTAGCTCACTGAAGTCTCAAAATCCCGGGCTCCAGTGAGCCTCCCACCTCAGCCTCCCAAAGCACTGGAACTAGAGATGTCAGCCACTGCATTTGGTCCTTATTTTCTATAAAACAGAAATTATAGTCCAATAAATTCAAGGTTTTTTTCTTGTATCAGCTTTCACTCTGAAATTTTGACCTAACATCTCCTCAATATCTATGTTGTGTCCGAGAATATATACCTGCCTAAAATTCCTAAGAAAGAAAGGACGATGACGTTTCATAAGAATGATACCCTTGGCCGGGCGCGGTCCCTCATGCCTGTAATCCCAGCACTTTTGGAGGCTGAGGTGGGCGGATCACCTGCAGTCAGGAGTTAGAGACCAGCCTGATCAACATGGAGAAACCCCATCACGAACAAAAGTACAAAATTAGCCGGGTGTGGTGGCATATGCCTGTAATCTCAGCTATTCAAGAGGCTGAGGCAGGAGAATCACTTGAACCCAGGAGGCGGAGGTTGCAGTGAGCCTAGATCGCACCATTGCACTCTAGCCTGGGCAACAAGAGGGAAACTCCATCTCAAAAAAAAAAAAAAAAAAAAAAAAGAGACCCTAATGTCTCTGTTTTCCAGATGGCACTATAACTGTATACACTGAAAATATATATTATCTCCAAAAATATCTCCTATTAGTTTATTTTATAACGGGAAACTACTAGTTTCTTTTCTTTCCAAATATCTGTCGAGCAAGAAAATTTAATACTTTAAACTTGACTATAAATAATTTTATATGAGAATATCACTTAAGGCAGACTTTTAAAAGTTTTTGAAAATGTACTAGCCATTTTGATATGTCTGATGGATGCCTGATAACAGAGTAATGCCTGAGGGAAAAGAAAACCAATCATTTTTCTAAATTTATTCAAGCAGATGTATTCACAGCTGTACATTTCAACCACAATGTCATCTGCTTTGGATATATTTTCATTTTTTAATCATCAGAGCAGTGTCAGTATATCAACATTGAATCATGGATATACATCAACGTTAGAAAAATATAACCCCAAGGGTACATACCATGAGAACGTTTATAAGTGAAAAAACATATCTTTGAATGATAATGTTGGGAAAATCAGGAATCATGGAAACCGTCTAAGCAATAAATAAGACTGAATAGAAGACGATTCACAAAGTCTAGAGAAAGATGAAGTTACACAAGGTGAGAAGCCTGCAAAAGTGTGTTCATTACCTCACACTGTCCCTGGTAGACAAGGTGCCACCATTAGATTTAATATTAGATAAGATGTTCTCCTTGATTTAGAACTAGGTGTTAGGTTTTCTAAAAACAAAAACAGATAATGGAATATCAACAAAAACTATTCATTCAAAATGGAGACATTCATCACACGGTTTGTTTTATTTGGTAATTCCTATAATTTTCTAGAAAAAAAATCTCAAAGTAATTCTTGGGAAACATAGTAATTGTTGGGAAACATAATACAATAATACAAATTTTTTACTAATCCACATATGGATCCACATATATGTCTTAAATTGAGACTCTTTTTACCTGGTGTTTCAGACAGAATCCTTAGTTGTAAGCAACAGAAACTGGCTTTTTAAGTGAAAGACAATTCACTGGAAGAATGTCAGGCTCACAAAATCAGTGGGAGATTGGAGAACCAATAATTAGAAAAGTAGAAACTCAGCAAGCTCCAGGTGGCCTGGACACGTCACAGAATATGCTGTGTAGTATCAGCATACTATAGCTTTCATAACAACAAAGGACCCCTAGCCATCCCTCACATCCTCAAATTCAAAGTCTCAACAAAGAATGACCAGTTGGCTAAATATTGGTCAGATGCCCAGTCTATACATTCACCCTGCTGGCTGCCATGGGACAGAAAATCTGAGGTACTAGACCCCTTTGTAGTAGGAGGTGGGCACCACTTCCAAGCAAAACTATACAGGATAGGAAATCCCCTACCTCCCAAAAATGGGGAGTTTTGTTGGAGGAAGGGCTTTTGGATGCTGAATAGCTAAAATAACAGCAACAATTACAAATCAATACATCTTCCACAAAGCAATAAAGAGAATGGAATCCTTATTATTTACCATTCACTTGGCATAAATTAATGTCTGTCCTGGAATATGGGAATTGCCCACTTAATCGGGCTGATTTATAATTAAGATCTTGTACTTTAGTAAGATGATTGAAATACATAGTTTACTCCTTTCAGTAAATCCTTGAGCAAGAATTATATTTGATAGTTTTTTTCTGAATTTTAACTGGGAAATCCCTGATGTTACTTATACTTAGGGTATATATGAATTATGCAAATATTAGACTCATCATAGTAAATAATTGGAAAGATGTGGATCATATTTTTAAGAATTTACGAATTCATATGTCACAGAGCATCACTAAGACATTCCCTTGACATCTTCAAAACACTGCCCTTCAGGAACCTTTCTCTTTATATTATTCTTCTTTGTCTGTTCTTATTTTTCTTCTTTTCTCTGAATTGAGCTTTCCCTTTATAAGCCACCCTAATATTTATCACTTTTTATTGTCCTTCTTGGCAATCTTTTTGATCCAGTCAGTAGTCTTGAGTCCCTACCCTGTGCTAGTTTCATGCATGGCAATGAAGTTATAAAGATCATAAGAATACGGCCCCAAGCCCCAGAGACACCACAGTCTAATAGAGGAGACATTCACAGCCCTGACCTCAGAGAACTCACAGGCCAGTGTAGGAGACAGACACCTAACTAAATAATAGTAATTAACAATAGCGACATGTACTTGGCAGTATAGGAGAGACCAGGGAGAACTGGGCAGTGGGAATAAGAGGGGAGCTCAGAGAAGGCTTCCTGGTGGAGATGACACCTGAATTGGGGAAAGGAGCTGAATGCACCCAAGGTCAAGGCAAGGAGGTGAGATGCAATGGGCTCTGTGAGGCTCACCAGAAGCAGATTGGTTTTGTGTGGTTATCACCCAGGTTTGTGCTTGTGGCTGTATTCCACGTACTACAGGGGTTACGGAAATGTGTATGTGTTCTTGTAGCCCTGTGAAAACAGAAAGAACAGCAGGGCCAAATGATCATAAAAGGCAATGATGCCAAAATGGGGAGACAAGTGAACTTCCCTGGAATGTGTGGAAGGCAGGATAGGATGACAGCAGACCTAAAGGCTCCAATTCCCAGTCTTTTCCCATTACTAGCTGTGCAGTGTTCAATGGGTGACTGAATTCTCCAAGACTCTCCAAGACTCAGTTTTCCTCACCTATAAAATGGAGATAAACCTGCGTTGGGCTATTTATTCTATCTAAGGAGTAAATGAGCATAAAAAGAATTGAACACAATAAGTGGCACAAAAATGTTCAATACATAGGGTTTTTTTTCCTACTCTCCAGAAAATTAGAACAAGGCCATTTCTGTTTGCTAAGATTGCTCATTTGTGTGCTCACTTGATTTTTAAATGTGTTGAATGTGAAGGATTTACACACCTGTGGTTTCCCGTGGTTCTGCATAGCTCATACTGGACACCATCAGAACAAGTCAAGGCAACGTCCCAGAACCCTTGATTCTCCACTTTTGTTATGTGCACTCTTTGGCAAGGAGGGGCACTTTCACTGATGCCCCATTATATGAGGTGAAATATCCCCTTCTTTCTGGACCATAAATGTGAAGAAAGCTGGCCAAGGCCGGGCCTGGTGGCTCTCACCTGTAATCCCAACACTTTGGAAGGCTGAGGCAGGAGGATCACTTGAGCCCAGGAATTGAAAGCTGCAGTGAGCTATAATCATGCCACTCTACTCCAGCCTGGACAACAAAGTGAGAACATGTCTCTTAAAAAAAGAAAAAAGGAAAGCCCCTCATTTGCTTTGCCTGTGTAATTCTACCCTACCCCATGCCAACACTGGCCATGATACAGCCTAGGTTAAATGATTTTACATAATTGTCAAGAGTATTAGCAAGAACATTCTGGAATCATAGAAGGTTTCGAGAGTGGAATGCAACTGACAGATGTAGTCCTCCATTGTAAAGAGAAAAAGTAACCAAAGCTGGTTAGTGACTGGTTGTTCCCAGAACTAGGGAGGAAACCACTTGCCTGGCTTTGCCATGATGCTTCTGGCCTCATTAGGATGGCTGGAAAATGCCATCACATCTGAATGCCGTTTTGTAAAGCAGTTCCATGCACTTATTTCACCAACACTCAGAAAAGTTGTATGGCTGGCACAAGGTCATCCAGCTCACACAAGGCAGGTAAAAAGACAAACCAGAACGGCACTTGGAAAAGCAGGAAGGAAGTAAATACATGCCTCAGTTTGTCCTCTGGAAGCTGGAAGTCAAGATAGACCAGTTCAGAGAGAGTAGGAAAGGCTCCTGAAGAAGACGACTGGATAAAGAAAATGTGATATTTATGCACAATAGAATACGATTTAGCCATAGAAAGAATGAACTCCAGGCATTCATGGCCACAGGGATGGAACTGGGGGACATGATGTGAAGTGAAATAAGTTGGGCACAGAAAGTTAAACACCGTATGTTCTCACTCATATGTGGAAGCTAAAAAAAAGATCTCATAGAAGTAAAAAGTAGAACAGAGGATATTGGAGGCTGGAAGGACAGAGGGAAGAGGGGGATAGGAAGAGATTTGCTGAAGGATACGAAATTACAGCTAGATAGCAGGGATAAATTCTCATGTTCTATGGTGCTGTACGATGACTATAGTTAACAATAATACATTAGATAGTTCCAAATAGCTAGAAGGAGGATATTGAATGTTCCCAACACAAAGAAATAATAAATGTTTAAGATGACGGATATGCTAATTACTCTGATCTGATAACTATAAATATATGTATTGAAACATCACTATGTACCCCATAAATATGCACAATTATTATGTGTCAACTAAAAAAAATTAAAAAGCCAAAGTCCTTACAATGACCAACAAGACTTGACATGATCTGATGTCCCATTACCCTTTTTTTATGCTTCAATCAGTTGAATTTCTTTTAAAAAGGGGTTTTTTGTTTGTTTTTAGAGATGGGGTCTCACTCTGTCACCCAGGATGGAGTATAGTGGTGTGATCATAGCTGACCGCAACTTCGAATTTCTGGGTTCAAGTGATCCTCCCACCTTAGCCTCCCTCCTAGCTGGGACTACAGGTGTGCCACTATACCTGGCTACTTTTTTATTTTTCTTTTTTGTAGGCATGGGGTCTCACTATGTTAACGAGTTTGGCCCAGTATATTTTTAAGTGCTTTTTGTTCGACTAGATGAATCAGAAGTCTATTTCTCAAGTCAATTTCTGACCTGCCTGTTTCAAGCATGCCTGGTGCTTTTCCTGTGGATATTCTGTTTACTACTCTATACATACCCTCACTATCCTCCATGGAGACAAACTTTGGGTTTTCTTTCCTTGCTGCCAGCACTTCAACTATTGGGGCTTCTTCTACTCTCTGCCTCTACCTCTGGAAGACCATTCTTCCTCCCCTTTGCCAGCTGCATTCCTGCTCGTTGGTGGGAAAAGCAATCCCTGTCAGGCCAGTCAGCTTCTGTAAACTAAAATCATTTGATCATGTAGACACAAGGCTAGTATGATATTAAAAGGAATGAGCCAAGGAGTCACAGGCTTAAAGAATTTTAGAATTGGAAGGATGTTAGAGATAAGTTACCGGATACAGGAGATGAGTCTAAGGAGATCAGTGTTTTGGTTTTTTGTTTTGTTTGTTTTGTTTTTTGTTTTCATTTCAGATGCCTGAGGCCACAAGCTGATACCCTCTGTGTTTCAACTACTTATTGCTATGTAACAAACTATCTCCAATCTTAGTGGCTGAAAAAAACATTTTGTTTATTTGCTCACAATCCTGCAATTTGCAAGGCTTGTCTGGGACAGTTCATCTCAGGTTTACATGGCTGATGTTTGACTGGGGCTGAAGAATGGACTTGCAAGATGGCCTCACTAACATGGCTGGCAAGCTGGTGTTGACTGTTGGCTTGAAGCTCAGCTGGGGCTGTTAACCAGTGGCCTCACTTCCTTTCTGCTTGGCCTCTCCACATGGCTAGATTGGACTTCTCACAGGGAGGCAGTCTCTGGATATTCAAACTTCTTACATGGTGGCTGGCTTCTTCTAAAATACAAAAATGAAAGCTGCCAGGCCTTTGTAAGGCTTAGAATTGAACTGGCACCCTGTCACTTCCTCCATGATCTATTGGTTAAAGAAGGTCACAGAACCAGCCCAGATTCAAGGAGCGGGGAACAATCCAAGGACATGAATATTGGTAAGTGTGATTCATTGAGAACCATCATTATAAAAAATTAGCTCACTAATTTTCCCGCTTTCACCAAATATTGAGCTTCCACTGAAATTTTCAGGCCAGCAAATAATATGGTTAGTCGAACATTGTCCTAGGAGACACCTGAGCTTTTGACCTAGCCTGGTTATTAATTAGCTTTAGAGACTTGAAGCCATCTAAACTGTAAGTTTTCTGGCCTGGATGAATTTTCATGTAGCTTCTAGCTCTAAATGCAGAGTCCTAGGTATCAGTTGGTCTTCAGTTCCTAGATGAAGCTTTAAAAAAAAGTTGGGGCATATGATTTTACTATATTGGATTAAACAAACCTCTGATTTTTCAGTGCAGTCAAGCTGTATAAAAGCTCAACTGTGTCTCTACTAAAAATACAAAAAACACTAGCCAGGTGTGGTGGCGCACACCTGTAATCCCAACTACTCAGGAGGCTGAGGCATGAGAATTGCTTGGACCTGGGGGCAGAGGCTGCAGTGAGTGGAGATCACACCACTGCACTCCAGCCTGGGCGAAAGAGTGAGACCCTGTCTTAAAAAAAAAAAAGTTCATTTGGGGCTGGACACTAGGGCTCACACCTATAATCCTAGCACTTTGGGAGTCCAAGGCAGGAAGATCGCTAGAGGCCAGGAATTTGAGAACAGCCTGGGCTGCAGAGCGAGATCCTATGAGGCATGATTGTACCACTCCATTCCAGCCTTGATGACACAGCAAGACTCTGTCTCAAAAAACTTGAGTTATTTGAGATAACTCAAGTTATTACTAATTACTTGCAGCTGGCAGGGAGGTAGGAACATGGATGGAGTCTCCAGAACAGTTGGGAAGAGGGCGTGTCCGCTCTCTGTGCCACTAAAACGCAGCCACAGAACTTCATTGGCATACACCAACACACATTTATTCAGCTCATGAGTCTATGGGGTTCATCTGATCTGGGTTGGGCTTGGCTGGTCTTGACTGAGATCACTTATCTATCTAGGAGTTCAGTAGCTATTGGCTGATCTAGGGTGGCCTTAGCTGAGTGTAGTGATGCACACCTGTGGTCTCAGCTATGAAGGAGGCTGAGGTGGGAGGATCACTTGGGCTCAGGAGTTGAGGCTGCAGTGAGCTATGATCATGCCACTGCATCATCCAGCCTGGGTGATGAAACAAGACCTTGTCTCCATAAAAAAAGAAGACCATTAATTAATCAATTAATCAATCTACCATAGAAAATATCTTGTAAAAACCAACTTTGAAAATGGACTTGTTGAGTGAGCTTTTTTTTTTTCTTTAAACAGAGTTTTGCTCTGTTGCCCAGGCTGGAGTGCAGTGGCACGATCTCGGCTCACTGCAACCTCTGCCTCCCAGGTTCAAGCAATTCTCTTGCCTCAGCCTCCCAAGTAGCTGGAATTACAGGTGTGTTCCACCATAACCGGCTAATTTTTATATTTTAGTAGAGACAGGGCTTCACCATGTTGGCCAGGCTGATCTCAAACTCCTGACCTCAAGTGATCCACCCACCTTGGCCTCCCAAAGTGCTGGGATTACAGGAGTGAATCACCGCACCCGGCCAGGCTGTTCTAATATCTCACGATTGCAGTTCATGCTGTCTGTGCCTAGCCCCAGGACACATATGCAGAGGGACGTGGGAGTGGGCTTGCTGAGTGGAAAACACCAAATCCACCATAGTGGTCACCTCCGATGGTGAGGAGGGCCATTAGTGGGTCCTTGAGAGAATGTAATTGTTTGATGGGTGTTGATTTCATCATTTCTGTCCTTCTTTGTATGTCCAAAATGCGTTGTTCATAATTTAAAAATGCCTGAATACACTCTGGCTTTGAATCGGCCCAGATACAACCCTTTTCTGGCTCTGCTTTACTGTTTTTACTTGTTAAGAGTTTTTCTCAAGCATGCTGGAGTGACTGATGCCTCCAAGAAGCACATACTAAAGAAATACCGAATTCGTTTTCTGCAAAGTTAGCAAAACCATCAATTTTTAAAAAGTGTTGTTTAATCTGTGGCCAACAGAAAGTTTTTCTCTGACTTTAGGTTTTTTTCTTTCTCCCCAGCTTTAAAAAAAATCCATTTTCAGAAAAGTGACTTATATAAACAGTCCCCACCTCGGAGAATTCCAGGATATGCTTTATCCACTGGGCACTAAAACCAAGAAAACTGATCTGGGTCATTTCAGGCTTCCATCCTTTGTTATTTCAAGTCAATAAAAATAGTTGGGAGGAAGGTGACTCAGGATCTGGCTTGCTCTGTCTTCTTGATTAAAATAATGGCAGATTAATTTGGCTTATTTGATTCCTTTTTATCTCTTTATTATTCTTGCTGGAAATTAGATAAAATGACCATTATTCCTTTCTCACCTCCAATCAGTTGACTTAGAGCAAAAAAAAATTATTTTCACCAGATTGATGTGATTGCACACAAGATTTCTGAATTAGATAGCCCTAGTTTTCCCTCACTTCCTCACCAAAAATTCCACCCATGAAGGTATATTTCAAAAATAGAAAGTGAACACAATGACCATGTGAGTTTCCATTAAGAAGAAAGAGGGCTATGATTCAGCGGTTGTGCAGGCACTGATTACCTAATCAAGGCCGTAACAACTGCTGCTATTTAGAGGTGATACCCTGAATCATAAAAAATTTTCTCTTTTGATGTTCCCTCTACTTTAGAAATCTCAGAGTGTTTTAAAATATATATGAGAACCTCAGGTACTTCTATCAATAGTAATCAACAGTCTGTCTTTACTCAGTAGAAATAATATGTAAAAAATACTAATAGCTAAAATTCATAAAGCCCATCATATGTGTGAATTACTGTTACAGTTTTCATGGATTTATATACAGAAAGGCTCTGCTCCTCATGCAGAGATAAAGGCCATCAGAAGATCAAATAAGTTAGAAGAAGGAGGCAAAATACATCCATATTCTTCCAGAAAAGAGAAAAGACAAAAATTATCAGCTGTTTTTGAGTGGCTTGGAATTAGAAACGATCCTGGTTCTTCTGCTTCAGAGCAAAACAATAAGAAAAGATAGGTGAGGAGCCACCAGCGTGGATGCTTTCAGAATCTAAATTCAAATGATACTTTTTCTCTAGCAAATCACCAGGTTCTGACATGACTGACTGTGATTCTTGGCAGAGGATCAAACCTTCTGCTATGAAACCCCAGTGAGAGGTGAAATCCCAGGGCAAAACCCCAGTGTGGGGCTACAAAAAGAAAATTGGTTCCCCTCCGGGAGGGCCAGGGTCTGGCTTTGAGCAAGGCAAGCCAGGCACCTAGGGCGCCAGATTTGAAGAGAAGTAGGTAACTCACTCTCATGGCTGTGCAAGGGCTGACCTGCAGAATTGTTCCAAGTCCGACTCTGAGTGCCAGCAAAGTGAAGTTTCCCTAAAGTATTAAACCTGGAGATCCCAGGGGTGGAGATGAAGCTGAGCCTGGGTCTGGAAAGTGCTTGGTGGTGGGGGCATCAGTACAAGGGCACTTCTGGCATCTCCCGTTCATCTCAAATGGGCCTGCATAGGGAAAGTTATTACAAAGTCCATTCTCAGCCAGGTGCGGCGGCTGATACCTGTAATTCTAGCACTTTGGGAGGCCAAGGCAGGAGGATTGCTCAAGCCCAGGAGTTTGAGACTAGCCTAGGGAACATAGCGAGACCTCATCTCTACAAAAAGTAAAAAAAGTAGCCAGACATGGTGATGCATGCCTGTAGTCCCAGCTCCTCAGGAGGCTGAGGTCATAGGATTGCTTGAACCTGGGAGGTCAAGGCTGCAGTGAGCTGTGTTGCACCACTGCACTCCAGCCTGGGCAACAGAGCAAGACCCTGTCTCAAAACAAAAAAAAAGCCTATTCTCAATAATCCAAGGGTAAAACAATGAGATAAAGCAATACCTTTATAAAGCAATACCTTTCATTGCAAGGAGGGAGTAAAATTGCTAGTGTGTATGTGGAGTAAAACAGAGTAACTCTATCAGTTAAGACTTTTATAGGATTACAGTGGCTCATGCCTGTAATCCCAGTGCTTTGGGAGGCCAAGGCAGGCGGATCACCTGTGGTCAGGAGTTCAAGACCAGTCTGGCCAGCATGGCAAAACCCCGTCTCTACTAAAAAAATACAAAAAAATTATCTGGGCATGGTGGCGTGCACTTGCAATCCCAGCTACTCAGGAGGCCGAGGCAGAATATCACTTGAACCCAAGAGAAAGAGGTTTCAGTGAGCCGAGATCATGCCACTGTACTCCAGCCTGGGTGACAGAGTGAGACTACATATCAGAAAAGAAAAAAAAGACTTAAAAAAAAATGTAACCCTGAAGAAGGCCAACTTAAGCTGCTGTAAGAGAGAAAAGGGAATGTATTAATTCATGCAACTGAGATGTCCAGGAAGGGAGTTGACTTTAGGGTGCAAGGCTGAGCTCCTACTGGGCCTTTCTGTAGCTGACTCACCCCTGGGCTCTTCCTATGGCAGGATGGCCAGGCAGTTCAGGGGCTCAAACAAGAAAACTGGGTTGACCTTCACTGGGCCCCTGCCAATCACTGTGGCAGGTGATGGAGAAAGACCAAGACACTTGTGAGTGGGTAGGGGACAAGATGTCCCTAAAGGAGAATTGGGGACTGTCACAAAATACAGTGAATGACTGGTGGGGAGCAAAAAGCCGCAAAAGGCCTCTGCAATAGGAGAACAAATGACAGGTCAAATCTGGCTCTTCACAAACTACTTAAATGCCGCCATTGGCTGTACTGAATGCCAAGAAAACACATTTTCTGATACCGGCTACCTCCAAGTTGGTGGGCTGGGGAGATTTTTGTGTGAGAAATGTTTTTAATTGTATCTTCTTGCTGAAGCATCTAAAACCTGCCAGAGAGGAGTGACAAACATTCAGTTACCCTGCCTGCTGCTTCCTCTTTTACACAAGTATATCATCACTTCATTTCAGGAAGGGCAAACACTTTTGTGTTAGAAAATTGCCTGATAAAAGGGCTTCCTCCATTCACTAACCTCTTGGCAGAATTGTGACCGCAGACCTATGGAAAGCATGCAGAGGAAGTGGCGTTTGAATGCCACCCTGCTTAAGGGTTTTCATGCACTCACAGAAAATCCCCAGACCAAAGCCCTAAGTCATCTCTACTTACCCAGAGACACAAACAGGCCTTTCCACTCTCCTTAATGCTAATGCTTTGGAAACACTGAAGCTTCCTGCAACACTTTTTGATCATTCACTTTCCAAAATCTGAATCAACACTTCTAAGGTAACAAAGGGCATCTGCGGGTTCTTTTTGGCTTTGGACAAAGTGCAACTTCAGCTACTAGTTTCAAAAAGAAAAGTTCTAGTGCTTTTTGCCTGAAATATGTAACTAAATGGTTGTTAAACCTACAGTAACTTATTAGAAAAATAGAAGTAAACCATTTATAGCAAAATAAATTCTGGAGATGGTAAGGAATGAAATGTAAAAACAAATCTTTTTTTAAAACTAGAAATACATGTGGGCAACTTTGTTTAAAAGCACAGTAAGTTACAGTCTGACGACAAACGAGAAAAATATTTGCAGTAGATGTGATAGACCACATGTGTCTATTTCTAGTGTATATCGACCTTAAACATCTTGATAAGAAAATCACCAAATTTCTAATAGAAAAATGGGCAAAGGTTTTAGTGATCTATTGTACTACATGGTGACCACAGTTAATAAAAATGTATAGTTTAAAATTGCTAAAAGAATAGGTTTTTAATGACCTCTCCATGCACAAAAAAATGCTAAGTTGTTGAGGTAATGGATATATTAATTAGCTTGAGTGAATCTTTCCAACAATGTACACGTAGATCAAAACATCACACGTACCCCAAAATTTACACACTTTTTTGTCAATTAAAAATAGATAAATAAATAATTTTAAAATAGGCAAAGGATATAAACAAAAAAAATTGATGGAAGAAATACAGAATAAATCTAACCAGCAATGAATTACAAATTAAACAAAATTGGGATACTATTTTTTCCCATCAAATTAGCAAAGGGCTTTAAAATTAATAGTTGAATGAGATGCTGATATAATACTAATCCAAATATAAATTGGAACAGCCTTTCTAATAAGAAATTCAAATAAATCTGTATCCATTGTCCCTATAATTTTCTATGTAGGAACTATCCTAAGGAAGTATTTTTAAATTTTTTAAAATTTGAAAAAATTGAAATATATGCATATTTCATCACAACATTATTTATATGCAGATATCACAGCACTGCTTAATGATATCAAAAATTATAACTAACTTAAGTGTGTAATAAGAAAATAAGATTATAGAATATTCATTCTTTGGAATATCATGCATGCAGCCACTAAAATTATTTATGACTCTTATCAAGACAAGGGAAATGTTAATATCATAATGTTAGATTTAAAAAGAAAGAAGAGAAAATTGTATGTACAATATGATACAGATTTTACAACTTCATCAGCACATGAATGCATCTATAATTCTACATAATGCAGAGGAAAGAAAACACAACCCCAAAATATATACCTGGATTTTATGCAGGCAATGATTTTTATTTATTTTCAAGGCTGTGGAATCACTACATGAGCATGTATTACTTTTGATAACTAGGAAAAAAATCATTTAAGGTAAAACATATGAGAACTTAAATAGAATTCTCTTTTAAAAAACAAAATAAGTATAAGGGTAAAGCTTGGTAACTTACTACCGTCCTAGATCTTTGAGTTCTTTGTTAAAATATCTTCCTTTTCAAGCCTGTACAGGTCCGTAAAGAAAATGAAACTTTCAATCAGCTTAATAGAGAAGTTAGGTGGACACTAAGATTCATATTAACACCTGCTGACAGGAGGTGTCATGACTAACTTCCAACAGGGTAATTAGTGTCTCCACCTCCTTAATAAGTGCCCCTGTAGTATATGCTGATCAAGCATAACCAGATCATCCTAAACTACAGGAGCACCATATGGTTATGCCGCATTCACTCTTTTTCTAGGGGAGTTAAGGAGTTCACCGGCACTAAGGCTGTCCGGGGTGGCTCTTTAGTTCTCCCTCAAGTGGGTTTACTACCATGAGCGCCTATCAAGGATCTAAGCTGTGTGTCCCTATGACAGCTTAGCTAGGCTGGACCAGGGTCTTAGAGAGAATCAAACTCTTGTTTCTAAAATTTAGGGAGTGGGGAGGTAGGCAAGATCAAATGCTGTGGCCTGTCCCCAGAGGGCTATGACATATGAGAGAAAACGTGGGATTAGAAGTGGCCCATTCCATCAGAGACAGAGAGAGCCTAAGGTGTTTGTTCATGTGCAATTGGACGACCCCCCTTTTCCCAGTGTGTCTTATCTGGGATTCTCCCCAAAGACAGACCCTGAGAGAGATTCAGATGCAAGTAATTGATTTGGAAGATGATTGCAGGAAGCACAGTGAAGAATGGGAAACTGACCAGGGAAGCCCTACATAAGATGTGTCAGTGAGCAGGTTGTCCCGTGGGCAACAGGAGCTCTATCCCACTGGAGACCCTCAAGGAACTGTGTGGAACACAACTCATTATTGCCCTCCTGAGGGGCAGGGAAGCTGGGATATTTATCCACCAATTCCTTCCCTCAGTGGCTGAAGTTTGTGCCCTGTGCATTAAATCCAACTTCCTGGCACTTACAAACTGCCCCATGCTGGGTAATCACCTTCCATGCCAGAAAATGCCCTTGGGCACAAAGGTGCCGGAAGCTATTTCAGGAAGCTGTGGGTGGCACTGTAGGGGACTGTCTGCAGTGGATGCTGGGGGAGACATGTAGCATCTGTTACTTCAGGCTACTTGAGAGTGCTTCCCCTGTGACCTGCCCCCCTGGTTTTCTCCCTCGGGTACATCATGTATTATGTACTCTTGGAGAGTGATTCTGTAGCTTTATTAATCCACCCATTGACTAACCCATTCAACTATTTTGATTGAGAAGGATGAGAGAGGTATGAGAAGGAAAAAATAATGCAGGGTCCTATCTGAAAGTGTTAGAGAATCGGAAAGCGAGCGAGACTTCAAGATGTTACCATGTGAATAGTTTGAAAATCTGCTTTCATATAGCAAATTGAAATGAAGAGACTGATCATGTAGAGAATAGACAAACAGAAATGTATCAGAAGTGCAACAGAATTTAAGTTATGCAAATCCACTTATATCAAATCATGTCTTAAATGTATAGGGAGATGGTATTTAGTGAAAGAGTCAGCTTATTTGTTTCTATTTTTATTGTTTTTGAGACAGGGTCTCACTCTGTCCCCAGGCAGGAGTGTAGTGGCATAATCATGGCTCACTGTAGCCTCAACCTCCCAGGCTCAAGTGATCCTCCTATCTCAGCCTCCCAAGTAGCTAGGACCACAGGCGTGTGCCACTACACCTGGTTAATTTTTTATTTTTATTTTTTGTAGAGATGGGGTCTTGCTATGCTTCCCAGGCTGGTCTTGAATTCCCGGGCTGAAGCACTCCCCCTTACCTCTGCCTCCCAAAGTGCTGGGATTCCAGGTGTGAGCCACTGCACCCGGCTTTCCCATGGATGTTTCTGGTCTAGAACAATTATTACTATGTGTCTTGCTAAATGATAGTTTTCCAATTGCATCATTCCTTCTACATTTATTAATTGGGATTCTGTTGCCTTCCCTCTCCCGTTTATTTATTTATTCAATTATTTATTTGTATCAGTATGGACTCATAGGAATTTATTTTATTTTATGGGTTTTGATCCATTGTCATCATTATTTATGTTGTCACTCAAAATGTTCCACACCAAAGAGCCAGGTTTTGTCTTTTTTTTTTTTTTTTTTTTTTAAGAGGCAGGATCTCTCTATGTTGCCCAGGCTGGAGTGCAGTGGCTCTTCACAGATGCAATCCCACTCCTGATCAGCACATGAGTTTTTTCCTGTTCCATATCTGACCTGGGCCAGTTCACTCCTCCTTAGGCAACCTGATGGTCCCACACTCCCAGGAGGTCACCATATCAATGCCACACTTAGTGCAGACACCCGATCAACATATTGCACTATAGCCCAGAATTCCTGGGCTCAAGCGATCCTCCTGTCTCAGCGTCTTGAGTAGCTGGGACTATAGGTATGCACCAGTGCACTTGGCAGAGTTAGGTTTTAAAAGTGTATTTGCCACAAAGCCTTCTTATTAGGCCCTAGAAGCTGTGTGCTTTCCTGGCCCTTTTCCTACAAAGGCTCCACCCTGAAGCCAGTAATCCAATTAAGAAACTGGCAAATGAAAAACCTTACAACTACTGGATCTTCTGTCTGTCTGTCTGTCTGTCTATTTATGTGTTGTGTGTGTGATATTTATATATAAAAGAGCTCTAATTGGCTTAGAAAAAATAAGCGCTTATATCATATTTTGTCAGAAAAATAGAAACTTTAATGCCTCTTATTCACATGACTTTAGTAACCTGGAAATAAAGACAGTTTTAAAGATTATTGGTAAAATTAAAATGTCTTCAAAATGTAGACATTTGGTCTAAATTAAAGTCAAACATCAGATTTGCCTCATCTCTCAACTTATACAAAAATCAACTCAAGATGGAGCAAAGACTTAAATCTAAGACCTAAAACCATAAAAATTCTAGAAGATAACATCAGAAAAACCCTTCTAGACATTGGCTTAGGCAAAGACTTCATGACCAAGAACCCAAAAGCAAATGCAACAAAAACAAAGATAAATAGATGGGACTTAATTAAACTAAAAAGCTTCTGCACAGCAAAAGAAATAATCAGCAGAGTTAACAGACAACCTACAGAGTGGGAGGAAATCTTCACAATCTATACATCCAACAAAGGACTAATGCCCAGAATCTACAAAGAACTCAAACAAATCAGCAAGAAAAAAACAAACAATCCCATCCAAATGTGGGCTAAGTATATGAATAGACAATTCTCAAAAGAAGATACAAATGGCCAACAAGCATATGGAAAAATGCTCAACATCACTAATGATCAGGAAAATGCAAATCCAAACTACAATGTGACACCACCTTACTCTTGCAAGAATGGCCATAATCAAAAAATTTTAAAAAAATAGATGTTGGTGTAGACTTGGTGAAAAGGGCACACTTTTACACTGTTGGTGGGAATGTAATAAACTAGTACAACCACTGTGAAAAACACTGTGGAGATTCCTTAAAGAACTAAAATTAGAACTACCATTTGATCCAGCAATTCCACTCCTGGGTATCTACCCAGAGGAAAAGAAGTCATTATATGAAAAAGATACTTGCACACTCATGTTTATAGCAGCACAATTTGCAATTGCAAAAATATGGAACCAGCCCAAATGCCCATCAATCAACAAATGAACAAAGAAAATACTACTTGGCCATAAAAACGAAGGAAATAATGCAACCTGGATGGAATTGGAGACTATTATTCTAAGTGAAGTAACTCAGGAATGGAGAAACCAAACATCGTATGTTCTCACTCATAAGTGGGAGCTAAGCTATGAGGACGCAAAGGCATAAGAGTGATACAATGGACTTTGGAGACGCAGGGTAAAGGGTGGGAGGGGGGTGAAGGATAAAAGACTACACATTGGGTACAGTGTACACTGCTCGGGTGATGGGTGCACCAAAATCTCAGAAATCACTTCTGAAGAACTTATTCATGTAACCAAACACCACCTGCTCCCCATAAACTTATTGAACTTTTTTAAAAGTATATTTGCCACAAAAAAGCTGTGTGACATATTTCCAAGTTTCCTGTGGTTTACACAAAGAAGCAAGTCTCTTGAAACATTGACATAAAATGGCACTAGGATTGTCCTGGCAGTGTAAGTTATCAGACAGAACAATTATATGCTTTCAAATCCAAGAGCAAGATTTGGCAGGAATAAGTTAAAAGTTATATACGAACTCTTTTTTGTTTGCATAATTCCCTCTGTGCTTCTCCTGCCTTTGACAGTGAAGCTCCGGCCCAGTCAGAGCATTGGCTTAGCAGAAGTCATAAACAGTTCCCAAGCTGCTACTTAATGTACAGGGCTTTGGGGTATTGAGAGGTGATTGTGGTATGGAACCTAGCGTGACCTGGATTGGGAGAGGGAATTTTACGTGCAGTGTCCTCCCGGGAAGACAACAGTTAAGTGTAGCATGTTACACTGTGTTGGATGAAACCCAAATCCAGTCTGTGGTTTGACAGTTTCAGAGTAACCTACAATGTGTGGCAATATGCTGAAATTACTTTTCAGGACAGAAAGCTGGCCTGAGAAAGAGACTCTGGGCTCCAAACTGCTTGTCACAGGAAAATAATAAATTTGGACAACATGCAAAGTTCAAATCACCTGGGTATGATATAGGGGACAGGGCAGGACCAGGAAGATCACATTCAGAGTGCTTTCGACAATGGGCTCCAGAATCACAAAGCCTGGATCTGAATCTGGAGCTTTGCCACTTATGAACTTGGGCAGATACTGAAACCCTCTGAGTTCAGCTGCCTCATCTTTTACATGGGCATTTTACATGGTGAGGAAAAGAGAAGCTATATTATGCTGGTATTTCTCCACTTGCTTTCCCTGAGTCCACTTTCTGCCTTTCTCTGTCCTGTTCTGTGCCCAGGAGACTGACCTCTCCTGTCAGAATCCCCCAGGCTCCCCTGCCTGCCAGTTGGGTGTGGCCAATAGGAGCTGCTCCAGTGAGATTGGAAGGTGGCACAAAAGCGAGGTCAGGGATATGGATGCCTTTCTCCCTCCCAGCTCTATCTGTGCACACCACCTTCCAGCCCAGCCTCTGCATGTAGCTGTGTTCCTTTACAGCCGTGTTCTTGGCAAATGGCTCCTCTTCTCTGACTCCAGCTCTCACTAGACTATCTCTTCCCTCGCTCCTTCAGGCTGTTGCTATTTCCTGGGAGCTTCACCGTCCCTTAGCCCTACCCTCATGTCTGTGAATGTCCTTCACCGGCCTCTTTGAGTGCCACTTGTTACCTGCTGTGGAGGCAGACACATGCAGCACAGAGCTGCTGGGAGAATTAAATCAACGTTCCTCTGAAGCACTTGGCATGTGACCCAGAACTTCAGAGGTGCTTTGGAAATGTGAATTGTGGGTGCTGTTATCAAAGCATCTCCCATTGTCCTTGGAGGCCTCACTGGTGGGTGACAAATGCAGGGTGGATTTAGAAGGAAGCGAGGGAGGGTGATGATCTTGGAGCGTCCTCGTATAAATGGGACCAAAGCACAGGATCTCAAAAGCCTGTGGGATTAGAGGCAACATTGTAGGAGCTCAATCCCGGCACTCTGGGCACTGTGTCAAAACAATTAGTGCAAATAGAGTTTGGCATGGAGTGGGGAGACTTAAAGGTGACAGGGCACAATGCATAACTTGATTTATGAAGAAAAGCCCAACCAAGATGTTTAGAATTAAAAATTCACCTTCTAATGCATACCTTAGAATCATGTTGTCTTTATTCTTACCCTGGGACAGTGGAAAATCCAGCAGAAACCACCAAGTAGAGGCTTCTGCTCTCTAAAATACACAAACACTTTTAGTAATCCCTTGCTAGATCAACTTAGTTTTCCAGAAACACTTTTTGGGAGATGATCTTATGGCTGTGGTAATAATGGGCACATGGAAATAAGATGTGTGAAACGGCCAGCCCTCAGAAAGCCTTAGTGTATACTGGGCAACAGAAAACAAATCCACATCAGTCACCTGCTGCCATATTTTTTCAACACTTGGTATGGAATGTGCGTATATTTGCAGTGTGATTGCCATGTAAGATATGACAGGATTGAAACCAAATCACTGGTACAAGTCGTAGGGTCTGAAGTATCATTCAGATTCACTAGTTTTAAAAGGAGTCTGGGCGCGGTGGCTCACGTCTGTAATCCTAGCACGTTGGGAGGCCTAGGTGGGTGGATCACTTGACACCAGGAGTTTGTGACCAGCCTGGGCAACATGGCGAAACCCCATCTCTACTAAAAATACAAAATTAGGTGGGTGTGGTGGCAGGTGCCTGTAATCCCAGCTACTCGGGAGACTGAGGCAGGAGAATCGCCTGAACCTGGGAGGCGGAGGTTGCAGTGAGCTGAGATTGCACCACTGTACTCCAGCCTGGGTGACAGGGCGAGACTCCGTCTCAAAAAAAAAAAAAAAAAAAAAAAAGGAGATAATTTAGCATTCATTAACCTTGTCTTGGATGTTGTGGCAGGGGGGCGGGAAATGCACTCAAGAGACCCTCTCTGAAGACCTGGTTGACTTGGTTGGGAGTGGGGGCATGATGACTGAAGCTCTCTTTTCTGCCTTGTCCTTGTTTCTCAGCTGTATTTCCGGAACTGGAGCAAGAATCAGTGTTGAGAGGTAAGGGGAGAAGTTCCGTAAAGATAGATTCAGCATCTCAGAGATTTCAAAGGAAGGTCACCTGTTTGTTTGCCAAGGTAGGGGGAAAGTAGGACTGCACAAAGGTTCTACTGAAAAAAAAATTATTTAAATAAAGGTGAAAAATTACCACCCACTCACTCTGCTTACCTTGTGTCAAGCAGGAAACCAGGTTCATGGCAGATGACAAACACCCAGTTTTCTGAGTCAGTATTCTGTAGTATTCTTTTATTTTTAAATTAAAATCATGAATAGTCATGAATGAAGGGACTTGATTTTAGGCCTTTGAGGGGAGAAAAACAGTCAACCATATGTCTGAGTTTTAAAAATTGTAACATCAAAGGTTTTGAAGAAAGTTTCAGAGAGAGAAAGAGAGAAAATATAGATAGAAAACAGTTTCCTGAGTAGATGTGCGTTTTAATTTTGGCTTCTGGCTCAGTCTCTTAGCAGTTATAGGATTAGGATTTGGGGCAAATTCTTTCTCTTCGCCCAAGTTTCCTGAAATGCACCATGGGGACAATGATAAAGGCTCGCTCTGGGTGCAGGAAGAATGCCTAATGTGGCTCGGCATATAGAAAGGGCTCAATGCATAATCCCGACTATCAGTGTTCTTGTTGCTGCTATGGTTACAGTCTCCTCCCCCCATGTTAACTGTAGACCCTCTGGCCCTCACATTTTGAGCGTCACCACGCTGCCAGTAAAGGAAATGGCCTGAAACCCTGTTCTCCGATATTGTTCAGGACATAGTAGCCTGTACTCACTGCCTGTTTACTCAAGCGAAAGGGCTCAGACTGCTTCCTCTAACGGTTGCAGAGAAGGGCTGAAGCTTTGTCAGCTGAGCCTTTGAGATCTGGCTGGCTGTGAATGAATAATTAAACTCCTGCCAATGCAAAGGTACTGTGTAAATTCCTTAAAGCGGCCTCCTGTTTTCTCTGTCGTGCTCCTGGCTCACCCCCGTCATCCGATGTGTTGTTATTTAGCCAGAAGCCTGAGTTTCAAGGCTCAGACGCCACCCTTTCCCTTGTCAGCTGTTTCTCAATAGTAGTTGTGTGTTAGCTTTGCCAGGGAGGCCCTGGCCACCACAGACCCGGCTGAGAGGGGCTGGATAGGGGCCCACTCGAGCTAAGTGCAGCCAGTTCCTGTCTTAGCGGATTGCAGGAAGAGCCACTCCAGCAGAACACAAAACAGAGGAGACAGCAAGGGCCTTTTCTGCATATTGATACCCTCATGGAAGGAGGGAAGGAGAGCCACAGTCCTGTGGAAAACTTGGCCTATTTGTATAACATCCTGCTACTGGAGGGCCAGAATTCATGGGTGGAGAGGTACTTTAAAACAAACAAAGAGCCACTCCTGAAAGTGTGCTAGGATTGAACAGAGGCCAAGTCAAATCCCAGCGTGTTCAGGAGACATTAAGTGTGTTTCCTGTCTCTACCCATCAGCGGTGCCATAAAATATTTCTCCAGGATTTTTGAATCCTAGGATGACTGGTTCTCAGCACAGATTCCCAAAGCTCAGCCTCATAGGCCGTTCAAGTGGAATCACACACAAATAGCTCAGCTGTGCAGAGAAAAGAGCGCCTCTTTTATTGTTTGACCTTGATCCTGAGCCTCCTCCCACCTGCGAGCAAGAGGAAACAATTACCTTCTAAATCTGCCATCTAGTCATTTAATCATCCTATGAGGCAATGCTCAGTCTTTAAGATTTTTGTGTGTTCTGTATCTTTCCCAGAATGTTTTGCAAGATGGCTTTTGGCTGGATGGGAGATCAATGGCTTATATGGCAGAGAAGAAAATATGGGGTCTGCCATGGCTTGGACATTTGACCCCTCCAAATCTCATGTTGAAATTTGATCCCCAGTGTTGGATGTGGAGCCTAATGGGAGATGTTTGGGTCATGGGGGTGGATCTCTCATGAGCAGCTTGGTATCCTCTTTGAGGTAATGAGTAAATTTTTGCTCTTTTAGTTCCCATAAGAGCTGGTTCTTAACAAGAGCCTGGCACCACCTCTCTCTCTTGCTCCCTCTTTCCTCATGTGATCTCCACACACACTGGCTCCTCTTCCCCTTCCTC
This sequence comes from Homo sapiens, assembly GCF_000001405.40. Taxonomy (NCBI): domain Eukaryota; kingdom Metazoa; phylum Chordata; class Mammalia; order Primates; family Hominidae; genus Homo; species Homo sapiens. The sequence goes on from NC_000020.11 coordinate 20,745,020, forward strand.
CATGATTGGAAGCCTCCTGAAGCCCTTACGAGATGCTGATGCCAGCACAATGCTTCTTTTCCAGCCTGTAGAACTGTGAGCCAAATAAACCTCTGTTTTCTTTATAAATTACCCAGGCTCAGCTATTCCTTTATAGCAACACAAATGGACTAAGACAGGATCCTTGGGGATGGTGTCCTTCAGCCTCCTCCTGGGGCGATGGCCCTTATGCCTCTGAATCCTAGCTACCTTGCTGGTCTTTTGGCCAACCGTCTGTGGCTAGAGAACTCATGGTCTGTCTCATGCCCACAGGGATTGGTAGCCGACTTCCCGTGACTGACCAGCCTCTCATTAGCTCTGCCTGACTGCAGACCCTCCAGCCCTGACAAGTCCTCCAGCAGCTCGTTGGCCTGAGCACCCACTCCTGCCTCTGCTAAGGTATCACCCCTTCCCACTTAGCAGGCCCCAGGGCAGTCCTTGACTCAGAGCCGGAGAGGCAGAGGACCCATGAGGAGCCTGGGAAAACTACCTCAGGGCTTCCCCTCCCTAGCCACAGTGATGCAGCTGAGACCCTGGCACAAGTATGTGAGTGCAAGTAGTTTATTTGAGAGGTGATGCTGGAAAATGTGGTAGGGAATGAAGAAGCGAACAGGGAAAGGAGACGCCATTAGAGCTTACATTATCAAGCAAATTGCTACTGTGAGCACCTGGAACTTAATGCCATCCCCACTCCTCCCGGGAGGACTCTGGGAAACCATATAGAACATGTCTCAGAATTGTGGGCATGTTAATAACTCGTAAAGTTAACTATGAAGGTTAAATGGAATTTGCATGCAAAGCAGTTAGCATACAACCTAGCACATAAGGGCTCAGGAATCATATGCTGTTCCTTGTTCCCCACAAAACCTCCTGCCCCCCAAACTCCTTCTTGCCAGTTCTTTCCATGGCTTCTTTGGTTCTTAATTTTTCTTAGATTTTCTCTTATGGCTTTAACCACTTCTTTCTGTCTTTCACCCATTTTTATTTTTACTCTCTGAACTGAAGGCAGGTATCCCCCAAGGTCCAGGCTTAAGCTTTTGGCTTTTTCCCTGCTAAGTGAATTCTTCCACATACAGAGTTAATAGGAAAAAAAATACTCAAGACTCTTTGAACACAAATCCATAGAAGTACCCTTGGGATATATGTTCCATCCCACCCCCAGGCAGGGGACAGACACTGTCCATGTTAAAATAAAACTTTGTCATATGAAACGTTTTAGAAAGTGTAGTAGAAAGAGATGGATGAACATTTATAAGTTTGGTAATATGAAAGGTTGTAGGCACTGGGGTAGGTGAGTAGTCTCATACCATTTCAGTGGTGCGTGCCTGTAGTCCAGCTACTCAGGAGGCTGAGGTCAGAGGACTGCTTAAGACAAGGAGTTTGAGGATGCAGTGAGCTGTGATCGTGCCACTGTCAGCCTGAGCAACATAGCAAGAACTGACGAGAGAGAGAGGAGAGAAAACAGATAGAAAAATGCTGATACCAGATAAGGAGAAAAGCAGGGAGCCTTCTACTTGATTAAAAGCTTGAGGTTGATGGAGGTTTTTTAGATGCTAGCTGCTAATTGAGAGAAGTGGAACTGAGAGAGATGACTCCAAATTCCACTACACAGGAAAAAAAAGATAAACTGGGAGCAGTATCTATGTCCAAGTCAGAAAAAGAGGAAAGAGGAGGAGAGGAGGGCCTCATTCCTCCTGAGACAACCTTGTGGGAATGGGAAAGGAGCAGGAGAATGACCCAGTCTGAACGACCACTTCAGGGCTCAGGGTCTAGCAGGTTACCAAAAGAGGTGTGCATAAGGGATTCTTGAGGCTTTCAACTATCTCTCCACCTGGGCCAGATGTCTGGGATCCACAGCTTCAAATTCATTTGAAGCTGAATGATGTGAATCATACTGGGAAGATACCTGGGAAATGTAACCATGCTTTCTCAGACCTAGTGACCAGCACTGTTCATGCTGAGTGGTGGAGATCAAGCATACATTAGGGAGCTTACTAGAGAACTCAGAAGAATAAGGGCAACAGGCAGATCTCAGGGCTCCCTGTACCATTCCTATGTGACGTGCCTTCCTATCCTGCCATTTTACTCTTAAGATAGCAAAAAGCAAACACAAGGTGGTCTGGGGACAGAGACAGGCACCACATCTACACTGGCACAGGACATCAACTCTGAACGAGGAACTTACACTTTGATGTTGCCTTGCCGAACTTCTCACCCCACCTCTAGGCCCTTTCAGATTTTCCTACCAGAGTGCTCTGTGTCACCTTAGACTCAGTCTATGTGATATTCAGCTTCTTTCCCAAGCCAGCCTTTCCTTACCATATCAATCTTTCTGTTGTTTGCTCCACAATTTGTCAAAATTCAGATGAGTCACTTCTACCCTAGCCTTTCTCTTTTTCTTCTCAATTGAAACTTTCATTAAAGCCTGTCTCTTCTGCCTTTGAATTTTTCTCTGAGTCATTCTGTCTTCACATTAGCATCCAGCAGCTTAGATAAGGAAGCCCGTACTGTTTAAGAGACCTTTCCTCCCCTCCAGTCTTACCCTGTCCATTGCTTTCTGCACTCTGCTGTCCATCATCCCAGCCCCTCCCTTCCCCAGAGCCTACAGCAACTTCCCACTGGCCAACTTTAGTTGAATTTCCCATATTGGAGAAATCACTGCTCCATAGATTTTTTTCCCTTCAAATGGTCTCATATACATCTTTTCCACTGTAGTCCCCTTTAATCCCAGCACTCATCACCTGTGCACCCAGTTACCATTGGCCTCCTTGGTTTCAATTTCTCCACTCTACCCTACATTCCACTCCTGCAAGAATCTTGCTTAAACATCATTTCACCAAGCCACACCTCAGCTCAAGAGTGCACGGTGGCTTACAGCTTCATATCACATCAGATCTAAACTGATTGATTGTTATCACCTGGCCCTGAAACCTAATTTTCCCAGCCGTCCTCACCTTTTCTCTCGTCCAAGCTGAGTTTCCCTCAACCCTCTCTGTTCTGCAAGCATCCTGTTCTTAGTCCTAGTTGTATGGCATTGCTTAGCCCTCTGCTCAGTCAAAGACGTTTAACTTCTTAAGATCTATGGGATCTTTTATGACTATCTGTCCACTCCCATCCATGCTCTATCAAGGTTAAAACTAGGGCGTTGGGAGAAACAGGTCAGATTTGATGTGGGCAGGCTGCGACTAGGAGTCCATGAAGCTCCACAGAGGAAATTGGACATCAGGGTCCTAAACACAGGCCTGAGAAAGAATCCACTATACCAAGGATGTCCCGTGGGGCTCAGAGTGCAGGAGATAAGACCTGCCTGGGAAGCAATACCATGGCAAAAGGCTTTCAGTTCTAGGAGAGATGCAGGCATCTTGAGTTTGAAAGATGTTCAGAAGTTAGAAGTTCAGTTTATACAAAGGAAGGCCAGATAGAAAGAAGACAAAGGCAGGAGACGGTAGCAGAACCAGGAGAATGACCTGGCAGGCTGACCAGTGACCTGGGCAGGCTGACCAATGCAAAGGTCTTGCCTTTGCCATGCATGTTTTGTGCGTTTACTCAAGCTCTATGGGTAGATAGTCTCCAAAGACAGCCATTCTAAGTTCCTGCTTTCACCTTTATGTCTGTCACTCTGCCATAGAAAGGTGGCATTTATTTATCCTCTCCTAGCATCTGGGCTAGCGATGTGACTGTTTTGTCCAAAGGAATATGATAGAAAATGATGATCTGGAACTTCTGAGCCCAAGCCTTAAAAGGCCTGGACACTTCTACTTCTGAAACTGACCCACTTGTCCCATGGAATTGAAGTTTATGGTTTCTCTTGAATAAACAGAAATTAGCCCTCCCAGTCTTAAAATTTGAGAAAGTTACATTTGTCTTATCTGAGTTCCTTTTCCAGAAAACCAACCACCAGGACTCCCAGATAGTATCAAGAAACTGAAACTCACCAGATCACTGCCTCTGGACCATGAGATGTCAGATCCCTCACCTGTCACGATTGCCTAACTGACCACCTGCTTCCTGTTGACCATCTCCTCTTCCCTACCCTCCTTAGTTCTTGTTTTCCCATACATTGTTACATTTCTTCCTTGCTCTATAAACCTCTAATTACAGTCAGTTGGGGAGATGGATGTGGGACTGATCTCCCATCTCCTTGGCTGCAGCACCCAATTAAACCTTCTTTCCTGGCAATACTCATTGTCTCAGTGATTGGCTTTCTGTGTGGTGAGCAGCAGGACGTAGGCCAAACCCCTGGTATTTCAGTAACATTTCCTTCTTGGAACACAGTCCCATATTGTAAGGAACCCAACCCACATGGAGAGGCCAGGTGGAAGAGAGTGGAGGCACTCAGTCTATGGTCCCAGCTTAGTTCCCAACTAACAGCCAGCATCAACCACCAGCCATGTAAGCTCTCCACTGTGGACATTCAGCTCAGCCAAGGCCCCACCCAGTTGACTAGAGTCCCACCTGACATCACATGCAAAAGAGCTACCCAGGTGAGCCAAGTCAGCCTATACAGTTAGAAAGAAAATAAAATGATTGTTGTTTCTAAGATGCTAAGTTTTGAGGTGGTTTGTTTTTGTGCAACATATGATTGAAACAGACCTTCAATAAATGTCTTGGCTTCTAGTGAAGACTTTTTTTGTCATCATTTATGACCTAATATGTTAGGAATCCAGAAGGCAGGATATCTGATGCTCTCGTGGGGCACTCATCCCTCGAGGATTTGGGTTGATACTGATAATTCTCTTTTCTGCTAAGTGCAACACAGATGAGCTCACCTATCTACAGGTTTTGGTTATATTCCATTTAGCACTTTATTTTAAGTTACCAAAGTTCCCTATTTTATGGGCAAATCTCATAATAAGCCCACATTTGTATATTTTTCTCTCCTATCACTTAATGCAAAGTAGAAGTGCAACACATATTGCTGAATTCAACATTCATTTCCAAATATTCCTGCATGCATGTGGGACTATCTTAAATATAGCTCATGTGACCAAACAATAACATCCATTGTCATTCAGCCTTATGTGGAACATGTTAACTATTTAAAACTTCCTTGGAAAATAAAAAAACCACAAACACACACTCAAAGTGCTAAAAATGTGTGAAGATAAATTTGAAAGAAAACAAGATCTTTTTAAGAATTTTTTTTTTTTTTTTTACTTAAAAAAATTTAATTTTGGCCAGGTTTGGTGGCTCACACCTGTAATCCCAGCACTTTGGGAGGCTGAGGTGGGCGGATCACTTGAGGCCAGAAGTTTGAGACCAGTCTGGTCAACATGGTGGAACCCTGTCTCTATCAAGAATACAAAAAAAGCTGGGCATGGTGGCACCCTCCTGTAGTCCCAGCTGCTCGGGAGGCTGAGGCACGAGAATCACTTGAACCTGGGAGGTGGAGGTTGCGGTGAGCCGAGATCGCACCACTGCACTCCAGCCCAGGTGACAGAGTGAGACTCTGTCTCAAAAAAAAAAATAATAATAATAATTAAATCTTGTAGAGATGGGCACTATGTTGCTCAGGCTGGTCTCAAACTCATGGCCTCAAGTGATCCTCTTACCTCTGTCTCCCAAAGCACTGGGATTACAGGCATGAGGTACCCGACCTGTCCAGGCTAGGTTATTTTAATTTACAGAGATTCAGAGGAGTGAAAATGAATAACAGCAAGTAACTATGAGTCAAAATCTGGTCCAGGAAGGAAAGGAACCTTGATTTATTTCTAATGCCAACATACATATTAATAAAAGCTTCAAACATTAAATGTGTTTTTCAGTGTTGTATGTGTTTCCTGTGCTCATGTGCCCGAGAGGGGGTTCAACTTTGAAATGAAGCCCCATGCAACACAAACGAGGCCATTGAGATGCCACAGATTTGCCTGAGGGCATTTAAATGCCTTCAAATGTTGTCTTTCTGGAATCAAAATATAGTTAGAGGTTATTATGTTGCCAGCATGGGAGTGTTAGAATTTTTGGCTTATGGAGACTTAATATGGAAGCTGGGCAGGATAAGGATTGAGACATAAGGAGCGATGATCAACTGATTCTAAACGCACTGCAACCATTCATGAGGTAAGAGACCAGCAGTTTCTGTTACAATAAAAATCAGCATACTCTTGAACTTACGAATCAGAATTAGGGATGACTGAACCTGTTTGGTCAAAGAACACGCCATTCTTTAAGCCAAAACCTAATGCTTTGCTGAAGAGATCTCCCTGCCTTGAGGATCAAGGTATGGCTCCTGATGGCCGTAAACTATTGGAAAGTCAAAATCAGTATCTCTGGTTCCTCGTCATTTAAGGAAATCTCAGATGTAAGGAAAATGGGGTTTATATAGTATTAAAGCTGTTTAAAATAGGCTCTGTGGTGTAGTCTGGAAAAAGTGACTAGAGTACAAAGAGACTCATATTTCTGAGGCTCTGCAGCCAGGGAATTTCATTGTTAGAATTAGGATTACATACAGCATAAGAGGGAACGAATAAGGGTGAGAGGCGGCTTGTGGAGGTGACGAGTGTGCTTTGGGTCAAGATGGCTTGGTTTCCACAAACCAGTGTTGTGATCTTGGGTAGGTAAACTACCTACTGTACTGAGCCTGTTTTTACATTTATAAAGCTAGAAAATGATGACAATATCTGACCTGCTTACCTCACATGATGTTATAAGGTTCCACTGAGATAATCCATGATAAAACATGTCAGAAACAAAGTATGAAGCACTACAAAAATATAAGATTTCAGCTACAATATCAACCTGGAGAAACATAAACAAAAAGAGAGATGTTGGACCACTGTGCAAATCAAATAATTGAATGAATAAATGAATATATGATTGATGTCATGGTGCATATATATTAAAGTGAGTCATGGAAATTTACAAACGATTTCGAGGTAAACTTGATATGTAAATTATGTCTTCAGAATACATGGATAAGCTTTATTGGGCAATTGGGATTTTGGAGACTGGAAGGAAAGAAAGAAAGGAGGATGAATGGATGAAAGGGAAAGAGGGAAGTCATATCAAATTAGCCAGAGTGCAGGAGACATTGCAGGCAATATATACGAAGATTAGGAAGAGATGATTGGCAGACTCAAGGGACAGGTTGAGGAACAGAAGACAACAGGACACTGGGCCAACTGTAAGCAACCAGGTGCTGTTCCTACTTATTTAAGTCTTACAAACCACCCCATGAGGTAGGTATTATAATCCCCACTTTACAGAATGGGGAGGAGGAAACAGGCTCAGAGAGCCTTATCTGGCTTAAGGATATACATTAGTAGATGGAACTTATATAAAAACTCAGATCTTTCTGAAGTCCAAGCTTCTGTTCTTTCTTCTACGTCAGAAGTCAGGATTTATAAAGTAATGAGAGATCCCAGAAAGCCCAGCGAGGGTGAAATGGTGGGGTGGGGTGGGAATAATACGGAAATGAGTAGAGAACAATGAGTAGAGAAAATTTCTCCTTCTTCACAACCTTATTTTCGTTTCATATGACCCAATTTCATCAAATTATTTTAATATGCTCATCTCCTAAATAATCAAGTTTACATGTGGTTTTTTTTTTTTTCCTTCTCTCTTTAGCAAGAAGAAAAAAGAAGGTAATTATATTCAGGCTAACCTGCCTTTTTAAACACACAAATAACAACCTCTTAGCTCTCCCCTCCTTCCCCACCCAAACCACCTCCTCTGGAAATAAACACATTACCAATGCTGGAGTTGTTGCATGACCAGAATTACGGGACAATCAACAGTAGGAAACGATATTGCAAATACAATTGAGGGCACAATACACAAACAGCCTTATAAAATTTCTCTTACAAAACTTCCTGTTACAGACATCTTCCCATAATTGGTGTGTGATGCCATTGGCCAAAGTATCAGGGCAGAAATAGAGAGCCTCCCGGTTCTCATTATAATTAATTGGCTGTAATAGAAACTTTAAACAATTGGGTTCATGATGTAATTGTGACACGTACTTCCTTTGATGAAATCTTCCATGGGCTGCAGGAAATGGGTCAGTAAGGAAGTATACATGCACCAGGTGCACAAGATCCATGGAAACTTTAGTTTTCGTTTTCCTACCCATAGGCCAACTCTTTTGCTATGTTCCTTTTCTAGGGAGAACTCAAAGAATTAAAAATTGGATTATAAGAAAAATAACCAAGAGTCTTCTAAAAAGCGCATGCAATAATGTCACTCAGAAGGTAAAACCAAGCTCTCACAACATGAGGGACCTCTCGCAGAGACCTCCAGGTCTGGTTTTCAGAGCTCTTGGTGACTATTAATATCAATTGCTCTTTTTTCTCTTTCTTTCTGATCAAATGTTGAGCTGTGAAGAGATGTTCCCACTATTACAGGAGCTGGGCAGCCTAGCTTTGAATCCCTGGTGACTTTACTTGAAAGCTACTTTACCCTCTCTGAGCTGGAGTTCTTCATCCTCAGAATGGAGCTAATTAAAGTACACGAGTTCAAGCAATCCTTCACCTCCTCTGGGAGCTACAATCCATACATCCCACTGTATCTTTGCTGTCCCTCAACCCCCGACATCTTCCCTTTCCTCTTAGCCCAGCTTAAATTCCACAGCCACTCCTTTGCCTAAGCTCTCAACTGCCTTACCCCTTTCTCTTACCAGTTTTCTCTTGACAATTCCCTGACCCTGATGAAGTCCAAAGCACTGCCTACTTTGTGCTCGCACCTGGGCCACTGAATGTGGCTGGACAACAGCATTGTCACACTAACTGCTCTCCCTTTAAGTTCATGATTATGGACTTCAAGTGGGACCCTAATGATGGTTGGTAAAGCCCATGTATTGCCGCAGACCACTTACTTTCCCACTGAAATAACAGAAGCAAGCAAGTAAGAACTTAAACTTCCTTCCACCACGATGTTTACCACTCACCTGCTTCTGTGCTCATAGACTCTGCCTTTACTTCTGTAACCATGAATAAACTTGCTGAGCTCCAGCTAAGGCCATTCCCTCCACCTGTGTTATAAAGTCATGGACCCTGTATCCTCTTATCTCTCACAGAATTGGCTCCAGCAATTCACTCCTCTCTCTTTTGCATCATCCATTTCCCACCCTTTGCTGCATCATTCCCATCAACATACGTACTGTCTGTCTTCAACCTCAACCAAAGCCTTTCTCCTGGCCCCACTCTCCTCTCCAGCTACTGCTTCATTTCTCAAATCTGTTTTTTTAGCAAAACTCCTAGAAAGAGTAGCCATTACTGGCTGTTTCCAATTCAATTCCCATTCTTTTCTTAAACCCACGTTATTTCAGCTATGCCTCACCATTTCCAGTGCCTTCTACATCCTTGATTCAGCAGTCGGTTGGTTCTCCGTCATCATCTCCATTTACCTACAACGGCCTTTGACAGAGTTGAGAACGTGCTTCTCTGAGAAACGACATCTTTATTTGGTGTACCAGTTACTGGGACTGCATAATAAATTACCCCAAAACTTAATGGCTTAAAATAACCAACTCATTCATTTTGCTCATGAATCTGCCATCGGGACAGGACTTCATGGGCACTACTCATTTCTGCCCCACTCCATGTCAGCTGGGATGGCTCGAAGGTTGGGATCTAGAATGATCTGAAGTTCTTTCACTCATATGCCTGGTGCCTGGGCTAGGAAGACTCAAACACCTAGAGGCTGGAACACTTAGGATCCTTGTGCCTCTCTGTCTCTGTCTATCTGTTCTCTCTCCGTGGTCTCCCCAGCATGGCAGCAACCATAGCATTGTGGCCAGACTTCTCACCTGTAGGCTTGGGCCTCCCAAGGCATGTGTTCCAAGAGAAAGAGGCCAGACAAAAGCTATTTTGTGGTGTCTTTGTCATCTAGCTTTGGAAATCATCCAGTTTCACTTTTACCATAGTCACAGGCCTGTCAGATTCCCAGGGAGGAAACATTGTCCCCTACCTCTTGAAGGAGCAGTGTTAACCTCACATGGCAAGGGAGATAGTGGTGAGGCTATCTTTAGAAAATCGAACCATCACGCCTGTAATCCCAGCACTTTGGGAGGCCAAGGGGGGTGGATCATCTGAGGTCAGGAGTTTGAGACCAGTCTAGCCTAGATAGTGAAACCCCATGTCTACTAAAACTACACAAAAATTAGCTGGGTGTGGTGGCGGGCACCTGTAATCCCATCTACTAGGGAGGCTGAGGCACAAGAATCACTCGAACCTGGGAGGTGGAGGTTGCAGTGAGCCAAGATTGCGCCATTGCACTCCAGCCTGGGCAACAAGAGCGAAACTCTGTCTCAAAAAAAAAAAAAAAGAAAATCGACTTATAACCTATGGCTTCTGGGGTAGGAGTTCCTTCTCATCTGGCTTTAGGAATTCCTCTCAATCTTTTCTATCCCTTAAATTTGGAGTCCCCATGGCTCTGTCTTTGTACTTCTCTTTTTCACTTCCTTCTTTTTCTTGGTAATCTCAAAGAGTCTCATGGCTTTCAGCCTATATTCTAATGATTCTCACATTCACATGTTTATATCAGACCTCTCCCATGAATATCTCCTCAGTATCTCTTCTTGGATGTCTAATGGGGATCTCAAACATAATTTCGCAGAGATAGAACTCCAGATCTTCCCATCCAGTGTGCCCCAGCCATACCTTCCCCCTGCAGTGATGGCAACTCTATCCTGCCAGTTGGTCAGGTGCAAACCCCATCTTTGCTTTCCTCCTTCTGTCACACCCTCTACTCATGGATCAGCAAACTCTTTTGGCTTTGTCTTCAAAACACATCCAATATCTAACCACTTTTTATATCTTAACTTCTACCTTCTTGATTCAAGCCACCTACATTATCTCCAACAATTACTCACTTTCTTTGACTCAAAGCTAGAACTCTCTTTTTGTTGCTGCTGTGCATTCTGTCATAGTTTCACAGTCAAGTTGCGATCAACTTGGAAAACAGAGCTGCAAAGTGTACATATTTAAGAAGTGTCCCAACCACCTTGATGGGTGTCTTCTTTCCAGCCCTAAGCTGCCTCTGATGGCTTGTAGCAGGGTGAACAACAGTATCCCTCACCTGGTGTTTGGAGGCTGATATGGCATTAGGTCAAATCAGGGTAGGTGCAAAGGTCGTGTTCTGGGTGAGCAGAATGGGACATTCTATTGCAGGGTTTTTGTTTGTTTTGTTTTTGAGACGAAGTCTCACTCTGTCGCCCAAGCTGGAATGTCATGGTACGATCTTGGCTCAGTGCAACCTCCGCCTCTACAGTGCAAGCAATTCTCCTGCCTCAGCTTCCCAAGTAGCTGGTACTACAGGTGCATGCCACTATGCCTGGCTATTTTTTTTGCATTTTTAGTAGAGATGGGGTTTCATCATGTTGGCCAGGCTGGTCTCGAACTCCCGACCTCGTGATCTGCCTGCCTCGGCCTCCCAAAGTGCTGGGATTACAGGCATGAGCCACCGTGCCCGGCCTATTGCAGGGATTTTTAAAAACAAAATTCTAAGCGTGAACCCATCTGAGAATTTGGTAGAAACCACAGACATCTTTCCCAAAAAAGGCAAGTACGACATAAGAAAATAGCTTGAGGAGGTCCATGGTGGAACATTGCCATCCATTCCTGAATTCTTATGTTCCATGTCCTTGGGTAAAGAGCTGGTTCCTTAAAGACCAAGGACCAGGAGCTATTAATAGCTGATTGTCTCCATGCTTTGACATCACTTTTATCCTATCCTCATGGCCACGGGTGTGGGGTCGAGGATAAGAACTGCCTCCTGAATTATCAAGAATGCTACCTCCAAAAAAACAGTTTGTCACAGTGATTAATAACGCAACTGCCTAGTTCTGTTTTAATCCTTGAGTTGTGAGAAAAAAGTACTATGTTTGGAAGAATGGTCCTGTTTTTGTGTCCTACTTTTAGGCAAGCAACATCTGCTATAATCTCGGGAACTTAGTTACTTGATTGGTCAATTATTTTTAAATGTATTTACAAAAATAGAAGCTGAATGATTTACACTAACGTCTAATTATTCCTTTTTATTATTCCAGGGAGATTTTAGAAGTAACTACAAAAGTAAGAATTCTCTTTGTCTAAGACATGGCAAACAAGATTGTAAAACGGGGTCTATTGGGCTTCATCAAACTTGAATTGGTAATGGAACACCTATATTAAGGAATATTGTAAATTCAGGAACACGCCTTATGAGAGAATGTTTGACTGCGGTTTTCCAAAAGGGCTGAAATAGTTTTCACTATTACATTTGCAGTCGTGCACATGGAGTGAAAAATGGGCAGAAATCTGGTTTATTTCTTCATTGCATATATTTTAAATGTGTGAGTAGTAAGAAATTGCCTTATATTTCAACTAGCTATGCTGCTTTGCAGTAACAATAACTGGAATAATTAATACACTGGATTTGCACCAACTTGATTGGAAGGATTTATGTTTACGTCCCCCACCCAGCAGAGCTGAATTAGGTAGGCAACTCGTGGTTCCAACTTTTTTGCACTAAAGGCCATTTTGAAGGTATGCACAACCTACCATGCAATTGTTGACAGCCTGAAGGTGCTGAATGTGTAAAAGGGAGTGTAAGGAGTTAGAGCAGTAGTGAATTTTTGCAAGTCAGAAAAGGGTGGAGAAAAGAGGTAACAGTGAGCAGACCAGCTCCTGATCCCCCTCAAATATTGATAATGACATAGCATGCATGAAACCCACGAAGGAGATTACAGATTAGGATTCAGCGTCATATCTTAATTCAGGTTCCCCAGAAGCAAATTCTAACATTAATTTTTTTTTTTTTTTTTTTGAGACAAGGTCTCTCTCTCTACCGCCTAGGCCAAAGTGCAGTGATGCAAGCTTGGCTTACTGCAGCCCCGACCTCCTGGGCTCAAGTGATCCTCCTGCCCCAGCCCCCGAGTAGCTAGAACTACAGGTGTGCACCACCATGCCCAGCTAATTTTTGCATTTTTGTTTGTATTGTTGTTGTTGTTTTGTTTTTTTTGTAGAGACAGGGTGTCACTATGCTGCCCAAGCTGGTCTCAAACTCTTGGCCTCAAGTGATTCTCCCGACTTGGCCTCACAAAGTGCTGGGATTACAGGCATGAGCCACCATGCCCAGCCCCTAAGATTAATATTTGTGTGAAAGTGATTGATTAAGGGAGTGCCCCCCAGGGACACACTAAAGAAATGGGAAAGCAGAAAGGGACAGGGAGGAAGCTAAGCAAGGTTGCAGGGTCTAGCAAAGTCCTGCAAAGTATGACTTCAGCCTGATCCTGCAAAGGACTCTGGGATGTAAGTCACACCTCAGAATTGCACCCTGAGACAGGGAGCTGAGCTCCCAGCACCCAATAATCACTGGAGGAGTAACTTCCCAGCACTCCAAGTTATTTGCACATTTGCACAAAATGTTTACATTTGCACAAAATTGTTCCAGTAGTGGAAGAACATACCTCCAAAGAGCGTAGATCAGGCTGTTGGAAGGAAAGCACACCCAAGTTTGAAGTGTTGGTGGGGAGTAAGGGGAGTGGCACACAAACACAGTGAAAAGGCATTCAAGAAAATATAGACACAGTGGGCTGGGTGTGGTGGCTCACGCCTGTAATCCCAGCACTTTGGGAGGCCAAGGCGGGTAGATCACGACGTCAGGAGTTTGAGACCAGCCTGGCCAACAAGGTGAAACCCTGTCTCTACTAAAAATACAAAAATTAGCCGGGTGTGGTGGCACGTGACTGTAATCCCAGCTACTCGGGAGGCTGAGACAGGAGAATTGCTTGAACCCGGGAGGCAGAGGTTGCAGTGAGTTGAGATCACACTATTGCTCTCCAGCCTGGGCTACAGAGCATGACTGTCTCAGAAAAAAAGAAAAAAAAATTCTAGACAGAGTGCTGACAGTGCCTGCTATAGATCACCCAACCTCTGGGAGCCTAACCTGTGATTTAGGAAGATGGGGATTTGTCCAGTCCAGGTGGTGGAATCCCACCAAACATGACCACAAACAAGAGTTTTTATGATTTTTGTTTGTTCATTTGTTTTGTTTTGTGTTTTGTTTGCTTATTTGTTTGTTTTTTGAGACAGAGTCTCACTCTGTTGCTCAGGCTGGACTGCAGTGGCCCAATCTCAGCTTATTGGAACCTCTTCCTCCCGGGTTCAAGCAATTCTCGTGCCTCAGCCACCTGAGTAGCTGGGATTACAGGCATGCACCACCACGCCTGGCTAGTTTTTGTATTTTTCGTGGAGATGGGACTTCTCCATGCTGCCTGGGCTGCTCTTGAACTCCTGGCCTCAAGTGATCCGCCTGCCTCAGCCTTTCAAAGTGCTGGAATTACAGGCATAAGCCACTGCACCAGGCCAAGTTTTTATAGTCTTTACGGACAGAATAAACTACCTAGCTCTGGACTTTGTGACATGATTTTATCAGTCACTTCCTTGTTTTCTTGTGTATCTGAGCTTTATTCAGTGCCAGGACTCTAGGGCAGAAGTTAAAAAAAATAAACTGGAAACAGTCATTGTGCATGCAATTGAAAATAAACAAAACGTTCCAGTGCTCTTTGTGCAGAAGATTTATTAACAAGTGTTTTTTGTTCGCTGGTAAATCAGGGGCTGTGACACTTCTTTCCTTTCAAATGGATTGCTGCAAAAGAAATTATAATAATTATAGCTTTGAGAATAATTTAATAATTTGTCAACACTTTTTTCCATCCAACAACCAGAACACAACAACAAATAGATGTATTTTTAGAAACACACCTGATGTTTTGCAGAAAACCATGAAGAAAACTACGAAAACATATTGAAAGAAAAATGTTAATCAACCTGTTCCTCACAAGATAATATCTGAGCAAATATGTACAAGAAGATATTACAGGATGATTATTTCTAATTAGATATGGGCATATGAACAATAAAGGTAATTAAACATATAGTGCCATGGAACATTCTCTATGGCCCAAATCATTGATATCAAATAACTTTAACAGTGAGATTACTATCCACATAACTGAGAAATAAATCAGGTTAAGCAAAGATCATGCCGCTTCATTATTGTTCATTTTGAGAGATTCATTTAAAACAAATTGATTTGGTCGAGCATGGTGATTCATGTCTGTAATCCCAGCACTTTTGGAGGCCAAGGTGGGCAAATCTCTTGAGGCCAGGAGTTTGAGACCAGCCCAGGTAACACGGCAAAAACTCATCTCTACTAAAAATACAAAAATTAGCCAGGTGTGGTGGTGCATGCCTGTAATCCCAGCTACTCAGGTAGCTGAGGCACGAGAATCGCTTGAACCTGGGAAGTGGAGGTTGCAGTGAGCCGAGATTGCACCAGTACACTCCAGCCTTGGCAACAGAGTGAGACTCTGCCTCAAAAATAATAAATAAATAAATAATAAAGCAAATTGATTCATTAGTCACCCAAATCATTTATTCTCTAAGTATAGATCAAACTATTCATGGATTATCTTTTTTGTGTTTTCAGAGACCCCTAAAATATTAAAGAATAATTCCAAATTATAGATAAATTATTTACAAAATAGTAGTCTTAAGCTACCAGTGTGTACCTGGTGATTTTTTGCTGAATTCTTTTTTTTTTTTTTTTAAGTTATAACCTGTATACAGCAAAGGGCAAAAATTGCAAATACACAGCTTGATAAATTTTAGACATGTCTACAGCCATGAAACCAACAAGACATAGAATGTTTCAAGCTCCTGAAAGGCTGTCTTGTCCCTCTCCAGGACCCCCCCAGAGGCAGCCACATCAGCATAGATGTTTTGTTTGCTTTTGAATTTCATGCATGTGGAATCCTACAGTATATATAGCCTTTTGTGTTTCACTTATTTTGCCCAACATTATGTCTGAAATTCATCCTTGTTGGTGTGTTTCTTACTTCTTTAACTACATAATTTTCCCTAAAGAACTTAACAAACTTTGATAGTTAAGGCTTATCTTTTGTATTGGACAGATTTGGAGGATTGAAACTAAGCTAAAATTCTTTGCCTTGATTGACTTGCTCTAATCCCACAGTCTCAAATTGTCAAAGGAAACGTAATGTTTTGTAATACCATAATAATTTTGAACAATTCTACTTGCAATTTCGGTAGCGTTCTATATTTATTGATTATTAAATCAGGTTGCATTTCCACTTCCAAACTAGAAGACAGATGAAAAGCTATCTGGCTAAATAAAATTTTCATCACATAAATTCATTGACTTGCCTGAGGCTGTAAGTGCAATTTAACTTCAGCCTCATCTAAAAACCTCCATGGGCTGATGTCTGAACAGCTATTTCTCCTACACTAACAACTAAAATGCAGTTGGTAAAGGGATGAGACATTCACCTTAGATGGTTGCAAAGGTATTCATCCATTGTGAGGTACAGAAAGACTTAAGGTCCTCCTGAGGTTCTTTGTAAATGAAAGTGACCTCAAGATCTGAGGCAAAGAGCTACATGCACAGATAAGAGAAACAGGCTGTGAGCAAGGTTACCCCCGGGCAGTCAGCAATCTGCAGAGGGGTTGGCTGGTGTGGCTGGCCCTCTGGGTTTCCTTTGGGCCCTCTATCTATTAGGCAACACTTCCTGGCATTGAATTTTTCTGGATGGCATGATGCTTAACAAAAACACTCCAATAAGCTGCAAAAATCAAGCCTGTCACTGAAGCTCAGAGAACAACTTCTGCTAATACAGTGTCAAAATAAATCATCAATCAATGAATACTCTCTGATCAGACAGAATGGGTAATAAGTGGTAGAATCCCAGTTCAAGTTTTCTTAAGTAAAACATACATACCCACATGAGGGCTTCCTTAGGGAAGCATCTGGAAGTGAAATTGCTGGATTATAGGGTGTGTGCATTAGGCTTTAACAGCTACAGTCACGTTTTGCTGTGGTGTTTTTGATACTCCGGCTCCCCTGCCTCCATATTTGGTTAGCACATAGAGCCGCTGCTTTGCCCTGTCCTCTGTGTCTTCAGTGCCACTTGGTTTATGCAAGTTGATCTTGCCCAAGGAGCCTGCCCTGTATTCGATCTGCCTTCTGCTGCAAAAGAATGAAACTTCTGAAATCCAGGGTAGCTGCATCATCTATTTCAGATGGAGATGCATCTTCAATGAAGCAGGAAATATTTACAGGTAGCAATCTAATATTTACCCAGGAAGTTTTACATTGATCTTATCCTACCTAGAAACCTTGTGCCATGGTTTGTAAACCCAAATGCCTATGGGGGGGCTGTATAGCACAATAGGAAGTGGTGGGGACCTCTGGGGACCTGCCTAGCCCATCCTCATGAAGATGGCAACAGCTACTCAATAAGTCACTGTATAATTCTCACAAAACAACGTGTGACCAAAACACTACCTAAGGACTAACAGAAACCTACCAGACTGTTCAGGCAAAGCCTCCCCTTTATAGATAAGGATAGTGAGCCTCAAAAAGGTTATTTTTCATGTTCTATGACAGAGCTAGTGACTGACAGAGCCCCGGACCTCTGGAGCTGCATCCTTCCCACCACACTGCAGTACCTGCTTGTGATGGTGAATCTCTATTCCCTCCCTCCATCCCCCCGTGGGTCAATTCGGCTCTCCCTTCTCTTGCTCTGTGCCCTCAGTTGCCTTATTGGGACTGCCTTATTTCCTGGACTCTGGATGGATTTGGCCAATGGCAGGCACTAGCAGAAGAGTGAGGACCAGGGAAGAAAGACGCTGGGGTACTTCTTCCTTATTTCCCCTGTTCCCTGGGCAATGTTCTCCAGCAGTGGCTGCATCCATCCATCACTTCAACTTATAGGAGGTCTCTCTATCAGGAGCTATTCTCACTGGGCTCCTGGGACACTACTCCTACCCTCTGCCTCTTTAGGTCTGGGGTGACAACGGCCCACTTCCATTGGCCCCTGGGTGCTTCTCCATCTCCTGTTAACCCTACCTGCCCCACTGTCAAAGTCCCTCCATTAAACTCTCTGGAAACATCTAAGTTCAATTGTTTCCCACCGGGAAACTGATGTATGCTTGTTTGTATGCTGGATGAAAAATGAACTGAGAGTGAAAAGTTAGTTTTGTACTTTTATTTTTTAATGAAAAATGTTTCTTCTACTTCATTTTCTATCACACAAAAAACTCCTTGAAAGTATTAAAACTCTATATCCCAAGGTACATCCAATGGCCAATGAACATATGAAATGTGCTCAATTTAATTAGTCATCAGCAACATGCAAATTATAGCTATTATCAGAATGGCTAAAATGAAAAAGACAAATAATACCGAGTCCTGGAGAGGAGGTAGAACAACTGAAACTCTCAAGCACTGCAGGCAAAAGTGTAAATTGACACAACATCCTTTGGAAAACAGCTTGACAGTATCAAACATGACTCTATAGTCCAGAAATTCCATTCCAGGTATACCTATTAGAAGTGCCCACATATGTATACTGAAAGACATGTGCCAGAATGCTCACAGTAGAACTACTTGCAACTGCCAAAACAGAAAACAGCCAAATCCCCAGCAATAGTAGAATGAATCGTGGTCTGTTCACATCATAGAAATACAAGTCTCTGCAGCAATATAAATGAATGATTACAACTATGTGCAATCATGTAAATAAATATCACAAATATAATGTTGAGTGAAGGAAGCCATACTCGAAAAGTATAAATATAGAAAAAATTACTCTATACTGTTAGAAGTCAGATATCGCTCTCTTGGCTGAAGGGAAGTGTCCAGGTGGGAGTTTCAGGGGTTTTGTGGGTCTGAGTGCTGGTTACAAGGGTGTGTTCAGTTTTTTGAGAAATTCATTAAAGTGTGTAGTTTTTGTTTTGTTTTGTTTTTGAGGCAGGGCCTCACTCTGTCACCCGGGCTGGAATGCAGTGGTGCAATCACAGCTCGCTGCAGCCTCAAATTCCTGGGCTCCTTGGGAGAACTGGGCTCTGCCTCAGCCACCCGTGTAGCTGGGACTACAGACATACACCATCATACCTGGCCAATTTTGTACTTTTATTATTTGTGGAGATGGGGTCTCGCCATGTTGACCAGGCTGCTTTTGAACTCCTAGCCTCAAGTGATCCTCTGCCTCAGTCTCCCAAAACTACATAGTCTTGATATGTGTACTCTTCTGTATGTTTATTATACACTAATAAAACCTTGTTTCCATGTTCAAATTTATACTCCCGCAACCACCTGAATCAATATAACACATTAGTTCTAATTGGCAAATTACTCAAAAACAGAGACACCAAATTGTTTCCCTCACCAACATCTAGATATTTTCAAATCTTGTAGCAAGTGTTGCAAGCAAATTGCTAGACTAGGACCAGTGCATTATTGGGAACCAATCTATTTATAGCATGTTTGCCCCACTTATAAATTCTAGATGTCTATTCCAGAATAAATGAAATCATTTTCACATTGGATATGCCTGTATAATTTCCACTGCATTTATCATACACAAAGTGATAAAGATGTGGTCCTAGATGTCTATTTTTAGAAGAAGTGTTAAGAGATTTTTGTCTTATGTCTAAAATATCTACTGTCTTATATTTAGAAACATCTAAAATAATTCTGCCACACAGTTGGGTCATTGCTTGGGCAGAAGAAAGTCTGACAGAGGTTGTGTTGGGTCTCAGAGTGAGGGGTGGGCAGTCAGACAGAAGGTACAACAGTGCAATGGTTAGGGCCTCCCAATGGCTGGGAAGTCAAGGGGCGGGGGTAACCACTGAGACAGCTAACCTTGTCAAAGAAAACTCTTAGAAACATTTAATCTGGATCATAGTCATCTATATGCCAGCCATGTCCAACCTCAGAATGAAGAAAAGAAGAAAAGAAAAGCCAGCTTGGCACAGTACAGGGCAGAAACTACACAGCCTCTGTAGTAAGGCCAGGAGGCTATTGTGACCACACACATATGCCAACTTATCTTGGGGTCTACTTTTTGTAAGTAAGGTTGGGAGCAGAGTCATACAACAGCGACATCAAAGAGTGTGGTGGAAGCTGGGGGACTGGGATGCAACAGCGCGTTAGGAGAACACTTCCAACAACTACTTTAATTAGAGCATTAATTAGTGATGGAGCCTCATTATAGTTCCCCAAAATCTTAGTATAGCTTTCCCACATTTCCAATTGCAAGAGAACAAAGGCAAAGTAAGAAAGACAAGGCAGGAGAGGGAGGACAAGAAGAAATGCATTGGTGAGCGTAACCAGCTGCATTTTTACCTACTGAAAATTAAGAAAGAAGTTTTCCTGTAAAACACTCTCAATAAGTGTTATGGGAAATATAGTAGTATGAGCACAGGTGACTAATGACCATTTTAATTTGTAGTCAGGAAAAAAGGAAGAAAGAGGAAAGAGAAATAACCACAAAGATCTACAATTGTTATACAAGATGTGTATCTAGAAAATCAAAATTTCATATATGCAATCTTTCTTTTGAGACACGGTGGCAACTTGTCTAATAGATAAAAAATAAATTGGATTTATAAAATGCTCACCAGCTATCATTGCAGTCTTTTGGACAGCAAGTTTTAAAAAATTATATTAGAAGGAAAAATTAAGATCCTGAGTGATTATATAAATTGCTTCACCAAAGAATATATATTGAATTGTTTAGAAGTAAACAGCAGCTTTTTCATAGGCATAAACATGTGGACTTAAGTATCTTAAATCTTTTACTCTGAATATTAACTCAGACCTCTTTACAAATCATATTTTTTACCGCCTTTTCTAGCTGAAACACAAAACTTTAATTTTCTCCCCTGACATTTGTCTAACAGGGATTGTTCATCTATCAGATTTGCAGGAAAGTGTCAGGGTGTTAGAAGGTATTAAAATCACATGGCAAGAAAGCGACCTTTGAAATTCCTGTTTGACTAAATTTCTGGAGAAAGGAAATGGAAGGAGGAAAGACAATATCGTATATCTTTGTTAGTTTAATTTGCTGATGACTAGTGATTACTGCCAGGAAATTGTTATGCTGTTTGCAGGAAAGTTGAAAGGGATAGAATGTCTCAAACATTGGCCTCCCATATGGGGCAGGGGAGCTTTGAAATAGGACTGAAGTCCCAGCTTCCAGAAACTAGAGGAGAAGGCGGGACCCACTCAGAACCTTCAAGTCTCTGCTAGTCAAGTTAGCTGACTGTCAATTCTCGGAAACTAGCCTTCTCTTTGTAGCAAAGTAGACATCAGAAAGCTAGAAGTTCAAAACAATTTAGAAAAAAATATGTATACTCAGTGATGACAGCTGAATATGATCACTGTGACACTTTGGCCATTTTCATGCTCTTCCTGCTGTTCTTTTTCTTGGCTATTTTTTTTTAAAGTGTATATTTGTAACCATGGGATTTTGTAACCATTCAATTTTTCTAAATTTTGTTTCATTTTTTACAAAAGCATTTCTTGTGTTGCTATCTCATCATCACGGCCATATTTTAACTGGCTGCAGAAAATTCCATCAAGTGGATTACCAGAATTTATTGAACAAGTGCTCCATTTAGGGGCATTTAGGACATTTTTTCTATCCGCCCAGGCCTCCATCAGAGAACATCACTGCAGTTGTTGGCCAGGAAGAGCCAAGCTCAGGGAAAGAAAGTCCAAAAAATGTTCCCATTGGGACCAACCAGATCTGCCCCCTTTCCTGCCAGCCAAGGACTGGTGAGCACTGGGTAGGTGGGTGGAAAAGGAGTCACAGAGTGTCCTTAACTTAATCCCTAACCCTGAAGGGCTTTGATGACAATGAAACAACATAGACAGCCCAGCCCAGAGCAGTTAATCAAATGCCAATTTCCCCCTCAGGCTAATGAGAACATTTTATATGCAAATCAGCCTACCTTTTAAAGTTAGCATCTCACTTTCTTGGGAAATGCCCCTAGATTAGAATCACTAAATGCAAAAAGGCATTCCCATGTAAAGGCATCCTTGACTCTTTGCAAATTGCTCCTCTGACCAGCTGTCAGAAGTTCCTTCCATTATTACTACTCCTAAAATGAACACACTCAGATACTCATACTAAGGATGGAGATTAAGTAATTCTTGCCTTTCCCCTGCCCTCCCCTTTCCCCAGACCCCCACAGCCTATCCTCATCTCAGCTGCCCAATTGATTATGTGAACCCAAAAGTATCTGAGACAGTTCTTAACCAACTTAGAAAGTTTATTTTGCCAAGGTGAAGAATGCACCTGTGACATAGCCTCAGGAGGTCCTGAGGACATGTGCCCAAGGTGGTCAGGGTACAACTTGCTTTCATATATTTTAGGGAGACATTAGACATCAGTCAGTACATGTAAGATTTACATTGGTTCTATCTGTAACCAATGTAAGGGTGGGACAACTTGAAGTGAGTGGAGTAGGCTTCCAGGTCACAGGCAGATTTAAAAATTTTCTGATTGGCAATTGGTTGAAAGAATTACTATCAATAGAAAGGAATGTCTGGGTTATAATGAGGGGTTGTGGAGACCAAGGTTTTATCACACAGATGAAGCCTCCAGGTAGCAGGCTTCAGAGAGAATAGATTATAAATGTTTCTTATCAGATTTAAGGTCTGTGTTGATGTTAATGCTGGTTGAGATGGGGTCTCGCTCTGTCGCCCAGGCTGGAGTGCAATGGCGTGATCTCGGCTCACTGCAACCTCCACCTCCTGGGTTCAAGCAATTCTCCTGCCTCAGCCTCCCGAGTAGCTGGGATTACAGGCATCTGCCACCATGCCTGGCTAATTTTTGTATTTTTAGTAGAGACAGGGTCTTGCCATGTTGACCAGGCTGGTCTTAAAACTCCTGGCCTCAAGTGATCCGCCCGTCTCGACCTTCCAAAGTGCTGCGATTACAGGCATGAGACACTGTGCCCGACATGGTTGGCTTTTGCTGAATTTAAAAAGGGAGAAAAATATAATGAGGCATGCCCAACTCCCACTTCCATCATGGCCTCAACTACTTTTTCAGGTTAACTTTGGAGTTCCCTTGGCCAAGAGGAGGGGTCCATTCAGATGATGGTGCAGTGGGGGTGGGGGGGCGGCTTAGAATTTTATTTTTGGTTTCCATTCACATTGAAACTGCCCTGAATTCAGATTGTGCCCTACCTTTTTCAAAGCCCCACCCAGCCTCTTGCTCTAACAAGTAGGCAGATTCCCACCTCAGGCTTACTACACACTGGCTGTTCCCTCTGCCTGGAAGGCTCTTCCACAGGTGTTAATGGTGTCCTCCCCAACCTCCTTCCACATTCCGCTCAAGGGTTCCCTGTCCTGTCCACACTGTTGAAAGTGCAGCCCCCAAACTTATTCTGCCTTGTTCTTGGCCCTGCTTTGTCCTTCTCCATGGTACCTCCTGAGAGGTGACAATGTGCTGGCGGCCCTCGCTCGCTCTCAGTGCCTCCTCGGCCTCAGCGTCTGCTCTGGCCATGCTTGAGGAGCCCTTCGGCCTGCTGCTGCACTGTGGGAGCCCCCCTCTGGACTGGCCAAGGCTGGAGGTGGCTCCCTCTGCTTGCGGGGAGGTGTGGAGG
Organism: Homo sapiens; assembly: GCF_000001405.40. Taxonomy (NCBI): domain Eukaryota; kingdom Metazoa; phylum Chordata; class Mammalia; order Primates; family Hominidae; genus Homo; species Homo sapiens. The sequence continues at coordinate 20,768,440 of NC_000020.11, forward strand.
GAGAAGCGCAGGCGGGAACCGGGGCTGTGCACGGTGCTCACTGGCTAGCCCAAGTTCTGGGTGGGCATGGGCTCAGCTGCCGGCACTCGGAGCAGCCGGTCGGCGCCACCGGCCAGGCAGTGAGGGGCTTAGTACCTGGGCCAGCAGCCACAGAGGGGGCACAGGGTCCCATAGCACTGCCGGCCCGCCCGCGCCAGGCTGGAATTCTCACTGGGCCTCAGCCGCCTCCCCACGGGGCAGGGCTGGGGACCTGCAGCCTGCCATGCCTGAGACCCCTTGGGGACCTGCAGCCCACCATGCACGAGCCCCCACCTTGGTGGGCTCCCGCGCGGCCGGAGCCTCCCCCACGGGTGCTGCCCCCTGCTCCACGGCACCTGGTCCCATTGACGCCCAAGGGCTGAGGAGTGCAGGAGGGCAGCTCCACCCACGGCCCTGGCCCGGGATCCACTAGGGGAAGCCAGCTGGGCTCCTGAGTCTGGTGGGGACTTGGAGAACTTTTATGTCTAGCTAAAGGTTTGTAACTACACCAATCAGCACTCTGTGTCTAGCTCAAGGTTTGTAAACACACCAATCAGCACCCTGTGTCTAGCTCAAGGTTTGTAAATGCACCAGTCAGTGCTCTCTGTCTAGCTAATCTGGTGAGGACTTGGAGAACTTTTATGTCTAGCTAAAGGTTTGTAAATACACCAATCAGCACTATGGGTCTAGCTCAAGGTTTGTAAACACACCAATCAGCACCTTGTGTCTAGCTCAAGGTTTGTAAATGCACCAATCAGTGCTCTGTGTCTAGCTCATCCAGTGGGGACTTGGAGAACCTTTATGTTTTGCTAAAGGATTGTAAATACACCAATCAGCACTCTGTGTCTAGCTCAATGTTTGTAAATGCACCAATCAGCACTCTGTATCTAGCTAATCTGGTGAGGACTTGGAGAACTTTTATGTCTAGCTAGAGGATTGTAAATGCACCAATCAGCACTCTGTGTCTAGCTCAGGTGTTGTAAACGCACCAATCAGCACCCTGTCAAAATGGACCAATCAGTTCTCTGTGAAACGGACCAATCAGCTCTCTGTAAAATGGATCAATCAGCTCTCTGTAAAACGGACCAATCAACAGGATGTGGGTGGGGCCAGATAAGGGAATAAAAGCAGGCTGCCTGAACCAGCAGTGACAACCCCTTTGGGTCTCCTTCCACCTTTTGGAAGCCTTGTTCTTTTGCTCTTTGCAATAAATCTTGCTGTTGCTGACTTTGGGTCTGTGCTGCCTTTATGAGAGCTTTAACGTTCACCGCGAAGGTTTGCAGCTTCACTCCTGAGGCCAGCAAGACCACAAACCCACCGGGAGGAATGAACAACTCTGGACCCGAGGAACTAACAACTCCAGATGCGCTGCCTTAAGAGCTGTAACACTCACCACGAAGGTCTGCAGCTTCACTCCTGAAGCCAGCAAGACCACAAACCCACCAGATGGAAGAAACTTCAAACACGTCTGAACATCAGAAGGAACAAACTCCAGACCCACCATCTTTAAGAACTGTAATACTCACCACGAGGGTCCGCAGCTTCATTCTTGAAGTCACTGAGACCAAGAACCCACCAATTCTGGACACAGTTACCATCATCTGACATCCTCTGTATTTTGCTTATTTGTTTCTGGCTTGTAATACACACCCAGATAACCAGCTTGCTTAGGCAGGGGTCCTTGTGGATGTGGCTTGCTGCTGTATTGCCAGCATTGAGAATACAGTCCACCTATTACAGGATACTCAACAAAGATTCATCAAATGAATGTTTTAAACCAGTGATTTAGTAATTGCTTTGAGACTGCCATTAGGTCATATCCCTTTTAGAGACATGTTAAACTTGCCGGTGAAATCCACGGCATTGAATGGCCCTTTTCTTTTCTTCCCTCCTCTCCCCTCCCCTCCCTTCCCCTCCCCCCTCTTTTTTGTCTTGCTCTGTCACCCAGGCTGGAGTGCGGTGGCGAGATCTTGGCTCACTGCATCCTCCACCTCCTGGGCTCGAGTAATCCTCCCATCTCAACCTCCCAAGTAGCTAAGACTACAGGCACACACCACCATGCCCAGCTAATTTTTGCAGAGACAGGGTTTTGACATGTTGCCTGGGCTGGCCTTTAACTTCTTGGCTCAAGCAATTTGCCCACCTCAGCCTCCCAAAATGCTGGGATTACAGGTATGAGCCACCATGCCTGGCCTGAACCACCTGTTAAGTAAGACCAACATATAAGATGCTTTTTATTTCAGTAATGGAACTTTGTTGACAATGTGACCCAAAATACAATCACTGTAACCCACAGCCTGTTCTATGAGTCAGAATTTTTAAAACTCCCATTCTTTACTCTTTTTTGCTTAGGACCACTGTATCTGCCTGCAAAAGCCATCTCAAACAATGAGAACCTTTTTCTGAAAAGCCCTCGGATGAATACATATAGAAACTTTTTCTTTCTCTAGAAGAAATGACTCAGGCCAGTTTACCAGAGGATAGAAAGCAACTCCCTGGCTCTGTCCTCAGGTAAGTCTGTCTGGGTTCTGCTCTCCCAAAAAAAGTATAACTCCCCAGTGAGAAAATTTACCAGGTCACCTTGCTCTGAGATGTTGTAACAAAGCTTTGGAATCAAATTCAAGTCAGAGATGGTATCATGGTTTTCCTTTGAAATGACATGAATAGAGATTTACAAGAGGAGAAGGTTGAAAATGAAATTGTGCAGATACCCATGGCCTGCCCTGGGTGCCCTGCCTGCCTGCCACTTCACCTCCCTACTTCATGCCCACTGTCCTCATTGCAGATGGCCACTCACTGCATTCCCAATTAGCACTTCCCCGCTACAGGCCAGAGGCACAGGGGAGTTCAGATCTCTCTGAAGCGGCCCTGAAACAATGGTCACTCTAAGTTGATGAGTGAATATGCAATTCCCTTGCCCTCGGGTGGGATAACTCTGGCTGGTGGCTCACACTGGAGCTGAGCCCATCCAGGCATTGAGTGGACCACACCCATGGACTCCTGTCCTCCATACATTGTGTCCTTAGCTTCACTCCTCACATCAACTCTGCACGCCAATCCGTTTCCTAGGATCGCTTTCTGAGAGACTCCAGACTGAGACAATGTGCATTTCAAAAGGGCACCTACATGTGCCAAGGCCCTGATCAAATGACACTTTCATGTAAAACTTCTTTTTTTTTTTTTTTTTGAGAGAGAGTCTCAATCTGTCTCCCAGGCTGGAGTGCAGTGGCGCGATCTCGGCTCACTGCAAGCTCTGCCTCCTGGGTTCACACCATTCACCTACCACAGCCTCCTGAGTAGCTGGGGCTACAGGCGCCCACCACCATGCCCAGCTAATTTTTTTGTATTTTTAGTAGAGACGGGGTTTCACCATGTTAGCCAGGATGGTCTCGATCTCCTGACCTCGTGATCCACCCACCTTGGCCTCCCGAAGTGCTGGGATTACAGGTGTGAGCCACTGAGCCCGTCCCATGTAAAATCTCTTTCTTATTGCTTGTATCTTTCTTTCTGATATTCTCTCCTATTTCCTCCTTTTCTCCTGCTTTTCAACCCCCCACATTCTTATCCTTTGTCCCTTCTCTGTCTCTTTTTGTTACCTAAATACCAGGGGTCTCTGTCTAGGTCCCATTGCTAGAGGCACAGAAAGCCAATCACTGAGACAACAAGTATTACCAGGGAAGAAGGTTTTTTGGATGCTGCAGTCAAGGAGAACAAGAGATAAGTCTCAAATCTGTCTCGCCTATGGACTAAAATTGAGGTTTAAGTAGCTGGGGAAGAGATGTAGTTACCTGCAGGAAGAAGTTAGGAAGCAGTAGGGAAGCAATGCTGCTGAGTGAGGGGTCTGGGATCTCATCCTCTGGATGCGGTGATCTGGTGAGTTTCAGTTCCGTGCCTGAGGGTGGGTTTCCTGGGGAAGGAACTCAGATGAGACAAATGTAAATTTCAAATTTTAAGACCAGGAGGGTTGATTTCTTCTTTTATTAAAAAACTTATAAATATTGTCTCTATGGGGAGATTGAGCTGGTTTCATTTTCTTTCATGCTCTGAAATGCCAGCTCACCCATGTGATTGCAAACCCTTCATAGCCACTAAAACCAAGTGGTTATTCTCACAGAACTGCACCTCAGGCCACTGGGAGGGCTAAGTGGGACTGGGACATTATTAATGGATTCAGACAAGGTAAGATGAGATCTCTTTGCCTGCAGAAGCCTGAGCTTGCTGACATCTATACCAGGACAGCCTCCGGAAACTTGGCACAGCCAGGGAGAAAGTCAATAAACCAAGGGCAAGACTGCTGGGATGTAGCACCTTAATATCCTATCAGGTGAACTTGACAATGAGCCCAGGCGATCCTTGCCCCAGGGGCTTCAATTTGCATTGTCACTGAGGCCTCCAAGAAGTTAGGATTGCCAAACTAGAATGTTCTGTGGAAGTTTGACAGTACAAGGAGGGGTTATGAGCCAACTGCTACATTAAACTCTGCATTGAACAAGAATTAGGTAATTTTAGCCTAGGGCAAAACATTACCGATCCCCATCATGTGCACTGCACTATACTGGCTATGCCTTCAAAGCTGCTCATCAGTGATTTGTATTTTCTGAGACTCAAAGTTGGGAAAGATGGAAACATATGGAAAGAAATTATTGGAAGTCACCATCACAAGTCAAAAGTGAGAATGTGATCTTTCATATGCTGATTTCATAAAATGTATGTTTCTGATAAGAATAGATACTAGATCTTAGCCAAAAGAAACAATAGGTGTGTGTTTCTGGTCACTAGAGCACACATTTCTGGTATTTCCCCTCCCCGACACCCCACATCCGCTCAGCACCCAGCATCTTTCAGCATCCCAATCCAAAATCTTCCTGGGGTCTCTGGGGCCCCTCTGTCCTTGGGAGCAGCCCTCCACCCATGGCTGGTGGGAATGGATTAATAATTAGTCTGGAAACCTTCCCCACTCTCTCCACCCTGAGATGTGCTGTACGCGGTCTCCCAGCATTCCGTGCCCCAGTTGATTTTGGCAATTACCTGCTTGGTCACAGGGCCTTTAGTGGCTGTTTTCCTCCCATCTCTCATCCCCATCCCCTGCTAGTGTTTCCTAATGTCACCTCAAACATAAACCTTTGGACTCTTATCCTTGACTAAGGGGCTTTTCTGGCAGAACACAGAGTAAAACTCACAAAACCCAGAAGTCTGCTTAACATTAAAATTATCTAAAAACTAAAAGGCTAATGATGGTATGAATTTCTTATAAAGAATGTTTTTTGTTTGTTTGTTTGTTTGTTTTTGAGATGGAGTCTTGCTCTGTCACCCAGGCTGTAGTGCAGTGGCGCCATCTCGGCTCACTGCAACCTCCACTTCCTGAATTCAAGGGATTCTCCTGCCTCAGCCTCCCGAATAGCTGCAACTACAGGCACGTGCCACCATGCCCGGCTAATTTTTTGTATTTTTAGTAGAAATGGGGTTTCACCATGCTAACCAGGATGGTCTCGATCCACCCGTCTGGGCCTCCCAAAGTGCTGAGATTACAGGCGTGAGCCACTGTGCCTGGCCATAATGTTTTAACTGATACTTTGGTTTGAGCTCAGATATGTGTATCTGTTGGGGGTAGTACCAGGCAAAAATGTGAGACAGCTGGAAAACTTTGTTGTACAGGGTCCTGGGCCTCCCTTACTAGGCTACACATCCAGTGTCCTCATCATACTATCTGGCAACTGTCAGGTTGTCCTGAATGCCCCACTAGGAATCCTCCTCTCTTCCCAGATCCCTGTCTCCATTTCATAATCATACTCTCGGTCTTCCTCAACACACCCTCTGACTCTGTGAACATCTACATACTGCACCTGTGAATCCTGTGGGCAAAACCCAACATGTGAATCTCCCCAGACATTCATCCCCACCTGCCACCTTGGAGACATGGTGAGTCTGGCCACAGCTGCCTTTCCCTCATCTCCTGACAGTGCCGGGTGTTTATGTCCTCCCTGGGTGTGTCAGTCCTCACCAGAGCCTCCATTGCACCCTCCGGGACAGGAACTACAGCAGACCTAGCACCCCAGTGCAGGCTGCCCAAGCTCTGCCTGCCAGTACTGGACAGAAGTCCCACACCATATGCAGCAGATTAAATAGAGACACAGATCCATCAAAGTTCCTCCCATCAAGAGCTACAGTCAACTTCCTCTCTCCTTGATTCTGAGCAGGCCCTCTGATTTGCTTTGATCATAGAATGTGGCAGAAGTGGCACTGAGATACATGATTTACTAAAACCTGCAGGGGAGAATCCTCCCTTGCCTCTTTCTAGTTTCTTGTGTGTTTCTGGCAATCTGGTTTTCCGTGGCGTATGCATGCATCCCTTCGATCTGTCTTCACATAGTGCTCTCCCTGTGTCTCCTCATGTCATCTTCCCTCCGTGCCCATCTACGTGTCCAAATGTCTCCTTTTTATAAAGACATCAGTTATATTGGATTACAGCCCACCCTCATCTTAATGATCTCATCTTAACCTCTGTGAGGACCCTATTTCAAGTAAGTGCACATTCTGAGGTACCGGGGATTAGGATTTTAACACATCCTAGCTTAAAAAGCATCTGGAAAAGGAACCTATCTTATATATCTTTAATACAAACTGTATTAGCATAATTGCTTTTAATTTTCTTTTTTAAATAACTCCCAGCCTGGGCAGCATGGTGAAACTCTGTCTCTACAAAAAATACAAAAAATTAGCTGGGCATGGTTGTGTGTGCCTGTGGTCCCAGCTACTTGAGAGGATGAGGTGGAGGATCACCTGAGCCTGGGGAGGTCGAGGCTGCAGTGAACCGTGATCGCACCACTGCACTCCAGCCTGAGCGACAGAGTGAGACCCCATCTCAAAAAAACAAAACAAAACAAAAACAAAAATAAACTCCAATTGAGCTAAAAAACACAATTGAATTATCTTTCAACAAATTTCACTTCAATTGGAATGGTCAATAAACACACATGCCAGAACCACACAATCTTGATTACTGTTTTTTTCCTTTTTTTGGGACAGAGTTTCACTCTTGTTGCCCAGGCTGGAGCGCAATGGCACAACCTCGGCTCACTGCAAACTCTGCCTCCCAGGTTCAAGCCATTCTCCTGCCTCAGCCTCCTGAGTGGCTGGGATTACAGGTGCCTGACACCACACCTGGCTTTTTTTTTCTTTTTTTTTTTTTTTTTGTATTTTTGGTAGAGATAGGGTTTCACCATGTTGGCCAGGCTGATCTGAACCTCTTGATCTCAGGTGATCCACCTGCCTCGGCTTCCCAAAGTGCTGGGATTACAGGTGTGAGCCACCACGTCTGGCCTGATTACTGTCATTTTGTAGTAAATTTTGAAACCGGGAAGTGTGTGTCCTCCAGCTTTCTTTTTTATTTTTTCATTGTTTTGGCTATTTTGGGACCTTTGCATTTTCATATGAAATTTAGGATCAGCTTACTCATTTCTATAAAAAAGCCAGCTGGAATTTTGATAGGGAAAGCATAAAATTTGTAAACCAGTTTGAAGAGTATTACCATCTTAACAATATGAAGGTTTTCAATCCAAACATTTTTTAAACAATGTTTTATAGTTTTTAGTGTATAAGTTCTACACTTTTTTGTTAAATTTATTATGAAATATTTTATCCTTATTGGTATTATTGTAAATGGAACTGTTTTCTTAATTACACTTTTGGACTGTTCATTATTAGCATATAGAAATATGCTAATTCTATAATGAGCTTGGTTTTTCTATAATGAGCTTCTATCCTACAATTTTGCTGAACTTGTTTATTAGTTCTAGTAGTTTTTGGGTTTATTTGTGGATTCCTTAGGTGTCTCAATTGTCAAAATCATGTCATCTACACATAGAAATAGTTTTATTCTTCCTTTCCAATATGAATGGCTTTTATTTCTTTTTCTTGACTAATTACTATGGCTAAAATCTCCACTATACTGTTGAATAGAGGTGACAAGTGCAGGTATCCTTGATTTTTTCTGAAGTTAGGAGGAAAGCTTTTAGTGTTTTACCTTTAAGCATGATGTTAGCTGTTGATTTTTTATAGACACCTTTTGTCCAGTTGAGGAAATTCCCAGGATGTATTTTTTTTTTTTTTCGAGATGGAGTTTCACTCTTGTCTCCCAGGCTGGAGTGCAATGGTGCAATCTCAGCTCATTGCAACCTCTACCTCCCAGGTTCAAGCAATTCTCCTGCTTCAGCCTCCTGAGTAGCTGGGATTACAGGTGCCCACCGACACGCCCTGCTAATGTTTGTATTTTTAGCAGAGACGGGGTTTCGCGGTGTTGGCCACACTGGTCTCGAAGTTCTGACCTCAGGTGATCCACCCACTTCGGCCTCCCAAAGTGCTGGGATTACAGGCCAGTGCCGCTGCGCCCAGCCCCCAGGATGTATTTTTAATTTGTTTGCAAAATACACTTTATAGGTAACTGACATATCATTTGGTGTCTGGAAGCTAGCTTCCTATATATGGAAAGTCAGACATGCACTGCAGAGCCCAAGGACTGTAATCCTTGAATTCTTTCAGGAACTCCTGAACTACAATAAACCACTCTTAACTTAGAGGAAACGAAGTATTCTTTAGGGTTGTCTGGCAGATCCTGGGGAAAAGGGGCTGGAGGCTATGACCCCTGAGGGTTCTTACCACATCAGGATAGATAGACAAGTCCATATTCCTGCAGTAAGCTCTGAAGAGAATGTCAACGGTTATTTTTGTCCAGTGGAACTCACAGTTATAGATGGGCTTCATTTATGAGTTTATCATGAAAGCATTTGGTTCTAAGTGTGGAAAAATCTCTTTAGCAGCCAAAAAAGAACAGGAATTTTGTCTAACATTTAGATGCATTCAAATAAAGACTTTGGAATTAAATAAGAAGCATGATCTTCATATCTTAAATGAAATCCCAACTAAGCATAAGCATGTGCTGAGAGTTTGTTCACTCATTTTGCCATCACAGAGAAGACCAGCTGTAACATGCCACCCTTGAGTAACCACATAAAAGAATTCAAGATGTCAAGAGGACACTATTCATGGACAGTATTTATGAAATCTGTGTTAATTGGTACTGGTAGTGGGCAAGATAATTCTAGGTGTCAAACTTCAAGAGTAAACTGAACAAAACCAGGGGCTCAATGCTGGGTTGTTCAGCTGAGCAACTGTTCAAAAACTTCCTTGGGATGGTGGGCCTCTTCCCACTCACCGCTTACTGACACTTGGCCATTGGTAGGTCGCAAGTAGTCTTGCTTTTCAATTAGCTGAGTTTTTGTTACTATTTCAGTTCTTTTCAGGGTGCCTCAATATAGCTTCCAGGAACAGAACAAAACCTTGAGTTTAAATACAGTGTATACGACTTAACTTATTTGTGTAAGGAAACATGGAGCAAACAGTGCACACTGACAATTAATTAGTAGGTTCCATTGCAATGCATTGCTCTGCCCATGGTCTGAGATGGTAAACTCAGTAATTTACTGTACATTGCTAAAAACACCAAAGACATTGATTTGTCTCCACATCTGAGAGTCAAATATGGTTAGTTCCAGAGACATAGACTCTACCTGCCCAAATGGCTGCACCAGTTTCCATTCCTACTACCACATTACAATATTTATCATGTTGAGTCTTGTTCAGTATTGTTCAGTGGAGTCTTAGGCTTAATTACATTTGGAGGTCTTCTGATATGAAGTATACAATTGATTGTCTGAGGCTGGAAAACTTTTTATGTATTTAATTCTGTAAGAAATAAAATTTGCCAGGTGTGGTGGCTCATGCCTGCAATCCCAGTGCTTTGGGAGGCCAAGGTGGGAGGATCACTTGAGGCCCAGAGTTCAAGACCAGCCTGGGCAACACAGCAAGACCTCCTGAGTGGCTGGGACTACAGGCACATACCACCATGCCTGGCCAAAAAAAAAAAAAATTAGCCAGGCATGGTGGTGTGTGCCTGTAGTCCCAGCTACTCAGGAGATTAAGGTGGGATTGCTGGAACCCAGAGGGTTGAGGCTGCAGTAAGCTATGATGATGCCACTACATTCCAGTCTGGGCAACAGAGCAAGACACTATCTCTTAAAAAAAATAATAAAAGTAAAAAGTAAATAAAAAGAAACAAAATTTGCCCAATAGAAAATATTTATGATGACGATTCCTTCCCAGCTTATCAATTTTTTTCTCAAATAAATTTTTGACCCAGAATGGCTATAATAAAAAAAGATATAAAAACCAGTGTTAGCAAGGAGGAGAAACAGTAGAAATGCTTATATACAAATGGTGGAAGTAAATGTTACTACAGTCATTTTAGAAAATTATTTGTTAGAAAACTAAACATCTGAGCCAAGCATTTTTGGCAGAATTCTGAACATGTACTCATCTATGGAAATGTACTAAAATGTTCACAGCAGCACAGTTCATATTAACCTCTGCCTGGGGCTCAGCACACAATACCCTGAAGTATGGCCCCTTGGCGTGCTGAGTACTCTGAACTGAAGGAGACTGGAGGGGCCTCAGAAGCAAAGCCTCTGACCTCCTCCTGCCCTTGTTCTCCTCTCCCTTTCCTCCCGCAAGCCATGTCATAGAAACCAGGATTCCTCTTTTCCTGAAGTGGGTCATAGAAACTAGAACTCCTTTCCCCCAAGGCAAGCCACAAAAGCTAGAAAGGACACTCTCTGATACGCCTCCTCTGAAGGTAGGCCATAAGACCCTCTTCCAAGAGGGATCCTGCTTGGATCTAGGAGGAAGAAATGCTGTATACACAGAGGCCAATAATATGAACAAACATTTTAAAAATCTTAAATAACTGTAAAAAATTAAAAGATAAAAAATAAATGATAAATCTAAGAAAAAAATTAAAGGCCAGTTGCATTGTAATCCCAGCACTTCGGGAGGCCAAGGTGAGAAGATTGCTTGAGGCCAAGAGTTGGAGACAAGCCTGGCCAACATGGTAAAACCCCCGTCTCTACTAAAAATACAAAAATTAGCCGGGTGTGGTGGTGCACTCCTGTAATTCCAGCTTCTTGGGAGGCTGAGGCACAAGAATCACTTGAACCCTGGAGGTAGAGGTTGCAGTGAGCCTAGATCGCGCCACTGTACTCCAGCCTGGGTGACAGAGCAAGACTGTCTCAAAAAAAAAAAAAAAAAAAAGAAAGAAAGAAAGAAAGAAAAGGAAAGGAAAAAAACGGAAAGAACCTGAACAAGTAAAGGGTCTTTGCTGGGTTCTCCCACTCCATCCCTTTTATTATCATTGGACTTTTTGTCCAATCACGCTTCTCCACAACTATCCACTTCTTTATTCGGACTTAGCATACAAAACAGGGCAAAATGAAACAGTTTTCCCTGGGGTTTGGGTCTTCACTTCTGAAGTCTCCCATATCATGTAAAACTTGGATAAACATATGTGTTATACTTTTTCTCTTGCTGGCCTGTCTTTTGGTAGAAGAGTGTCAGCCACAACCCTTGTGATGAGTGAGGAAAAGGCATTACCTTGTCATCCCCTGCACCCCAAACTGGGAAGGATCCAAATACTCAGCAAGAGTAGAATGCATAAATAAATTATGGTGCTGTCATAGAGTAGAATACTGTGTTATACAGCAATAAAGCTGTTCCTCTATAATTGGTGCACATTTCTGTATTATGCTGTAGCTCAATAAGAGGTTTATTAAAAAGGAATATCTGATCAATATTTGTTTCTGTTTTCAAAACATTAAAAAAATTCTCTGTGTCTTTAAACTCTATTTTTTTTTAATTAATAGCAATGTAATTGGTCCATCTATCCTTGCTCAACTCAGCATGTACCAAACCCAGCAAGAGTGAAGCCAGGGCTTGGCATGGTCTGGGCGTGTCCCTTCTAGATGCTAGCAGGATTCCTTCCAGGTTATGTTGCAAGCAACATTGCCTCATTAAATACTTGTACTGATGGGGATATCAAAGCTTGCACTCCAAAATGGAAACCGAGCTACAATTGCAATCGAATTTTGAGAAAATGTAGTTTTTGAACACAGTGGGGATGAACAAGAGGGGCTCAGACCAGAGGGTATTTTCTTATACTCCCTGAAAAGGAGGTGTCAGATCACCACTATAGCAATCATCACCATAATTAGCTGAGACTTCCTCTTTAGTGGTTGCTCAACACCTTCATTTGACTCTGCTGCTCACTCTAGCTGCCTGGGAGTTGGTGCCGGCATTTCGCAACACAGCCGGTCCTTGCCTACCAACCGCACTGTCTGCCAAGCCAAGAAGGTGGAGAAACTGCAGGTTCATGTTACAGGCTGAGCCAGGGGAGGTTTCTGAGCCCTCTCTAGCACTTGGCCTAAGCCTCCAGACTTCTCTGTCATACCCCAATGGTGCCAAATATCCAGAAACTAGCTTCCTAAAGTGGCTTTAACAAAAATCAACTTTATTGAGGTTTCATTTAATGCAATAAACAGCATCCATGTTGTAATGGGTATGATTTCGTGAGTTTTGGGAAGATAAACATAAATCCATGGCCATAATCAAAATCATGGACGCAATCGAATCACAAAGCATGTCTTTCCTCCCTAAAATTTTCTCAAACCCCACTGCAAACCCCCACCTCATCATCACTGTAGACTAGTTCACATTTTCTAGAATAAACTGGCTTTTGGATAAATGAGGGTGGGGATGTGCCAACCTAAGCATGTTTCACATATGCACACACATGTGTATAGACGTACTTCTTTCTTGGAAGGGAGTCCCTTCCTGCAGCTCATGCCAAGGCAGACAGCCCTAGGTGGCTTCAGAGCATATCCTGTGACCTCCTGGACATAGGGTTGCAACAGGATGGGGCACCTGACCCAGCACCTTGCAAGGAGGGTTGACCGGAGTGCTCTGCAGGGGCAGAAGTTCTGAGTCAGCTCAAGTGGGGACACAGAGATATTCAGGGGCTAGGATGGTGGGTGGTGGCGGTAACTGCGGAGCAACAGGGGCAAAAGTGGCTGAGCCCTGAAACGGAGTTCTCGCTGTGCTGGAGGCTGGAGCTGGAGATCAAGGTGTTGTCGGCGGGGTTGGCTTCTCGTTGGGCAGGGTGGCTTCCTCTCAGGCCTCTCTCATTGGCTTGCAGGTGGCCATCTGCTCCATGTGTCTGCACACGCTTTTCCTCCTGCAAGTGCCTGTGTCCTCATCTCCTCTTCTCCTAAGGACACCAGTCACATTGGAGTAGGAACTGCCCGTGTGACCTCGTTTTACCTTTATTACCTGTTTAAAGGCCTTAACTCCTAAGAAGGTCACATTCTGAGTTTCTGGGGGCTAGCATATCAAAATATGAATTTGTGGGGCACACGATTCAGTCCAGCATCCATAAAGGTGGCGGATGGGTGAACTCCTCCTGTTGTGGGCTGGGGGTTCAATGTCTCCTCAATGGAACTGAGCCCCTGGGATCAGGAACTGCTCTTGGTCCCAGACAGGAGTCCTGAATTTCAGTCCCTGTGAGGCCTCCCTCAGCACAACTGTCTGTGAGTTCCTAATTTTCCTGTTGCTTTTGTTCCTCATCTTTTCTTGGCATAAACCCCTGTTACCTGAGGATGACCCAACTGAGTAGCTGTTCCCAGGAGGTAAAATTATAAAGCCCGTTGGATTATAGCATCTATGGCCTAATTACAAATAGAAAGCAGGGAGAAGGGGTGAGAAGTGAATTCTTGGCCTAGTGGGAGAGGAAAGAAGTGGCTAACCCCTTTCCTTTTACTAGTCATAAAAACCTTTTTTGTTGTTGTTCTGGCAATCAAGGTAACAATAAAATAAGACAATTATTACCAAGAGGTATTCCCTATGCCCATTTAAATCGGTGCTCATAAACTTGTCTTGGGCATACAGGCCAGAAGTGCCTCATGTGTTTTTTGATAAAACGTCCTCCCGAGGGCAGGCAGAAATAGCAGAGCACAGGCTCCGCTCTGTGGGGTCATGGGTTTCAGAGCAGCTGATAGGGGAATTTGCTAGGCTCCGCACTTTCCTAATATAACCTGCCAAGTTTTCTCAGCAAAGTAGGCTTCTGGCCCAAAGGAATGAGATAAAGGCAAGTTCTTAAAGAAAAAGGATTCAAAAACCATAGCATCCAACGATGAAACAGGAAAGTGTTTCTACCGTGTGGAGGAGGTAGAAGTTCACATGGCAGGATGTACTTTTTATTTATGCCTCGTAAGTCAAACAGAACACAAAAAAGATTTGGGAAAGTGTTATTGCCAAAGAGCGACATTTTTATGAGGAAAGAAAGTTCAAGGGTTAACTCTTTTCCAGTTAGTTTATGCAGAGGCTGCAAACACATGGTCTTGAGGGCCAGAGCTCACCCACAGACAGGTTTTGTTAGCTTGTCCTGCAATATATTTAAAAATGTGTATAGATCTGAATAAGTTACCAAACTTTAAAAATTAGATTTTTTGCAAGTATCTACATTTCTGATTTTCCTTCAGCAACGGGAAGACCTGGCAATGCTGGGTTCCATGAGGCACTAACCCCAGTGAGCTGAGCAGTGGCCACACCCTCCCAGCATACCTGATCCCCACCCCACCCTACCCCTTCCTGTGACTGGGCTGAATATAAGTTGCCAATTATCAACCCACTTGCTATGTTATTTTACTTACAGGGAAGAGGGAAATAAAGTTTACACCCACATGCCCCCACCAAGAGGGAAAATGATACAGAAACCCATGTGTTTCAAGAAAAATAGGCAAATGCATGTTTCTTTTAGAAGCAAAGGCCATCATGCCTGCTTAATATGACATATATTGCTCTGTCCAGTTTGTACCCAGGCATTACCTGGCTGCATCCTAAAGACAGCTGTATTTGTATTCCCAGAGCCTTAAGTCCAGTACTTTACTAACCATGTCAAGCCGTTGTTGAAGACATACACAGCTAAGCCATCTGGACAAGAGTAAGAAGATTATAGGCTTAAAAGCTACCTATGGTCCCTCCCCATACCCTTCAGTCTCCATGCACTATGATCCTCCACTTATAGACTGGGCTCCACGTGAGACCATCCTCAGTTTTTAGCCTCTGATTTCTCATCCTCTGCAAAGCTGAGCTCACGTGTTTGTCAGGAAAAAGCATTTGTCAGAAACCTCGTGTAGGCAACGGGGTCTTCTTGCAGGACAGGGTGTTTTGTCATTTCCTGCGTCTGTGGGATCAGCAGATTGGACAGAACTGTTGTTCTGGAACATTCATATCAAAGTCTCTGAAGGGAATTGAAGTGTTAAGATTGTCAACATTAGTTACCATGCAGCATCAGCCTGGGGCTTCGTTCATTCTGGAGCTGGGCTGCAACTGCCTGCTTATTCTTATTACATCCAATTCCAGCTAAGAATATGATGACCACCTCGGCAGCTAAAAGACTAGGTTATATCAGTATCCAAGACTTTCTTGATAAAAGTTAGAAAACCATTAGCATTTTTTGAACATGAAATGGTCCAGGGATTTAAGCTTGAGATAATAATTTGCAAAGGAATGCTTTTATCCCCGGGGAGCTGTTTGGGGAGTTATGGGTGGGCTTTTTTTTTAAACTTCATGTTTTTTCATGTTTGAAAGAGCCAGTGGCTCTCCATCACTAAGAGAGAATACAGAACAGTCATCAGGATTCCTGACAAGATTGTGAATGGCAGGAGTTGGTGCATAGGGGTAGGGACCACCCAAGGGGACCCTGGAGAGAAGGGGGATGGAGCAGCTTCATAGTTCTTATGGGGCCAGAAGGGATCCAGGGGCACAGATTGCTTTTGTACAGATGGAATCATTGGCTATCAGGCCAATAAGAGAGAAAATACAATAACAGCAAAGCACCAAACCAGTGCACAATGTTGGTTAAGTATGGACTGAACTGTAAGTGTGTGTATGTTTGTGTGTGTGTGTGTGTGTGTATGTGCATGTGATGCGGGGGGGTCCTGGAAATCATCAGAATCGGATGGGCTAATCCTGTCAATCTTTCTAAGGAAGATGAGCTTATTTATTTAACTTTCTATTGTGGAAAATCTGAAAAATTTGAAAAATTTGTAAAAGCCAACAGAAAAGTGTACAGGACCCCATGTCCCCATCTGCTCATCATCAGCCCCAACAACCATCAACCCATGGCCAGTTCTGCTCCATCCAAACCCACTCCCATATTATTTTGATGTAAATCTTAAACATTATATCATGTCGTTCACAAATGTTTTGGTATATTGCTCTAAAATAGCACTATTTTATTATTTTATTTTATTTTATTTTATTATTTTATTTTATTTTATTTTATTTTTTGAGACAGAGTCTTGCTCTGTTGCCCAGGCTGGAGTGCAGTGGCATGACCTCAGCTCACTGCAGCCTCCACCTCCTGGGTTCAAGCGATTCTTGTGTGTCAGTCTCCTGAGTAGCTGGGATTACAGGCGCCCGCCACCATACCCAGCTAATTTTTGCATTTTTAGTAGAGATGGGGTTTCTCCATATTGGCCAGGCTGGTCTCAAACTCCTGGCCTCAAGTGATCTGCCCACCTCAGCCTCCCAAAATGTTGGGATTATGAGCGTCAGCCACAGCACCTGGCCAGCACTGTTTTAAATATAGCCACACTATCATATTATTAGACTGAAAAAATTAACAGTAATTTCTTAATATTGTCATTTATGTTTCCAATTGTCTTATAAACAACATAATTTTTTTCAGTTTGTTTGAATCCCAGTAAGATCCACACTATGATGAGGTTGCTGTGTCAGGTGTTGCTTAAGTCTCTTTTAATCTATAGTTTTCCCCGCATCTCTTTTTATTTTCTTCTGCTATATCTGTTGAAGAAACTGGAGTTCATTTTTCAATTACATTTTGAAGTAGAAGAACAGATAGATGAATAAATAAAAGGTTTTACCTCTGAATCTCCCAGCCCATGGCAGTGCTTTGCTTTTCTCTGTTGTCTCCCTTGCTGTGCTGCATTGAAACTGTGTGCTGTGCTATTCCTCCAACCAGTCAGGAGCCCTTGTTCATGTAGGGCCTGTGAGGAAGTGGTTTTCCCACAGCAAGGTGCAGTGTGGGGGAACCAGAGTGTATCAGAGTCCCTATCACAGATGGAGGATGTGTGTGAGGAGTTAGAAAACGTTCCCAAGGTAGCTCTGATACCTACCCCATGAGAGATGGCGTGAGTAGCTTCCATTCTCCACCCCTCCCTGTATTCAGGCCATCTGTGGTGTGACTTTTCAGTCCTTTCACTAAAGAGGCAAGTCTCTTTCCTCAGCCTTTGATTTGGCTTTGGCCAAGGGATGTCAGAGATGTGATGTGCACAGAGGTGTGTGTTAACACTTATCCATTTGCTCTCTCTCCTGCTCCTCTACCTTCACCATACGAGGAGGCTGGAGCTGGTCTGCTGTAGGAGGAGGCCTGGGAAGCTGAGTCCAGCTGCCCCGGGCATCCCAGCCAAGTCCATGCCCATCCTGATCAGCCAACAGCCAACTGCGTCCCACATGTTCGTGGGCCCTGCTGACATCAGAGCTGCCCAGCCTACCAGAGCCTGAATCACTGACATGCAGACACATAAGCTAAACAAATGCTTTTTGTTTTAAGGCACTAAGTTTTATGGTAGTTTGTTACACAGCATTATCATGATAGTAGATAACTGATACAACCCCCCTCCTTCTTCTCTCTCTCTTCCACACACAAACATACACACACACAAACACACGCTCTTCAAATTGAGAGCCACTGATTTCAGTCTACAGAAGAAAGACTAAAAATGATAGAGATAAGCTATTAGGATAGTAGGCAATTAAACAATGATGGTATGGCTTAGAGTTCTTGTGAAAAGATTGTTCTATAGTCCACCTCCTGATATGAGCGGGAGATTCTAATGCTATAATAGCTAAATTCTGAAGTTAGAAAGGGACAAGACTGAATGTGTATGAATTATTCCTCAGTGATTTTTGTGTAAAAATAGTCATTCTCTAGACATAAAGAATGTATTAGATAATCAGATATTAGGCCTACTTTTGTATTTCTTCCTCAAAATTCTGCATCTGGAAGTAACTAGGATGGGGGCGAGAGAGAAGATTTTTGCCTTTTTATGAAAGAAAATCTTTTTTTTTTCTGAATAATGATTGTGGCAAATTGCTTATCTCTGATTTTAACAACAGCAACGACAATAGCAACTGATGGTTCCTGATGCTTCCCTATGCCAGGCCCTGTGCCAGCCCCTTCTGTGCATTACTTCATGTGCTACTCAGCACAAACTTCTGCAAGAGGAACTAGTGTTATCTCATTTTATAAAAGAGGAAATGCTCTCAAAAAGGTTAAAAATATGTCCTAAGTTTGCCTAGGAAGAAAATGGTGGACTGAAACCTGATGTGTGTGACTTCAAAGCCAGTGCTCTTTGTATTATATTCCATTAATTATATTATATTATTAGTTGTAAAATTCTTGAGAGAAGGAATCACATCTTTACTCCCTTTGGAGTCTGCTCCAAGTCTACTTCCCATGCACCCAGACGGAATACCCTGTTTATACTCAATAAATAGTCATTGAATTGAAAATGGAAAGGCCTAATTTGTCCTCCACCCCACCCTTGGAAACCTGATCTTTCTCCGTGTAGCAAACATCTTTTGGACTCCTCCTCCACCAGGCTCTGGTTTTCCTGCAGCTGTGGCAGATGGTTCTACACCAAGAGTGTCCCACTTCTGCCACCACAGCAGCTCTTCACTTTTCTGCCATGGGGCTTTCTCCCAAGCCAGGGAAGCCCATACTGCCTGAAGTGAGGGCAGGAAAGGCAGGGAGGAAGGAGAGTTAATGCTCCAGGGACATCTTCTGCCAAGGGAGTGGGAGCTGGTCGGTAAGCATCCTAGTCTCCCATCTTTCAGAGGGGCATCTCTGAGGCATGTTCCACACAGTTCCCCTGAGGGCCCCAGGTGAGACTGAGCCTAGTTGTCCACAGTGATGACACATCTTTTATTGGCTTTTTGCCTTCCATCTTTCTATCCCTCACTCCAGCTCCCTGGGATCTCCTTCCAAATGAACGTCCTGCATCCAAGTCCTTGTCGCAGGCTCTGCTTTCAGGATTAACCAAACCAAAGCCTTCCTCCCCGCCATTCTTGGTGTCTGATTGTTCAAGACAAAAACAAGGTATTATCTTTGACTCTTCCATCTCATACCCCGTCATCTCCATTGGCAACTCAACTTTTCCCTTTCTCTATGCCTGCCCCCATGCTGTCCCCATCCCTCATCCAGGCTTCTCCAGTGACCCTACTACTAGTCTCACTGTCTTCAGCTTCCAGAGTGATTTTTTAAATGTTTATGCCACTGTGCTTTTCTGCTGAAAAGTTGGTGGTGGTAATAATAACAGGAGCATTTATGAAGCATTTTCTATGTGCTATGATCTGTTCTGAAGATGTTGCGTGTGTCAAACTCACTTAAACCACACATACCCACACACAGGCGTGCACACACGCACTGTCATGGTAACTTACACCATCTAAATCCTCAGATACTTGCTGGCAACTTTTTTCTGTAGCCAGAGACTACTAGTGAAAATGATTTTGCTACTCAAGTTCCCCACTTGATAGACTCTGACAGGGAGACTCCTTGGGCATAGAAAAATTGCTTCAAAATTTTAAATCAAAATCAAATTAGTGCGATCCAGAGAAAAAATGAAGACTGTGACAAGATAATCTACCTGTATTATTAAATGTATGAAATAACTTCACTGAAGGAGGTAGGGGAATAGGTGTTGACCTAAGGAACTTTGGAAATAAATGGAATGTGTAGGACTAAAGGCAAAAGGACTGCACATAAGTACTGTACTCGGAGGAAATTGTTTCTCACAGAGGATGGGCTAACAAACCAGATATGATACATGTGCTTGTAACTAAGCAGTTAAGAATAGCAAAGATGGAAACCAGGTTTTTTACTCTTGGAGCAGGAATTTACACTGAGCAAGGAGAGGAGACTCGAATGACCCATGTAGTAGTGGATTAGAGTGGGAGCTATCAATAACAACTCATGTTTAACTCAATATAAATACAGATGATTCCATATGAGCATATTTATGAATATGCACATATGCACATAGAGTCAGGCATCGCTTAACAACTGGGACATGTCCTGATAAATCATTGTTAGGCAACTGTGTAGTGTGAACATCATAGGGTGTGCTTACACAGACCTAGATGGTATGGTCTGCTACACACCTAGGCTACATGGTACAGTCTATTGCTCCTACGCTACACACCTGTACAGCACCCGAATGCTGTAGGCAATTGTAACACAGTGGGATATATCTAAATATGTCTATATTTAGATGTATTGAAATGCATCTAAATATAAATAAGTTACAGTAAAAATACGGTATTTTAATCTTATGGTACCACTGTTGTATACGTGGTCTGCCGTTGACTAAAACATTGTGTAATATGTGACTGTATATTTCTTTGTTCTGTCACCTGAGAGGTCCTAAAATCAATGGCATCTCAGTAACCACAAGCAACAAGCTCAGATCTTGGATTTACATACCATTCTCCAAAAAAATAAACCATGGTTCCTCGGGAAAATGTCTCATTCTAGAACTGGGGTAGGAGATATATAAGATAAGCCTGAAACAACTTATAGTACCCGAAAATAAGGCAGTGATAAAAAAATTAACACACATTGATGGGGGCATGTCAAAAGAACACAGAAGCCAACTTAAAGAGCTCCCAATTGCCAGAGCTGGAACAATTTGGGCAACGAAATAAATACAATCGCATCAAATAAAGTCAAAGTTGCAAAGGTAAAGTTGAAAATAAACATCTAGAAATCCATACTGATACAAATAAATGATGCATAAATTAATTAATGGGAGAGAAGAGACAAATCTCCATGCAGAATTTCAAGTAAATTATGTAGAGTCCAGCCAAAAGGAGATAGAGAACAACTTCCCGTTCCTTAAGCGTGGATCACACATGGTGGCTTCCTTCCAAAGGGCACAGCATGAGACAGGGAAATAAAAGGGTAATGTACAGTGGAGAAACCTGAGAACTACGACCTTAGCCAGGTGATCAATGTCAACATCAACAGCCGTAATCACATTGATCATGTGTACCCTTGATATGAAGTGATGAAGCACTTTATCTCTTGTGGTCTTCCTCCCTAAAATCCAGGATCCCAATTTGTCATGAGAAAAACATCAGAGACATCCCAACAGAGGGACATCCTACAATACACCTGGCCCGTACTTCTCAAGACTGTCTAAGTCATCAAAAACGAAGAAGGTCTGAAAAACTTGCAGTCCAGAGGAGTGTAAAGAGATATGACAGTCAAACGTAATGCAAGATCCTGGCAACATTCTAATACAGATAAAAAGACATTAGGTAGAAAACTAAGAAAACCTGAATAGACTATGGGCTTTGCTTAATACTAATGTGTCAATATTGGTTCATTAATTGCAGTCTCTGTACCACACTAACGTAAGATGTTAGTAATAGGAAAATCTGTGTGTGGGAGGCTATAGGGTAACTCTTTATCATCTTCTCAATTTTTCTGTAAATTAGAAACTATTCTTAAAAAAACAAAAGGCAGGCTGGATGCGGTGGCTCACACCTGTAATCCCAGCACTTTGTGAGGCCGAGGCAGGTGGATCACCTGAGGTCAGGAGTTCAAGACCAGCCTGGCCAACATGGTGAAACCCCATCTCTACTAAAAATACAAAAATTAGCTGGGTGTGGTGGCGCATGCCTGTAATCCCAGCTACTCAGGAGGCTGAGGCAGGAGAATTGCTTGAACCCGTGAGGCAGAGGTTGCAATGAGCTGAGATGGCGCCACTGCACTCCAGCCTGGGTGACAGAGTGAGACTCCACCTCAAAAACAAAACAAAACAAAACAAACAAACAAAAACAACAAATAAGCAAATAAAATAATAAGCAAAAGAAAAGGCAAATTAAGTGAGTTATACAACATATGCTTACATACCACCACATGGAAGTTTGATGACTTCTGGTTCACCTGCCCTAAACTGTCCACACGGATAACTCAGATTTGAAGGGGAGCAGTACTGGGATCAGAGTGACCTGGTTCCACCCCTGACAATGGTAAAATTGACTGCGGGAATTCCAAATGAGCTTTAGTTTGTGGTGGGGACACACCTTTGACCCATCCACCACCCCTACAAGAACCTGAGAAATAAGAATCCTGAGGTTTCTTTCGGAAAACTCTGTAGAGACCCACAGAGAAAAATACTGAAAGGAAAATAAGCCTGTCAGCAAACTTCTGCAATACAAACGTGGGGTAAAGCACTTTGAGAAGAACTTCTGATTTACCTGAACTATGTCCTTCAGCACTTGGTGAAGCTGTAGACGTACTGTCTTTTTTATGCCCCAAAGGCCTTATTGGGGCAATTTGTTATTGTAACTGTGGGAAACACATCACATTTGTTCAGTGAAGCAAATGGCTTCGCATCTCCTTTGCGTTGCTCTCGGTATCTATTACTCTGCTAACCATCAGTGGGTCTCCGTGGGCCCCTCAAACATCTCGGACAAGGAGCTGGAGCCTCATCGGCTCTAGAGAGAGGGAAACAGAATGAGAAGCTCGCTTCCCACGCTCTCAGCAAGTGCAAAGTTTCATCATACTCGGCTTTTTTTTTTTTAAGAACAAAAAATCAAGCTGACTTTTAAATTAATAGTTTAACAAACTTTTAAAGTAATTGATCTAGGCCGGGCGCAGTGGTTTAAGCCTGTAATCCCAGCACTTTGGAAGGCCGAGGTGGGTGGATCAAGAGGTCAGGAGATCGAGACCATCCTGGCTAACAAGGTGAAACCCCATCTCTACTAAAAATACAAAAAAATTAGCTGGGCGTGGTGGCGGGCGCCTGTAGTCCCAGCTACCTGGGAGGCTGAGGCAGCAGAATGGCCTGAACCCGGGAGGCGGAGCTTGCAGTGAGCCCAGATCGCACCACTGCACTCCAGCCTGGGCAACAGAGCAAGACTCCGTCTCAAAAAATAAAATAAAATAGAAAAGTAGTTGATCTTAGGTTGGGTGTGATGGCTCATGCCTATAATCCCAGCACTTTGGGAGGCCGAGGTGGGCAGATGGTTTGAAGACATGAGTTCGAGACCAGCCTGGGCAAGACAGCGACATGTCGTCTCTACAAAAATTTTAATAAAAAAAAAAAAAAAACAGGCCTGGGGGTGGGGGGTGTGCTCCTTTAGGCTCAGCAACCTGTGAGGCTGAGGCAGTGGGGAGATCACATGAACTCAGGAGGTCGACTGCAGTGAGCTGTGACCACACCATTGCACTCCAGCCTGGGTGAGAGTGAGACCTTGTCTTAAAATGATAATAATAATAATAATAGATTCCATTTCCGGTTTTCCCTCTCTGCATTGCTAACATGAGAGTTTCTACCTGCATGGGGTGCTGCCAGTACTCTGCCTACGTGCCCTCAGGCCCTTGGCCATGTTCAGGCACAACTGTGACTGGGGTGTCTTCACTGCCAACAGCCAGCACCTGTGTCTCTTTGAGCACTGTCCGGAAGCTACCGGAACTCACTTTGCCTGCAGGCACAGGAACAAGTAGTGCCTGGGAATTCACTACCCTTCGGGGGCAGCCCTGACCTGTGACTCGCAGGGCAGGTGGGTTATAGACTGCAGCTGGCCAGCCCTGAGTGGTCAAGGGTGTGACCTTCACCGGGGCTAAGCCCAGGTTTCTCTCCGTGGGACTTTGCTTACTCTCTCCCCTGGCTCAGGCTGCCTCCCTTCTCCGGTCTGCTACCCGACTCCCAGGTGTTTCCTGGGATTAATTTCTCATAAATCACTTTCACACAAATCCCTCTCTCAGGGTCTCCTTCTGAGGAGCCCAACCTGAGACATGACTCAGTTTCCCCTTCAGGGAGGTGCTGCCCAGGAGTGTGGCTGGCTGAGGACATGCTGTTCTGGGGGGCCCCTGCCAAAGACTGGACAAGGTGGGGAGGTGGAGCCTGGTCAATTCCTGGCACTTTGCCATGTCTGCACCACAGTTTGGGTGGTACCCTTTATCCCAATATTGCACTCACCCTTTTTCATTCGAAGGTGCTACTACACAGTAAATCCTCTGCACTCCTAACTCCATCTTGGTGTCTGCTTCTTGGAGGAACCAGCCTAGGACGGTCTTGTGAATGTCACGTTCCTTCTCGCAAGCATGCTGACCTGTCCTGGGCTACAGAGACAATAATTATGTTATACTTTTGTTTCCCACTTGGTATTTGCTTGTTTTACCTTTCTTTGTTAAATTGCACATTTACTTTATCTACTTCAGAGAGAGGTTCCCAGAAAATTCTTTCTCGAAAGTTCTTGTTTCCCATTTTTTCTCCACATTCTGCTGGGCTAACATTTTTTTTCAGAACCTCCCGTTTCTCTAAGGACGGGTAAAGTAGTCCCAGCCTCACTGATGATTGTCAAGGTGCATCAGGGCGGCAAGCACACCTATTTTGTGTTGGGATTCGCCTGCCTGCCTTCCTGCTTCTCTCTCTCTCTCTCTCTTTCTTTGTCTTTTGACAGAGTTTCGCTCTTTTGCCCAGGCTGTAGTGAAGTGGCGTGATCTCAGCTCACTGCAACCTCCGTCCCCAGGTTCAACCAATTCTCCTGCCTCAGCCTCCTGAGTAGCTGGGACTGCTGGTGAGCACCACCACGCCTGGCTCATTTTTGTATTTTTAGTAGAGATAGGGTTTCAACATGTTGGCCAGGCTGGTCTCGAACTCCTGACCTGAGATGATCCACCCGCCTCGGCCTCCCAAAGTGCTAGGATTACAGGTGTGAGCCACCGCCCCCGGCCGGGACTCGATTTTCTTTTGCTTCCAGATTCAGGGATGGGGAAAAAAGAGTCCACATTTCTGAATCCCTGTTCATTTGTTGGCAGAGAGAAAAGCGGGACCAGATAAAAATGAGAGATGAGAGAGATGATGATGTTTTTACCCAAAAATGCTGTGCTTACCTGGGCTTGTGAAGCTCCATGTTTTATCCCATAGAGCATAGTTTCTCACCCTCAGCACTACTGACATTTTAGGGTAGATAATTTTTTGTTGCAGATGTCTTGTGTGCTGTAGGGTGTTCAACAGCATCCCTGGCCTCTACCCAGTAGAGGCCAGTAGCCCTCCCCTGCCCCTAGTTATGAGCTGAAAGTTTCTAGACACAGTCAAATATCCCCTGGTTGGCAAAATCGTCCCCTCGTTGAGAAGCGCGACATAGAGCTAAAGCATCCCAAGAAAGAGGAGGCAGAGGAACAGTGCTGACGGCTTCCCTTTCCTCCACCCATTCTGTCATGGTAATTTTGTTGTAAACTCTTTTTGCCTTTAGGCAAGGCAGCACTTTTTCCATCTTCTTTTTGCCAAGGGAACAAAAGTCTCTCTTCTCCCCTGAAAGCCTCTGCCCCTAGCAGCTCTGCTCAGCATGCTGACAGACCCTTAGGTCACTTGGTTCTCCAGGAGTAGCTGAGAGGGAGGGTGACCTCATTCTCCACAGACTTACAGCACGGTCATGTGGGGATGTTGCTGAGTGACTCCAAGAGACTGTGAGAAGGAAGCCACAGCTTCAGTGCTGTAGGATAGGGGTGCCCAATTAATAAGGGAGCATCTTAATGACAGCTTAATTGATTCAGGGGGCGACAGGTCAGCCCAATGAGTAGGAAACAGGCTTGGGTTCTGGTTCTGCCACTGGCCAGCTGTGTGACTCTGGGCAAGTCACTTTGTCTCTCTGAACCTCAATTTCTTCATTCACAAAATCACAAGGTTGTTATGAGGATTGAATAAGATACGCACATAAACTGTGCCTGGCACTCAGGAATCTGTCCATAAATGGTTGATATATATGGTGATTGGTGTTGGCTTACATTCTTATCAGGTATGCCTCATCTAAATAAATTATATCTGTGCCAGTAAAATACTTACGTTAAAGTATTTAAGTATTTGAACTTCAATGTCTCTCCACAAAAGCTGACGGATGGCTGTACTTACTGTGCACAGTGATTGTCTTTCTAAAATACATAGATTATTCTGGTTGCAATGTGGGTTAGAGATGCAAGGCAGGGTGGTGAGGAAGGGGCCATTAGCCATGTGGGTGGTGAGACACTCAAAGGGAGTGGAATTTTGGGGAATCACTATGCTAAAGAAAAGTTTTGCACCTGTTCCTCAAGTGTGATTCAGCTTTTCTTCTAGAAGAATGGGACTTCTGGCCAGATGTGGTGGCTCATATTTATAATTCTAGTGATTCGGGAGGCAGGGGCAGATCACTTGAGGCCAGGAGTTCGAGGTTACAGTGAGCTACAATCATGCCACTGCACTCCAGCCTGGGCAACATAGCAAGACGTTGTCTCTATAAAAAAAACTTTAAAGAAATTAGCTGGCGGCCAGGCACGGTGGCTCATGCCTGAAATCCCAGCACTTTGGGAGGCCAACGCAGGCGGATCACTTGAAGCCAGGAGTTTGAGACCAGCCTGACCAACATGGTGAAACCCCGTCTCTACTAAAGAGACAAAATTAGCCAGGTGTGGTGGCACATGCCCGTAATCTCAGCTACTTAGGAGGCTGAGGCAGGAGAATCGCTTGAACCTGGTAGGCAGAAGTTGCAGTGAGCTGAAATCACACCACGGCACTCCAGCCTGGGGGACAGAGCAAGACTGTCAAAAAAAAAAAACAAAAAAAAACTTGGAAGGCCAAAGCCCTCTGGGTCTCAGTTGTCCTTATCTGTTGAATGGGATGATAATAAGAGTAGCTTGCAAGGCTCCAAGCCTCCAGGGTTGTTTGAAGTGTAAATAGGTTGCTGGAAAGTGCATAGAGAGCTCACAGAGCAATGCCTGGAATAGATGAAGCATTCAGTAAGTGTGGTATATGATTGCTAGTAAATCCATATGTGCTGTCAAAGGAGAGGGGCGCATGGCTGTGTGTGAGAAGCAGGTTGAGGGAACTCCTTCATGCATTGCAGCACATTCAGCAGCGTTGCCAGCCAATCTCTACTTGATGCCAGTACCACCTCTTTATCCTCTGCTTTGAAACCTCAAATGTCCCCATCATTGCCAAACGTCCCCTGGGAGGCAAAATCTCCCCCAGTGGAGAATCACTGATCTAGAGGAAACTGGTGAAGCCAATGTAGCAGATCAAATGAGAAAATTCCAGGGTAGTGACATGAACTTGACTTTTCCTGGAGAGTAATTAACTAGGCAGAGACAATGCCATATGAATGAAAATGTTTCCCTTCTCTTTTTCTGGTAGGTCAAGTTGAAGTATATGTGTGTGTCATGGAAAAACAAGTCTAAAAAGAGAAGGAACAAAAATACCTCTACAACGGAGAGCTATCTTAAATAGCAATGTTTTTATGGCATGTGATTGAAGATTATTAAGATTGGTAATGGAA
This sequence comes from Homo sapiens, assembly GCF_000001405.40. Taxonomy (NCBI): domain Eukaryota; kingdom Metazoa; phylum Chordata; class Mammalia; order Primates; family Hominidae; genus Homo; species Homo sapiens. The sequence continues at coordinate 20,795,749 of NC_000020.11, forward strand.
ACTGGAAACTGTCACCTCTAGGGTTGTGTGAGTTTGTGATCCTGGGGTGGCTTTTACTGAGGTCGTGGAGGGCTGATGTCTCTTTTGGCTTTCCCTATATCCCCCACCCCCTGCCCCAAGAATATGCCAAACACAGGCCTCATGTCTCAACCTGGACTATGTCCCCGAGGCCACTGGGGAATCAACTTTTTTTTTGAGATGGAGCCTCTCTCTGTCACCCAGGCTGGAATATAGTGGTGCAATCTCGGCTCACTGCAACCTCTGCCTCCCGAGTTCAAGTGATTCTCCTGCCTCAGACTCCCAAGTAGCTGGAATTACTGGGGCATGCCACCATGGCCGGCTAATTTTTGTATTTTTAGTAGAGATAGGGTTTCACCACATTGGCCAGGCTGGTCTTGAACTCCAGACCTCAGGTGATCCAACCACCTCGGCCTCCCAAAGTGCTGGGATTACAGGCATGAGCCACTGCATCCGGAGGGGAATCAACTCTTTTAGGGAATTCTGGAATGCTGAAAAATGCCCGCGAGGCCTGGGAAACAATAGCCCCTTCCCCATATTCAAGGTGGTCTGTTCAAGGTGGCTGATTAAATTTCTTGCTTTGGAACATTCGACAGTGATTTTTTCGAGCAGAACTTCTCAGACTGTGATCACTTGGGGACCTTGTTAAACTACAGAATCTGATTTGGAAAAACAGGGTGGGGACCTAAGACTGCATTTTTCAGAAGCTCCCAAGTGATACCAACACCGCTGGCCCATGGGCAGCTCTGCACGTCGCAGTTCTGGTGCGCAATTCTGCATCTTCTTTTTCAGTGCCTAAAACTGAGGATCTTCCACAACAGTTTACAAGCAGTGAAGGGGCATTTTTAACCACTGGAAAAATAAACAGCCAAGGTGTGTGTGTATGTGTGTGTGTGTGTGTGTGTGTGTGTTTTTAATCCACACCAGGCAGGCATCTCCTCTTACTCTCCTGCAGGGTATGTGGAGGCAGGATGGACCGTGGTCAACACTGCAAGTGTTTCATTTCACCTGTGGCTTTATTTCTTTATGCCCTCCTATATTTCGGTTAAGTGTGCAACCGAGTACAAATTCCTTTCAAGAGAAATAGCAGAGGCAGAAAGTGGGTAGGGAGGGAGCCTGCGGGGAATGGGAGAGGGGAGAGCCTCCCCCAGCTCCAGGTTGAGCCCCCGAGTCGGTCCTGGCACGTGGGCGTGCGCCGGCGCTGGGGGTGGCCACCCTGTGTGTGGTGTGTGGGGCCATTTGGAAATCCCCCATGAATGACTAGGAGGGGCTGGGGAGATGAGTGGCCCAAGGCATTGCTGTAAACTACACTGGTTTCCCAAAGGATTTTGCATGTGCTCACAAAAGTAGTAAGGATAACCTGAGCCCTGTGGGTCCTTTATGAACGAGGAGATTACGGTCGGGCTTTGCCACAGCCTAAGTGTGCAGTACAACAAGGCCATTGTACAGCTCGGGCATTCATATTGAAAATAAAATATTAGCTGGGTGGTCCGGAATAATGAAGGCATTTATGACTCTGGCTAAGCATATGTATGTCGGACTGATCCACAGATTACCGTTACAGAGTCTGGGCTCATGCGGGGCTCCAGAGGGCTGAGGCCACTGGTATAGATCTGGGATGAAAGGACCAATGATCAAAGAGACTCAGGAAGACTAAAGAGCTGTTTATCTGTGACCTAGGGATACAATGGAATGAGGAATACGATTCTATTGAAAACCAGGACTGGTTTCCAAGAGCGTCCTTAAAAACGCCGAACTTCAGAGAAAATGGTCTCAATCCAGCACTCAGAGGGAAAAGCACAACACCAGAAAAACAGGCGGCTGCGAAGGGCTTTGGAAGCCGTGTGAACCGGTGACCCGAGCTCAGGTCCACAGTTGGGATACAGGAGGACAAATCACTGGCTAGGCCATGACTCGGTGAGTGATCGTGGGTCAGTCACATAACCTTTTGTCTTCCTCATCTGCTGAGGACAGAGGTTGACCCTGGGCTCTGACGTTACCAGGCCCCCAGCAGGATGCAGCACAAAGATCATACTTGCTCCATTCCATTTTGCCTATGAAAGAAAATTTGGAGGCCTGGCAGAAAACCTCTCTACGAATGCGGGTGGGGACTGGAGTTTTCTGGAACAGGAGCACCAACTGTGCCAGGTGCCACACCTTCTTTCCTGCCTGAGGAGAAATGCTTTTTCAGTACACAATTCAATGATTTCTGATATGAGTGTACACCCTTGAAAACTTCACCCTGGAAAAATTATGATAATAAACATAGACACCACTCAGAAGTTCCCTTATGCCCCTTATAATCCTCCACCCCCAACTGTCCCATGCCTAGATCTGCTTTCTGTCACACTGGATTAGTTTTCATTTCCTAGAGTTTTATATACCGGGAAACAATATGTGTCAGCACAGCATGGCTGCCTTCATGCACCATCATGATTTTAAGATTCATCGCTGTTGTGGACATCAGCAGCTGCTTCCTTTTCACCGTCGAGTAGTATGATCTGTTGAAGAACATGTGGATTGTTTCTAGTTTGCAGCTTTTCCAAATAAAGGTTCCATGAGCATTCATGTTCACATCTTTGTATGGAAATAATGCTTTCATTTCTCTTAGGTAAATACCTAGGCGTGAAAGGGCTGGATCATATGGGAAGTATGTCTAACTTTTTAAGAAACCACCAAATTATTTTCCAAAGTGTTTGTATGATTTTACACTTCTATCAGCAGACTAGGGGAGTTCTAATTGCTTCACATCTTTGCCAACACTTGTGGATTTGTAGAGCTATCTCAGTATGATTTTAATTCGCATTTCCCTAATGATGAATAATGTTGAACATCTTTTCATGTATATGTAAGCCATCTCAAAATTTTCTTTGAGGCTGGGCACAGTGGCTCATGCCTGTAATCCCAGCACTTTAGGAGGCTGAAGTGGGAGGATCCCTTGAAGTCAGGAGTTCAAGACCAGCTTGGGCAACATAGAGAGACCCCATCTCCACACACACACACACACAAATTTAAAAATTAGCCAAGTGGGCGCTGAGCACCTGTAGTCCCAGCTACTAGGGAGGCTGAGGGTGGAGAATTGCTTGAGCCCAAGAGTTCGAGGCTGCCCTGAGCTATGATGGTGCCACTGCACCCCAGCCTGGGAGTGCGGTGTGAGACCTTGTCTCCAGAAAAAAAAAAAAAAAAATCTTTGGTGAAGCTCCAGTTCAAACATTTTGCTCAGTTTTTAAAAATTGGGTTGTGTTTTTATTATTGAGTTGCAAGGAGTTATTTATATACTCTAGGTACAAATCCTTTCTGGTTATATGTCTTGCAAATATTTTCTGTGCCTCAAGGGTCATTTTGAGAGCTGAAGGAGGGGAGTGGTCCTCCCAGGCTGGTGTGTTGCCTTCTGGAGTCCCTGCTAATTTAGGAGCTGCTTCTCTAGTCCAGAACTTCCTTTGGTTCTTCTTATCACAGTGAGTTGGAAACACCAGGTCACCTTGAATTCTACCTCAAGGCTTCTAGGGCCTTTGTGAGCCACACGGTGCAGCACCAAGCATAGCCTGAACACTAGACACATTTTCTCACCCTCTGCCTGAAAGCAGGTGATTTCGTTATTTAGAACAGCTCAGGGCCTTAGCGTGAATATTTGGAGAGGGTGATAGAGAAGGCACTGCCTGGTACCTGCAGTTGGGCCTGTCCCAGTACAAGCAACAACATATTAAAAAGAAAGGAAGTATTTGGAGTCCTTTGATGCCTCTAGTTAAAAGCTGCAGGCCAATTGCAATCTCTAATCTCCACTCTCTTTCTCATTTGAGGCAATGGGGCTATCCTTCCATGATTTTCTTGCCTTGTTTATTAACAGTTCGGGGGCAGTTTTTCCCTGTTATTTAATAGAAACATGAAAAAGCAAGCATCTTGCAGCAGTTATCAATTACTGCATAACAAATGATCCCAAACCTCATGGGTCTTAACAACCACCATTTGTTATTGCTCAGGAGGCTACAGTTCTGTTGAGCTGTGTCAGGCTCAGCAGGTCTCAGCTGGGCTCACTCGTGCACCTGCAGTCAGTCACGTGAAATCTCAGTCTCTCCGTCTGCAATCGACTCAACAGAATGAAGACACCATATTGCCCATTGGCCTTGCTGTTTCTGTCTCCATGGTTCTGGCTCGATTCCTTGCAGTACTGACACTTCTTCCAGCACAACCCTCTAGTAAGACAGCCTGGATTCCCTCTCATGAGCTTCTGGGCTCAGAGAGGTTTGTAGATATCTGGGACTGTTTTAATTTGGGTTCTGAGTAGCAGAGCCTGAGAAAGTCATTTGAGTGTAAGCAGTTTATTCCAGGAAGTACCAATTAGGACACAGGGAAGTGAGATCCAGGAGGGAAGGCAGCCAATACAGGGTATATTAGAGAGGCAGCTACTATTGTTGGAAATAGGGCACAATTTCCCCCCTCCCGGGGATATGCCTCAGGGTGGTTTCATCCAGGGGCAAAGAAATGGAACCTTTGCTGGGACTAGGGAGAGGGCCATGGGAGCCACTCTGTTTTACCAAGATTTTGCCTCTGTGGCCTCTCCCTCTAGGCTTCCCTGCAAAGGAATTGCCGATCCCTGTGGCTGGGGTTGTAGAGTCAGCCAGGCTTATACTGACATATTTAAGTTCAGCACAGTTGATAATGCTTGCGATGTCTAGGGACCCAGAGGGTAATCACAGAGTACAAATGAACTTAAACAATGCCAGAAGCAAGCCTGACTTGTTTTTTTCTTGGGGTATAATCATCTAAAGCCACTTGTGAGGGACAGAGGGGGCTGGATTTTTGCATTTATGGTACATTGACTGCATCTATTATGCTTTTTTTCTTTTTTTTTTTTTTTTTGAGACAGGGCCTCACTCTGTCGCCCAGGCTGGAGTGCAGCAGTATAATCTCAGCTCACTGCAACCTCTGCCTCCTGGGCTCAAGCCATCCTCCCACCTCAGCCTCACGGGTAGCTGGGACTACAGGTGCATGCCACCATGCCTGGCTAATTTTTGTATTTTTTGTAAAGATGGGGGTCTCGCCATCTCAAACTCCTGGGCTCAAGCAATCCACCTGCCTCGGCCTCCAAAAGTGTTGGGATTACAGGCGTGAGCCACAGTGCCTGGCCCTGTTCCAGCTTTGCTGTGGATAAGCAGGATGGGATGTCCATCATAAGCTGCTTCTCTTTCATCTTGAGCACGCATCATCAAATAGAGGTCTTCTTTTAATGAAGCAGCAGATATTTTTAGTGATTTATCATGAAATATTTTGTTACATGGAGTGATGGATTACCACATAAGTTAGATTAGTCCCTTGCAGCCTCATGATTCGAAAGCCCACAATTTGAGCAGTTGGATGCAAAGTACTTTAAAATGGCCCAGTTTCTCAGATGAGATTGTGTCAGTTTCCATGATGTGAACTTCTGAGCTTGTTCTGCTCCAAAAATGAAGCATAGGTTTTGACAAGTCCTTGCTCGAATCCTTAGATTCTTTCTCAGACCTTGACTGAATGTCCCTGGATGTGCACATTTTTCTGGCTTGTAGATTTTCACCATCTCACAAGGCTGCCTGGGATTACTGTTTTTCATGCCTTGTTCCATTTCTTGCCTATAAGAGGATGCTTTCCATCTATAGTATAGTTTTATAGCAATCTGAGTAGTTTCTCATTGTTTCAGGCTGAGTAACTTTAGCAATATCAGCCTCCCTATGTAGGTTAATTGATTGACACATTTATTTAATCAGGAAGTGTTATTGAGCGCTTCAAAGGGTGCAGCAACCACAAGGCCCCACATTTGCTCACACTGTCCCAATGCCAAAAATTCTGTCCCATTGGTTCTGCACAGCTTCACGTTATCCTAGAAAATGCAAAATTTTGTCTTGCTTCAAGACGACCTCTTTCAGTTGGTGGGTGGGGGGTCCCAGACATACTTCATCAGGCCAGGTTTCCTAATTTGAATCTAGGAAAGTATAATATGAGAAATACTTCATCTGATTTTGTTTTATAATCACTTAAGAATATTTATTTAAGCCAGGCGCAGTGGCTCATGCCTTTGGGAGGCTGATGCAGGAGGATTGCTTGAGTCCAGGAGTTCAAGACCATCCTGGGCAACACAGGGAGACCCTAAATCTAAAAAAAATATTTAGCTGGGCATAGTGGTAAGCACCTGCAATGCCATCTACTCAAAAGGCTGAGGTGGGAGGATTGCTTGAGCCTGAGAGGTCAAGGCTGTAGTGAGCTGTGTTCGTGCCACTGCACTCCAGCCTGGGTGAGCAGAGTGAGATGCTGCCTAGTATGTGTGTGTGTGTGTGTGTGTGTGTGTGTGTGTGTGTGTGTGTGTGAGTTTCCAAAGCCAAATCTTTGATTTTTTCACTTTCTTCTTCCTTGTGTCCTACAGATAACCATTCAGATTTTTTCTTATTTACCTTTCCATTTTAAAAAATGTAAGCAAAATCTATATATGCTAACGAATCACATACACCTCTCTCTGTCTTGTTTGTGTCATTTAATGAAGTATACTGGAGACTACTCCATAATGGTAAATGTTGATTTTTGTTTTAGTCAGGGTTCTTTCTCCAAAGAAACAGACTCAATAGGATGTGTGTTGGGCAAGGGATATAGTTGTATATATTTGTGTCAATGTGTACGTATGTATACATAGAAAGATATTTATTACAAGGAACTGGCTCACACAGTTATGGAGGCTGACAAGTTCCAAGGTCTGCAGGGTGAGTCAGCAAGCTGGAGACCCAGGAGAGATCATGGTGTGGTTTCAGTCCAAGGCTGGCAGGCTCAAGACTCAGGAAGAGCCATTGTTTCAGTTCAAAGACAGGAAAAAGCTAACATCCCAGCTCAAAGGATGCCAGACAGAATTATCTTATGCAGGGGAGGGCCAGCCTTTTTGTTCTGTTTAGGCCTTCGACTGATTGGCTGAGGCTCACCCACTTTAGCGCTAGTAATCTGCTTTACTCTGCCTACAGAGTTACATGCTAATCTCATCCAAAACACCCAGAAAAATGACTGACCAAATATCTAGGCCCCCCCCAGGGTCCCATCAAGTTGACATATAAAGTTAACCATCACAATATTCTTCACTCCCTTTAGCAGATCCATTGTATGAATGTGCCACAGTTGATTAAACCAATCTCTTGTTGATGGACAATTGATTATTTCCAATGTTTTGTTATGATGAAGTTCTGTGATGAATCGCCTTATGCATACATATGCTGTTTGTTGCACTGTACTTGTAGGACAGACTCCTGGAGGTGGGATTGCTGGATCAGAGCATGCACATATATATAATTGCCCCTTGCTAGGGGCTGTATCATTTTGCATTCCACCAACAGCATCCGAAAGCACTGGTTGCCCACCACCCTTGGCCAAGGAGATTGCGTCAGGGCCAAGCTGGCCAATAAGAGGGCTTGGTGGGAGTTTTGTGAAAATATCAGGACACAGAAGCTGTCTCTCCCTGGGGATTGCTCAGCTAACTGCTGGAAGCTTTGTGTCTCTTGGGGCTACCACATGGAGAAAGCCAGCCAAGAATAACACCAAGAAAGAAGGAGCAAAGACAGAAAAAAGAGACACAGAAAGAACCAAAAGACAGAGCCCCAATGGATTGGTGGAGCGCCTGAGTTCATCTGGACCTGAATCAAAGGCTAATTCTGCACTTTTCAATTACAAAAGCAAAAATTCAGATTTTTTTTTTTTTTTTTTTTTGAGACAGAGTCTCGCTCTGTCGCTCAGGCTGGAGTGCAGTGGTGATCTCTGCTCACTACAACCTCCACCTCCCAGACTCAAGCAATCCTCCAGCCTCAGCCCCACCAAGTAGGTGGTACTACAGGTGCAAGCCACCACACCTGGCTAATTTTTGTATTTTTTTCTAGAGATGGGGTTTCACCATGTTGCCCAGGCTGGTCTCGAACTCCTGGACTCAAGTGACCCACCCGCCTTGGCCTCCCAAAGTGCTGGGATTACAGGCATGAATCACTGCATCCTGCCAAAAAATTTTAAAACTCTGGTTTGAATTTGTTTTTCACACAACCCCAAATCCTGTCCAATCCAACATCCTACATAAAACATGATTTCTACCTTCAAGGACTTATGCAACTGAAACAGAAGACAGAACGAATGCAGGAAAAACTACAAGAAAATAGAGAAGAGTACTGCATTGGTAGTGCTTTATTTTATGGTATAGATCATGAGCCCCGTGAGTCCTTCAGAATTCAGAGAAGAGGTCATGAAAGAGGAGGGGCATGAAGTGGGCCTTGGAGTCATACGATTTGAATGGACAGGACATTAAACAGTGCCACAATCCCTTGTCTGCCATTTGAAATCTGAGAACCAACAGTTTTTGGAGAGTCGGGGCAGACTCCTTATGTTAAACATGCAGAAGCAGAAATTGTATTTCATTTTATTTTTAAATTTTTTTAATTTTAATTTTTGTAGACTGGGTCTCGTTATGTTGCCCAGGCTGGTCTTGAACTCTTGGGCTCAAGTGATCCTCCTGCCTCGGCCTTCCAAAGTGCTGGGATCACAAGCGTGAGCCACCATGCCTGTCCTAGAAATTTTAAACTGATTGATTAAACTGGGAGTGTGGTCCCAGACTCTTCCAGGGGTGATATGTCAAATATGGGATATGAACTGTTCAATTTCTGATACTTATCTGGCCTAAGGAGTTTGTATAGGAGACCACGTATCTGTGCTTCATATCTCAGGGAAACGAGGGATGTGTTTGCTGAGGCCTGGCTGTCAGGAAGTGTCAGAGAACCCCACAGGCACTACTTGAAAGGTGCTTGTCCTACAGGTAGCTGGAGAAAGATGGTTACATCCAGGCTGGGTCACTCTCTGCTGGATATACTCTGCCCCGGGCTGCCTCCTTCAGGGGGTGGGGGGAAAGGGACTATCTTCTAATTTGCACAAAAGTGCCATGTGATGTCTCAGATTCCTCTTAGCCTGGGCTCTCCTTCAAGGCAGAGCCTGAGACAAGGGTTTGAGCCAACTGGTTTACTTGGGAGGTGACCCAGAAAGCCCTGTGAAGAGTGGGGAAGTGAGGCAGGGAAGTCAATAAAGGGTTTGCTCATGAGTGAGTTACTGCAGAGGGCCGCTGGGCTCACTGCTGCCAGGGACCTCTGGGAGACAGTGGAGCACACATCAGAATTGCCCCAGAGAGTGGGGAGGAAGCCACGGCGTGTACTCACCAACTGGTCGAATGTTGTCTTGGGGGCCTTAAGTGCTCAACACTTCCTGGCCTCCCTGCAGTCCTCCTGTAGAGAAGAAGGGAGAGGCTGGCATATTCTTGAAGTAGGAAGCTCCCAGTGTGCATAGAAATTGCCCACCAACTGGAGGTGAGCACCGGGTGGGCCAAGAGAATGTGGCCCACAGTATCTTCTTGCAGAGCCCCTGCTAAACACTCCCTCCGAGGCTTTGTCTATCTCGGTTGACCACACTGTTCAGTGCTTCCTTTCCCTTTCCACCTATGAGCTCCCTGAGCTTAGGGACTGTTCCCTTTCATAGCTGTATCCCCATGCCTGGCATGGCGGCTGGGTCAGATCGTTACCCACCACGGGTTCTTGGGCTCTCAATGCAATAGGAATTGTCATGAGGCCAAAAGAGCTTTCCCAAACAAGGCTTTATGGGGCTGTGCCCAGGCATAAGGGAGGCAGCTCAGGGAAAGGATTCCCTAGCTGGCTCCCTGGAGGGTGTTGGAAAGGCATTTTTATAGGGGCCACAGCGGGAAAGGAGTGGCGTTAGGCATGTAGAGGCGGGAATGCTTAGCACCCGTGCAGATGAAAATACACTTCTTCCTGTGTCACGTCTCATTAGGATGTTAAATCTCTACCCGGGTGTGATTTTTGGTGTTATAATGAAGCTAAGATTAAGGGTCAGTTTTTCTTCTGGCCTTGTGGGTATGCAGGCAATAGGGTTAACTCCTTTGAGTAAGATTTAAGGTGGGAGCTGCTTATTTTAGCTTCCTCCAGGTCCCTCAATCTGTAGGTATGGCGCCTTGAGCAGGATTTATGGGGCAAGGTCTGGATGGCCTCGTTGGGATTCCCTCCAGCCCTGGGGCCTCCCGGTCACCAGCTTGTAGTAGACGTCCTCAGTGAGAGACAAGTGGGTGGGGCCCAAATCATCTCCCTACCCCGTCTCAGGATCAGCGCCCAGGTAGCATGTGCCAGGTCTGGGGTTCTTCCTGCGTACTTTACTCCTATTGTTCTCCAAAGTGTGCACTGCAGGTAGGACAACCAAATCTCCCATCACCACTTAATGCGGCGAGGGTTGGCAAGGAATTCCACTGGGTACCTGTCTCTGGAGGCTGAGGCCGGAGGCTGTGTGGCTAGGCTGACTATGGCTCTGCCTGGTACCTACTCCTGGCCAGGGGCAAACCTTTCCTTTAGGTGTTTTGGCAGAGTCAGACAGGGTTGCTCCTCACATTCCACACAACAGCTCTCGCCTTCATAAAGCACTTAAAGGCTGGTTGGCTCTCTATGGGTTTCCAAAGAGGAGCAGACTTCCTGCAGTCCAGATGTCTGGCAGGGGCCTGGTCCTTGTGCTGGTTCCCTCTCCAGCTTTGTTGTGATGTAGGGAGAAGCCTCTCTGTCTGTTTGGGATAAACTTAATCCTCTAAACAGCAACTGATCCAAAATTTCCATATAGGCGGGGTCTGGGGGGCAGCCATCTGGTTGGAAGGAAGATTAGGGAACTTGTATTAGAACTACCTCTCTCTAATGTATGGTGAGCACCCTGGTTTCCCTTTGGGGTGGCTTTATAGAGGGGTCAGTTGATATTACAAGGAAGCTAAAGGATGCCGCCTGTGATACCTGAATTCCTTAAGAACAAGGCATCCTGCAGGGAGAATTTGCAGAAATGTGATGGGGGATGGGCAGAGCGAAGCCAGAGGAGACCTTGACAGTCGGCCACCAAATATTCACCCGACCTCTGCTAGATTTGTTCTTGACAATGCACTTTTTTGTAGGCAAATCAAGTTATCGCTCTGTTAGAAAGAATAACAATCACTGTCAAACTCCAATGAAGACCTATGTTTTTATTGTTGTGATTTCTGATAAGTCCCCTGGACCAGGCCCTGCAGTCCAGACCCTCGCCTCGCCAGCTGCTTGTGCTGTGGAACTGCCTCCATCTGTCTCCCTGTGAAACCGTGGTTAGCACATCATTAACCCATCTACGGAGATTTCAGAATTTATAATCCTCAATCGTTCACAGAATGAAAACAGATGCTTTGCCAGAAATTCACTATCAAAGAGAAGCATTTAATATTGGTAATTAGCAAATTAAAAAGAGGCCAAAGTGCCCAACTCAAACCAAAATTCTTCCCCACAGAGTAAATGCAGTATGATTTGAAGTAATGAACTGCAATCATCTCTATTTTGTAGCTTCCTACCCTTCTGTGTGGACCAAGAAAAGCTCCTGCTTACAATTTTGTACAAAGGAGATGAGATCTGTCAAGAATATTTTTAAAACATACCACTGAAGAGATGACCCAAATGGCTGGGGCATCTACTGCTGGAACAATTGCTGGCATTATGGGATGTTGCATGCACTAGCCACTAGACTCCATCAAAGAGTTGGGCTGCATAAGCTGGTGTGGGTTCAGATGCCAGGAAGAGTTGCTATGACAGCAAAAAATTTGATGTCCTTTGGAGGGTAAATTCTTGATTGAGGGACAAAATTAAGGGGATACAGGTTTGCATAGCACATTGAGAGATAGAAACTTCCCAAGTGATTCCTAAAAAACAGGTGCTTATGGAATTGCTAATGTTCTACAGTCACATGGAATTACATGGCTATGTGATGCTTTCCTTCCTCTGCAGGTAGTGCAGACTTTGGGATGGGAGATTCTGTTTTAAAATGGAACTCTTCTACAAAAGGAGACACTTCCTGCCCTGACAGCATCAGTTTTAACATCTGCATTTCAGAAGTAGAATCTCAGTTTTTCATAAGAGAACTAGTTTTTTGTTGTTGTTGTTGTTATGTTTTGTTTTGTTTTGTCCTGTTTTGAGACAGGGTCTTGTTTTGCCACCCAGGCTGGAGTGCAGTGGTGTGATCATGGTTCTGTAGCCTCCACCTCCTGGGCTCAAGTAATTTTCCCGCCACAGCCTCCAAAGTAGCTGAGACAACAGGTGCATACCATCATACCCAGGTAATTTGTATTTTTTGTAGAGATGGGGTTTTGCTATATTGCCTAGGTTATTCTCAAACTCGTGGACTCAAGAGATTCTCCCACCTCAGTATTATAGGTGTGAGCCACCGTGCCTAGCTGAAAACTAGTTTTAAACCACAAAAGATAATATATATTTATGGACTTTAAAGCAAGTATGTCCTACTAAGGTAAGAGAACAAGTCAGTGGGAAACAGGAGGTATCTCATGGACGTATGTATTTTTTAGCATTCTCTAAGCAGCTAACATAGAAGTTCCTGTTTCTCTGTAACTCGGTCCCTGAAAGTCTTCAGAGGGTTTTGTGGCCTGGAAACTGGCCATCTCAAGCCATTCCTTGCAATAGCAGTAGTCTTTCAACTTTTAGGACGATGACAACAAGATAGATCATACCACTTATGTGTCCCTTTTTAAAAGAAAATATTTGTAGTTCAAATATAAACCCTGTGATTTTTAATATTCATAGTGTGGATAACCAAGGCAGGAAGTCAATGCCATTTACAGAACAATTCTAATTTCAAATATTCCATCCCCTTGTCTCCATAAACCACTGAAATATCTCAGAAATCCCAGTATGTCCAATCCAGGTAGCCATTAAAAGAAGTTCATAAGCATTATAATGACTATATTCAAAAGTCACATCAGATCAACAATGATTCTACCATGATTATTATACACTATGTGCACACTAGCTCTTATTCTTTATTTATTATTGCTGAGTTTATTTAGTGTATTTGGGCTTTGTTTTTTGAGTTATAAAGCTCACGAACATCTCACTGATATAAATGCCTATTTGAGGCCAGGCGCAGTGGCTCATGCTTGTGATCTCAGCACTTTGGGAGGCTGAGGCGGACAGATCACTTGAGATCAGGAGTTCGAGACCAGCCTGGCCAACATGGTGAAACCCCATCTCTACTAAAAATACAAAAAATTACCCAGGTGTGGTGGTGCACACCTGTAGCCTCAGCTACTTGGGAGGCTGAGGCAAGAGAATTGCTCAAACCCAGGAGGTGGAGGTTGCGGTGAGCTGAGATCGTGCCACTGCACTCCAGCCTGGGAGACAGAGCAAGGCTCCTTTTTGAAAAATAAAAAAATAAATGCCTATTCGATTGTGACTATAAATTCAATGTAAGTTGGTGCTGACATCCTAAGGATGACAACATTTCCCAGCCCAGTTGTACATAGTTCAAATTTAAAAGGATTTGAAATATTATTCAATTATAAAATGTTATATTAATGTTGGAATGAATGCAAAGGACAGGAGAGAAAATGCTTTAGAGCAGCTTTCTAGAAGGAAAGCATTTGATAAAGTTGCTAATTGCATGAAAGCTGACATCAGTTTTCATACTGAATCTAAAAAGATTCAGTTAGCTGTCAGACCTGCAACTTCAAGTGCCGCAGAGAAGGTATTTCTTTTTAAAAATTTTAATTTTATTTATTTTAGAGAAGAGGTCTTGCTCTGTTGCCCAGGCTGGAGTACAGTGGCACAAGCATAACTCACTGCAGCCTTGAACTCCTGGGCTCAAGTGATCCTCCTGCCTCAGCCTCCTGAATAGCTGGGACAACAGGTGCATGCCATCACACCTGGTTAGTTTTTAAATGTTTATTTTTAGCAGAGATGGGCATCTCATTATGTTGCCCAGGCTGTTCTTGAACTCTTGGTCTCAAGTGATTTTCCTGCCTCCTTAGTTGCTGGGATTATGGGCATGAGCCACCGCACCTGTCTTGGGAAAGGTATTTCTTGAAGCTGGGCCATCCAAATGCCTGTTTCCCAGATAGTTGTGAGTAGGTTGGACTATTCTTCCACTTTCTGTGCATATCCATGCACATCGTCCTCTGCTTGATCTATTTGCTTTCACACACTTCTGTCAATTTCATCTTCTTAACTCCATCACCTCTCTCCTCAAAATTCTCCAACGACTTCCCATGGCCTAAGAAAATAGTCTACACTCTTCAGGCTAGAGAAGTTGACATCACCTATCCAACAACCTTTCTTCATTTCTGCCTTAGAACACTAAGTTTGTTCTAGGAAGCAATGTTCAGTTAAAAGATGACATTTTCCAGCCTCCCTTGCAGGCAGGGGTGACTTATGAGATGTAGACTATTAAAGCAAACTAAATAAGTCTTGAGAAGAATTCTGTACTTCTATATTTGAGTCCTTGTGGATGAACTTCAACCTAACTTACTAGGTAGACAAGGCTGAAACCCTAACTTAGGAGTATGCACCTGTAACAATCAATGAGTCTTGGCCAATCCCAGAGGCAGTACTTCAACCAGTCACACACTGCTGAGTGTTCAAACCGTGTTGAAATAAGGCAAACGCCAAGTTGTAACCAATCCAAGTAGTTCTGTACCTCACTTCCAATTTCTGTACATCACTTTACTTTTTTGGTCTATAAATGTGTTCTGACCACAAGGCATCCCTGGAGTCTCTCTGAATCTGCTCTGATTCTGGGGGCTGCCCGATTCATGAATCATTCATTGCTCAATTAAACTCCTTTAAATTTAATTCGGCTGAACTTTCTCTTTTAACAAGACAAGGTCACTGGGACTCCCATAATAAGCTATTTTAGCAGAGCTGACTCAGCTGGAGGGATATGACCTAGCACCTTTTCACTCTTCCCTTCTCTGAATTGGACCTAGAATGCAGACAAGATGTAACTGCCCCATGGGTTAGTCCTGCCCATGGCACAGACAAAACCAACTCACTGAGACTACAGCATTGCCATAAAGAAAGACAAAAGGCCAGCCATGCCATGTGGGAGATGGAGTTATTACTCAAACCAATCTCCCTGAAAGTTTGGCAGGCAAGAGAATGGAGGTGTGGAAAGTGGTCCTCTTCTGAGTGAGGCCACAGGATGTTTGGCAGGTTCAGGTGGAGCCATCATCCTCAGAAATGAAAAAAACTAAAAAGATATCCCAAAAGGCCAGTCTTAGGTTCTACAATAATGATGTTATCTGCAGGAATAATTGGGGAGTTGCAAATCTTGTGACCTCCAGAAAAATGGCTGATAATCATTTATGTCTACACCTTAGCAGAATCCAGTCTCCTCTTTCTCCTGATCTGATTCTTTCATTAGCTTCCCAAAGGCAGTTTAGTTTGGGGAAGGGCTATTATCATTAAACTATAAATTAAATGTCTCCCAAAGTTGGTTTGGCCCAGGCCCAGGAGTGATTAAGGGCAGTTTGGAGGTTAAAGGCAAGCTGAGGGTTGGTTAGGTCAGATCTTTCACTGTCATAATTTTTTCACTGTTATAATTTTTCAAAGGCAGTTTCAAAGATGGCTGGAGCTCCTGTGCCAACCTGTGACCCTGAGGATGGAGAAGCAGCAAGAGTCTGGGTCCCTAAAGCACTGGAGGGCTGACTTCCTGGCTTGTTTTCTGTAAGAGAATAACCCCCTAATATATTTAGGTTGCAGTATTTGGATCTCTATGAAAAGTGCTAACCCACTTGCTAATGGATATGATTGGCATTGAAGGATCTCCAGACTTGACTCCAATCTTCCCTTCTGGCATTTACATCACATATTATTTCTCAGTCCTAGCTCGAGCTACTCTCCAATCGGGACTCCTACCAAATTCCCATCCAGGTTTACCAACAGGCACATTCCAATGATCCATCTTCTACTTCCTCCCAAAGAAAGTGTACCATCCAGAACTATTGCTTCTTTCACCCAGCATTTTTGCATAGGTTTAAGGATGTAAGTTCTGATATCAGACTCTTTGGTTCTACTTCTGACTACCTATGAGATCTAGAGTCGGTGTTGAGTGTAACTGCCCAACAGGTTCTCCTTGCCAGCTGCCTAGGCAGCCAATTTATCAAGACAGGAGAACTGCAATAGAGAAAAAGTAATTCACACAGAGCCGGCTGTTTGGGAGACCAGAATTTTATTATTACTCAAATCAGTCTCCCTGAGCATTCAGGGATAAGAGTTTTTAAGGATAAGTTGGTGGGTGGTGGAGCCAGTGAGTCAGGAGTGCTGATTGGTTGGGTCAGAGATGCAATCATAGGGAATCAAAGCTGTCCTCCTGGGCTGAGTCAGTTCCTGGGTGCAGACCATAAGATCAGATGAGCCAGTTTATCGATCTGGATGGTGCCTGCTGATCCACCAAGTGCAGTGTCTGCAAAATAAGTGAGGGTACAGAAGTCCTTGGTAAGGTTTTCCTTTTAATGAAAAGCAGCCCCAAATTATTTTCCTTTCTAACAAAGAACAGCCTGTAAAATCAACAAAAAGAGCAGACACAGATGCCAGCACTTGTGCCAATCATGTTCAAGATGGTGGCTCCATCTTCCTTCTCTTTGTCAGCCACGTGTACAGTAAGGAGCAGACAAGATGGTGCCAGCCAAGGAGAAAGTTTATTAGCATAATAAGATTAGTGTGGGGCAGCCAGCCTTCTTCGCATACTGTGTAAATGTCATAACTGATGGAATCAATCTGTGAGCCTTATGTAAATTAGGCGCCTGACTATAAAATCCAGCACATCCACCGCCAGCCTGCCTTTTCCTCTAGGAAGTCCCCTCTTTCTTGCTAGAGAGAGAGTTATGTTCCTCTCTGTTTCTTTCTCTTTCTTTTGCCTATTAAACCTTCGCTCCTAAACTTTTTGTGTGTGTCAGTGTCCTAAATTTTCTTGGCGCCAGATGACAAACCGCGGGTATTTACCCCAGACAACGTAGCTGCTTCAAGGTTATCCTCAGGAGCAATTTGGGGAGGGTCAGAATCTTGTAGCCTTGAGCTGCATGACTCCTAACCCATAATTTCTAATATTTTGGCTAATTTTTTAGTCCTACAAAGGCAGTCTAGTCTCCAGGAAAGAAGGAGGTTTGTGTGGGGAAAGGGCTGTTATCATCTTTGTTTTAAACTATAAACTGTAAACAAAGTTTCTCCCAAAGTTATTTTGGCCTATGCCCGGGAATGAACAAGGGCAGCTTAGAGGTTAGAAGCAAGATATTGTTGATTAGGTCAGGTCTCTTTTACTGTCTCAGTTATAATTTTGTAATAGTGGTTTAATGAGGACAATGAACATCATAAACTCATTGCAAGGATACAGATTGTATTACCCCAATTTGGAGAGTAGACGATGCTTAGAACTGAGAAACCCAGACAAGGCACTTATAACCCCATTTCCACAAAACATTGGCACTCCATCCGAAAAAGTTTTAGGAGACACACCATTTATCTGCTTTGAGTTTCCTTTATACAAAGCAATGGTTTATTGAGATTTGGGAATAATGAGAGGAAAAAGGGAAGGTTTAATATTTTTAATGGCTTCAATTTTTTAAAACGTTTATCTCAAGAGAATACATGGTTATCAATGCACTGAAAATCGTCCATGAACTGGTAAGAAAACCTAAACTCATGTGTTTTCATAGACGCTAGCATACAATTTTTCTTTTTTTTTTTTTTTTTGAGACAGAGTCTGGCTCTGTCGCCAGGCTGGAGTGCAGTGGCGCAATCTCGGCTCACTGCAAGCTCCGCCTCCAGGTTCATGCCATTTTCCTACCTCAGCCTCTCCGAGTAGCTGGGACTACAGGCGCTCGCCACCACGCCCGACTAATTTTTTGTATTTTCAGTAGAGACGGGGTTTCACCGTGGTCTCGATCTCCTGACCTCGTGATCCGCCCGCCTCGGCCTCCCAAAGTGCTGGGATTACAAGCGTGAGCCACCACGCCCAGCCAGCATATAATTTTTCTGTTAAAATGAATAGTGCATTCGCTGTGACCAATACTGGGATAATAGCTCCTACCTTTTTGTGTGTTGCCAGCATCTAGCTACTTTATTGCATTTTCAAATGTCCAAACTCATTTTCTCAATTTTCCTTAACACAAGAGCAGATAAGCAAGGAGGCAGTAATATACTTTCATTCAGCAGCTTCTGCAGAGGCAGGGTCTGGAAGCAGCTCCCTGGGATGCCACGTAAGCTACTCCATCGCTCTGAGTCACAGTGATGGAGGACTTGGACGAGATGGATTTTGTCAGGTTCCTTCCAGACATAGGAATTTAAAGACATGATAATTTGAAGATGTTACCTAAGTCCCCAGGAAGAGAAAGAGCTTTCATAAACAATGTAATCATGGGAGTAATTCCTCCAGGGATCACAAGGATTTGGCTCTACCTGCTGACCTTTTTCTGTTTGATCTTTCACTCCACTAAGAGAATCCATTATCTATAGAAAAGAAGCCACTTTCCTTAGAGTCATTGGGTGAATCATTGCTCCAGTGAATGGTTACTGTGATGGGTAATTCTGGGTGTCAACTTGACTGGACCACAGGATGCCCAAATAAACACTGTTTCTGGGTGTGTTTGAGGCTGTTTCCAGAAGAGAATAGCATTTGAATGGGTGGGCTGAGTCAAGCAGACGGGCCTTCCCAATGTAGGTGTGCATCGTTCAATCCATTGAGGACCTGGACAGAACAAAAGGCAGAGGAAGGAGGAATTTGCTCCCTTTTTTCCTGCCTAACTGCTTGAGCTGGGACACCTCATCTCCCTTCTCCTGCTCTCAGACCGGAACTTATACCATTGGCTCCCCTGGTCCTCAGGTGTGGACTAAATTATCCCATGGGCTTTCCTGGTCCTCCAGCTTCTGTGGGACTTCTCAGCCTCCATAAGCACGTGGTGAACCAATTCCTTGTAGTAATTTCTTTTTCTTCTGTTTGGTTCTTATCAGTTTTCCTATCGGTTCTGTTTCTCTGGAGAACTTGACCAATATAGCCTCAATGCTCTATTTTCTAAAAAAATTGAAATTTAAAAAAGTTCAGTTTGATAATTAAAAGTCCCTCTGAGACAGAGTAGGAATGGGGCTTGGCTTCAACTCACTCCCGCTAGAGCATTCTTTCACTCATCTCCACGATTGCAAAACCTACACCACTACCTCACTGATGTCATTATCTCTGAACCATGCCTTTTACTTAAAGAATTCCAGGAACTGGCCTTGGGAGATCACCAAGGTTGCGGAGTGTCCCAGCTTGGGAAGGAATGCTAAACAACTGATTTACAGACTTGCTGCCTTCTGCCAGACCAGCAGGGGGTCCATTACTCAGGATAACCCCAGCAACCAGATAATGCCTACCTGCATACCCTACTCCGGCTGTCAACTCCTGTGCTTTGCCTAATAAAAAAGCCCTACAGGCTCTTGTCAGAAAGTCAGCCAGGGAATTCTCCCTCTCTCTCTCAATCTCTCTCTCTCTCATTGTCTCCCTTATGTCCAGGCATAAGCTCCAATGAGGCCTTGTCTGGAAAAAGTCTTCTGGCCTCACCTCAATCTCTAACATATTGAGAGCCCAAGAGCCTGTGCTCAGTAACACCTCTAACGCAAAGATAAGGTTAGATCTTAAAAATAGGGTGAAAACATGAGGCAATTAACTTTTAGTAATGTCTTCATAATGTTTTCTTTAAATTTTTACCAATTTTCCATTTTATTATGATCCTCTGTAATATGTACCAATCAATTAACATAACCTCATTTTACTCAAAATAAATATGTTTTATAGACAGAAATTCAGTGTCTTTCTTTGTCTTTTTAATTTGTCATGTCCTAATACAGGTATAAAACAAAAAGTATCTGAGACAAGTTTTAATCAATTTAAATGTTTATTTTGCCACAATGGTGGATGTGCCCCTGACACAGCCCCAGGAAGTCCTGAGAACACACGCCCAAGATGGTTGGGTTACTGGGTTACTGCTTGATTTTATACACTTTAGGAGGGACAGAAATTACAAGCAGACATCAATTAGTATGTGTAAGGTGTACATTGGCTCAGTTCAGAAAGGTAGGACAACTTGAAGGATGGGGAGCTTTCAGGTTATAGGTGGATTCAAAGGTTTTCTGATTAGCAATTGGTTGAAAGAGTTAAGTTATTATCTAAAGACCTGGAATCAACAGAAAGGAATGTCTGGGTTAAGATACGGGATTGTGGAGACTAAGACTTTTATTATGAAGATGAAGTCTCTAAGTAGTAGGCCTCAGAGAGAGACATGTGAATATTTCTTATCAGACTTCCAGGTGCCAGACTCCTAGTTAGTCTCTCCTGCATCAGGAAAAGACCTGGAAAGGGAAGGGGGATTCTCTACAGGATGTAGATTTCCCCCCAAAGAGACAGCTTTGCCAGACGTCAAAGAAATATATTTCAGGGTAAAATGCTTTGATTTATTTCAGGGCCTGCTATCTGTCATTTTGTGGTGTATTGCATTGCTACAAAGAGTCTGTTTGGTCAGTCTTAAGATGTCTGTTTTAATGTTAAAGCTGGTCAGTTCCGCATAAATTCCAACAGGAGGAGAGTATAGTGAGGCATGTCTGACCCCTCTTCCCATCATGGCCTGAACTTGTTTTTCGGGTTTGCCTTGGAATGCCCTTGGCCAATGGTGGGGAAGTCCATTCAATTTGTTGCAGGGCTTAATTTTATTTTTGGTTTACACAGGGCTGTGTATACAATAAATTCTCAATAAATCCTTGGGAACAAATGAGTTGTTAAATCTCACTCCTGAATTAATACCTTTCATACAACAGACTTAAAAGTACTAACAATGTAAATGAATCTCATGTCACTTTCATAAGCAACCTCAGCCTGTTTAACAGGTAGATAGTATGAACATCATATTGGGGCTCAGTATATATCACACCAAAATATGACTGTAGAGAGTTTCCTTAGGCCAGAAATCAAGTCAGTGTTCAAGATTTTAAGTGTACTGAGATGATTTCATTTACTTAAGTTTTTCTTAATGCAATCTGCTGAGAAACAGGTGGTAATTTGGGAGTTCAAGGTTGTCATTAAGTTTTTCACTTACTTTTAACTCCCTTATAAGTAATAATAGAAATAAGTCATCACATTCATGGAAATTCATTCCTGTGCTTTACTTAATCACACATAAGCCTTTGCTGACTTAAAAAAAAAAAAAAGCAAGTGACCTGCTATATATGTTTATCTCCTGTGGCTGCTAACATCCTGTTAAACGAAAATTATGGGCGCCCATCACTTTAGACTGAACTTCCTACACTAGGCCCCAGCAGAACACACAAAATCAAAACAAAGTCACTCACACAAAATGCCACAGAGTCAAACTGGAACTTTAAGGAAGGAGATAGATCCCCTAACAGACCAGACCAGTTTTTTACTGAAAACAGGAGATTCTAGTCTACCTGAGTGAGTGTAATAAAAATGGTCCCTTTGCTTTAACCTTTACAGAAAAAAGTAATCCGAAATAACCTGAAGTAACCTGACAATAACCAGTCAGCATTTTTTCCTATGGTTTTGTCTCCCTAGTCTACCTTACAAAACCCACTGTTCTGCCATTGCTCAGTGGGAACTCTCATTCTGTTTTGTAGGATGGAGGCCACCCCTATTCATGAATTGCAAATAAAAGCCAATTAAATCTGTAAAGAAATTTGTCATCATTTCTGCCTTTTGAAAATCTAATGGAAACAAAAGTTTAATAGTGCAAAAAGAAGTAAACCCATAAAGATAAAGAGACCTGAGGGTTATGGATGAGTAGAAGAGAGATCCCAACAAATTTCTGGGAAAATTTCAGTATGGGAAATGTGTTGGCTGGCAAAACAGAGCGGACAGAGCAGCTCGGATGATGTTAAGATATTGTGTGAATTCCAAGACTGGCTCCAGTTTTGGAGTTGGCAGGCATTGGAGGGAGTGAGGAATGGGCTGAAAACGGTGGGAATGACAGAGTGTTTGCACAACTGCTCCCAGGGGTCTTATTTGCATGTTCAGAATTCCCATCAGAAGCTGAGAAGCCTCTAAAGAAGTTGAATGTACAGGGAAGGGTATGTTCTCTTGAGTGGAGGTTGGTACCTCTCAAAGAAAGCCTTCCTGACTCTGGTGTCTTCAGTGTTGGGGTTCAGGACACACCACCCCAAAATATGACTATAGGAGACCAAAACATGCCACACAGCATATTTTGAGCTGGTTATTTTGGGAAACTGCAGACACAGGAGCCGGTTTGAAAAGTTGCCCTTTTGTGGCCTGGCGGAGTGGCTCACGCCTGTAATCCCAGCACTTTGGGAGGCCGAGGCAGGTGGATCATGAGGTCAGGAGATCGAGACCATCCTGGCTAACACGGTGAAACCCCACCTTTACTAAAAATACAAAAAATTAGCCGGGTGTGGTGGCAGGCGCCTGTAGTCCCAGCTACTCGGGAGGCTGAGGCAGGAGAATGGCGTGAACCTGGGAGGCAGAGCTTGCAGTGAGCTGAGATTGTGCCACTGCGTTCCAGCCTGGGTGACAGAGCGAGACTCCATCTCAAAAAAAAAAAAAAAAAAAAAGAGAGAGAAAACTTGCCCTTTTGTAAAGAAAATCCACATCTATAAGGGAAATGTATATTAGTAAAACTACCTGTGTCAGTAAGAGAACTGCTCTGAGTCAACGTTTATTACCCAGGAGAATTTTCATCTGCATAACAAGACAAGCTTTATTCACCATACATTTCCTCCCCTTGCCCTCCCATAATTTGCTTTTACTACACCCCAGAAGACCTTAGCCACCATTTCTTTCTGTAGCTCAGGATGCCAGATAAGCTGCAATCACCTGGCCCTTCCTCGACCCTCATATTTTTGTTGGATTCTGGTGTATGTATGTAATTAAATATGGTTTTTCTCCTGTTAATCTGTCTTATGTCAATTTAATTAATAGCCTGGCCAAAGGACCCAGAAGGGTGAAGGGAAGCCATTTTTCCCTCCCCTACAAGAGGGTGTGGCAAAAGTCCCACACCTACTCAATTGTATCATGAGGGTCCTGACACTCAAGTTAGAATAATGTAAGGAGGGTGTATTTACAAGGTACTCTACCAGACTCCTCTGATGCACCAATTCCGATCCTTTGGGCCTCACCTGTCTTGTGGTCCGGCCACTGCTGCAGTGATCAACTGCCTTTTTTGCTGGTGCAGTCCAGCAAGGTGTGTAGCCAGGCCTTATGAGCTTGCAAGAGCTAAACACAACCATTATTAAAAAATAAGTGATATAAATTTATAATTAAATAAATTACATTAAAAAGGAAGATAAACACTCGAAACTCATCACTCCCTATTTTATGACATTTTACTATTATTTTTGCTCTTGAGCTATTTATTTATTTATGTTTTGTTTTGTTTTGAGACAGAGTCTCACTCTGTCACCCAGGCTGGACTGCAGTGGCACAATTTCGGCTCACTAGAACCTCCACCTCCTGGGTTCAAGCAATCCTCCTACCTCAGCCTCCCGAGTAGCTGGGATTACAGGCATGTGCCACCATGCTCAGCTAATTTTTGTATTTTTAGTAGAGATGGGGTTTCACCATGTTGGCCAGGCTGGTCTCAAACTCCTAACCTCAGGTGATCCGCCCGTCTCAGTCTCCCAAAGTGCTGGGATTACAGGCGTGAGCCACCATGCCCAGCCGTGCTCTTGAGCTATTTACATCTATTGAATCATCTTTTCAAGTTATCTTCAGAGTCAGTATGTTGGTAGCTTGAAATCAGCTATGGTGAATATTTATACCATAGAAATGTGAAATTAAGTAACTCACCTTAAAGCTGTTGGAGCTTTAAATTATTCTGAGCCTTGAGAAGAATGTGGCCATCTGACTCGAGTCACGGGGTATACAGCTGCAAATTTTGCCTTTTTTTTCTGTAAATAATTAAGACCAAATGGCACCAGAGATAGGCCCCTTTAGATCATTGCCCCTACTCATGTGTTAATAAAGTAATCTTCCTCTGAACGTAGCAATCTGTAACCAATCAAACTGCTGTAAAGGCAAGGCGTGGTGGCTCGCACCTGCAATCCCAGAACTTTGGGAGGCTGAGGTGGGTGGATCACTTGAGCCCAGGAGTTTGAGAACAGCCTGGGAACATGGTGAAACCCCGTCTCTACAAAAAAAAAAAAAAAATTAGCTGGATGTGCTGCCACAGGCCTGTAGTCCAGCTACTTGGGAGGGTGAGGTGGGAGGATGGCATGAGCCTGGAAGGCAGAGGTTGCAGTGAGCCAAGATCACACCACGGCACTCCATCCTGGGCAACTGAGTGAGACCCTGTTTAAAAAAGAAAAAAAATCGCTGTAACATATGCAGTGGTCTCATATGTAAAATGTTGTGATCTTGCTAAAATTTGTCTGTTTCTACAAGTAAAACTGTAACTTATGCACTTTGGAATGCCGACCCCATTTGTTGTCAGTGTCCTCGGGTGTCTATCCTCAAGCATTGCAATCAAATAAACTCTATACTTAATCATATTTTCTGAATTTCATTATTTAAGGTAGATAGGAATAGGAGAGCCAGTTGTCGAACGTTTACCGCACTACACTGGTGCAATCTGTCAGCACCTCCCCTCCTACCCGGAAGCACAACTTTTCCGTCCTGTCCTGAGGATCCATACTGAGTTCTGGGACACCATGCAGTCATGCCCAGGGCTCACCACATGGGGGAGTTAATTCCTTGTGGAGCTAATATTTGACAAATAAGAAACGAGAGCTGGTGGATTAATTCTTGCCTCTTCCCCGCTCCCCACCGCAGACGGTCCTACTTACAACGCAGCTCAGAGCACAGTTCTGTTGCATTGAGCTATCCCCTGCACTTAGCAGCAGCCTGTCCCTCACACCTCCTAGGATGGCTCTCCCTCCTCTTCCCATTCTCTTATTCCTCTGCTCTGAGATCGAACTCCCTTTAACAATAGCACATTCAGGCTTTGCGTTCTAGGGAAGTCAGGGTAAGACAGGACCTAATGTGGAAAGTGAGTGTGGTTGGGAAGAGCAAGGGATTGTGTAGGAACCTGAAGCCAGCAACACGGAGGCTGTCACAACCCCTGGCTTGAAGAGACAAGGGCAGGGAGCATTTAGCAAAAACCAGATGGGGAGAAAGTCATCTTAAAATGATCTGAGGCCTTCCATTGTGGGGCACAGACAGGAAGGTAGGAAAGGAAATATCCAGTCCACAGCCTGTCCCCTCCCTCACCCTCTCACCAGGGAGCCTCATTCACTGGACATAATTTGGAGCCAGCGGACAGAGATGGGCTGGGGTGGGGCAGGAATGGGAGAAGAGTGGCTGGAAGGACAAATGGAAATTGTTTATCACATTGTCCTCGAGCAAAATCTACTAATTAGCATTCCCAGTTGCCAGTCACGCCTTTCACTCGGGAGAGAGGCTGGTCAGATTATGCAGTGGCACCCAGGGAGACATCAGCTGTGCGAAGAATGAGAGGGGCCAAAACAAACTAAGAAAAAACAAATTCTGGAAGAAACAAAGGTAATTTAGAGAACAGAAAAGAACTCGAAAACAAACCTATTACCTCAATTCAACATGGACAGCATCTGGTGAATAAAAGGAACGCTCAAATAAGAAAGAGTTCTTAGAAATTAAAAAAAAATGATTAGAGAAATATGAAATTCAACAGAGGGACTAGAAGCTAAAGCAGAAAAAGTCTTCCAGTTCCTCAGGCAAAACCACAGAAACCGCAGACCATAAAGATGAGCCATGGAAGTTTAATTCAAGATATTAGCCCAGAACGAGAGACCAAAAAATACTGAAGGAATAATTCTGGGAAAAAAAAAAGTGTTTATAGAAGAAAATGCCCCAGGGCTGAGTATCTACATCTTGCAGAGAGCTAGACTTTGTCTCCCTTTATCGACAAGTGCTTGGACGCTGCCTTCAGGGTCTGGGTGTAACCTGGGCGAAGCAGCTCCCTCCAGCCCCGGGCAATTCCTGGAGAGGGATTAGGAGTTCACCATCAGCAACAAGTAGTTTGGGTAACAGGGAAAGAGGCTTGGGACCTGAAAGGGGTGCATCACAGCATCCACCACATCCACCCCTTGGGCACCACTAGAATCCAGCTGCTTTGAATAGACGTTTATCCTCTGTGGGAACAGCTCGTCCAGGATGGTGGCTGGGCATTTTTATTGGAGAAACATAGAACAGAAAGGATATTGACATACATTGTAATCCCCATGACTGCATTCAGCCCCGAGGCTGTAGCTGATTCTCATTATCTCCTCTTCTATTTTACTCCATCTTTATACCCTCACCTCTTGCCTCTAGTGCCTCTGCTGGCCTAGGTGGCTTATCTGGGAGAGTAACCCAGACCTTCATCCCTGAGGAGAGCAAGCCCTGGCCACAGTCTTTCACAGGCGTGGCTGCTGCATTTGTTCATTTCCATCAAAATTGGGCGGGTGTTGGGAACCAAGAGATGCTCTGGCCGATCACGTGGGGGCCTGACCTATTGTTCTGCAACAGCAGCCCTGCCTCCTCCTGAGGAATGTGGATAATTTGCCTGCCAGCAAGGTGACTCTTTTTCTTGTCTGCTGGTCGCTTGGCAAGAGGAACCCAAAGTGATAAGGCAGCAGCAATAGCTTAAATGTAGTAGGACTCACACGGTTTCTCCTGGAAGAAGTGTTACCCCTCTAGGAACTGGGATCTTATAGACTAGTGCTGTCTGATAGAACTTTCTATGATGATGGAAATGTTCTATATCTGATTTGTCCAACATGGTAGATAATAACTATGTGTGGCCACTGAGCCCTTGAAATCTGGCTAGTGTGTCACGGAGAGTGAATTTTAAGGCCAGGCGTGGTGGCTCATGCCTGTAATCTCAGCATTTTGGGAGGCCAAGGTGGGGGGATTGCTTGAGCCCAGGAGTTTGAGACCAGCCTGGGCAACATAGTGAAATTCTGTCTCTACAAAAAATAAAAAGAAAATAAGCCAGGCATGGCTGAGGTGGGAGGATTGCCTGAGCCTGGAGGTTAAGGCTGCAGTGAGCTGTGATCATACCACTGCACTACAGCCTGAGTGACAGAGTGAAAGCCTGTCTCAATAAATAAATAAATCAACAAATATGTAAAGTGAATTTTAAACTTTATTTTAATTACTTTAAATTTAAATAGCTACATTGGGATAGTGGCTACTGTGTTGGCCAGTGCAGCTCTGTATCATCAGAACCTAAAGCTGCAGAGTACAATGCCCAAACTCCCCACCTGGGTCACTGGAGGTGATGGTGAGTAGGGCCACGCCTTAATATCCATGCCTTGGCTCTATCAATAGGGGACATGGCACCATGCCATGGTCTTTGATTCAGGGCATATACTACATCCCAGAGAATGCCACCCTATACCGGAAGGGCATCATCTCCAAGCTGGAGCCCCAGCTGTGCCTTCAGAAGGCTCTGGCATCACTTTCTCAGGCATCAGCTTGTGAGTGCTGCAGAGAGGACTACTAGACCCATGACCAAGTATCCCTCCTCTGCTGTGAAGTGGGTTGCTTGATCCGAGGTGGTGGTGAGTAAGCGGAGCTCCATGTTGGTGGATCAAATATTATAAGATGGATTGTGGTGCTGGCCAACACTCTACAGGCAGGGAAGCAGAATGTGTGTTGCCTCCAAGCAAGATGAATTGCTCCCCCTTCCAGAGTGAAGGGATCCAGTGTCATCAACTCGCCACCAACTCTTTCATCGGTCACTTTGAAAGATTAGGGGTTTGACTTTGGTTTCTGTGGCTCGCAAATTGGCCCTTTGGCTGTGGCAGTGGCTCAGCCTTGGCGAGTTGGAGCTCTTCTGTCTGGCACATGCAGAGCCTCCACCCCTGCCACCATGGCCTTTCCCTTTGTGAGCCCGTTGTGCCAGCACTGGGACAACCGATGGCAGAGGCTAGAACAGACAGCAGCTGACCGAGCCGTTCTCTCTCCTTGGCTGTGTCAAGCCTTTTCTGGGTTGTTTGCTCTCTGGCGGATATTAACATCTGTGCCAGGATCTTCACTGGGTGCCAACTTCCATAGACACAGTCACATGTCTCTTCCCCTCCGTGTTCTCAACCTTCCTCCTTCCAGGCCCTGACGAGCCCATCAAATCACACAAGACTGCCCAGGAGCCAATGTGGAGTCTGATTTCAGGATACTTCTCTTTCTACACTGCCTGAAGCCCTGCCCACTGCGAGAGCTTCCCCATTACCGCCGTCTCTCATGACCACCCTGAATGAGGCGGCCAGAGTACATCTGCAGCCAGTTTTTATTTTGTGCCCACATTTCAAGCTCACTCACCCCTGCACCAAGCTTAACCTTTCCCCTCCTCTGTCAGGTGATCACAAGGGACTCTCCCATGTGCCTCTGAGTGCGATCTGAGGGAAGGGCGCTGGTGTGGGGGTGATGGCACATGGGAGCGTGGGTCACAGCTCCATCACCAAATCGTTCCTCTCCTCATGTTCCTGCCCCTCGTTTATGTTGTGACTTGACCCTGGTTCTTGCTCTGGAATCCAGGAGGGAGGTGGGGACACAGCCTAGGGCAGGGATGTGCATGTTGTCTGGCAAGATAAAGGCTCAAGTGATCCCACAGGGAGCTCTGGAGCTAGGATGTCCCTTTGGCATCATCCTGAATTGAGGTGAGAGGACTGGCCCTTTTCCCTCCATATTGTCCAGACATTGGCTGCAAGCTGCCTCCCGAGAGAGTCACCACAACCTTGGCCAGGGTAGTCAATGCCCAGAGAAGCTCTCAGCTGTGAGCTGTGAGCAATGGCTCTCCCAGCAGCTGGGGGTGTGAGTGCCTCGCTCCAGAAGGGAGATCTAACTCTAGAATTCACCCAGCGCTCTGCTCTGTTCAGCCGCCAATAATACAGAGAAGATTCTACAGGCCTCCAGAGAGAAAAAAGAGGACTTAGAAAAAAATAAAATTAGAAAACAACATTTTATTTTTAAAAAAATTCCTTCCTTTTGTAAATGTTTGCTAAAATCATCCCTTAATCAGTTAAGGGATCAATTCAAAGACTACTGGTTGAGGTAGTACTAATTCTACTGTGTCAAAAACAACTCGCTTTACTAAAGTAAGCCTTGTAGGGGTAGGATTTGGGGTTGTCCTGTACAACTAACTGCTACCTGGAGTCCTCTACTTCCCCTCAAAGGAGAAAAAATAAGAACGAGAAAAAGAGCAGAGGCGGTACAGAGGAAGGATCACTCTGAAATGAGCAGAGGAACGCGTGGACCATGCAAGACTGTGGGGCTCCCCGTGGATCGCCCCGAAGTGCTCTGAATACCAAGCAATTCTTCAAAGTCTTATCACAAGACAGTGACCATCATGTATAGACAGCTTACATTTGTTGAGTAGGAAAGTGTCCCAGGGCCTGCTCCCTGCTCTGCCACACGTGGAGGCCCAGGGCTGGGGCTGTGTTCTGTGGGAGAAATCCGCGGGGTCGAGCTGGTGGGGAGACGCCTGGTAGGGCGAGGCGTTTGGTTTACTCTTGTGACTTTGGTCAACGCTCTGCAGGTTTGGCCGGCTCTTCTCTAGCGCCCTCTGCTGGAAAACGTCAGGAACTCTGTATTGAAAATACGTAATGAATATTTTTCAGTTTTTGGGCTTTTCTAGTGGGGAATTCCAGGTGCTCTCTCCAAAGCCCAGAGCCTCCCCAAGAGGAGCAGCTTTTACGAGACATTCTAGAAGGCAGAGAGGAGAATTCTGCTTCAGTCTGGTCTGAGAGGGGCCTGGGAGCCTCTCTGGTGGGTAAGAACCCAACTCTGGCACTGTCCCCCGCTGAGACTGTGAGCTGCGAGGGAGGCCGGGGTGCAGGCCTGCCTCCAGCGTGATTAGCTGTCTCAGGGGACAAATTCATCCCCAAGTACACCGTGAGGGGTTTCTGCCTCTCTTCCCATCTTGCTTTGAGGGTGGTAACAAGATTTATTCTTGAAATTGAAGGGGCTAAGTATTTTATACCAAACCTATAATTTGTTTTATTATTTTTTGAGACAGGGTCTCACTCTGTTGCCTAGGCTGGAGTGCAGCACTCACTGCATGCTCTATCGTGGCCTCGACCTCCCAGGCTCTGGTGATTCTTCCATCTCAGACTCCCAAGTAGCTGGGACTGCAGGCGCCCACCACTATGCCCCACTAATTTTTGTATTTTTATTTTATTTTTTGAGACAGAGTCTCACTCTGTCACCCAGGCTGGAGTGCAGCGGTGCAATCTTGGCTCACTGCAACCTCCGCCTCCCGGGTTCCAGCGATTCTCCTGCCTCAGCCTCCCAAGTAGCTAGAATTACAGGCACACACCACCATAGCCAAATAATTTTTGTATTTTCAGTAGAGCTAGGGTTTCACCATGTTGGCCAGGCTGGTCTCAAACTCCTGATCTCAGGTGATCCGACCGCCTCAGCCTCCCAAAATGCTGGGATTACAGGCATGAGCCACGGCGCCTGGCCATATTTTTGTAGTTTTAGTAGAGACGAGGTTTTGCCATGTTGGCCAGGTCTTGAACTCCCGGCCTCAAGTGATCCTTCCATCTTGGCCTCCCAAAGTGCTGAGATTACAGAAATGAACCACCGCGCCCGGCCTAGAATTTATTTTTATATCGGTCTTCCCAAGTGACAAGTGCTGTTCTATAGAACGCTCACTTGAAATTATGCACAGGGAACTTTTTGCTCAAAACAAAAGATCCCCATGTTCAAATACGACTCCTATGGAATGTGCTTGCGTGCCTCCTCTGGAGACTGTAAGCTTCAGGTGGAAGCTTGGAACTTAGGATTTCATTATTCTGTGGACGCAGGGATCGGTGGATGGATAGGAGGACAAACAAATGACACATTCCTTTTTTTTCTTTTTGCTCATTGTATTTTTTTAAAAAACATTTTAAGTCTACTGTACATACAGAAATATGAACAAATAATAATTGTATAGCTTGATGACGTTTCTCAAACTCACCTCTGCACCTGGATCCAGGAAGAGAACATCCCCAGACAGTCTCTCACACCGTCCCCCATGAAGGTGGCTACTCTCCTGATTCTAACAGCAAGGATTCCTGTGACCAGCTTTTGTCCTTTGCCCAGATAGAACTACGCGGTGTGTTCTCGTCAGTGTCTGGCTTTTTCGCTCCCTATCAGGAGTGTAAGATTTACCCACATTTTTGTGTGCATGGATTATAATTATGGCAGTGCAATCTCTTATCATAACAATTAGTTTGTGTTCTCCCAGAAGAGACCCTGAGCAAGGATCCTAGTGTAAGCAGTTTATTGGGTGACGAAGAAAACCCTGGCAAATGAGGTGAATTAGGAAGAGAGACAAGGAAAGGTAGGTGGCCAATAATAGGTGTGTTATATAGCAAATTACCACTGTGGGCACCTGGAGCTCAATCCCGCCGGTACCTCTGGGAGACGGTGTGGAGATGCCTCGGAGGGATGCAGGAGCTGTGTATTCACATCCAAGCTCCATACAGTCACTGGCTGATGGGCAAAGACTGTCTGTGTTAATGCCCTGGAACTCCCAGCCAGCTGCAGGGAGAGGCACAGGGGCTCTGGTGTTCGCGAAAGCTCTTGGAGGAAGAACAGCAGTGAAGGCAGTGGGAACTCAGGGAAGAGGGAGAGGGAAAGGAATCTGGGCAGTCAGAATCTGCTACAGACTCCGTGGATCAGGGTTTTACGTGACGCTTCTGTACTCAGCAAAGAACATTCTGGACCAGGTACTTGCTTTTCCTGTGAGAACATTTGCTGTGTTCATCCATCCCACGTCCTTTCATTCTCTTCCCACTTTTCCTTTTGCAAAGCTACACTTTGCTCAGATGCAGACAGCCTTAGTGGGTCTGTCAAACGCAGCCTAGGGTGGGTCTTGACCTAAGCTAGGCCAGCCAAAACCTGTCCTTCGGGGCAGGAAAGGGCTGGGACTGCCTTCTCCTGGGGTGGTGCCTCCATCAGTTCTCGCTGTCTGGTTTCCTGGGATTGCCCAGCTTCTTCTTGTCACTTGCTAGTGAAAGTTTTCCTCAAGGTTCTGTGAACTGCCCCATATTCTAATAAATTCCTCTTTTTGACTGTCTAAGTCCAGGCCCTCCAAGCAGCAGATGCCAAGGTGGAATTAGATTTCTAAGGGATTTATTGGAGAAATTGTGGAGGGCACCAGAGGAGGCTGGCAGACCCTTCAGCCAACATGCAGGTCTGACCCTGTGGAGGAGCGAGGGAAGGAAGGAAGGAAAGAAGGAAGGGAGGGAGGGGGGGCGGGAGGAAGGAAGGAAGGGGAGGAGGGGGAAGGGAGGGAGGGAGGAAGGAGGGCACCAGATGAGGCTGGCCGACCCTTCAGCCAACATGCAGGTCTGACCCTGTGGAGGAGCGAGGGAAGGAATGGAGTGAGGAGGGAGGAAGGAGGAAGGAAGGGGAAGGAGAGGACAGGCAGGGAGGGAGGGAAGAAGCAGGGAGAGAGGGAGTGAGGGAGGAAGGAAGGCACCAGAGGAGGCTGGCAGATCCTTCAGCCAACATGCAGGTCTGACCCTTGTGGAGGAGTGAGGGAAGGAAGGAAGGGAGGGAGGGAGGGAGGGAGGAAGATTTGATAGGAAAAGTTTTTGCAATGCAATTCTCAAAGAGTTTTGGCAAGTCCGAGGGCGGTGGGGGTGGTCCTTAAGCCAAAATTAGCTGGGTCTCAAAGAATAAACCTGCCTTAATATCCCTGCTGCTTTTAGTCATTGGCTGGAAACAGTCCATGGAAGTATAGACTTTGGGCCTAAAGTCAGGGGCAGCACCTGGAGCCTTTGGTCAATTATGCTCGCTGCAGCAGGAAACCTGAGAGGCACAGCTGTCACGTTGCCTCAGTTAACAAGACAGCAGCCAAAGCTACACCAGCTGATACAGTTCCTTTACCTCTATGGCTGTTTCTTTTTAATATATATATATAAATTTAAATATAAATTGCCTTTCTCCTTGATTTATTTGGATAATTAATAGTATATGACATCTACTTATCACACTCTGCATGCCACATTGAACCAATTACACTGTTAGAGTTTCATTTTGTTATCTGAAACTCTAGCCATATGTTTTGTTTTTAAAATGCAAATGCCCCTTAGTAGTGTTAAGTCTTAGTTGTTTACCCTTTCGTAAAACCAATGTTATCCAGCTGGCTCAATCCCACTTTCCAGCTGTTGGACCTTAGGCAAGTCTGTGAACCTCTCTGAGCCTCAGTTTTCTCATCTGTAAATGAGACCCTGCTCATGGGGTGACATAGTTTTACTCTGTGTCCTCACCCCAAAATCATCTCAAATTGTAATCCCCACATGTCAGGGGAGAGACCTGGTCGGAGGTGATTGGATCATGGGGTCAGTTTCCCCCATGCTGTTCTTGTGATAGTAAGTGCATTCTCACAAGATCTGATGGTTTAAAAGTTTAAAAATGTCCCCCTTCGCATGCTCTCTCTGTCTCCTACTGCCATATAAGACGTACCTTGCTTCCCTTCCCCTTCTGCCATTATTGTAAGATTACTGAGGCCTCCCCAGCCATGCAGAACTGTGAGTCAATTAAACCTCTTTTCTTTATAAATTACCCAGTCTTGGGTAGTTCTTTATAGCAGTTTGAAAATGGACTAATAGAGAAAATTGGTATCAGGATAGTGGGGTACTGCTATAAAGATAACCTGAAAATGTGAAAGCAACTTGGGAAGTGGGTAATGGGCAAAGGTTGGAACAGTTTGAGGGGCTCAGAAGAAGACAGGAAGATGTTGGAAGTTTGGAAATTCCTATAGATTTGTTGAATGGTTTTGACCAAAATGCTGATAGTGATATGGACAATAAAATCCGGGCTGAAATGGTCTCAGATGGAGATGAGGACTTACTGGGAACTGGAGCAAAGGTCACTCTTGCTATGCTTTAGCAAAGAGACTGGCAGCATTTTGCACCTGCCCTAGAGATCTGTGGAACTTTGACTTGAGAGAGAAGAGTGAGGGTATCTGGCAGAAGAAATTTCAGAAACTTTTCTGAAAGCATACAGTCATATGCATTCACAAAGAGATGATTTGAAATTGTAACTTATGTTTAAATGGGAAGCAGAGCATAAAAGTTTGGGAAATTTGCAGCCTGACCATGTGGTAGTAAAGAAAAACCCATTTTCTAGGGAGAAATTCAAATGCCTGCAGAAATTTGCATAAGTAATCAGGAGCCAAATGTTAATCACCAAGACAATGGGAAAAATATCTCCAGGGCATTTCAGAGAGTATCAAGGCAGCCCCTCCCATCACAAGCCCAGAGGCCTAGGAGGGAAGAATGGTTTCATGGGCTGGGCTTAGGGCCCCTGCTGCTCTATGTAGCCTTGGGACATGGCACCCTGTGTCCCAGCTGCTCCAGCTCCAGCCACGGCTAAAAGGGGCCAAGGTACAGCTCAGACCATTGCTTCAGAGGGTGCAAGTCCAAAGCATTGGCAGCTTGCACATCGTGTTGGGCCTACAGGTGTGCAGAAGACAAGAGTTGAGGATTGGGAACTTCCACCTAGATTTCAGAGGATGTAGGGAAACACATGGATATCCAGGCAGAAGTCTGCTGCAGGGGCAGAGCCCACATAGAAAACCTCTGGTAGGGCAGTGCAGAGGGGAAATGTGGGGTTGGAGCCCCAACACAGAGTCCCCACGGGGGCACTGCCTAGTGGAGCTGTGAGAAGAGGTCCACCATCCTCCAGAAACCAGAATGGTAGATCCACTGACAGCTTGGACCATGCACCTGGAAAAGCCACAGGCACTCAATGCCAGCTCGTGAAAGCAGCCATGGGGGCTGAACCTGCAGAGCCACAGGGGTGGAGCTGCCCAAGGCTGTGGGAGCCCACCCCTCATATCAGCACAACCTGGATTTGAGACATTAATTCAAAGGACATTATTTTGGAGCTTTAAGATTTAATGACTGGCCTGCTGGATTTCTGACTTGCATGGGGATTGTAGCCCCTTGGTTTTAGCCAAGCTCTCCCCTTTGGAACAGGAGCATTTACCCAATGCCTGTACCCTCATTGTATCTTGGAAGTAACTATTTTGTTTTCAGTTTTACGGGCTTATGGGCAGAAGGGACTTGCCTTGTCTCAGATGAGACTTTGGACTTGGACTTTTCAGTTAATGCTGGAATGAGTTAAGACTTTGGGGGACTGTGGGAAGGCATGACTGGTTTCACAATGTGAAAAGGACATGACATTTGGGAGGGGCTAGGGACAGAATGATATTATTTGGCTCTGTGTCCCCACCCAAATCTCATCTCAAATTGTAATCCCCATGTGTCCGGGGAGGGACTGGTGGGAGGTGATTGGATCATGGAGGTGGATTTCCCCCATGCTGTTCTTGTGATAGTGAGTGCATTCTCATGAGATCAGATGGTTTAAAGAGTGTGGCAGTTCCACCTTCATGTTCTCTCTCTCTCCTGCCACCATGTAAGATGTGCCTTGCTTCCCCATCTCCTTTCACCATGATTGTAAGTTTCCTGAGGCCTCCCCAGCCATGTGTAACTGTGAGTTAATTAAACCTCTTTTCTTTATAAATTACCCAGTCTTAGGCAGTTCTTTATAGCAGTGTGAAAATTTTCTTTCTTCTTTCTGTCTTTCTTGTCTCACTCTGTTACCTAGGCTGGAGTACAATGGTACAATCTTGGCTCACTGCAGCCTCAACCTCCCAGGCTTAGGGGATCCTCCCACCTCAGCCTCCCAACTAGCTGGGACTACAGGCACATACCACCACATCTGGCTAATTTTTTGTATTTTTTGCAGAGATGGGGTTTTGCCGTTTTGTCCAGGCTGGTTTTGAACTCCTGGGCTCAAGCAATCAGCCCACCTCAGCCTCTCAAAGTGCTGGGATTACAAGCATGAGGCACCACACCCAGTCCCCAGTTCTTTGTTTTCTCTTCTGTTTTCTTTCCTTCCCATCTCTGCATCCTATAGCCTGCTCCTTACCAGAATTGCTTTCCTCCTGACACTGAGATTTATTAAAGCATGGGAATTTGTTGGGATTCAAAGAGAAAGGAAAATGGGAAAGGATATTTTAGTAGATGAGACACTGTTCTATTCACAAAGAGTTTACTGAGGCAAGGGCCTACTACAAAAAGCATTTTACAGGTTATCTCATTATGAACAAATGTTGAGTACTGTTATTAGATAAGCCAGTTCTCAGGCTGGGTAGGGGTCTGCAGAGAAGAACTTGAAACTAGTCCACTGGAGAGCAGTGGTGGAGTGGAGAGTGGACAGAGCCTTAGAAAATGTCCTGTATGTGGGCGCTCAGTCAATATGTGGTGACCAAGAAGAGGCAGGAGAAGGGTAAAGAAAACAGAGTCAGAGGACTCTGAAAGTGAACTGCTGAGTCACAGCGCTGTCTGCTTCTTGGATGGCGTTTATCCCACCTGGAGACAGAGGCTCCATATTAAGTGGTGAACTGCTGAGTCACAGCGCTGTCTGCTTCTTAGATGGCGTTTATCCCACCTGGAGACACAGGCTCCATATTAAGTGGTGAACTGTTGAGTCACAGTGCTGTCTGCTTCCTGGATGGCGTTTATCCCACCTGAAGACACAGGCTTCATATTAAGTGGAACACCACCCATTGCACCTTCCTAGCCTCCTCTCAGTGCCTGCTCCACTGAGCCTTGAGCGCCCACTTTCCACTTTGCACTTGTCATTCTTTGAAGTTAATGGACTTTGGCTAAGCCTGCCTGTCTCCCTCTCTGAGAAATCCAAATGCCCCCCAAAACATTTTCAAAAGCTGGAACATTTGCTTTTCAAAAGTTGTCACAAGGGAGTCCTTTTAAGAACCTCTGGGCGGCCAGGTGCGATGGTTCACACCTGTAATTCCAGCACTTCGGGAGGCCAAGGCGGGTGGATCATTTGAGGTCAGGAGTTAGAGACCAGCCTGGCCGAGGTGGTGAAACACCATCTCTACTAAAAATACAAAAAATTAGCCAGGCGTGGTGGCACGTGCCTGTAGTCCCAGCTACTTGGGAGGCTGAGGCAGGAGAATCACTTGAACCCAGTAGGCGGAGGTTCTAGTGAGCCAAGATGGCACCACTGCACTCCAGCCTGGGTGACAGTGAAACTCTGTCAAACACACATACACATACACACACGCACGCATGCACGCACAAACAAAAAAACCCTGAGCTATTAAAAGGGTTGGATTTGCAAGAATTTTGCTTACAGAGAAAAATTGCAGGAAGCTAGGTTGTATACAGGAAGGTCTACCTAACTAATCTGTGGAAGAAGTAGAAGTGGTATTTCATTGCTGATTTGTTTTTCTATGGCAGTGAGAGTGGCTTTACCTGGAGCTACCTGTCCTCTTCTGTCTAGTCCCTCTTGTGGCTAGTGACCAGCATTTACAAGAAAGCTCACCTGGATTGGGAGCCAAAGAGCCACGAGGAGCTGGAAGCAGGTTGTAGGAAACACAGCAGGGTCAGCAGTCTGCATCCCATGGGTGTGCCTGCCTCAGCACTGGAGGAATTTCATGAAAGTCTCAGAGGACCTCCCTGTGCACACCCAGCAGGTTGTAAATGCCAGAGAATTAGGGCCCCAGCTCCCTGCTCCTCAGATGGGCTCATTCTGGGGATAATGTCCCATGCTGCTTCCCAGAACATCCCCCCAGGACTGTGCCCACTGGTCCACAGTGAGGTGGCTTCATAACCATACCTTTTGTTGGCCAAGTTCTCGCCTCGGTCTCACTTCTTCACCCACCTCA
The DNA here is from genome assembly GCF_000001405.40 of Homo sapiens. Taxonomy (NCBI): domain Eukaryota; kingdom Metazoa; phylum Chordata; class Mammalia; order Primates; family Hominidae; genus Homo; species Homo sapiens. The sequence goes on from NC_000020.11 coordinate 20,833,301, forward strand.
CTGTGTATCCCGCCTCCCCCTGCATATTCTCTACACGCCCAAATAAACCATTTGCACCCAAATCCTTGTAGCTAGAGAACACAAACCAAGACACACGCTAACACAGTCATGGGGACCTGCGTGAAGATTCAGTTCCGGGTCTGACACGCTGGGACGTGACAGGCGCAGGAAGGCAGTGTGGTGCAGTGGGGAGCACCAGGCACTGCAGGAGAGCCATGCCATGATCCCAGCTTTCCTGCTCTTGAGTGGTGTGGCCCCGACTATGTCCTTTACAATCCCCTGCTGGGATCTGAGCTCATTGACCATAGACATATAATGATGACAAAGGCCATGCTGGGGCTGGCTGGACACCTTTGCTGGTGTCCATCGCCATGTCTTACTGAGACAGGAATAGGAGAGGAGGCCTAGGATAGGCAGAGTCTGGGCAGGCATGAAAAACTGCTGAAGAGTTTGAGCAGGGGGAGGGGCGATTGGATCCGAATATTGAAAAAATATCATGGACAATGGAGTAGATGGGTAGACGGGCCAGCAGGAAGAGGGGAGATGCGCTGGGAGACACCACACCGCCCATCAAGGAGGCCTCACGGCGCTTAGACAAGGAAGTCTTGGGTAGTGAGGGAGAACAATGGGTAGGTCCAAGACACCCCGAAGCAGTCAAATCAACGAAAGTTCACGATGACTTGAACCTGGGGGTGGGCAGAGGGAGATTTCTATAAAAGATGACATCAAGTTTCTGTGCTACAACACATAAAGACCATTAGAAGAAATCAGGCTTGGAGAAGATGATCGTGAATTCCATTTTGTCATTTTGAATTTGAGATGCCTTTAAAACATTCCAATGGAGAATCAAATGCACTGCTGGTTCTACAGATGTACAGAGCAAAGGAGGGGCCAGAGTAGACACACATTTTGCATTTGTTACTGTAGGATGGTAACTTGAGCTGAAGATGGGGAGGAGACTCCCCAAGTAGGTCTCTGGACTACCAGCAGCACAGCATTACCTGGAAAGTTGTTTGAGGTGCAGAATCTCTGGCCCCATCCTGTCCAAGACCTACTGAGTCAGAAACTCTGGGGATGAGGCCTGCAGACCCTGTTAACACACCCTTCAGGGCATTTGCATGCACAGGAAAGCTTGAAAATCACTGACTGCAGGCAGCGAGTCTCAAACTTTGCTTCACACTAGAATTACCTGGGGAGCTTCTAAAATCCCAATGACAAAATCAGCTGGGTGTGGTGGCACATGCCTATAGTCCCAGCAACTTGGCAGGCTGAATTGCAGAGGATCTCATGAGCTCGAGGCTGCAGTGAGCCATGATCACACCACTGTACTCCAGCCTGGGTGACAGAGCAAGACTGTGTCTATAAATAAATTAACATAAAAATAAAAATAAAGCCAGGCACGGTGGCTCATGCCTGTAATCTCAGCACTTTGGGAGGCTGAGGCAGGCAGACCACCTGAGGTCAGGAGTTCAAGGCCAGCCTGGCCAACCTGGTGAAACCCCGTCTTTACAAAAATACAAAAATTAGCCGGGCATGATAGCGGGTGCCTGTAATCCCAGCTACTCAGGAGGCTGAGGTGGGGGAATCATTTGAACCCAGGAGGTGGAGGTTGCAGTGAGCCGAGATTGCACCACTGCACTCCAGGCTGGGTGACAGAGCGAGACTCGGTCTCAAAAATAAATGAATAAAACAAACTAAAACAAAATAAAATTAAATTAACAAATTCCCAGTGCCCATCCAGTACCATTACGTCAAAATCTCTGGGGAGGGCAACCAACTCATCCCCATTTGTCCAGGTCTGCCTGGGACTTTCCTAGTTTTAGCACTGAAAGTCCCTCATCTCAGGACACCCCTCAGACCTGGATATTCTGGATCCAGCCATCAGAAGCTTTTAAAACTCCCCAGCGGGTTCCACCTGTGCAGTCCCGTTTGAGAAACTGTTCCTGGAGGGTTAGTTCATGCTGCCTGAATGTAAGAGTTGACTGGGGAGCTTTAAAAAGATATTGAATTTCCCCGGATCCCTTCTTCAGAGATTCTGACTTGCCTGGCCTGGAGCGGGGCCCAAGTATAAGTAGATGATAACAGCCCTCAGGTGATTCTCATTACAGACAGGGTTAGACCCTCGGACATAGGGAAAGAGCATCAAGTGGAAAGAAAAGTACCCACCAGATTATGGCCATGAAGAGAAGGAGGAGACTTCTAAAGGGTGGAGAGGTGGCCGGAGAAGCAAGAGGAAAGCAGGGGCCTTGGCCCTCGGCAGCCGAGGGGAGATACTGCTGGAAAGTCATAATCAAGGCTTGCAAAATGTGCATTGGATTGAGCTGTACCAACATAGGGCGCAGAAGATAGGAGGGCTGCAGTGTGAAGGGAAGGCAAGCAAACCAAGAGCCAGAGGCTGCTCTTTCTGAAAGCCACATGGCGAGGAGGGAAGAGGGATGAGGCTGTCCCTGGAGGAGTCGTCTTATGTCCACTTTTTTTTTTTCCTGCTTCTTTTCCTTTTCTCTTTGCTTGTTTATTTTTCGACGGCCACGCATTTCTTGTATTTTCAGGGGAAGAAAAAGTGTTAAAAATGACTCTCTTGATAAGCTCCAAACATTTAAAAGTTGGTGAATCTACCAAGGCAACTTCATTATTTCTGTTGAAGAGCAGAGAGCAGAGGAATAATTCCAACTGATTGGCACACACGACTGGTCGTAAGTCACATGTTACTCAGAGCCAGAGCCAGGAGTGAAATCTAGCATCCTGGAGCCACACGGCTCTCCTGCACGCCTCGCCTCCTCCCCAAAGGAGCTCTGAGGTTTGGACTGCAGGAGGTGGCCACTGCTGATGTCATGCTTATTTCGGAAACCAACGGTGGCCTATCTTAGTGCCAGAGGGGAAGGCTCTGGGTTCATTTGGCTGGGTTGCATAGGCATTATTCCATTAGCAATCACATCACTGGGGCCCAGAGAGTTAGGTGCAGCTGATGAAGAATGAGTTGTCCTTAAGATCTGATTGCTGATCATTTGACAGTGTGCCGTGCTTACTCCATTAAACCTCTTTTTATCCCCCACATGTTCTTTGTTTGCTAGAGAATATGGGAAGCTATGAGTTCACTGATAATTTCTTTTCTTTTCTCTTCTTTTCTTTTCTTTTTCTTTGAGACGGAGTCTTGCTCTGTCGCCAAGCTGGAGTGCAGTGGTGTGATCTTGGCTCACTGCAACCTCTGCCTCCTGGGTTCAAGTGATTCTCCCGCCTCAGCCTCCTGAGTAGCTGGGACTACAGGTGTGCACCACCATGCCCAGCTAATTTTTGTATTTTTAGTAGAGACAGGGTTTCACCATGTTTGCCAGGATGGTCTTGATCTCTTGACCTCGTGATCCGACCACCTCGGCCTCCCAAAGTGCTGGGATTACAGGCGTGAGCCACCGCGCCCGGCCTCTTTTTCTTAGAAGAGCAAATGCAGGGTTCTCCAAGCTGCCCTGTTTGTCTCAGAATAGATTATTAAGCTGGTTAGGGGTTTTACCTAAATGCATGCAACTGTACAACAGTTACCCACAGGGACTTTAAGTGTGGTTTTCTCGTTTTCCTTTTCTCTCCTCTTCTGTCTCCCCATCTTTCCTTATTTTCCTTTCCTTTATTTATAAAGAGGTCATGACAAAAGAGGACAATTGAGGCTAAAAGGGGAGGATAAGAATGATTAACCTTTGAAGGGCTTTGCAAGCTATGTATATAGCAGCTAAGTGAGCCACCCGGTTCTGCAACCCTCTGGAATGGCTTTTCAAACACACGTTGATAGTTCCCTGACTACCTGTATTCACCAATGTCCCTGAAGCAGTCCATGCTAATGATAAATCGCTGTTTCTCATGAACCTGTTGTCTGTCATCTAGGGACATTTTCGTGTTAAATATTTATTTGCATATTTAAAAAACCGCATAAGAGCCCATTAATTACCATGGCGCTCCTGAAGGATGATGCAGGGATGCTTCATCAACGGGGCTGTTAACCCTGTCCACAAACAAATACGTACCCATCAGATTTACCTGTTTAACTTAAACTATAATTACTGGGCAATCAGACGGCTGACAAGTGTAGGTACTAATTATCCAAATGAGACTCCGGCTGCCCAGAGGTACCTAGTTATGTTTAGCTCCTTAACTGTTACTTCGTTTCATATTCACAATCAACGCAAGTAACTTGTGTCCAATGAACTGGTTTATCAAGTGCTTTTCTTACTCTTATTGTAAATATTGAGAAGTGCTACTTTCACACGTGAAGCAACACTTCAATATACATGGATTTTAGAATGAAGTCTAAACGATCTACTGGATTTCCTGGAAGAAAATACAGCGAGTGCTTCACTTAGAGATGGCGAGGCCAGCAGATGGCGGTGTGGACCAGAAAATAAAAATCTCCCCTTCGCAGCGATCGGGCTTTTGGGGTAAGACAGGCCAGGTTTACTTACTAACCTTGAAGAGCTTTTGAATTTAAAGGCCTTTCAGTTGTCCATGCAGAAGGACTTCTGATAAGGGAATCAAGAGAGCCACGTCGTATGCTGGGTTCTTAGGTTTAGAAAGAGCCGCCCAGCGGAGCAGCGTGGTCGTCCTGCATTGCGCACGGGGTGAGAGACTGCAGTCACCCCGATGGCCTCTGAATTCCTAAACTTTGGACTTCGATGGCTCATGAGGACTCAACCAGCTCATTCTAGTTTCTAGTTCTCCCCCTCGCTGACAACCTCGCTGTTTTTTTGCTATACTCCAGAGACTTATGGGAACTTTATTGTAACCCAGTGGGGGGAAAAATCTTCAATTTAAAGGCAGTTTACATTAATTTTTTTATGTTCATCTTGAAATCTTGGTTTCTAGATGGTTTAAATTAAAATGAGGGTCATATGATTTTTAAAAACACATTCATCTTTGACTCCCTGTCCTTGGCAAAATGGCTACTTAGATGTAAGTAAAAGGCCAGGCTTGGTGGCTCATGCCTGTAATCCCAGCACTTTGGGAGGCTGACACGGGCGGATCACCTGAGGTCAGGAGTTAGAGACCAGCCTGGCCAACATCGCGAGACCACATCTCTACAAAAATACAAAAATTAGCTGGGCGTGGTGGCGCATGCCTGTAATCCCGGGTACTCAGGAGGCTGAGGCAGGAGAATCACTTGAACCCAGGAGGCAGAGGTTGCAGTGAGCTAAGATGGTGCCACTGCACTCCAGACTGCGCGACAGAGCAAGACTCCATCTTAAAAAAAAAAAAAAAAAAAAAAAAGAGAGAGATGTAAGTAAAAGACTATTGAGTCCTTTCAGGAAATGTCATAAGAATCCCATTTTAACAGCCATTCTGGTAGAAAGGCATAAACATATAATGGAAATAAAAGTGAAATGATAAGTTGGACATATCATATCATCCAGACTATCAATGTTAATTATTGTCCCTTAGCTTCAATTCACTTTAACTGGGAATAATATATATGAAAATACAAAGTACAAATTGTCTCCTCTCTTCTTCCTCTCTTAGGTCCATTTTCTGTTTCTTTCTCCCATTAACCCACTGAAAACAAGTAGTATTTAACCCAGGGTACTATAAATGTTACAGTTTTCAGATACTGTTGTTAAACTTGTTTAGCTCATAATCTTGAGTAAATGATAGAGCTTGCTTTTCTACAGACTGTCTCCGCCCCTGGATTAGTCAGATTCTCCAGATTGAAAAAAAAAAAAAAACAAACAGAATAGGATGCATGTATACAGAGAGATTTATTTTAAGGAATTGGCTTAACATCTTCAGGGTAGGTCACCAAGCTGGAGACCCAGGGAAGAGTCAAAGACTGTCTGCTGGCTGAATCCTTCCTGGTTGGAGAACCAGTCTTTTTTTCTTAAGTCCTTTAACTGATTGGATAAAGCCCACCCACATTTTGGAGGGTAATCTTTGTTACTCAAAGGCCACTGATCTAAATGTTAATTGAGTTTAAAAACACTTTCACAGAAATGTCTAGAATAGTGTTTAACCAAATACCTAGGTACCACGGCCCAGCCAAATTGACACATAAAATCAACCATCACAACTCCTAACTTTTCTCTTGAAAACATTTCCTGGATGCACAGATAGAGCTTGGGATGGGCAGACCCTTTCCATATTCTCTCACTTGCAGGCAAGAAATGTTAACAGCACAGGACACTGGGCTGGGAGGTGGGGACCCGAGCATTGGTCCTCTGCTGCTGACACTAGTGTGGCATTGGGGGACAAGGCCTCCAGGCAGTGGTTTCCTCCTGCCTTGGTGTGAGATCTGGAGAGAGCTGGACATTCTCCTACACAGGGCCATGACCCACTGAATGTCATGATGATAGGACAGGGATGACACAGGTTATTAGTTGGTCCAGAAGGTTCCAACTAAGTCAGCTCCAGGAAGACAGGGGGAGATGGGAGTGGGGGCTTTGGGGATTGAGGTAGAACTCCTCATTGTGGGTTGGGAGCTGCTATAGTTTGGATGCTTGTTCCCCCCAAACCTCATGTTGACATTTGATCCAATGTTGGAGGTGGAGCTTAGTGGGAGGCATTTGGGTCATGGCAGCAGATCCCTCATGAATTAATGTCCTATCTGGAACCAAGTGAGTGAGTTCTCACTCTATTAGTTCCCATGAGAGCTGGTTGTTAGAAAGAGCCTGGCACCTCCTCCTCTGTCTATTACTTCCTCTCTGCCTGTGATCTCTGCATACTGACTCCCTTTCACCTTTTAACATGAGTGGAAGCAGCTTGGGGCCCTCACCAGAAGCAGATGTTGGCTCCATGCTTCTTGCACAGCCTGCAGAACCATGTGCCAAATAAATCTCTTTTCTTTATAAATTACTCAGCCTGCCTCAGGTATTCCTTTAAAGCAATACAAATGAACTAAGGAGCAAGGGCCAGAGTCTGAACCAGAATTTGGGTTAGGTTCTGTCCTTTTTTTTTTTTCTTTTTTTTTTTTTAGATAGGGTCTCACTCTATCACCCAGACTGGAGTGCAGTGGCACGATCTCAACTCAGTGCAACACCTTCCCACCAGGTTCAAGCAATTCTCCCACCGCAGCCTTCCAAGTATCTGGGACCACAGGCACCACACCCAGTTAATTTTTTTATTTTTTGGTACAGATAAAGTTTCACCATGTTGTCCAGGCTGGTCTCGAACTCCTGACCTCAAGTGATTCACCTATCTTGGCCTCACAAAGTGCTGGGATTACAGGCGTGAGCCACCACACCTGACCTATCCTATCTTTTAAAGGACAAAGATTGCTATGGGTTGAGGCTCTGGTAAATTGCTTGCAAAAATGGTTGCAATTATTCCTTTCCCTGTATCCCTGCCTGTTTCAATGTAACTTTGCTGCTCCTCCCATTGAAAGGTAGAATCTACTTCCCCACCCTTGAATCTGCCTGATCTTGTGACTTGCTGTGGTCAAGAGAATGTGGAGGAAGCAATGGTATGCTGAGCCTAGGTCTCAAGCGGTCATGCATGCCTCTTCTATCCCTCTTAAAACCCTATACAACCATCATGTGAATAAGCTTGGGGTGGCCTTCTGGAGAACAAGGGACATGTGGCCCAGGTACCCCTGTTGCCCTGGTCACCAGCGCCATCCAGCTGATGGTCAACTGAGTGCAGATGACTGAGCAAGTCTAGCTGAGACCCTGGGAACTACCCAGTTGAGCCAAATTGCCAGTCTGGAGAACAGTAGGTTAAATAAATGGTTATTTTTTTTAAGCCACAAGCTAAGTGTGATTTGTTGAGCAGCAAAACCAGAAAAAGGCTGAACTACAGTTCTAGTGGGAGATTTCTTCATCTACAGCCTTGCTACTGGAAATAGCTCCAGTGAATGGATAGGCAGGCTGCCCCATACCACTAGCTACAGCTGAAATTTAATTGGCACAATTATATTCATATGCAAATGAGATAATGAAAATATTTTTCTTGCCCTTAATAGCATCTTTAATTATCTGGGAGCTCTCAGGATCAAAGAATGTGCAACATAAGGCCACAATTCTGTTTTTGTGGTCTAGTGATCCTTACATCATTGCATCCTCTTGGGAAATGCACTCTTGCTTGGAAATTTCCAGTAGACAACTCCTTGTTAACAACCCTTGTTAGAAGCCCTGTCTTAAGCTTCTTAAATGAATCTAATTCTCAACCCACCCCCAAGCCCAAAACATTCAGTTCTGCTTTAGGTCCCAGACCACACCCTATGGGAGGTGGGTATAATAAACTGTCTTAATAACCTAACTTCTGTCTTAAGTTACCCGTCAGATCTTGGCCCTAACGCCCCTTCAGTACTAGTTAGACTAACAAAAGTCCCTGTGTCAGGGGTCCTCAATCCCTGGTATCAGGGTTACTGGTCAGTGGCCTGTTAGGAACCAGGCTGCATAGCAGGAGGTGAGTGGCAGGAGAGCAAGGTCAGCTTCATCTGTATTTACAGCCACTCCCCCGGCTCACATTACCACCTGCGCTCCACCTCCCATCAGATCAGCAGTGGCATTAGATTCTCATAAGAACGGGAACTTTACTGTGAACTGCGCATGCCAGGGATGTAGGTCGTGCTCCTTGTGAGAATCTAATGCCTGATGATCCGTCACTGTTTCCCATCACCCACAGATGGGACCCTCTAGTTGCAGGAAAACAAGTTCAGGGCTCCCACTGATTCTACATTATGGTGAGTTGTATAATTATTTCATTACATATTACAATGTCATAATAGAAATAAAGTGCACAATAAATTTAATGCCCTTGAATCATCCTGAAACCATTCCCCTCCCACCTGGTTGGTGGAAAAAATTATCTCCTATGAAACTGGTCCCTGGTGCCAAAAAGGTTGGGGACCACTGCTCTAAGTGCTACATTCAAGGCACCTGTGTTTTCCCCAGCACAGGTCTCCTGTCTCACTGTCAACTCAGCCATGAGACTGGGCCTACATTCCAGTTTCATATTCAAGTCCTACTGGGTCTAGAGTCCAGTGCTGTCCACTTCCTAACTGCCTGGAGTCCTGACAATGAACTCCACCCTCCAGGTGGCATCCTACTCTCCCTTCCCTCCTTCTTCAGGAATTAATGTTCTGGACATTATATCACTTCACCACACTGAGGTCTGTGATGCACAAAGTGGAGAACAGCTCATTCAAATCACTCAATAAGGCTCTCAAAGCTCAGGGCACTTTATTTCCTCCCAGTAAATAAAAAGTGGATGGTGGTTTGGGCCAACAGGATAACACGCCACTTTCTGGTATTTCCATTGGAACGGTTTTGTAATACACGGAAAACTGTTCACATGAGATTATCTGAGTTTTATGATGGTCCTATGAGATACATAGGATATAGGACAGTTATCAATATTCTCCTTTTACAGGTGGGGAAACTGAGGATTGAGATCACATGACTTATAAATGGTGGATCTGGGAACTGAACTCAGCTCTCCTGATTCCAAACCCTGTCTTTCTTGGAGTGAGAGAAGAATGCGAACTCCTGGCAGAGAGTCCATAGTCCCAAACACTCATTTTTTCCCCTTCAAACCCAGCTGCTGAGATGGCCTGGTGAGGGAGGGGACACATTAGAGCACTGTTACCTCTGAATCAAACAAGCCTTAAAAGAAAGCAGCACTGTTAGCCGGGCGTGGTGGCATGTGCCTGTAGTCCCAGCTACTTAGGAGGCTGAGGCAGGAGAATGGCGTGAACCCGGGAGGCGGAGCTTGCAGTGAGCCGAGATCGCGCCACTGCACTCCAGCCTGGGTGACAGAGCGAGACTCCGTCTCAAAACAAAAACAAAAAAAAACAAAAACAAAAACTTACCACTGTTGACGAAAATGTATCGCAATAAATGAAAAACCATGGCTGATGCTGCTACAAGTGTAAGAAGCGATAAAAGAGAGTCCTTCTGCTGGAGGAGCTTATGCTGCAGCTGGGGAGGGAAACATCGGCTCATTGGAAAGAGCCATGTAACTAGGTCAGGAGTATGTGGGTCTTCACCCCAGTTGCAGGTTGTTATCATATATTAGGGGAGGAGAGGGAAGGGTGAACTTGTCGGGGATGTTTCCTGGTGGAGCTGAGGCTTCAGAAGACTTTGGGGACATGTGTATGACAACTTCCATTTCACATAAAATTTTACATACTAAAGAAATGATTTGGAAAAACAACCAAATCTCATTTCTATTTTATGACGGACAGCATCATTCCCCTTTCCTCTACCATTTTCTGGAATTTGCTTTCATATGCTTTAATTGGGCATTTTTGCTGTATCTATCTAAATTCATGTTCAGACATAGTACTTTTTCAGCTTCCCCCCGCCCCCATTCCAACTACCAAAAGAAACCATCATCCATAAATATTTGGGTCATTTTATGAAGTTAGCAGCAAGGTCTGGAGCATGAGGAACCCTCAGACCCCCAGATTTTTGATGGGAAACTACAGTGCTCCAGAGAGGTTGGGCTGACTGGGTGGGGCCAGCCCACATCCTATTCCTCCTGGTCTCTAAGTGACACCCCTGCACACAGGCCCAGGGTGCTGTTCTCTACCTGGCCATGGCACTCTGGCCACTGACTTTGTCCTTGGCTGTCACTTTATTATTACAGTTACAGACCTCAAAAGATTCAACAGCACATAATTAAAAGCATACTCTATCAATATGAATGTTGCAATTTAGCAAGATTTTAGCCTTCTGCTTTCAGACATTTCTCCAACATGTGTTTGAACCAGGAATAATTCACCTTCACCTTTGTAGCTGAATAATTCAACTACAAAAATGTTCTTGTACTCTCTGATCTTGAGATGGAATGTGGGAGGCCTCTGGGGCAAACTTAGCCAAGCTTGGACTCACCTGTTTGAAAATGCCTGGACTTCCTCCTTTCCCTTGAACTGGGCTGCTCCCCTGGAGATGTCAGAAGGGGGAGCCACAGGACGGGTCCCCAGCTCAGTCCCGCTGGCTGCAGTCAGCTCAGACCTTTCTTCCCTCTCTCCCCACCCTCTCCACGTCCTGTTCTTTTACCTACAAATGACTCAGTGCAGCAGGCCTGCCTACAGTAGGCAGTTATTACGTGGCAGACATGATTACAGGCGTGGATACTTTCCCTGATAACCCCTCAGAGCCTGCCGGCCACCCCTTGTCGCCCACAGCCCTCCAGCTAGGACAGCTGGATGCTCTCCAGACTCAGATCTCTGATGCTGCACACGTGAAGCTTGGAGTGGGCCCAGGGAGAGGGAGATGGGAGGCATGGTTGCTGTGTGTTTATAGGGAGATTGTAAGACTTTCTCTCACCTCCAAAAGAGCTCCCCTTGGAGAACATTTCTGTGTGCCATTGTCCCATCTGATTTTCAAGTCGTGTTTACAACATTGTTTGTTGTATTTGTTCATCTGTTTTCTTTTCTTTTCTTTTTTTTTGAGACGGAGTCTCGCCCTGTCGCCCAGGCTGGAGTGCAGTGGCACAATCTCGGCTCACTGCAAGCTCCGCCTCCCGGGTCCACGCCATTCTCCCGCCTCAGCCTCCCGAGTAGCTGGGACTACAGGCGCCCGCCACCACACCCGGCTAATTTTTTGTATTTTTAGTAGAGACGGGGTTTCACCATTCACAGGATGGTCTCGATCTCCTGACCTTGAGATCCGCCTGCCTCGGCCTCCCAAAGTGCTGGGATTACAGGCGTGAGCCACCGTGCCCGGCCTGTTCATCTGTTTTCACACAACTAAAGTTGCTCAGTTGTTGTGCTGGAAAGGACTTCCCTGCCCAAAATATACCAGCAAGACCATCATGCAACCGGAGCAGGCTGTGCCACAGACCCTGGCATGCAGAGGTGTTGTGTAAACACAGAAGGGATCTGGGCAAATGCATGCCTTCATTTATAACAGATAAAAATAAAGAAGTGTGCCAGACAGTGAGGCACTGACGCTTCACAGGAGGGTTCCGAGAGCTTTCCTCCCTGCCTGAAGTTCCTTCTCAACCCAAGTAGCCACCTTGTCCTCGTGTTTGTAGTTCCCCTCTCAATCCAAGCACTATCCTTGGCCTGGGGGGGTCATCATCACCACCAGCAAGGGTCAGCACTGCAGAGTGACAATCCTGTGCCCTCCAAAGGCAGCTCCCTTAGACCAGGTTGACAGAGGCACTGCATTTTCCAACAGTCTAACAAAGAGAAGGACTTCTTCACTTCCAGCCTCGGGGGGATCCAAGACTCAGAGTCATGGAGTCCACAGCACCTGCCCTGTGTGTCCCAGGCCCAGTCTCTAGGGAGAGGGCTGGGAACTTTATCAGATTATCAAATTAAAGCAGTGACAAACATAAAATGAGGAACCACTATGGAAGGGGAGGGGTAGGGGAAGAGGGGGAGGTAGGAAAGGAGATGGGGAGAGGCAGGGAAAGGAGATGGGGAGAGGCAGGGAAAGGAGGAACAGAAGCAGAAAGGGAGAGGAAGAAGAAAAGGAGGAAGAATGAAAGAGAATAGGAAGAAGGAATCACTTCTATACATGCAGGAAAACCACTGCCAGGGTTTGGCATATTTTGTAGTTGGTTAAAAAGGTAACCTCAAACATCCTCTACCCACACTGGTAGCTTGTACCAGCATGTGGGCTCCCCATAAACAAGGAGGGTGCTTTCTGGGGAGCTTCTTGAAAGGGAGGTTGGGGTGGGAGCTTCTGTTTAATGACTTGGTGCCTTTGGAAAATTCTCCGATCTTTGTGGAGGTTCACAGTCATCCCACCCCAGTAAGCTGCACAGAGAGCAGAAAGGGCATTTAGTTCATGTTTCCACAAAAGAAAACCGGGAGAAACAGATGCATGGTTTAGTTAGGGTGACTGATGGTGGATAAGTTTGGCATCAGGTGGCCACTCTGGGCACTGGGCACTGGGCAGGTTGGTGGGCTCTAGTCAAGGAATAGGGCAGTGGATTCTGTGCAGATTCCCAGGCGAGGTGCTGGTGCCCTGCAGTGTGGCCTGTTTGCCCATAAGCTCTGCCAGGCAGGGACATGGTATTTAGCTGGTATCCCTTTTTTGTTTAAATGTCCCAAACAATTTTCAAATCATTAGTCTCTAACCATCCAGAAATACTGTAGCATTTCACACCAGAATGTACATTTATAATTTTTTTTGACAGGGTCTTACTCTGTCACCCAGGCTGGAGTGCAATGGCACGACATTGGCTCACTGTGATCTCCACCTCCCGGGTTCAAGTGATTCTCCCACCTCAGCCTCCCAGGTAGTTGGGACTACAGGCAGGCGCTATCATGCCCAGCTCATTTTTTTTTTTAATTTTTTGGTAGAGACAAGGTTTCACCATGTTGGCCAGGCTGGTCTCGAACTCCTGACCTCAAGTGATCTGCCTGCTTCGGCCTCCCAAAGTGCTGGGACTACACGCATGAGCCACTGTGCCCAGCCTATAATTGTTTAAAATGTAAATTACCTTGACTGTTTGAGCCCCTGCTCCCTCGGGGGTGACATTCTTTGATATGTGGCAGCTGACAGATATACTCAACCACCTCCCCAGAGCTAGAGGAAGGAATGGCATGGGGTGGAAAAGCCCTCCTCCTCCTTCAGGGCTGGGCCCTCTCCCTGCTGTCCCCTGCTCTCCCCTGCAGGTTTGTCCTCTCTCCTCCACACTGCTGCTGTCTATATATCACCTGGCCAGAGTCACCTGGCTTTCTTCCTTCTTTCCAGATAGGCCACTGTCTTTTGATACAGGTGTCCCAATCACCTGTGTGCCTTGCCATGGACCCGAGCTTGCCATTTTCATGGTAAAAGTTGATGTGTAGATCTAAGGGATTATGTAGAACCTTTGCACCATCAGCGTCAGAAAATAGCTCAGATTTACAGAAATGGATCGGTAAGCCAAACATCTTCTTGTAGAAGCTATTGATAGCTTTGTTTTTTCTATTTTGTACATATATAGTCACCCATTGGTATATGTTGGGGATTGGCCAGGGCACACACATATACCCAAATCTGCACACCTTGAGTCCCACAGTCAGCCCTGCTGTGTTATACGAAAAATCTGTGTTATATGAAAACTTGACCCTCCATATATAAGTGGGTTTCATATCCCTCGAATGCTGTATTTTCAATCCTTGTTTGGTTGAAAAAAAATCTGCATGTAAGTGTAACTGTGTAGTTCAAAGCTGTGTTATTCAAGGGTCAATGGATATATATATACTTTTCTCCTAATTGAAGAAAAGTTTATTTTTAGTGGCTAGTTTCTATTTTGTGATGTGATATCATTTTAGTATTGCTTGCTACTTCTTTGAACATCATTAAATTGATTTAAAATATTTTCTTAATTTGCTTAACTAAGAAGTTGGAATTTAAAAAATTTTATTAGGAGTGCCTCGTGTGCCTTTTGTAACATCTAGTTTGTCATGAAGCCAATTAGCTGTGTTATAGTCGAATGCCAGCAAAAGAATGCCAAGCTGTAAAAGGAGATCAGAAGCACATTTTGTGACCCATTTCTTGGTAGGTGGCATTGCTTGTTTGAAATTATACATCAGTGTTATTACACATAGCCAAGAGGGTTCTTAGAATGGATTATCTTACTGTTTTTTTTTTATCTAAGAATTTTATCTCCTGACACAGATGGATGCAGGGATGGGAGCCGGGGTAGCCTGGGAGATGGAACCTGGCGGTCCAGGTGTTGAAGGGTCGAGATAGACCCAGGATGGCCAATGACAGGAAACCCATCTGGCTGTTTAAATACGGTGCTAGGCAACTAGCAGTCACCCAGGCAACCGATGGGGCTGGGGAAGTCCAGCAAGAGGTGACAGCGGGTCCTGATGACAGGACTGACTTGCCCTCGGAGGCAGGCCATGGAAGCAGGCACTATTCAGAGACGCAGGCAGGTGGCTGGCCTTGGGGACGTCTGTCAGCTGCAGGGATGGGACGCCAGGCCTTGGGAAGAGCAAGAGCAAGACAGCATTCCAGGACCAGGGCAACTGGAGCCCGTGGATGTTGTCAAGAAGGAGGTGGGCACTGGGGAAAGAGATGCAGGAGCGAGTAGGTGGTCCAGGATGCCAGGTCCGGCAGGATTCCAAGAGCAAGCAGACCCCGGGGCAGCTGAAGGGTCAAGAACTGTGGTGCTGTGAAGTGGTTCTCAGGACTTCTTAGGTTTCTCTCTCAGGAAGGCCTACCAAAGGGTCCTAGGTGTGAAAACAGCGGACCATGGAAGTGGGAACAGGACGGGATATTTTCAAGTTGGGAGTCCCTGGTTAGAAGTTATTGGATTGGAAACTATGGAGGGTTTTTCTTGGAAGGGATTGTTATTCCACAGTCTGTGTGTGTGCCCGGGGTGTGTGTGCAAGTGAGAGTGTGTGTACAGGCATGTGAGTATACACAGGCCAATGTGCAGGGTTGTGAGTGTGTAGAGTTGTAAGTGTGTCCATATGTGAGTGTGTACGGAGTTGTGAGCATGTGCTGGTGTGTGAGTGTGTGCAGGTATGTGATTGTACATATACATGTGAAATACTGGCTGGGAAGTCCCTCTTAAGTGGCCAGAAGATGGAATGCTGCTACCCTAGCAATAACCTTGTGTGCGAGGTCTAAGCGTGGGCTGTGTTTATAAGGCAGGGATTGGAGTACCACTTTCATTTTCTCAGAAGGTGCCCGCCTATGTTTAATTTCCACCTATCAGATGGGCAGACTGATAAGTGAGCTTTGACACAATAACTCCCCTCGCCCTGAACAGAGAGCGCCAGAAAAGGAAGCCAGAAGAGGCTTCAGGTTGCTTTTACCCTGCTGGGGCCTCTGCCTGGGCTTCTGTAACACTAGGAGAGTGAGGGTCTCCATTCTTCAGAAAATGTGGCCTGGACTGGGGAGAGAAATAGGGTCATGACCGTCGGAGAGACAGGGCTGAAGCAAAGTCAGAACTTTGAGTGACCTCAGACTCAAGATTGTCCCTTCTGTGGCCTTGCAAGCAGTGAAGGCCGCAGAGAAGACCACAGCCACTCACTCTCCTTCTGTTCGGATTTCTCCTGCTGGGGCCCATGCAGCAGGGGGGCAACAGCCTTCAACAGTCCGGGTGACTTTGGAACAAACAGCTGGGCCGAACGTGGAAGTCAGCGGGTCTTTCCCAATGAATGGAGCCCTCAGTGTCTCTGTTGCAGAACTGTTCTCCTTTTGTCTCTCGCTCTTTGGCTCTCTGTTATATAAACATCTGGAGGGCTGAGTATCATTTTAGCCATAGTAAATAGCTTAAAGGAAGAATGCATCTTATATTCCCCCACAAAGAGGCAAAATGGTGTGTGGGCCGCACTAACATAGGAACTGGAAAAATATCTGTGTGGAGTGGATCTGAAGAAGAGTCGCTCTTGGTCTATGAATCGCTTTTCTCTTCCTCTTCCAAACATCTGTGAAGCAATGAAATAATATGTGTGAAGTCTGAAGATTCCCTTCCGGATCAATCTGAGAGTCTTTTTTTTACATCAGTGGCCATAAAGAAACAGGTTAAAGCATCAAATGGGAATGAAATTGCTTCCATATAATATTTCAGACCCTGTTTTTTTCCCAATGCATTAAGCAGCCTGCCAACTAACAAGCGACTCATTTCCATATTTGGAATATTTTCTGTGGTGGTTATATGTTTGTGTACTTGTGGGGGTTAGGGTATCTAGGAAAAAGATAAAAAGAAAAACAAAAGAACAACCAACACTTTTAGCTGATCAGCATTCTGTCCTTAAGGCAAAATAAGGGTTGCAATTCTTTTGAACACCTTTGTCTATCTACAGCCTCACAACTCAAAATGTGGTGCAAGGACTGGTGTCACCCACACCGCATCGCCCATGACCTTATTAGAAAGGCAGAGACTGGAGCACTCCCCCTCCACCCCCGAATCTGAACCTCATTTTAACAAGACCCCCCCAAAGGATTCCTGCACATTGAAGTTTGGGAAGCCGTAGTCTAAAGGCCCTGTCTGGATGGGTGGGCTCATTGTCACCGACTGACTTTGCTTAACACTCACAGGCTGGCTTGAGTCTTTACAGCTTGACATTCCTCCTATGGGAAGAATATTCTGGACCATCTCTTTACTTATAACCATTTAGTATTTAATTCAATCATTTTGCACAGTTCCTTGTGTGAAAGTATCAGGAAAAATGGATGTTTTGTCAACATATCCTCACTTTGACTGCTATCAATCCACAAGTATTTACTTATTCATTGAGACAGGGTCTTGCTCTGCTTCCCAAGCTGGGGTGCAGTGGCAACATCATAGCTCACTGCGTCCTTGAACTTCTGGGCTCAAGTGATCCTCCTGCTTCAGCCTCCTGAGTGGCTGGGACCACAGGTGCATGCCACCATGCTAGATAATTTTTTTTATTTTTAGTAGATGTAATGATAATTTTAATTATTAAATAATAAAAATAATGTATTTTTTAATTTTTAGGGTCTCACAATGTTGCTGAGGCTGGTCTCAAACTTCTGAGCTCAAGTGATCCTACTGCTTCGGCCTCCTAAAGTGCTAGGGTTACAGGCATGAACCACCATGCCCAGCTCACAAGTTGTTGGGGACAGAGCAATAACCAAGAAAAAGTTCCATTTTCAGGGAATGTAAATGCCAGAAGATGGAGACAGTTGAACACACAAGCAAGCAAGATTTAACAAGGCCTCAGATAATGCCATGAAGAAAACAAAATAAAGCTTTGTGATATCCTTTGGATTCAAGAAATCAGAAACAAGACACACTATATGTGGAAGAGTTGCAGTTGTTGACTACGGAGATTTTTCACAGCTGTCCACTGAGCTACCTGGCAGATGGATTAAGAGCAACCAGGCCCAGAGGCAAGGAATGGACTAAGAGATATCTGAATTTTCATCTAGTCTTAAGAGTTTTTAAATTAATAGAAATCCTAGTTGAGATTTGTATTGCAAGAAGACCCAGGGAGAAAGAGAGAGACAAGGAGGGAATAAAAACTCATTTCTTTGGGTTGGATCTAAATGTCCATCAACCTTCAGATGGATGAGGGATGGGTGGAGAGGGAGGGGAAGCTGAGATGATTTACTCACAAGAATGTTTTCTACATCAGTGCTAGTTCTTCAAAGTGGGTTCTTCACATTCCAGGCCCAGGTGGCTCCTTCCAGAGGTGCATCCAGGTGGCTCCTTCCAGATATGAAATGGTAGAAGAATTGTGGAGAAAGGGTGGCTGTGAAGTCAAGCACCATATTTAAAATACGATTCTATTGAATCCCAGCTAACTGTCCTCCAGTTGGTGCAAGAATTCCTAGAAATCACTGTTCATAGCAGCAGAAGAAGGAGATATTTTTTTTCTGGACCACTTATAAGAAATCAGTGGAAATAATAAACATATGTCCTAACATATTTCCTATGTTAGGAAATAAGATTTTCTGCTCTGGGAACATCTGTTCTGAATGATCATTTCTGGTTCACTTTTTTTAAACCAAAGGCTTGAATGAAAGTGAAACAAAAGCAAGTATTTATTTGAAATAAAAGCAGGAAAATGTCTACAAGAACATTTTGAATAAGAACTTCCTAAAATAAGGACAATAATCCTTACATGAAGGTCATCAATATTCCCTCCCCCAACTCTGAACTTCCTGTTGGCTCTGAGCATGGCCATCTTCAATTCTTCTTCTTTATGAGCTTGGAAAACTACTTGTTCTTACCCTCTGCCTTTGTCACTTAGCTTCTTGGATGGGGAAAAATAAGGAAAACGTGTCTTTTCAACTTCTGAGTAAGATCGTTTTGTTTTATTTATTATTATTATTATTTTATGTATTTATCGTAGAGACAAGGTCTCATTCGGTCACCCAGGCTGGAGTGCAGTGGTGTGATCATGGCTGACTGCAGCCTCAAACTCCTGAGCTCAAGTGATCCCCCTGCCTCAAACTTGAGTCTGGCTAATTTTTAATTTTTTTTTTTTTTTTTTGTAGAGACAGGGTCTTGCTATGTTGCCCAGACTAGTCTTGAACACCTGGTCTCAAGCAATTGTCTTGCCTTGGCCTCTCAAAGTGTTGGGATTACAGGGATGAGCCACGGTGCCTAACCAAGGACCAGGTCATTTTAGTTCAGTGTGGAAGGGCACTGTGTTAGTCCATTCTCACATTGCTATAAAGAACTACCTAAGACTGGGTAACTTATAAAGAAAAGAGGTTTAATTGGCTCATGGTTCTGCAAGCTATACAGGAAGTATGACTGGGGAGGCCCCAGGAAACTTAAAACCATGGCAGAAGGTAAAGAGAAAGGAGGTAAGTCCTACACGACCGGAGAAGGAGGAAGAGTGTGAAGGGAGAGGTGCTACACACTTTTAAACAATCAGATCTTGTGAGAACTCACTCACTATCATAAGAACAGCAAAGGGGAAATCTGCCCCCATGATCCAATCACTACCACTACCTCCTCCAAAATTGGGGACTACAATTTGACATGAGATTTGAGTAGGGACACAAATCCAAACCATATCATTCTGCCCCTGGCTCCTCCCGAATTTCATGTCCTTCTCACACTGCAAACCAATCATGCCTTCCCAACAGTCCCCCAAGTCTTAACTCATTTTAGCATTAACTCCAAAGTCCACAGTCCAAAGTCTCATATGACACAAGGCAATTCTCTTCTGCCTATTAGTCAGTAAAATAAAAAACAAGTTAGTTACTTTCAGGATACAATGAAGATACAGGCATTGGGTAAATACACCCATTCCAAAAGGGAGAAATCAGCCAAAACAAAGGGGCTACAGGACCCATTCAAGTCTGAAACCCATCAGGGCAGTCATTAAATCTTAAAGCTCCAAAATAATCTCCTTTGACTCCATATCTCACATACAGCCCACAATGATGAAAGGGGTGGGCTTCCATGGCCTTGGACATCTCTGCCTCTGTGGCTCTGCAGGGTATACTGCCTCGGATGGTTTCTCAGGCTGGCACTGAGGGTCTGCAGCTTTCCCAGGCACATGGTGCAAGCTGTCAATAGACCTACCATTCTGGAGTCTGGAGGACGATGAACCTGTTTTCACAGCTCCACTAGGCAGTGCCCCAGAGGGAACTCTGTGTGGGAGCTCCAACCCCATATTTATCCTCTGCACTGCCCTAGTAGACTCCATGAGGGCTCTGCCCCTACAGCAGAATTCTGCCTGGACATCAGGCATTTTCATACAACCTCTGAAATCTAGGTGGAGGCTCCCAAACCTCAACTCTTGCTCTCTGCATACCCACAGGCTTAACATCAGATGAAAGCCACACAGGCTTATGGCTTGCACCCTCTGAAGCAGTGGCCTGAGGCATATCTGGGGCACTTTTAGCCACAGCTGGAAATGGAGCAGCTGCAATGCAGGGAGCAGTGTCCTGAGGTTGCACAGGACAGCAGGGCCCTGGGCCCTGCCCACAAAACTATTCTTCCCTCCTAGGTTTCTGGACCTGTGATGGAAGGGGCTGCCACGAAGGTGTCTGAAACACCTTCAAGGCATTTTCTCCATTGTCTTGGCTATTAACTTTTGGCTCCTCTTTACTTATGTAAATTTCTGCATCCAGTTTGAATTCCTTCCCAGAAAATGGGTTTTTCTTTTCTATCACACGGCCAGCCTACAAATTTTTCAAACTTTTACACTCTGCTTTCTATTTATTTATTTACAACAGATGGTACAGACATTATTTTATTTTCTCAGAGCAGAGGTTAGGCCTAGGCCACAGCTGCCCCCATAGCTCCCCTCTTGTCTAAGGATGCAAAGTTCATTGCTGGGGCACATCCACCCCCAGCTGGAGGTGCAAGCAAAGGACACTATATAAGGAGGCAAAACTCTCCCATACTGTCTGAAGGATCTCCAACAAGCCATATTCTGGAAAGAGCTCTGACAGGGAACTTTCCGCAAGGTCCAACTGGAGCTGAGACTTGAGGTTAGGTTCAAGTGTAAGCTTCCTTTCCCTCACAGCCTCGGAGCCTTCTTGGGGCAGGAGCCATTGTGTGGGATGGGGGTGTTGCTGTGATTGAGATCACTTCCAGGCCCCCCATGGTCAGTCCCTGGATGGCAGACAGGTGTCCTGGCCCCTGGCCTTTCACCACAACTCAGATGTGGGTAACACCCTTTCCTGCAGCTTTTGTCACGGCTGCTATGCCTGTTGTCTGTGCATTAATGCCTGTGCCCTTCTTGGCATTCAGAAATTCCTCTGTGCCACAGGAAGTATGGGCAAGGGGCTGATTAGTGGCAGAGATTACCTGGATCTGTGTGTTGTTGTAGGATGCTCTAATGTGTGCAGTTGGGATCTCCTCAAATTTCTTTCCTGCCCACCTCAGAGAGCTTTTTTCTTTTGTAATGGGACGGTAAATGCTAAAGCTGGTGTAGCTGGGAGCTACCATCTTCTCTTCAATGTTCTGCTTGGCCTCAATGTCTTGGATCTTCTGGGTGCCTGTGTGGATGGTCTGCACCAGCATCCTGGCCATGACCCTGTCAGGAGGAAAAGATTAAGGAGGGCCACAGCCTAACAGTCCTTGGGGTCTGGGTGGCTCATGTGACACAGGCAGTCCTGGAGGTGGTGGTGAGCTCAAGGGGACAATCATTGTTACCTGGTGGTCAAGGATAAAGTCCAGGACCACAGAAGTGAAAACTCACATTTCTTACAACCTGCATGACTCAAATTGACCCCCATCTGCTTTCCTTTTAAATATAAGTTCCAGTTTTGAATCATTTATTTGCTCACACATATAAGCATATGTTGTTAGAAGCAGTTAGGTCACATCTTGAATGCTTTGCTGCTTAGAAATTTCTTCTATCAGATATCCTAAATCATCCCTTTTTTATTTATTTATTTTTATTCTTTTTAAAAAAAATTAATAGAGATGGCTGGTCTCGAACTCCTGGACTCAAGTGATCCTCCCACCTCAGCTTCCCAAAGTGCTGGGATTACAGATATAAGCCACCATGCCCAGCCCTAATTCATCTCTCTCACGTTCAAAGTTCCACAGATCTCTAGGGCAGGGGCACAATGCCTCCAACCTCTTTGCTAAAGCATAGCAAAAGTGACCTTTACTCCAGTTCCCAATAAATTCCTCATCTCCATCTGAGACCACCTCAGCCTGGATTTCATTGTCCATATCACTGTCAGCATTTTGATCACAATAATTTAACAAGTCTCTAGGAAGTTCTAAACTTTCCCTTATCTTCCTGTCTTCTTCTGAGCCCTCTAAACAGTTACAGCCTCTGCCCATTACCCAGTTCCAAAGTCACTTCCACGTTTTAGGTATCTTTATAGCAATGCCCCACTTCTCAATACCAGTTTTCTGTATTAGTCCATTCTCACATTGCTGTGAAGAACTACCTTAGACTAGGTAATTTATAAAGAAAAGAGGTTTAATTGGCTCATGGTTCTGCAGGCTGTACAGGATGCATGGCTGTGGAGGCCTCGGGAAACTTACAATCATGGCAGAAGGTGAAGAGGAAGGAGGAACATCATACATGGCTGGAGCAGGAGGAAGAAGGTGAGAGGGGGAGGTGCTACACGCCTTTAAACAACCAGGTCTCATGAAAACTCACTATCACAAGAACAGCAAGGGGGAAATCCGCCCCCATGATCTAATCACCTCCCAGCAGGCCCCTCCTCCAACGCTGGGGATTACAGTTCGACATGAAGTTTGTGCGGGGACACAAATCCAAACCATATCAGGCACTCTTGGCTTTGAATATTGACCTGCCTTTATATGGATGGCGTTATGACCTACAGGTATGTCCTTTTGTTTTCTCTTGGGATGAAAGGAAGATGCTCAAATCAGAAAGTCATCTATAGTCTATTATTCCTCTTAGCAAACAATTATGAAGACAGTAAGTGCCTCCTAAGATGGTACAGAAAGAGCACAAGGGGTAAAATGTGACTCTTTAGATTGGAGTCACCTGACCTTGAAAGTGACTCCCCTCTAAGAAGAGAAGCTAGTGCACAGAGCATCACAGGGCAATTGAGGAGTCCAGGAGAAGTCAAGGAAAGCATTCTGCGCTGGACATCAGGAAGTTGCATGGAGCAATGGGCACTTTGGCCAGAACTTAAAGAACCTTCTGGCCATGAGGCATCTAGAAATGTTCAACCATAAGTGCTTGCAGTGACAGCATGGCATTGACCCTCTTGGAGGAGGGACGACTGGCAGAGGGAAGGGCTTGGCAATGGGAAGTAATGGGATTAGTGTGGAGTACAGGGATAAGAAAGATAGGTGTGGCCGGAATGCTGTGGGTCTTGAGTGACTGTGAAGAGATTGAGTCGACAATGAGGAGCTGTTGAAAGTTTTGACTGGGGGCCTGACTGAATCATAGAGGAATTGTGCTAAGTTAATCTGGTGGTTTTGTGCAGATAGGTTGCGAGGAGGAAGGACTGAATTTAGAAAGAGGAAGTGGATGTGAGTGAGATCTGGAGGAATTTTCCACAGGACCGACGAATGAAGGAGGCAAGAGACAAGTCAAATGTAATTTCCAGCCTTCTTACCGGGAGATGGTCATGTCACTTACTGAAATCAGACAGTTAGGGTGGCACGTGTGTTTGGAAGGTGAAGGTAGTGAGAGTGTTTTGACATGTTGAGCTTGATGTTCTAAAAGAATATTTTCAACGTTATAAACCATTTAATGTATGTATAAATATAAATATTTATATGAAAATGTATACATACATATATTTACACATATAAAACAGTTATGTTTAGAAATTATTGCTGTTATTTTACAGGAGTACTTAGTAGAAAGAATAGCAATATGCCACTTAAGAGTATGAAAACTCTCCTTCAAATTGTTCATTTTTTGTCTCTCTTTCTGTTTTTCTCGTAATTAATGTGGTTAAATTGATGCAAGAGATTAGAGCCTCGTGGTCATCTGAAGTTTTCTCTTGGTGCAGTTAGAGCTTTCTTTGGTGCCCAACCACACTCAATGATTCATGTTTGTTTGGAATATTATTGAAGTTGGAAGCAAGGGGTGGTGCCTCTGGGCCATGCAGGAGGTGCCACTGAGGCTGTCATTTTTGCCAAAGAAAAGAAGGCAAAGCTCCAGCAGGCCCTAGTCCCAGTGATTCACTTAGAGAAGCTCTAGGAGGAGCAAGATGGTATTTTCTAGTCTCTGCACTGGTGACATTTGGAGCAAGTCAGTTGGAGAAAACCAGGTACCCTTCTTTCTACTGTCTCTGATTATGTCACAGGGAAATCTTGTAGGGATCCATTTGAATGTGCTTTTAATGGATTGGGTTTGAAACCCATTCCTCCTTTTGCACTCCTTCGCACATGCGGTGAGAATGGAAAACTCTCTTGGGAATCGGAACACGTTTAAGGTGAAGTAATGACGTACACTTGACTCTTGCAAAGTGACTAATGCCTTAAATGACTTACTGCTGCCATAATATATATGACATGAACCCAAAGGTCCCATCAAAGTTGATGTGACCTTTAAATAACAAAGGATCTCTTAGAAAATACATTTAAGAGGCCCTGTCATCTCTCAAAAACATAGGATCTATAAAGAGGGTCAGATACATTTAAACCATGTTTTGAAGTTGTAAGCATTTTTTATGTTCTTAGCATTGGATTAAAGAATACAATCAGGCTGGGCGCGGTGGCTCATGCCTGTAATCCCAGCACTTTGGGAGGCCGAGACGGGCGGATCATGAGGTCAAGAGATCGAGACCATCCTGGGTAACACGGTGAAACCCTGTCTCTACTAAAAATACAAAAAATTAGCCGGGCGTGTTGGCGGGCACCTGTAGTCCCTGCTACTTGGGAGGCTGAGGCAGGAGAATGGTGTGAACCTGGGAGGCGGAGCTTGCAGTGAGCCGAGATCTCACCACTGCACTCCAGCCTGGGGGACAGAGAGAGACTCCGTCTCAAAAAAAAAAAAAAAATACAATCAGATGAGACAGTATCTCAATGACTCAAAGTAGGCCTTCGTGGTAAGAGCCTATGGTTCTTGGTTAAAACCCTTAAAACTTGGTTAAAACCCTTAAAACTCATTGAATCTTTTTTGTTCATTCTTTGAACTTCCCTTCTATGTTCTTCTATTCTCTCCTATGTTCTACTTCTCTTTCTGTGTTCTATTACCAGAAATATACCTGTTGCTTGCTAATTTTATATGCCTACTCCTAAAACCTTAACAAGTGATAATGAGAAAAGAAAACATATTTCTTTGAGCTCTATCCCTGGGCAGGGAACTTTCTGGAACTCTGGTCCTCCCAACATTTCTCAGCACCTGAGCGGGAGGCATCTCAGCTCTGCTCACCAACGAGATCTCCCAGTTAAAGCATGGTGCCTGTCATCTTCTGGCTCCACTTGGAGATGTCTGTGGTTGATTATTTTGCTGCTGATGCAGCAGTGTGAGTAGGGAGGCAAGCTACTGTCACCAAGGAGCTCTTTCCTGTTAGCCCTAAAGGGACTAGTATTCCTCTTTATTGGCACTGCCTCTCACTGCTGCTGAAACTCTCCATGCTGCCACCCAAGTTATTCACATATTGATTCAGCAAATAGTCAGAACCATGGATAACCCACTGTATACCAGGCTCTGCACTAGGCACCATGGATACAATGACTGGCTCCTGCTCTGTCCTTATAGAGCTTAAAGTTCAATGTTGGATGCACACACAAAATTCACAATGCAAACAGAGGAGGCTCTTCAGACCTAAGGTTGATTGGAAGGATAGATGAGAGGTCCCACTGGCCTGGTAAGCTAAGCTGAGGATTTTAGTTGTTTTTCAACAAGCAACAGAAAATCTTTGAAAAGTTTTGTTGTTGTTGTTTGTTTTTTTTTGAGATGAAGTCTTGCTCTGTTGCCCAGGCTGGAGTGCAGTGGCACAATCTCAGCTCACTGCAACCTCCACCTCCCAGATTCAAGCAATTCTCCTGCCTCAGCCTCCTGAGTAGCTGGGATTATAGGCACACGCCACCATGCCCAGCTAATTTTTGTATTTTTAGTAGAGATTGGGTTTCACCATGTTGGCCAGGCTAGTCTCAAACTCCTGACCTCAAGTGATTCTCCCACCTTGGCCTCCCAAAATGCTGGGATTACAGGCGTGAGCCACTGTGTCCATCCCTGAAAAGTTTTAATCCAAAGGGCAAGCTGGATCAGTTTGGGATTTGGGAGAATACTCTGACTCAGGGTGGAAGAGCGGATTGTAAGAAGGACAAATGGAAATGGGAAGAAGTGCTGGGAGGCTGCTGTGAGGGCACAGGAGAGACAGTGTAGCATGGACTGGGTCTGGCTGTGGCAGAGATGGGGAAGAGCACCACATCCCGCCAGTGTACAGGGCACTACTGCTTCAGGGCAGCCTGCGCTGGCCAAGAACCACAGCCATGTTTGCTCTGCACCAATCCAAGGAGATTCTCTCTGTTTTCCTATTGTGACAGTCTGAGATCTTGGTCCCAAAGAAGCGTTGATTTACACTATCCATTCTAACATGTGCCTGGGAGGTCAGCCCCATCACTCGTCAGTCGTGTTCAGGGATGTTGCAATCCAGAGATGAACACAGCTTGGGCTTCAGCTGGCTACCTACAGGGGGATGGTAATGCCTAGGGGATTGGCTGGTTGTCAGAGAATGGAAAATAAGCTATGTTTTGGAGGCACAGGAAAATTTCAGAATCACCATTTGGTAACATTTCCATTATGTAACAGTGGACAGTTAAACAGATACGTTTCAGCACACTGTAAGCCGGGTGGGTGGCCCAGAGTTTCTATGTAGAAACCGTTGTTGGGTTGGAAGCGGCTGGTAGTGAGGTGGGGACCTTGAAGCCACATGTCTATTTCACCTCTTAGAAGGCTGAGAAAATGTCAGTTGCTTATATTTTTAAAAATGGAGGACTTGATGGAAATGGGACAACGGGACAAAATCGCACACACACACACACACACACAAACACACACACACACACCCCTTCCTCATGCCCAAGGGTCCTGCCTGGAGCATCCGTTTTCTACGATAAAGGTTAAGACAGTGCTGTTGACAGGTGCTTTAAAAGCATAAGGAACTAACTTCCTGGGACAGTCATGAGAAAAGCAAGACATTGCTAAAAATATGCACTCTTGCCCATTTGGGCGACGGTCTAAGCTCCTGAAAGCTTAGACAGTAGAAGACAAGTTAGTCATCGTCATTCTTTTCTGCTGATTTCAACCAAAGTAAGTACCCGTTTCCTCTGGGATCTAGCCCCTCAACAGCTGTTAGCAAAAACTAAGCCAGCAGGGGGCGCACAAGCACAGCAATGCTTGCAATACTGCCATTGGCCATGATTCTCTCCTGCCTCTGCAAGATAGAAATTAGGAAGGGAATGACTGTGGCGTTAGGCTGTACATGGACTTAAAGAGGCATGTAGAATCCTAAAAAGCAACATGAATTCTTTTCACTGTTGGAATGGAAGGCAATTTATACAGCATTTCTTAATTGCATTACATAGCATCTCTTAATTGAAATCAACTAAAGCTTCCTTAACTATTATTTTTAAAATTTAGTAGGGCAATTAAAAAAAAGAAAGTTATTATAGCTCTCAGCCATAACAACTCAAATAGCACATATTTGGGAGAAATGATAAAGAAAAAACTGGAAATACTGGATTCCTTTCTCAAAGCTCAAAAAGACAATGAAAGGGATGAAGGCAGAAATGACACTTAAGCAATAAACACATTCAAGTAAACATCAGTTTCTGAACACACTCCATTTCCATTGGCATCTGAGCATAGATCTTAATTCAAGAGGTTTAACCTGCTTCAGAGAAAATGAATAAAAGAGAATGTAGCACAATGCTTGAAGATCTTCACATTTATAGACTGGTGAACTCTCTCACCCACACACTGTAATTTGGGTGGCGTTCCTTCAAAACTATTAAGGCATCTTCATTGGAGCTGGGGTAATTCTAAGCAACACTAATGGTGTGCTCGATGTTACTGTAAGTGAGATAAATGATAGCAAACTTGTATGAGCAGGTGCATCTAATAACAGAGGCGTAGAAGCATAATACAGCAAGAAAGAAATGTTCAAATGCAGAAAATAAGAGCTCACGGAATCACTATGAGTGTGTTAGTGTGCATTACGGAGTGAACGATGTGTGTGTCTGACCACTTTGTCCACATCTCTATCTCTGGTGCACCCAACTTCTTTGAAAAATCAGAGTCAAAACCAGTGAGAGGAAGCCCTCATGTGTTTTCGGTCTCCACTTCCAGAAAACCTCAAGACATTTTTATTGGAGGAATAAAGAAAAAGCCCTTGAATTACAGAGTACTCAATGGGTCTAGGAGAATGAGTCTCTAATACTCACTCACATTCAAGGGAAATGACACATTTATCCATTTCAGGCTCAACTCTTTTAGACTGAAGAAAATCTAAAACAAATAGATATGGCTTACAGCATTGCCCATCTAATTAGTTTTCTTCCTGCACCAAAGGTGGTTGATGTTATGTGTTTTCTCCATATCCCGTGAAAGAAAGCTCTGGAGAACTTAGCTCACTTCCTCTAGAGAGAGTTCTTGAAGAGGAGGGAAGAGATGGAGCTGGCAAAATTTGGGCAAATATTCTTAGTCTTTGGCATAGAAATATATTGAGGAGTGAAAAGAAGCACTAAAAAAAAAAGACACCATCTTTTGGCCTCTAGTCCTAAGAATTTTAAGATTGTACTTTTTTTTTTTTTTAGATGAAGTCTCTCTCTATAGCCCAGGCTGGAGTACAGTGGTGCGATCTCCACTCACTGCAAACTCTGCCTCCCAGATTGAAGTGATTCTCCTGCCTCAGCCTCCTGAGCAGCTGGGATTACAGGTGTGCACCACCACGCCAGGCTAATTTTTGCATTTTTAGTAGAGAGAGGGTTTTGCCATGTTGGCCAGACTGGTCTCAAACTCCTGGCTTGAAGTGGTCCATCCGCCTTGTCCTCCTGAAGTGCTGGGATTACAGGTGTGAGCCACCATGCCTGGCCAGATTGTACCTTTAAATGACTCAATAGAAATGAGTTTCAGTAAGACATCATTCTGTGTGGGAAGCCACTTGCCTAGTTCTCTCAGAACTCCAGAACCCTGGCTGTAATAACTGGGCAAGTTTCATTCAACCGTGGTGGCCACACACAGTCCCTTTGTGTAAGGTTTGTGAATTTGAAATCTTTAGAAGATAACAAAAGAACTTGTAAATGATTGGACCCACACCCAGAGAGAGAGAGACCTGTATACATTCTTCCATGCAGAAAATAAACTGGAAATCTAACGCACAAAAATATTTTTGAAACCACATTATCGAGGTATGATTGACTTGTATAAAGCTGTGTGTAATTAATGTGTACAACTTGATGAGTTTGGGGAGAAGCAGACACCAGTGAAATCATCACTACCATCAAGGCCATAGACATCCATCCCTTCCCAAAGTTTCTTCCCATCTCCTCTATTATAATAATTATTAGTGTGTGTGGTAAGAACACTTTAAAAGATTTGACATAGACTATTAGTTCCTCCTCAGAAAGGAGTTGATGGGATTTCAGAGGTGGCGTGGCTTGGAGTTGCTCTTCTCTTGATGTCCCCTGAGGGCCTGCACTGATCTTGGTCCTCCTGCCAGTGCTCCCAGCCCCTTATGGACAACTGGCTTTCTGCACCGTTTGAAATGCTAGGCATGGCTGTCCCACACGGTGCTTGCTTTCTCGTGCCTTCTAACCTGGGCACTGAGCTTTCATCTGTGTTCACTGGCTGGCTCCGTAGCATTTCCTGCCACACCTCCATGGAGGTATGGGCATTTTGCATTCCATAAAGGGGAAAAGAGCTTCTTCCTGATCAGAGTTTAAGCTTAAAATGGTTTTCTTCCTCCTGAAACCACAACGTTTCCTAACAACATTAAAATTCCCCTCTGCTCAGCCCCCTACTGGACCAGCTCTGGGCTGGAGTGAGGAAGGCATCCCTGTTGGTGATTTCATGCCCACTGTTGTATAGGCCAGCACTTCCCCAAAGCTGGCCTAAGTACTAGCGTCCGGTTACCCTAGCACTGGAGAGCTTTGGGGGATCTGCCTCTGCCCATTCTGACCTATCCCGTCTAGGAGGAGCCTGACATTTTCATGTAAGGAGCTCCCAGGGCATCCCACACACCAGGAGGCTCAGGAAGCCACAGGTGAATGCTATGCCTGTGTCCCCTAGGGAGGTAAGTCAGTGGCCTGCAGAGCTCTGGGAAATCTTTCTGCCTGGAGAGTAGACAGGCCCACCAGTGAGGATTCCCGTGGAGTATTTAGCCAGCTTGGTTCTAGTTAGATGTAGAAGACATGGAAACAAAATGTGGTGTTGGAACAAAGCCTTTAACTGTGGGCCCCAGGAGTCCCTCTGAGATGTTTGGCCACTTTTCTGCTGAAATTGTGTTTTTATTGGTGGAGGATGCATTTTTAAAGTATAGAGGCGTAGCAAGATAAAGAATAGAAATGCCCCCGTCTGTGGAAGCAGAGAGAGGGCGGGAAGAAGCCATTTTGTCACTCACACAGCAGGTAAATGCCACCCCAAGCCTTACCCTGGCAAACTCCTGACTCCACCTGTGACTTTATTGTCTGAGACACGAGCCTCTACTCTGCTGTGGCTATTGAAAGTTAATTAAACTTAAAGAAAATGACAAATTCCATTTCTCAGTCCCACTAGCCACATTTAAGGGCTCAGAGCCACATGTTACTAGTGGCTACCGCATTGGACAGCACAGATAAAGGCCATCTCCATCCGTGTAGGAAGTGCTCCTGCAGGGCGCTGGCCTAGAGTTACCCCTGGTGGGAGATATGGGGCCCATCAAGCCAGGTAACCATCACTGGGGTGAATTTTTTCTCTGGTGTTGCTGGAGCTTATTGAATAGAGTGTCAGGATAGAATCGCTCGCTGGCTTAAGCTGAATTCCATAGACCTCCATAAAGAAACAGAAAACCTCTTCAGAGGAGAAAGCATAGTTGGAATAGCTCAGTGCTGGCTTAAGCTGTTCTGAGATTTTTCAGTTGTTCACTTCATAACTCTCTGAAACTCCAGCCAATACTTATTATATGGTCAGAGAAATGTGCAGACTCTTCGAATCTTTATTTTGTCCTTTTTCCTCTGGAACAGTGGTTGGAGGTCTCAGGTATTGGTATCTGCTTCAATGTCTGGAAAGCTTCTTGAAAGATGCCTGCTCTTCAACAGAGGAAGACGCAATGTTTACCTTCTTCCTACCATCTTCTGATGACTGGGGGAAGAAGACGACTTGAGACTGGCCTCCAGAATTAGGGTGTTTTTATGGGGAGAGAGTTGGAAGCTTGGGGTAGGGAAAAAGGAATAAGGAAATCCAAATGAGGTTGCTCTAGGGTTGCTATTAAATCCTCTATCAAAAAAAGGCCTGGGTACTGAGGTGAGTTTTGCATTATTTCCTGAAGGTGGAGATGTTGGACTTGGATGGATTCTGTGGCTCATGCACAGGAGAGGCCCAGCCTTTGGTAAGTTCAATTTCTGAGGAAAGATAGCAGGATCCTGTGTTGCTGGCTGGATTGTGAGACAGCATGGGTAGCACTTAAAAAAAAATCATTCAAATTCTTAGAAAGAAAAAGCTGGACTCCAAAGTGACCACATGGGCATTGCTCTGAGGAGAGGAGATATGGAGAAACTACTTGGCAAAATATATTTTATAAAGGTTTTGCACCTCCTGACATGTTGCATTAGAAAGCCATGAGTGATTTACGGCCAGAACTTCCTTTGGCTTCAGTTGAAATGACCTAGCTCTCCCAACTTGCCTCATGGACTCTGGTTTAGCCTGCCAATTAATCAACACCTGTTCAGTGGTAGTCACAACATGCCTGTGTCTACAAGACAGAACCAATGTTCCTTAGCTCAGCCTGTTTCTCAATCTGTAGTTTCTAATATCCTGAATTCCATTTTCTTTTTTGAGTCAGGGTCTCACTCTGTCACCCTGGCGGGAGTGCAGTGGTGTGATCATAGCTCATTGCAGTCTCCAACTCCTGGGATCAAGGGATCCTCCCACTTCAGCATCCCAAGGAGCTGGGACTATAGGCACATGCCACCACACTCGGCTAATTTTTTTTTTTTTTTTTTTTGAGATGGAGTTTCGCTCTGTTGCCCAGGCTGGAGTGCAGTGGCGGGATCTCTGCTCACTGTAAGCTCTGCCCCCTCCCGGGTTCATGCCATTCTGCCTCAGCCTCCCGGGAAGCTGGGACCACAGGCAGCTGCCACCATGCCTGGCTAATTTTTTTGTATTTTTTTTTAGTAGAGACGGGGTTTCACTGTGTTCGCCAGGATGGTCTCAGTCTCCTGACCTCGTGATCCGCCTGCCTCGGCCTCCCAAAGTGCTGGCATTACAGGTGTGAGCCACTGCGCCCGGCCCACACTCGGCTAATTTTTTAAGTTTTTGTAGAGACAGGGTTTCACTATGACGCCCAGGCTGGTCTTGAACTCCTGGGATCAAGCAATTCTTGAGTGCTGGGATTATAGGCACGAGCCACCATGCCTGCCCTGAATTCCAATTTCTACTAGAACTAAAGAAAGCTAGTCTCTGCTCCTTCTCCTTTTCCCACTGTGTCCTCTGGCTCCTAATTCAAGAACATGGTGTCTAGCATATGAGTATTTGTTAAATGAGGGAGTGAATTAGAAAATTACACTTAAAGTAGGATGTCCTAGGTTAAAGGCAACAGAATTTAGTGAGAGTGTGTGGCGGTCAAAAAGTTAGGAGTTCTTCCTAATAATGCCTTACATTTGGATAGCACTGTCTTCGCAAAGCTCTTTCACACCTATAATTTCATATGACTTACTGTTAAACCTTAGATAACATTAATAGCCTTTATGTGCCTTCATTTTTCACCCATGGCAAAGAAAAGATACCCAGTGGAAATACTGTTATCTTTTCATCAAGATGTTGTAAGAGTTATAATTGAGTAATTCCCTAGAATATCATTAGAAGTCAATCTGAATATAAAAGGGAATGCCATCACTTTTTGAAGTTTTTAAAGCCTATTTGTTATGGCCTAAGTGGGAAAAGCTGCCCAATAAATTAGTACAGTTTAAATAGGAATGTCAAGTTACCTCTGACTGGAGCTTGGTAGAATGTGAGAAATCTGGGCTTGGGCATCTTGCTGAGATGATCCTGGAAGGCAGGCCATGTAATGGACTTGCTTGTTTCACAATCAACCATTTTCCATCCCTCCAGGCCTCCCTCCAAGTGTTTTCCCAGGTGGGCGGCCTGCCAGGCTGTGTGCATGACAGTCTGACCCCTCAGGTTGTTTATAAGGTTCTTCAGGGCAGAGGTTCCTTGAGGACCAGTGGTCAAGGACTTGGGTTCCAGCCCCAGCTCTACCGCTCACCAGCTGTGTGCCTCTCCGAATCGAAGCGTCTTTATGTCTAAAATGGAAGCCACTACACTTCCCTCCCAGAGGAGGCATAAGAGACCTATGCCTGTGTAACGTGACCGGTGCCTGGCATGTAATACATTCTCAATAAATGGTGACTATGATTATCTTCTTGTGGAATTTTCTTTCTCACTTATTGTCAGTGCCTAGAGAATTGATAGGAACTTGGAAGGTAATAAGTAATGCTTACCAATTTGAGAGGCTGAATCCTTACATGGTGTTAATGATCTTGGTTATTTTCTCATTGATCTTTGATCCATTTCTACGTGTGGGCCAGGACATGCGGTATTTACTGTTAAAAGTAAGGTGGTAGAAGTTCAGTACACAATGAAAATGTGCAGTTTTCTTTACTAGGTTTGGAATATTCTTGGTAAAATAAATACTAAGATTTGTTCTATTAAAACAAATCTGGCTAACATCACAAAGCCAAAACAAAGCCAACCAGAGGTCTGGTGCAATGTTTCAGGCCTGTAATCCCAACACTTCAGGAAGCTGATGCGGGAGGATTACTTGAGCCCAGGAGTTCCAGACCAGCCTGGGCAACATAGTAAGACCTCCATCTCTACAAACAAACAAACAGACAGACAGACAAACAAAAAATACAAAAATTAGCCAGACATGGTGGCATATGCCTGAAGTCCAGCTACTTGGGAGGCTGAGGTGGAGGATCACTTGAGCCCAGGAGGTTGAGGCTGCAGTGAGCCAAGACTGAGCCCCTGCACTCCAGCCTGGGCAACAGAACAAGACCCTGTCTCAAAAACAAAACAAAACAAAAGGCAACCAGGATGGAATGTTGATTTAAACCTCAATTTCATTGACCTGTTTTAATCAAATAAGCCTACTTTAATTGACGGGAAAAACCAATAGTAATGTCCTGAATGCTTCATCTCAGCACATACAGACAATTTTTAAAATGCAACTCTCACTCTCGAGAGCTGGAAGGGAAACCTTTCTCTTGCAGCATTGTAGGGCTAATGCCTTGCCTCTTGGGGAGGACACTAGGATCCAAAGATAGGTTTTCCCTGACATCACCATTTTAATGGGAAAATGTATATAGGAGACGACATTTTGGGGGGAGGGAGGACAGGCAGCTCCAGAAGCCCTAGGCTGTTCTGGAAGGTGCACCCCACATTGTGGAAGGCAACTCTCTCATCATGATGCTTCTTATTTTGCAACTTTTCAAGAAGTTCTCCTTTTCATTTCAGTGCTCCCACCCCTGGCAACAGTAACCATTTCGAATAGTAAAATGTGCTTACCATCCTTTCAGTTTTGTTAAGGATGGGGATGAGTGTCCCTTTATTTATCCACTGTTGGGGGTACATGCCCATGGGCTTCCACACCCTGTGCTCTGGCTCTCTTGGATGGCTACCATTCACTCACATTGCCACTGACGAGGCCAAGCAGAGGAACGGACACAGGCTTCTCATTGAGCCCTCGTCTTCTGGGTCTGTGTTTGGTTGGTCCTGCAGCCGAAGCTTCCCACACCCCGCATGAGGTTTACTAGACAAACACCTTCAGGGACAGTGGAAGCTGATGGGCCACTATTCTTTGGGGGAGTCTGTGGTTTCATTTAAAGAGGAGCTGTGGATAGATGGCTCGTTATACTGCATTTTGGTTGCTGACGATGCAA
The DNA here is from genome assembly GCF_000001405.40 of Homo sapiens. Classification (NCBI taxonomy): domain Eukaryota; kingdom Metazoa; phylum Chordata; class Mammalia; order Primates; family Hominidae; genus Homo; species Homo sapiens. Next base: position 20,868,143 of record NC_000020.11, read on the forward strand.
GAATAAATGTTTATGGAATCATCTTTGTCCCACAGACACACCTGAATCAATACAATCACTTCTCCTTCTCCTTTCTGTTCATCATCAACTGCATCTCTATCAACAGGTTTCCATATCTGTAAAATGGGGATAATAATAGTACCTGCCTACTAGGATTTTTGTGAAAGACAAATGTAATTCACATGACTGGCATATAGTACATGCTCAATAAATGGTAGTTGCTGTATTGAAAGATGTTTGATACTGAAATGCAGTTGGAGGAAATAAGCATCCTGTCTGAGGGAGGTTGGTTGCCTTTTGTTGCTTACTTTATAGGTGATCTTCTTACATTTAAATTCCCACCATTTGACCCACATTTCCTGAATAGACCCAGGAGACAGCAAGAGCAATCCACGCCATAATAAAACCCTTTTGCTATCTGATCAGCATCAGCCAATCTAATCATTGGCTAAACTATGTACCAAAAACTGAATTAAAAAAAAAAAAGGGAGCTTAAAATAATGGGCTGCATTTAACTTGATTGCTTCTGTAGATTTGAGGCAATGTTTAGGAGAATCAATTTTGCCAGACTAAAAATAAAAAAGGAGGAACACGCAGCAATTTATATAGTGTTCTTTGTTATTTGAATCAATAGCACTGTCCCCATGAAGATCTGAATAATCACCTTTTTGTGTGGTGCTGGAACCCCTGATTTATCTCTTTGTGATTCTGTTATTGGACCATCAGTGGAACAGTTTTGTTTCTTAATAATTTCTTGCTCTAACTCCCTCTCTCCCCTCTATTTGGAATTCTTTCTCTATGCCAAAAACTTAGCATTTATTCCTTGTTGGGAGTTGGCATGTGCTATAAAAATATGTTTTTCAAATTAACATGTTCATGAGAAATCTCAAGAAGAGGAAACAGCATTTTTCTGATGAGGACATTGACATCTGTACCATTCCTAGAAGAACCCACATAACAAAAAGGGAGGCGGCAGGAATGGCTGCAGCATTTGCTGTCTTGGCGCCTTGTCTAAGGCACAGTTCCAGGTGTCTGTGTGCACCTCACTGCTTCACTTAGTCCTCCCACTGCTGTCTGGGATGTGTGCTACTCTCTGTATTTTACTTCTGTGGAATCTGAGGCTCAGGGAGATTCAGTACTTACTTAGGGTCATATTTATTAAATATCTGCCTGGAATTTGATCCCACTTCTGTTTGGCCAGAAGACACTTTCCACCATGTTATGTTGTCTCTCAATAGAGTCTGATTTCCGTTTGTCTCCTTAATAATATTAATTAAACCATTTTTTCAAGTGAAAGCATCTTTGGGAAAACTATTCATCTCTTTCTTTTTCAGAAACTAAAGAGCCAGGAGGACTTTTCTGTTAGAGCTTCTTACCAAGGATTAGGAAGTTTTGGAATTTCCAGGCTCCACAGTTATTTCAGAAGGGATTATAGATGTGAGCAATGTGCTTTTAACTCTGCTGTCACATCCTGGGGATTTCCAGTTGGTCAGGTTGGTGTGAGGTGGAGAAGTGTTCTCAAGATTTGGGAGCTGGATGCCCCAATGGGACAAAGACGGAGGAGGGTAGAGTTCCAAAATGGCCTCCACGGGCCTTCACGGGAGGACGTAGGCTTGTGTGTGTTATACTCTGATGGGAGGTGGCTTCTTTTTTTTTTTTTTTTTTTTGAGATGAAGTCTCGCTCTGTCGCCCAGGCTGGAGTGCAGTGGTGTGGTCTTGGCTCACTGCGACCTCTGCCTCTCAGGTTCACGCCATTCTCCTGCCTCAGCCTCCCGAGTAGCTGGGACTACAGGCGCCCGACACCACGCCCGGCTAATTTTTGGTATTTTTAGTAGAGACGGGGTTTCACCGTGTTAGCCAGGATGGTCTCGATCTCCTGACCTCGTGATCCGCCGGCCTCAGCCTCCCAAAGTGCTGGGATTACAGGCGTGAGCCACCGCGCCCGGCCGGGAGGTGGCTTCTTTAAAGAAAAGGCAGGCCATTAATACAGTAAATTGTTGGCTTACAAGAACTATATTTGTTCTTAATCTGGGGTGTGTGGACCCCCGCCGAGAGGTCCATGGTTGGAATTCAGAAGTCCTGTGAACTTAAATGAGAAGAAAGTTGCCATTATTTTCTCAAACCTGACTGAAATTTAGCGTTTCCTTTAATTATGAATCTACAGTACCTGTGATTTTGTCACCAGTAGAGATCAGATATTTTCACATCACATTGCAGTTGTTGCAGAAATATCAAACTATTACTTACGCTCATCATCACCTCAAAATGATGGGGGTTATTAAAGTCACCGCTAGATCCTGTTATTTATTGCACTAACAAAGAAGCACACATATTACTATAATATACATTTGTTTTAGTAATATTTTGATAACTGTATTTCAAGGTATTGGTTCCCTTTGTAATACTATGTGTTTTACTTTATGCATTTAAAACATCATTCTGAGACTGTTTTCAAAAAAAGAAGTTGAGACTCCTGCTTTAGAACAAGTAACAAAAACACAGGTTTAGAATTATAACTCCCTTGATGCAATTTGTTTGATGATCTATGGACTTCCTTAGGGTAGCTCACCTTTTCTTCAAGGTCTGCCTAGATGCCTATTCTGACTAGAATCTGTAACAGATTTCAAAGTCTGTATTTATTAAAATTTTTATTAAACATTTTTGTATTGAGATGATTACATAAACCACATTTTGGAATTTGCATATACCTCACAGAAAAAAAACTTATATCAAAGTCAGTTTTCTCCATCTCCAAGTGCTCTGGGGTTGAGGGCAGGGTGAAGGATGGATTTGAAAGGCCAGAGTGATACTGAAACAGAGGCTCCCTGCACTTGTCTTGAAGTGCTTGTTACAAGAGTAGACAGCCTTCTTTAGTGCCCTTTAAACCGTAATAGAAAATGCCCTCCTGGCCCCAAATACTGTCCCCACCAGCCTGCTGCAGTGCCTGAGATCTCCACTATTAATCAGATTTTGAATTAAGGTATTTTGATATTAAAGCCCCTGCTCAAAAATATGATGCAAAGAGATTCATTTCTCATATTCTCACACATTAGAAAATGCTTCGTTAATCCTCTCTCTCTTCCTGTGTAAACACCTTCCCCACTTTACCCACAGAATAATACAGATTCCTGTGGAAGAGGTCAACTGATTATATTGTGAAAAGCAGGAAAAAGAAAACGTTACAGCTTCTTGGTTCTTTTGCTGAAACCTTGATTATATGGGTCAGTCCGGGCATTGACTTAGAAACCTGTGATGGTGGTGGCGGTGGTGACTTTCATGGATCGATCTAGTTGTGAATTTTAATTTCTTTCATTGTGTGAGTGTCACTGTCACTCTGACAATAAAAGGTGGATGTTGGTCTGCTTTATAGCATTTCCCATCCCAGCAAAAACCCTTGAACTAAAGTGTCATTTCCAGGAAGCCTGTATTATAATAAAAATATCTTTCCCAAGAGTGGCAAATACACTGGCAATTGCTGACCCCTTATTGATAGGGTGACCGTATATGCCTGTGTGTCTGGTAGAGTCCCAGGCCAACCTGGTCTTCCATGGTACTATGTATGGTGACATTTTCACTCTTGAAAGTGTCTTAGTTGGAAGATAGATTATATAGTCTCCCTGCTTTGGGGGAACAGCTGTCATGTAGGCAGGGCTTATCAGGAAAGGATAGGAACGGAACAGAAGAAATGGAAAGTGATGGAAATGTAGTTGGTGTGTGGAGGAAAGGGCCAGCCAAGAGTTGACTACAACCAAGAATATCCCTAATTAGAAGAAAGGAGTGAAAACCCCAGGTACCCTTGGTGGGGAGCAGTATGGGTGAGAGTGAATGTGCCAAAAAAAAAGAAGGGGCCAAGGACTAATTTCCTTTTATCTCAGTTCCCTGAGTGCCTGCACCATCTTGATGGCTGAAATGTGTAAATTCGGATTTTAAGACCCGCCTCCATGCCAGGGCCTGATTTGGAAATCCTCAGCTGTGGCTGGTATTTGAAGTGACTTTTTAACCATGGGGGATGGTGGAATCTTCAATTCAAAGTTTTTGTTTTTGTTTTCTCAGTGCCCCCTTTCTTCCCTGTCTTCAATTTCCAATCCTGAAATCTACATTTGCGTAGCTCACAGAGGCCTAGGGTTGCCTCAGTGGTACTTAATCGTTAAAAAGAAGCCCCCAGACCATGCATCACCAAGAAAAAATGAAAAACTGAAGCCATCAGTGGCTCGGTAATCCACACTTATTGTTACTTTGTATTTTGAACATCACCTTTTCCACTTACAAACAGTTATATTATTAAAAAGATATTTTCCGAAGATAGTAACCTTGGCAGTAGTTGTCAAGGCTAATAGTTTGACATTTCAGATCACCCACAACTAATCAACTGAACATGGCAACACATTTGAAAAACCCATTATAGGCGGAAGGCCCTGAAGTAATATGTCAACGCTCGCTCTAACAGCTGTTATGTAAACGGGCTGATTTTTCTCTGCTGAATGGTCACATGGTTGGAGGGAGAGTGCCTTTGAAGGACACGTGCGTGTAGCTGGGAAAGGAGATTGTGTTATTGAATGCCATATATTTATGGGGGGAAAGTCCCTATCACCGATGATAAAAACACTCAGTCATCTCTCACAAATGCTTTTAGGGATGTTTTTCTCATCTAAACATAACACTCCCTGAAGGGCGTGGAGAGCTGTTCCACCATTATTGCCTTCCTATTGGGGAAATGATCTTTAGGGCTGAGCATCCCAGAGCTGTTGTCCAAGATTTCCCTGAAAGATAAGAGAAAAATAAGCCAGCAGCTCCGGCTTTCAAAAACTCCCAAGTCCAGGTGGGCAAATAAAGAAGGAAACTAATTTTGTTTCTGCAATACCTATAGATTTTCAAGTTGTTTAAAGTATTTGAAGAACCTAGTTCAGAGGATGGTTCTTTTTAATCTCTTAGCCTTGGCTAGATTTATTACTGAGTGATCTTTGTGGTTTTTGAGAAACAAAACAAGTGAAAGAATCCTCACAACTGAGTTTACTCCAAAATGACACAGAAAGGTTGAAAATAAAAAATTGGGAAAAGATATTCTGGGTGAAAACTAAGCCAAAGAATATAGCTGGCAGCTGTGTTCATAGCCGGCAAAATAGAATTTAGAGCAAAAAATGTTAATACCAGAAAATATAGACAAGACAGGCTTTTTAAAAGGAAATATCTCTAAATATGATAAAACAATCATAAACCTAAAAAATTTCACCTTGAAAGCAAAGTCTGACCAAGAAGCCATGGATAAATAAATTACAAGCATAATGGAAGTCAGTAACCCAACTCTCAAAAGCAGAGAGATTAAAGCAAACTAAATATTGCTCAGGATAACACAAATTAATAACCAAATAAGCCTGAGCAAAGAGATAGCTGTAGACATTGCCATCCAATAGAGAATACATTTTCTTTTTTAAGCATACATGGAATAGTTAAAAAAATTCTCAATAAATCTCGAAGAATTAATAAAGACCTGTCCTCAAACCTACACATGTGCCCCCATAAACCTGAAATAAAACTCAGTAAGAAAAAAAAATCAAATCAAACTTAAAGTCACTGTACAAATAATAATCATAATAATAATCCTATTCTCTGACTAAAATGAACCTCAGTTAGAAATCAATAACAAAAAGACAACACTCCCTCCAACTTTTTAGAAACTAAAAACACTCATCTCAAAATTCACGGGTTAAAGAAGAAATGATAGTGAAAATTGCAAAAAATATTTAGACATTAATAACAAAAGCACCACAGATCAAAATACATGCAGCAGAACTAAGGTTCTACTTAGAAGAAAATGCTTACTTTTCAATGTAGTTATTGGAAAATAAGGAAGACATCAATATTCACCTTAAATCATAAGGCAAAGAATAGGATACAGTCAAAGCAAGAAGGTAAAGAATCACAATAGAGATAGGAATTAATGAAACAGAGAGTGAGTCATTTTATGTTTCTCTTTGCAATTTTTGGTTACAGAGTGATGGTTTGTGATAGTTTATTTAAATAATGTATTCAAACCACTATTGGTGAACCTTTTCAAAACAGGCAGCATTTTGGACCCAGCACGGTGGCTCACGCCTGTAATTCCAGCACTTTGGGAGGCTGAGGCTGGAGGATCACTTGAGCCCAGGAGGTCAAGACCAGCCTGGGCAACATGGCGAGACCCCATCTCTACAAAAAAATACAAAAATTAGCCCGGCGTGGTGGAGTGCACCTGTCGTCCCAGCTCTTGGGGGTCTGGGGCAGGAAGATCACTTGAGCCCAGGCGGTAGAGGCTGCAGTGAGCCGTGTTTGTGCCACTGCACTCCACCCTGGGTGACAAAGTGAGACCCTATCTCAAAACAAAAACAAAAACAAAAACAAAAATCAGACAGCATTTCAGTTTGTTTAATCAGAAAGACTGTGTATTGTGCAAGAGAGTTTTCACTGGTCCTCTTGTGATGGTTGGAGCTACATAAAGGGCCTCCCAGGTAAAGGTGAAGGGAGGAGGTACTTGCAGCCCTGACACTTTTTGCTCACCTTGGTTGAGGTAGGAATCTTCTTTTTTTTGTAATGGCACAATGCCTGATATTTACTGTGAATTGTAACACAGAGAACACAAACAATGTACCCCTGGGCGAATTATCACAAGGCAAGCAAATTTGGAACCACGACCCAGGTCAAGAGACCCAGGTCAAGAGAATAGAACTTGCCGACGTTCCAGTGCCTTCCTCAGGACTGATCCCAGTCACCACCCAGTCTTACTTTGGTTTATAGTTTTATTCCGTAAGTATTTCTCTCTAAACTTGTGTAAGTGCACCTATTCTTTGAACTACGTAAGTAAAATAATAGAGTAGGTATTTATTTTTTTGTAGCTAGCTTCTTTTGCTCAGATTTTGTGAAATTAATGCAGGTTGTTGTATGCAGCTGTAAGTTTATTCATTTATCTTCATTGATATACAGTATTCTGTTCTCTCTATATAGCTCTCTCTCTCTCTCACATCCATCCTATTGTTTTTCAATGTAATTCACAATTTATAATTGTATAAGTATCTAAGGTATAAAGCGATGTTACAATTTATGAATACAATGTGAAGTTTTAAATCAAGCTAGTTCCCACATCCATCACCTCAAATATTAATACTTAACATTGTTTTGTGGTGAGAACATTTGAAATTTGCTCTCTTCAAACTTTGAAACACAACACTCTATTATTAACTATATTCACCACACTGCACAGTAAAGCTTTAAAAAAGAAAAAAGAACATATACCTCCCATCTAACTGGAATTTTGTACCCTTTCGGCCACATTGGGTGGCTTGGAATGCAGTGGCTCTTTCAAGAGTTGAGGTTAGAAAGTTCTTTGTACATTATTTAACATTCTTCCATGCCAGCAAGGCACTTAGCCCAATCAAGGCAATTTTTCACAATTTTCTGGTCATTAAAAATATACTTTAAAACTATCAACTTCACTTGAGGGCTTTCTTGGTGCTGCTGAATCAAAGCTGGAAGTCTCGCCATACTCCATTCATTTTACTGCTGGTTTGATTATTCTGGCCAGCACCTACACTAAATCTGAGAGCCTGAATTTTGTGCCCAATTAAACATGGAATTAAAAGCTCAGAGAGGCACATCCATTATCAAAATTGGGCCTTTTCACACCATACACTCACTCGGAAAACATTTCCTAGTGAACTAATAAACCTTAGCCGTTTTCATTCCAGCAGTGTTGCTGTGTCTCTCTGTTCTCAGCAAAAGGTCTACAAGTCTGAACGGAATCCAAATGAGCTCAGTTCCTGTTAATTGAAAAACAGGTAAGTCAGGACTAATTTTCTGAATTAATAGTGTTTGTCACAGCTTTGAAAATCTGCTTAAGTCAGGTCAAAAGTGGCTCTTCGGTTGGAAGAAGGGAATGAGCCGAAACACAAAGGTGGAGTGGAAGCCCGTCCCAACACCACAGTTCTTTCTTTGTTGCGGTTTTCCCATTTAAATAAGTTGTATTTACGTAACAGAGAATAAAGAGAAAAATGTATTGAACTTTCACACTTGACCACAATAAAAATGTGTTCCTTTATAAAACAGTCTGATAAAGTATTAAAGCTCAAAGACAGCTGCAGCCAGATAGCGATGAATACAACTGAAAACAATTGGCTATTATTGATGCAAACACTATGAAGCAGATCTGACTCCATTACAGGCAACTTAGGATGGAAAGAGACCATTTTATCTATATTGAAAGAATAAGAGCCACGTATATATTTGGGTGTAGAGACACTGAAAAAATTGATGCAAAAAGTTCTGACTCGCTTGGGGTAACCCACTGATGTTTCTATCCCCTTCTTTCCAATTCATTTGCACACAAATCTGTATTAAATATCCATAACTCACATCTGGGATTGTGATCGAGGGTGGATGGTGAGCAGTAAGAAGTTGCAAAGTATGGAAAAGTCCTGGTCCCTCTCCTCCAGGAATAGAAAACTGGAAGAACCCCAGGGAATGGAACCATTACGTCCCTTGGTTGGTTAAAACCCATCTCTTCCTAAACCTAAACAAAACAAAACAAAAAAAATCTAAGCTCATTGTCATGTTGGAAAACAGAAGCTCCAGGTCTCATCTGGTTAAATACGTGTATAACAAGGGTGTCTGGGAATTTGAGGCCATTCCACATTATCTTCTCTTAGCCATTCCAGAAGTTTCTTGAAGATAGCTTCTATTAGGATTCAGCATAGAACAATAATAGAAAAGCCAACCTGTTTCATGTCTAGCATGGACATGTGTACCTGCTACTCTAAAATGTAGCTCTGAGAATCACTTTGAACAATGCAACTATTGTTTAATCTGTTGGTCTCATGACTCCCTTGAACAAGACATTGGGTTTGAAAAGCCTGGAAATCAGAAGCTCTTGGGGCCAGAGGCTCTGCCACTAAATGAAGGTCTCTCTTCTCTGGACCTTAATTTTTCTCACCTGTAAATTAAGGTTATGTGATATCTTCCCAAAGTTCCCTTACTCTCTGGCAAGTTACATATTGTTGCTCTCTGAAATTCAGTCTGTTATATGTTGGAACTTTTGAGGGTAAATTTTTAAGGAAACACTACGTGATAACAAAGAAAAACCCTGGACTCTGATGTCAGTCATGACATCATGAATTCCTGTTCTACACTGTGACCCCAGTCAAATTACTTTCCCACTCAGAGCTTCAGTTTTTTCATCTTCATGGGAGAAATAAGAATATCTACCTTGGCTGGGCACAGTGGCTCACGCCTGTAATCCCAACACTCTAGGAGGCTGAGGTGGGAGGATTGCTTGAGCCCAGGAGTTCAAGACCAGCTTGGGGAAAATGGTGAAACCTCATTTCTACAAAAAATACAAAAATTATCCTGGCATAGTGGCACATACCTGTAGTCCCAGCTACTCAGGAGGCTAAGGTGGGAAGATCACTTGAGTCCAGGAAGTTGAGGCTGCAGTGAGCTTTGATGATGCTATTGAACTCCAGCTTGGGAGACAGAGCAAGACCCTGTCTCGAAACAAACAACAACAACAACAAAAAAAGAATATCTACCTTGCAGGTCATTCAAGAACGAAATTGGGCAATGTAGGAAGACACCAGTGCCTGGCATTTAGTAAGCACTCAAGAAATCATACTTATTATTCTTGCTGTTACTTTTCCTTGCTAAGACGTTCAATGTTGCCTTTTGTCATAAGCAGTACAATTCTTGCCTCACATTCATGAGGCAGATGCTAAGCTCACTATGCCAGTTTTCTCTTCTACCTGGGTGAAGCTATCCTGCATCTCCCAGCATCCCCTGTGGTTCTGTGTGCACATGTGACTGCATTCCACCAATGGGCTGTGGATAGAAAACCTCCTACTTGTAACACTCTTTCCTTCTTTTCTAACTTAATCAGACAATGTTGGAAGCCACATGTAGCAGATAGCAGAGCCAAAAGCTAGAAGGATCTTGGGCCCTAGAATTACTGCTTGACAGAGATACCCAATGGTCAGAACACTCTTTTTAGACTTTGTGCACGAGAGGGAAAAGACTGCTACGGTCTTTGAGTCATTTTTACACTTCTTAATTTATTTATTTCAGCAGCATTTCAGCAGCTAGCTTTGTCTTTTTTTTTTCTTGTTCTTTTGAGATAGGGTCTCACTCTCACCCAGGCTGGAGTGCAGTGGCGCAATCTCAGCTCACTACAGGCATGCACCACCACACCCAGCTAAGTTTTGTATTTTTTGTAGACATAGGGATTCCCTATGTTGCCCAGGCTGGTCTCTAACTCCTGGCCTCAAGTGATCCACCCACCTCCAGACTATAGGTGTGAGCCACCGCACCTGAACTGTCTAACTAATTTGTCTACAGAGACTAGCCATGATTTAAAGATATAATATTAAAAAATAAATATGAGCTGGGTGTGGTGGCTCATGCCTGTAATCACAGCACTTTGGGAGGCCAGAGCAGGAGGATCACTTGAGGTCAGGAGTTTAAAAACAGCCTGGGCAACATAGCAAAACCTCATCTCTAAAAAAAATAAATAAATAAAAATATTAAGCAGGCATGGTGGCACACACTTGTAGTCCTGGCTACTTGGGAGGCTGAGGTGGGAAGATTACTAAGCCCAAAAGTTAGAGGTTACAATAAGCTGTGATTATGCCACTGCACTCAAGTCTGGGCAACAGAGCAACCCCTGTCTCTAATTGATTAATTAATTAAAAGTAAATAAATATGAAAGGAACTGGTCTTCCTTTTTATTTACCTAGAATTGAAGGGGCCGTTGCTCTTCCAGTTCAATGTGACTAACATTTATTGATTGCTTTTCTGATATGCCAGACCAGAGAGAGAACCTCCATGCAGAATAAAGACTAGGGCCTGTCACATATGGGAGGTCAGGATAGACAGCAGGAGAGCCAGTTGGCCCAAACCCCCATTTGACAAGGCTTTGGAGTTAACTTCTTGATGTCACCTTCAAATGAGGCTATACCCAGAACCACAGAATGACCCAACAAGATTAAACATATTCTCCATATAATATCTAAAAATTTTCGAAACTTTATATTGGCACCTTATATAATGTATGTTATATAATATAAAACCTTATGTTATTTAAGGTTTTAAATTATTAAATTATTTAAATTATTATATATTCTTTAAATATACGTAAACCTAATTTTTAAATATATAACCTTATGTAATATACCTTATATTTCTTTTTTTTTCATTTTTCAGCATACCAGAAATACCCTGAAATGAAACAGTTTGATTCTCTCATAGTCCCTGTTCCCAAGTATCCAGTCATGATCACACATAATTACGTTAAGTGCCACAATGAACAGATAGAGTGGCTAAAGGAGGGGCACAGATTGATGAAGAGAGTGGTTTATTCCTTTGGGAGGTGAGTGGAGCAGGCTTCCCAGAAGAGGTGGGTCAGAAGCAGCTGATAAAGATGACCAGGAATGTCCAAGTGGAAAAGTTGAGATGGAAGGTGAGCTGGGGAGTGACATTCCTGACAAAGAATGACAGTCTGCCATGGAACAACGTCTGGGAGCCTCTGAAGGGTTTTGAGTAGGAGAATAACCCAACTACATCTGCAGTCGACAGCCATCCTTTGCACAATAGTGTGAAGGATAAACTGGGAAGGGAAGTATCATTGGCACAGAGGACTTAAGGAGTGACTATACTAATCTAGAACAAAGCATGATGTGCTGATCTAAGAAAGCGGCTGTGGGGGAGTCCATGATGGGGCAGGATCAAGATTTCCAGGAGGTTCGGGTCATGGTGCTCAATAGGTTCTGAGGTTGAGGAAGAAGACGTCTTGGATCACTCGGAGGTTTCAGCTTTAGTGACTGGCTGACAGGTAACTTTCGTGATGTTTAGGTTAGTCCAACCTGCCCACATGCTGACCAATAAAGGTAAAACTCAGGACTTCTCAGGTCGTCTCCCACTTGCTGTCATTCTGCTACAGTGTTTACCCAAACCTAGACACTAGGTTTCTTGTTGAGATCTGTTTTGGCCCCATATTCTACTGGACTCACAGAAGCTCCTTGGTTCATAGAAAATGGCTACTTAGACTAAATCATGGACCAGTTGTACTGTATTTGGGTCTGTGTGTGTGTGTGTGTGTGTGTGTGTGTGTGTGTGTGTGTGTGTGTGTTCCTAGCAGGCTTAATTGCAATAACATTTATGTCACATAATATAGTGCACTGAGGTTGTAATTTTCCTATCATCTAAATTGCAGGCTGAGAACTGTGTTAAGGAAGGACCGTAGAGAATGAATTACTGCTTTCAAAATGACTACTTTTAACAGACAATGTGACCGGCAAATGAATGCTAGAGCCGGAAGGATATTTTGTATTTAATGTCAGCTGTACCCCAGGACTTTTTAAGTGTAGCTAACTCACACCATTTGCATGTTAAATTTATAACTAACACCTGGTCTACCTAGAAAATCATTTTTTCTACTTAATGTTATATTACCTTTGGAAAGCACTTAGCAGCTATTTTTGAAAACATGGTGCTGACAGTTCAACCTGTCAATTTCTTTTAGACTCTCCTGACAGGTAGGCCTGGGTTTGGTTGCAATGACTCAGCGCTGGTGTGCAAATTGAAAGGGGCACCACTGGTTCCTTACAAGGAGCGCAATGAGCAAGTAAACATTCAGCATCATACACCCAGCAGATACTTATTGTTTACTAAACATGGTGACGATTAAAAACTCGTCTCACTGGGGAGCAAGCATGATCGTTGCAAAGGTAGGTACTGGGTTCAAATCCTGCTCCACCATCAACTCCAGCATCCACCACATGGCCTCAGCAAGTAACACAGCCTGTCTGAGCTTCAGGTCCCTCATCTGCAAAGTGGGTGTAAGAATAAAGCAAATCTCACGGGGATGTGGGACAGTAAAGGAGGCAGTGTCTAGGAAGTGTCTGGCCAGGGTGAGTCCTCAGGGAGGGACAGCCTGTCATTACTGTGATTGTCCTGGGTGACAGTTAACCTGGAAGACACCACTGGATAGGATTCTGTCCTGTGGGAGAAATTCAGATAACAATTCAGGTGAATCCAAAGTCATAACATCTCAGGAAGCCTCCAATGTCAAAGCTTTCAGAGACTTCCATGCTGACGTGGATCAGAGCGATGAGGCGCCAAAAAGGCCAGGGAGACCTGGTGCTGCGGAGATGAAGGCCTCCTTCTGTGGCTCCCTCTGTGGGCCCTGGGTCATTGTCCACCGCCTTCGGATCTGCTTGCACATCCCTCCAGCCCAGAGCCTGTGGGCCCATGCTCCTTTCTCTGACTCCTGGTTGTATCGTTTGAACTGTTGATTTGCTGGGGCTCCAAAATTAGAAATGCTGGCTGTGACTGACCCAATGCAACACAGCCTTCAGGAGACTGTTACTCCAGAGCCACTGACCCCAGATATCCATCCCCAAGAACAATTGGTCACATGAACTCAACTTTTAGCCAAAAGGTTCCAGCACAAGCTCAGGCCTGAGGGGGAAAGGCTGCTCTGTGGTGTAGGCAGAGCCCCTAAGAGTCAAGACACCCTCATGGGCATGCTCGCTGCTGGGGTTTGTCTGGGAGGAGAGACAGGTAGACGAAGGATGGAAAGGTTTGACATCTGCCCCTTCCTACTTTCCTTCTCTTTACCCTTCCTTGCTCCCAAGAGCCCTTTTGAAAATGGGGCTTTTAATCAATGGCACAGGAACAATGAAATAGTTTTGGAAAAAAATAAAATTAGAGCCATACCTCACACCATACATAGAATAAATATAACCAAGATAATTAGAGGTCTGAATGTAAGAAAGGAAGCTGTACAAGCATTTGGAAAAGACACAGTGAACTCCTCTATAACCTGCTGTGGAGGAAGGGCACTGTTCTACAGTGGGCAGGTCTATGCAAATCTGCTCCAAAGTCCAAGGAAGCTGAAAGGCCCAAGAAAGAGGCTGGCAAATCCAGTTTCTTCGAAAGAAACACTTAATAAGGACCTGGGAACAGAAGTTGTGTCTATGTCTTGGGTGGCGATGACATAAGATGGTGGATCCCATGCCATCACCCCCAGACCCAGGGCTTCTATGCCATAGAGAAGGGGTGGTTCAGAAGGGATGTGTAGGATAATCGAAGCACAGTAATACCAAGGTTGTTTGGGATTTACGGTAAGGACCTGCTCCTATACAAGGAGCAATAGATAAAAGGGAAATCTTAGAGGCTTCTCAGAACAGGGGTTAATGGAAGCCAACCTGGCAGATTAGCATCTAAGATGGAGTCGCTTTGGCTCCACACGTGCTCTAACTGTGGCTAACATCTCTGCTATGGAGAGACTTCTTAACAATTGAAGGAAAAAAGAGCAAACATCAAATAGAAAAACACACAAAAACACAAACAGACAATTTGCAACAAAAGGCTATAAAAATGGCCTTTAAACACATGAAAAGATGTTGAAATTTGTTCATATTAAGAGAATGGCAAATTAAAATTAGGCTGAGACACTATTTCTCATCTATCTGATTGGAAAATATTGAAAAGCTCCACAACACACTCTATTGATAAGGCTGTTCGGGAAATAGGCACTCTCACTGCTACAACTCTTGAGCGGGAGCACTTGGAAACAGCTAACAAAACTACATATGCACTTGCCTTTGACCCAGATATACCGACTCTAGGAATTTACTCTAAAGACACACCTTTAATGATACAAAAATATATAAACACAAGGCAATTCATTGCAACCTGGTTTATAATTGCAAAATATTGATAACTACCTAGAGACCCAATCACGGAGAGTATTTGAATAAACTGTGGTATATCTACACAACGGAATATTGGGCAGCTGTGAGAAATATTGAGAAAGATTACTGTAAACTGCTATGAAGTGATTTCCAATGTTCAGTGAAGAAAGCAAAGTGCAAAAGAGTATCTAAAGGATGCTTCCTTTTGTGTAAGAAAGATTAAAAAATTATAAGCTTATTTGCTAATGTTTTGCATAAAGAAATACAGGGAGGATAAACCAGAAACTAACATGATTAGCTACCTCTAGGGAATGGGTTGGAACAGGATGGAAGAGATAGTGGGGTTTGAATGGGATGGAAAGGATTAGGCTGGAGAGGAAGAGACAGTGGGGCAGGAATGGAGTAGACTTAAAGAACCATGTTAATTTTTACAAACTCAGAAAAAAATTAAATGAACAATGTAGAAAAAATATTAAAATAAAATGTAAACAGAAACAAATAAACTTAATTGTCTTTTAAAGAAATAACCATCATGAATGGGAGGGAATGGTTGGTCCAAACCTATTATGGCCTGGAGTGCTTTATTTCCCTACAAGCCTACTTTAGCATGGGAGATGGTACTTTTGTACAGAAAGAGCCCTGAAGGAGAGGAGAGAAAACTTAGTAGAATGCATTTTTGAAACGATCCATCAAAGCTCTTATAGCACATGTTTTCATGGGTTCTTAGTGTAGGAGCAGTTTGAAGTGGATTTAGTTTTATGGATAATAAACATGAGGGTAAAGGTCACATCAGACATTTTGTTGCTAAAGGCAGGTGATACTGAGATTATGTAGACACACAGGTATGCAATCTACATATTTTTAATGTGAAGAGTCCATGAGGGTGAGTCCAGCATGCTAATTGCTTGATGCCACCAAAAAGTATAATCTTGAAACAGAAGCAAGAAATATCCAAACAGGCCCCAAATAAGAATTTTAAATGGCTTTTCCTCATCTTCCAAGTGGAGTTCTACCCACACAGATTTATTGAGTGCTTACTATATGCCAGGCACTTTTGTCCCAGGACAATAAGGGACAAGACCCTCATGGAGACAGACAAGGAAAAAGAAGACAATTATCAAAGAAGACAAATTTGAGGAGTGAGCAATGACTTAAAGACAACAGAGTGGAGGTGGGGGCCACTTGTGCTGAGATAGTAAAAAAAAAAGTCCTCATCAATGAAGAGACATTTGAGCTGAGATCTGAGTGGGAGAAAAGGCAGTGTGCAGAGATCCAGGGATGAGTGGACCAGGCAGAGGGCACAGCAGATGCAAAGGCCGTGGGGTAGAACCAGCGTGTTTAAGAAACAGAAAGAAAGCCAGCATGGCTACAGCAGAACAAACAGGAGCCTGGCATGAGATTAAGCAGGATCACATTATAAAATAATAAACCCACCCAGATAACGCTATATTCTTAAAAGACTGACCCAAATTATATTCTGGTTCCCTGAACCTGAAAATTGTGTTTCTACTTCATGAAAATTCCTATGCCAGAGATAAAACTTGAAAAGGATTTAATGAAAAACCTTTACTCTTTCCCTTATCTGTTCTGGTTTAGCTATTTCCTCAGAGGTTGTCAGGCAAGGAGAGGAAGCTAGCTTAATGTTTCAAAAATGCCATTACTCTATGAAGAGTGATGCTGCTTTTGCTAAGTCATGAGGGGAAAGGCTACTCTTGGTTGATGAAACTCTCGATATTTATTTATTAAATAATTGTTTAAGGCAAATGGGGATTTCTGCTGGAAGAAGCTTCCTATAACCCCACCTAGCAAAGTGGAGAGGCACAGGTGAAGAGAGCAATTTCATGGTTCATGCTGCTATTGATGCTTCGTCATGTCCTTTGAGAGCAAGACTCTTTTGTTCAAGTTTGGGGAAGGAAGTGTTTAAGTTTTAGGTACTGTCAAATTTGGCCATCCAAGTGGAAACCGGGGGGCTTTCTGGGAAGATAAGAGAACAGAACTGGGGGACTCTTCCTTGGTGACCAGGGAGACAGCTCCATTAACCACCATCCAATGCTTAAGAGGGAAGGACCCAACTCTTTACCGCTCTCACAAAGTCTGGTCCAGAACAATCAGAACCCAAGGTCATTTGCTGCATGAGCTCACCTTCTTCTTATGGTTGGAGCTGTGTTGATAATGAGATGCTCAAAGGGACCATTAAATGAATGCTTCCTGTGCATGGCTGTATACTTACAGGAGAGCTGAGGAGCGCACAGGAGACCAAGCACTCCACCATTTCTGCTTCACTGAGCACGGAGCCATCTCTCCTTCGCAGAGCAGAAGACATTGCTCCAGCAGGTACGACTTTAGCTAGTCCTGGCCCCCAGCCCCTGGGGTGCCCTAAGTCATGCTGAGTCCTGCGCCTGGAGAGCAGGAGCCCTGGGAGGAGCACTCCAGACACCTCCTTCTGGAGCCAGGGATGCCAGCCATGCCAGCGCTGGGCTATCCATGGTATCCAGGAGACAGAGCCTTGTTGACACTGCCAGTGTTTGTAAATCCCAAATGCATCTGGCCTCAGGAAAGTTGTTAATTTTAGGTGGGTTTTGGAGACTTTTTCATTAGCAGTGCGCCTCAACATACCCAGCATGAGGAGAAAATGGAAAAAACTGAAATGATTTGCCGCCTATTTCCATGAGGGCCCTGCTGTTTTCTGGAAGAGGTTCAGAGTTTTGATCCTTGTAAATTAGTTTCCAGCTCTACTTCAGGTGAAGTTAACCATTAGGGATCATTTCACCCAGAGAGATGAACAATCAGGACCCGGAACACTGTTTTGTTTAGCCAAGGAAAGGAGTGGCCGGGCATAGTGACTCATACTTGTAATCCCAGCACTTTGGGAGGCCAAGACAGGGGATCGCTTGAGGTCAGGAGTTTGAGACCAGCCTGGCCAACATGGCCAAACCCCATCTCTACTAAAAAATATAAAAATTAGCCAGGCATGGTGGCATGCACATGTAGTCCCAGCTACTTGGGAGGCTGAAGCATGATACTTGCTTGAACCCAGGAGGTGGAGGTTGCAGTGAGCCAAGATCGTGACACTGCACTCCAGCCTGGGAGACAGTGAGACTCTGTCAAAAAAAAAAAAAAAAGAAAGAAAGAAAGAAAAGAAAGAAGGAAGAAAGGAAAGAAAGAAGGAAGAAAGGAGAAAAAAGAAAGAAAGAAAGAGAAAAGGAAAGAAAAGGAAAGGAGGCCACTCACATTCAAACAATGCCCACAGGACCCTGTAAACATGGGGTTGCCTCTTTCAAATTGGTAGAAAAAAAGAAAAGAAAGAAATAATTCAAATAGAAGTCTGATTTTCCTTAAACATTTAAAATTAAGGGTGATTTCAATAACTTGCTATAAACAAAGCCTAATCCCAGGATCTTGTGGCTGGTCTGGGCTCAAGTACTATGTTTGCAGTGGGGTCATTTATGAGAAAATCTACCAGCTCCATCTCTATTTTTGTGTTCCTATATCTATGGACCATCCCCTTCCACCCTAACCCCATCCTTTCTTCTCTCGATTATACAGTTTTCTTGGGTTATTACTGTTTAAGTTCAATGGGGTTTGAATGCAGCATTAAGCATCCTGATTGTTGATGGTAGTGGCAATTACAGTCTGGGAGACCTTATAATTTCTTTAGGAAATCCAAGTCCGAGAGGCATCATGAGCATATGTTCTACATTGCTGTGCCTTCAGTGGAAGTACTTCCTTATAAAGGAAAGAGGAAACCAAAGCGAACATACCAAAAAGATCCATTCCTTTAGATTAGAATAGAAACAGGCAGATGCCATAGAAGCCCGTGTTCAAAAAGAACAGAACGTAGAATTTTGATGTTCTTATCGTAGTTGGATTTTGGTATCTACCATGATAAATAAATTGTTATAAACATAATACAAATGGATAAATGTATTTCTTGCGTACGACTTCAAAGATTTCTTTGCTTTGGGATATTTTATTTTTTCTCTATTTCTTTTAAGAGGAAGGAGAGTGGGAAAATATAACTAAAAAAAATAGTTGACCATTAGCTCTTTCCTTCTCTAAGAAGTCTTAATTCCCAACACATCACACTGGATTGTCAGCACCATCTGGGCAGACAGAATTGTCCCATGTAAAGCCCACTATCATTGAATAGCAAATAACCCAGCTTTACATACATATATATACATACATGAACACATACACACATGAACACACACACGTGCACACATACATTCACACACATACACACATAATACATACAGTCACACATACACACATGTGCATACACATTCACATATTCAAACATGCTCCTCCATATACATGCTACACACTCACACACACACTTTACCTTTGCTTCTGAGGGGAGCCCTAGTGGCCTTCTTCACATGTCCAGCGAATAAAGAACTCTCACTCTCTGTTTAGGCACAATGAGATCTGAATAAAACATCAAATTGTGCCAACGAGACTCACGGTCACCTTCTTCAAGGTGTCAGTGGCATCTGAAACAGCAACAACAAAGTCCTCATCTTTGATGTTACAATCTGGGATGATGCTGGGCCCGGACTTGTGACCAAGGTTCATCCAGCTTGTCTCTGGGCCCCGTGGAGAGCTGTGGGAAGACTTGACAGTGTCATCTTAAAAGCAGGCTCCTAGGTGGTCCTGGGAAGGAGATGCAGTGTGTCAAGTTAACTGAAGAGCTGGGCTCCAAGTCCTGACTGCTCTGGGCTGGACAGAGGGCAGGTGCCCACCAGGGATGTCACCGAGGGGCTCGAGGCTTGGGGACAGCGAGGCCAGACCAGGGCGTAGAGACCTTTTGATCCCGGGCTTAGCTTTCAGTGCTGGAAGGCAGTGCAGTGGGAGTTGGAGACGATACTGATGTCCCGCACCAGCCCACTCGATTCCCCAGAGGGTCACAAGGCCAGGCCTGTATTTAGTTAGTGGTAATGATCTCGTTAGGGGTGTGAATGGGCCACCACCCAAGACATTCAGTCCTGCCAGCAGGCCTCCCCCCGAGCCCTGCCTACCCTGTGTGGCCTTACACGGGACGTGAACTGTGATTAACAGACTTCCAGTGCTTAATAATTTGCAAAACAGCATTAAACAAGGGAAGTTGAGGACAATTGGAATGGGACATTGGCCGGGCAGGAGGTGGTTGTCAACAGAGCTGAGACAATCCCGCGAGCAGGGCCTTCACAAAGCTGGCAGGGTACAATGTCACAGCTGGCTGCTGGCGGGGTGCCGGGCTGACAGCGCCTCCCCGTTCATCCAGGTGGTGAGGCTGAGCCAGCCTTTTAACTTTGTGAGTTTCTTTAAAAGGGAAGAGAGAGAGGAGTGGGGGAAAAGCCCTCCTGTTTCTTCAGTAGGAAAGAAAGTGAGAGGAGGCCCATTGAGCAAGAGAAAGAAAGAGATTAAGTAGCAAAGAAAGTGACAAGCTGATAATAGAGAACACTTTCAATGGTGGTAATCCTTGACATACAAGGACAAATATGAATACTTTTGTTCCTGAATTTAGATTAACTTTGTGTCAGGAGAGAAACCAGAATGCAAGTTGGTTTGCTTGTACCTCTCGTGAAGCTCCGCGAAGGCGAGTTGACAGCAGATTGAGAAGGCCCCCGGAAAGCGGCCGCGCAGGGGATATTGACGGGAACAACTGTAGCTGGGCAGTCTGTGTATTAAAAGACCACAGTGGTTGAAGGCAGAACAGGCGAATTATTAAAGATGTGAGATGTGGCGGCGTTTGACCTGTCTTTCTTTGTCTCACTGTGTTACATACCGTGAGGTCACCTCAGCCCTGTGGACGCTGTTTAACATTCAAAAATCATAAAAGTTTCGTATTTTTAATATCCATCACATGCAGAAAATCTGATTTTTATCAGTGTGTATTCAAACTTCCATGTATTAGGGGCCACTATCCACGGTTCTCAGAGCAACAGGAAGTTGGTTTTATGGGAACGTCGTAACGAGGAGGTCGTAACGAGGAGGCTTGTTTGACTCCCAAGAAACATAATAACTTATTAAGACCCAAGGAAAAGACGAGATAAACCAAGAATGGTCTGGGTGGGCTTTATTTGTAGCTTCTTGTGAGTTCCGTTTTTTGAGCCCACTACAAGAGTCTAGCCTTCTGCTTAGGGGACACTGATTTCTCTCCTGCTTACTAATGAGAGTAAGTGTCCTCCACACCTCTCCCAGCAGTTCCCGTTGTTAAACTTATTTCACGTTGAAATAGTCCATCGTGCTGCTTCCAACCCAAACAGCAGGCTGTGTTTCCTCTGGCAAATATCTTTCAAAACAGAGCTCCAGCTGCCACACTGGGTGTGCCCATGGAATTTGTCGTGGTGGTTTCCAAAATGTGTCCTCGGTATCCTTGAGTGTGGCTGCAGTGACACTCAGGAGAGGAGGGACACACCACAGGGGGAAACATCCAACACTTCGAGGTGTTTTGGGGAGGAGGTGTCTGCTGGAACGACCACTTGAAATTCCAAATTGCTGCTTATGATTAAAGTGATGAGTTAACGCTTCTTTAAAAGAATGGCGACAAGCAGCTGGGACTGAGACAATGAGGGTAGTGTGGGTGACGGAGGTGTCGAGAGAGGTGGTGGGGACTTTGCAGGGGAGCTCTGTGGATGTCATCAGGCAGTGACATTGTGACATTTTGTGTATGTTGTACTTTTGGGGCCACATTTCATCCAGTCAGGATGACTGACAGCCTTATTCTGTGATTTACTTAGCAGCTGGGATTTGTCTTGACAACCATGCTTAACGTGTCCCTTTCCAGGATTGGCAGGCTCCGGAGCAAAGAACCCGGGGGTCCTCCCGACTCGACTCAGTGCTGGCTGGCAGCATGTCCCGGCCTCAGTGCCTCTGCTGTGAACTGGCACAGGCTGCCCCTGCCCTCTGCTGCTCCTCCACGGCCTGTATCACCACCCAAAATGGGCCTTGCCTTGGGCCCCTTGGAATCTCCTGATTAAAACAGAAAAACAGAATGTGCCACCCACCAATTTTTTCTAGGAGTGTTTTCACAAAGGGACTGTTTTTTTGCAAAGGCTTGAACCAGGCCCATTCTGGCAGTTCTGAAAAAGTTAAGGATAGTTTAATCTGCTTCCATCAAAATAACTGTCTTATTGATTTCTTCCTGGACAAATCAGAACTGGATTTGCATAGGGCTTCCATATTTGCATGGGGTCTTTAAAGAACTGATGAAAATATCAGTTTTTTTTTAAAGCATTGGAAATTTTGTGTGAAACAGCAGTGATGGACACGTCATTGTACATTTGTCAAAACAAGTAGAATGTACAATATAGAGTGAACTCGAATGTAAATGTGGTCTTTGTTTAATAATAATCTATCAATAGCAACAAATGTACCACACTGATAATAATAATCATCATCATAGGGGAAACTGTAGGAGGGAAGGGAACCTTCTGTACTTTCTGATCAATCTTTCTGTAAACCTGTTATGGTTCTGTTAGGATTCTGTAAACCTTTTCTGTAAAACTTGTTTTAAAAAATATTTTATTAATCTGTAATCCCAGCACTTTGAGAGGCCAAGGCGGGTGGATCACAAGGTCAGGAGACCGAGACCATCCTGGCAACACCGTGAAATGCCATCTCTACTAAAAATTAAAAAAAAAATAGTCTATTAATTTAAGGCCGGACACGCTGGCTCATGCCTATTATCCCAGCACTTTGGGAGGCCAAGGCAGATAAATCACCTGAGGTCAGGAGTTCAAGACCAGCCTGGCCCACATGGTGAAACCCCGTCTCTACTAAAAATACAAAAATTAGCCAGGTGTGGTGGCAGGCACCTGTAATCCCAGCTATTCAGGAGGCTGAGGCATGAGAATCGCTTGAACCCAGGAGGCGGAGGTTGCAGTGAGCCAAGATCCTGCCACTGCACTCCAGCCTGGGCAACAGAGAGGGACTCCATCTCAAAAATAAATAAATGAATAAAATAAAACAAATAAAAATAAAAAATAGTCTATTAATTTAAAAACAAACAAAAGGCATTGAGTTGACTCGCAGCCAAGGTGGAGGATGTCTGTCTTCATTCATAGACACAGGGATTTGGCAGGCGCTGTTGATGCTCCACGCTGGCCGCCCCCACACCCGGCTACTGACACACCGGCTTGATGGTTTCCATCTACAAGTGCCCACTCCTCTTTGCTGGGGCATTTTTTGGCCCACAGGGGGACATACCTGAAGTGCTCCTTTTCCCTGAGAGCAGCCTTCAAATAGTAGCTGAGAGGCATTACTGGAGAAAACCCAGCTCCCCCTGGGGCAGGGGGCTAACTGCACTGTCTCCCAGGGGCCCCAGAGGGATGGGCCTTTACCACCCTTCCTCTCCTCACTTCACTTCCCCATGCTCCTCCTGATGCCTCCTTAATTCACTGCCCAGTTTCCGTCTCCCATGCACATCAGTGTCTGGGAGAGAAGCAGACCTTACTCTTGGCATAATCCACTGCCAGATGTGAAAACTGAATGAAATGTGCAAAGCTGTGATAGGAATATGTGTTTTCTGGGTTCAGCCTACTTGGATGGAATGCCACTGGGGGGATTTATAATTCAAAACAAAAATCTAAAAAAAATAATTGGGCAGTGCAAGGTGGCTCATGCCTGTAATCCCGCCACTTCGGGAGGAAGTTGCAGTGAGCTGAGACAGAGCCACTACACTCCAGCCTGGGAAACACAGCGTGACTCTGTCTCAAAAAAATAGATAAATTGGATGTAAAGACTAGGTGACTAGGAAGACTGTCTCTTTCAAATGAGGCACCGGTTCATCCAGGGCTATTTCCTGGCTGGTTCTGGGGAGCTGATGGTGGGAACATGAGAAGTTGCTACTCTGCTTTGCTACTTCGATTTGAATTTAAGCCTCCAGCCATGGAGACGTGGAAGGACTTTCCCAGAGGGGAGTACTGAGCAGTCACCAGGCTTCCTCCCTTCCTCGCTTGCTTGGGGCTGGTGTTCACCGGACTCAGGACAGCACAAGGGCCAGCACCCATCCTGCAGCAACATCTCTGGGCAAGATCCACGCGTGCTACATTTGCGGGCTCCTTGGTGGACAGCTCTCCTTCTCTAGCAAAGCATGAAAGAGCTATTCTTATTCTACTCAATGACTTTGTTTGAATAGGTAATAGGTGAATATGACATAATTATGCAATCAGGAATAATACAAAAAAAAATAGACATTCTCCTCTTCCATTCCCAGTCTTCCAGTTCTGCTCTCCAGAGAGAAGCCTGGTTTTAGTTTCTCCTGTGCTCATGCATGTATAGTCTATGTGTAAACAGCAAATGTTGGTCCTATTTGTTAAAAAGAAACAGCAGTGTGGTAGATGGCCCCCAGGGATCCTGCCCCCTAGGTACTTGCCCTGTAGAAACGCCTTCTTGAGTGTGGGCAGGACCAGGGCAGATGATGAGATGTCGCTCCTGTGATTGGGTTCTGTTACGTAAGACTGTGCTGTAGCTATGGCTTTGAAGAAATAAGCTGCCACATTGTCAGCGGGCCACACTGCTGGGGCCTGAGGGGGTTCCGTAGGAGCTGAGACCGACTCTTGGCCTACAGTCAATAAGGAACCAAATTTTGCCAATGACCTGAATAAGCTTAGAAAGGGAACCTGAACCTCAGATGAGACTACAGCCCCAGTCAACACCTTGATCCCAGTCGGGTGGCATCCTGGACAAAGGCTCCACGTGACCCATACCCAGCCTCCTGACCTCAGGAAACTGGAAAACAATCCATTTCTGTTGTTTGAAGCTGCTACCTTTGTGGGAATATTTTACATAGCAATGAAACACTAACACAAGTATAATGGTATTTGGAAAACACTTGTTTTCCTATTTGTTTTGTTTTGTAACTTTTTTTCCACTTAAAAATCCATCTTGGAGATGATTTCAATCAGTAAATCCTTCTTTAACCCTGTGTGTGAACAGCTATTTGTTTGTCATTTGATCTGCCGAATTCTTTTCCAAAGAAGCTTATGTTTTACAAATGAAAGTTCAGTAGCAGCTGTGCTTGGTCATACACTTGGGCTGTCTTGTCATAATAAGTAACAAAGTAACAACGAGGTGATGCAAAAGTAATGTGGCCAAAATAATTTTCTGATCTTTCTATTTTTATCTGTTATTTTATTGGTTTGAAGATCAAACTGATGAAGACTTTTAAAGATGAAGGTAATTTCCAATGGCACATAATAATTTGTCCTGTTACAGTTATAAAAGGCAAATGCACTTTCTTTTCTTATGAAAGCCACACTAGAGACATTCAGGACTTGTAACAGACTGGCAAGTATGTTGCTGACTCAGTTTCCCTTTCCTCTGGCAAGTAGATGACCTGTCCTAGTCTTCCTTGAGGTTCAGAGGCTGTGACCTCCAGCCAATGAAACATGGCAGAAGTGGTGCCTTTCCCTTACCAGGCTGTCCCACAGAAACCTCCCACTGGATCCTCCCCACTCTCCCCACCTCCCACCTGCCAGCTAGAAACAGGATTCAAGAGAGAACTTAAAGTTCCAAGGGATGGTGGAACCTCAGGCTGTGAAGAGACTGGCCTTAGAATCACCCCGTGAAAGGCTGCCTCAGAACACTTATATTGAATCATCATATGAGCGAGAAATAGAACTTCCATTGTGTTAAGCTGCTGAAATTTGAGGATTGTTTCTTTCAGCAGAGAGCTTATTCTCAGGATTTACTTTCAGAAAGGATTCTCTACTTTGCAAGAGGAATCATGCCAGGATCTCTTTAAGTTGCAGGCTCGCCTTACACAGGTGATATGAAGCCACTTATTACAAATTGATCTCAGGGGTACATCAGTTGTGCAAGCTGCTGGCACATTCAGGGCCATACTCAAAGTGGGTGTTCAGCAAAAGGTATGCTCCACAGTAAAAAAAAAAAAAAAAAAATACGCAATGACATTTATAGTAAGTTCTGATTAACATCATGATCTCCTAATATTAATGTTTTAGTTGCAAATAAATGCTAAGTTTGTATTTGCTTATTATTATTATTATTGTGAGACAGGGTCTCGCTCTGTGGCCCAGGCTGGAGTGCAGTGGTGTGATCAGGGCTCACTGCAGCCTTGGCCTCCCAGGGTCAACAGACGCTCCCACTTCAGTCTCCTAAGTAGCTGGGACCACAGGCATGCACCACCACACCAGGCTAATTTTTGTATTTTTTTTTTTGTAGAGATGGGGTTTTGCCATGTTGCCCAGCTGGTCTCGAACTCCTGGACTCAAGAGATCCTCTTGACTTGGCCTCCCAAAGTGCTGGGATTACAGGTGTGAGCCACAGTGCCTAGCCTTGTATTTGTTTTCTAATACATGTTGAATCTACTTTATTTGCTTAGTTGATTTATAGCTTTCCTGTTTTTAACCTTATTGTTTGAATTTCCCCACAAGCAGTCATTGCAACTCAACGCAAAGCAATAGAAGAATTTCTTTCTAGCTCTACCAGTTACTTTTTTCCACTGGAATAAACATGCTTCAGGAAAGTCAGTTTTTGAGTAGCTTACATTGAGTTCTAAGGAGTTGTCCCTTGGCCAATGAGGTACTTGTGTTAGGGGGCAGGTAAGTTTCCATTCAGCAAGATTCTTGAGAGTTACATGCACGTCCTGCTGGATTATGAGCTCTGGGAGGTCAGGAACCGTGACCTTCTCTGCTCTCTCCGTGGCTTTTGGCTCAGAGCCTCATGTAGTTGATGGCCAACAATTTCCCATTGAATATAAGAATGATTCAGTAAAAAGATCCTTTGCCTTTTGTGGCCACACAGATGCTAGGTTAGCCCACATGCAGAAATGTATCTTTAAGCCAAGTACACTGGAGATATTAATAATAAAGATTCAGTTGAGCATCCTGTTTGATAGAGTTGCCATTCTGGTTCATTGATTCATTTTTAGGTCTCAGGTCACAGAATGAGGACTGGATGGACAGAACTTTGCTTTAGAGCCTGAAAGAATCAATAAGCTCCCCACGGGAATAAGAAGAAAACATGAAGCTGTGGGGGAAGTGGGACGCTTCTGCGTAGGAACAGGAAATAAAATAAAAGACATTGCCTGAGGCCAGCTTTTCTGAAATGTTGCCATTGGCAGCCCTGGAGATCCACTTGAGTAAACAATCCTGTGAAACGGAAGAAAGCATTCCAAGAACAAGCCCAGGGAATCTGCAGCACTGCCGCTGCCTCCTCTTAGGAAAAGAAGCGGCCGGGCGCAGTGGCTCACGCCTGTAGTCCTAGCACTTTGGGAGGCTGAGGCGAGGCGGGAGGATCACCTGAGGTCAGGAGTTCGAAACCATCCTGGCCAACATGGTGAAATCCCGTCTCTACTAAAAATACAAAAATCAGCTGGGCGTGGTGGCGGGTGCCTGTAGTCCCAGCTACTCGGGAGGCTGAGGCAGGAGAATTGCTTGAACCCGGGAGGCGGAGGTTGCAGTGAGCCGAGATGGCGCCACTGCACTCCAGCCTGGGTGACAGAGTGAAACTCTGTCTCAAAATAGAGAGGGAGCAGGAGAGAAAGAGGGAGAGGGAGAGCACCACGTGGTCCTCGCTGCCATCTCAGTTGCATTTCGGGTTTGCGTCTGTGGTTGCTGAGAGCTCAGAGTGGGTGGTGTGCAGGGCCACTTGGGTTTCCCAAGTGGGATGGGCCGATGGATTATTTATGAGAAAGAAAAGAAACGTTTTACCTGAGGAAAGTGAGCCTCCTCTAAATGATCATGCCCAGGGAGGCACAGGAATAAGGCAGCAATTACATTCCACTTCCCTTCTTGGGCTGAAGTCATTAACTCTTAAAGCCTCTTGCTCTGTGGACTCGACTAACCGCAGCCCGAGCGGCTTTGCTATAAATTAACAGACCAACGCGGCTCTCCGCTGGACACCAGCATACTCATACCCCCAAGTTCAATGTCCAGCCAATCATTAATCGATGTTATTTCTGTCAACCAATGGGAATTCTTGACAAACACCTTTGTGTTTGCCCATTCCTCGTTCCCCTTTTATCCTTTAAAAACGCGCTTGTAACAAAGGCTAAATGGAGCTCATATCCAAGGTGACTTGGGTCTGAGCCTTCCGGGCAGCTGTCCTCACCTTGGCTCCAGTAAACTTTGTGAAATTATATCTGTGCCTCAGCTTCTTCCTTTAGGTCGACATTTCTGTTTTGATGAAGTTACGTTTTATAGACTTTAGGAGGAAAAGAGAAGAGGGGGAAGGTGATGAGGTATAAAATCACAGTAAAGACTGGGATGAAGGAAAGAGTACAGAACTTGAAAATTGAAGTTGGGATATTTTTGTTGTCATGAAAGGACCTCTACACATTTCCACAGTCAGAAACTCACTTCGAGGACCCAATTGCACTCCCCTACCTTGCTTTGTAAATTTGACCATGGGCTTGGCTGTAAATCCACATTAATTTATCTTGAAAAAAATAAATGGTCTTGCTGTATTTCAAGATATGATGGGATGGCGGGGACTTCTATTGGGAAAAGGTGTGACCAATAGAGACACAGTACCTAAAAAAAGCCCAACAGTAAGAAGTGTTACCATTGAAGGCTGGGTGTGGTGGCTCACGCCTGCAATCCCAGCACTTTGGGAAGATGAGGCGGGCGGATCAGGAGGTCAGGAGTTCGAGACCAGCCTGGCCAACATGGTGAAACCCCGTCTCTACTAAAAATACAAAAATTAGCCAGGGTGTGGTGGCACACGCCTGTAATCCCAGCTACTCGGGAGGCTGAGGCAGGAACATTGCTTGAACTCGGGAGGCGGAGGTTGCGGTGAGCTGAGATCACGCCATTGCACTCCAGCTCTGGCGACAGAGCAAGACTCTGTCTAGGGGAAAAAAGAAAAGAGAAGAAAGAAATATTACCATTGAAGCTGAGGAGTGGAAAGGGCATGGAGGGAGAGAGGTGAATTTTGCAAACAAATAGAAAAGTCCAGCAAGCCTGTGTGATTTGTTTCTATTGTAACTTTTGGCCAACTGCCACTGGCTGAGTTTCCAGGGATTTCTTTCTGTTTTCCCTATATATGGTGAGATCATAATGACTTTTGATGTTTTCAAGATAGAAAAGCAGGGTGAAAAGTTATTGCAAAAAAAAAAAGAATCCAAAGCAAAATAAATAAAAGTCCATGTAGAACGTAAGTAAGGTCCCCATCTCAGATGGATTATTAATGCCTCTGCAAATGCCTGCTCCATTCTAGAAGCAGGTAGATGTTCATTAGGTGTTTGCTGAAACTTTAGTTCAATGTATCTGTTTGTCATTTATTAGGAATCAATGCTTCTAAACATTCTATAGCAGAAAATAACATTTTCCTTTTGATAGGAAAATTGTTTTAATGAACTATTACAGTATCTTTCCCTCTTGACTCCCATGAGTTTAAAAATGTTGAACATCAGATAACACAGCTCTTAATTTCAATGGGCTTCACATCCTGAATGTAACTACAATAACAAATAAACTCACCACTAGATCTCAATTTACTTAGAAAAGATCCCAGCTGTCACCCAAAGCCAAAATGGGTGGAGACAGTTTGGTTCACAGATGTGGATCTCTGGCTATTGAAAAAGCATTTTCAGACATTATTAACAAGAAGAATTGGCCCAGTGAATAATACAATTATGCATGATCTGTGGTTCAGATATTCAAGTGCAAGTATTCAGAAAGTGCTGCTGCAGCTAATCCAGGGGGTAGTTTTGAAAATAATGACATTTAACCTATCATAGCAATTGTTCTTGTAAAAGGTATGAACTGTTCTAATGAAGAAAAGAATCCAGTGTAAAAATTATGTCTTGGTGCTAGAAATCATGAAGCTGAACAGTCAGTCTTACATTATTAAGTCCCCTATACAGGGGAAAAATAAATACATTTAAAAGTGTTTAAGAAATTTCTGTAAAGAGGAAAAATACCAGCAAACAACCATTTCTTCCGTGAATTTCTAGACATGTACTTGCCAAGTTCAGTAAGAAAAATGTTAATGATTATTCAAAGCATCACATGAAGGATAACAGTTAATCTGATTAGAGTAATGACATTTCTAATGTATTTATTTGGAGTAGCGATTGCTGAATTGCACTGTTATTAGCAAGCTTGCCCTGTTTACTGGAATGCTGATACATATTTAAAAAATCTGTCTTTGCATAATGCAGGCTGAGCATGTGGACAATAGAAGGGGGTCTTTAGCTTTCCTATCCTCCTTTATGTTTTATCTGATCTGCCTGCCTTGATTTGGAATGGGCCCCAGGGCTTTGTTATTGTTGATGCCTCTGCTCTCTCCCGTCCCTCCCGGTTTTGGCCTCCTTGGGTTCTGATATCTGATACACTCATGACACCTCCGAGGAATGCAGCTGAGAATTCATTGTCCCCAGGCTTTTTAAGCATCCCTGTGAACTCTCCTTTCTTTTTCTAGTTAGGAACCGTTTCTCATGCTTGATTAGTTGATTCACCAACCTTAAAATTATTGCATTTGTAGTAGTATCAATTGCCCAAAACATTCAAGCTTATAACACTGTTGGCTGCAAGTGAGACAGGCTAGAACTAAGACCCCTGCAACCTGAGGATTTTCCAAAATTGTGATCTTTAATGAGGAGAGGGGAAATAAATGGTTCTATCAAATCCCCATCTTAGTTCCATTCCTTTCTGAAATTGTAAACTCATCTGTACTAGTTTCTTTCATTTTGCATCTCAAGAGCCTTCATTGGAACCTGAAAGTTTAAATCCATCAAAATGCAAGAATGGAATCAAATGTGTATTTTTTAAAGAGTGGTGTGAAGATGCAAAAAGAAAAAGAGAAGTTGTTATGGTCAGAATGTTTGTGTCTCCTCAAAATTCATATGTTGAAACCTAATCACCAATGTGATTGTATTAGGAGGTGGGGCCTTCAGTAAGTGATTAGATCCTTATGAATAGGATTAGTGCCCTTATAAAGAACACAGGCTCAAAGAGTCACCTCATCCCCTCTACCATATGAGGACACAGCCAGAAGCCACCATCTACGAACAGGAAAGCTAACCCTCACCAGACACTATGCCTGCCAGCACCTTGATCTTGGACTTCCCAGCCTCCAGAACTATGAGAAATAAATTTCTGTTGTTTGTAAGTTACTTAGGCTATGGTATTTTGTTACAGCAGCCTGAATGGACAAAGACAGAAGTATGATCCAAATACTGGATATTGGCAGTCTCTCCTATATGAACGACTTCTGTTTATGTCCCCAGAGCTTAAGTGAACTGGAGGATTTGGACAGACCTGTAGCTAAACCACCCTTTTGAAGCTATTGAATTGATGGGATGATAGTTTCATCAACCAATGGATATCTATTGAGCCCTGGCTACATACCAGGCTTTGAATACCAAGGAAACTAAGACAGATGAGGTTCATCTGTGCTCCCATGTAGCTCTCCAGAGTGTCACAGACTCTTTCTTATTGGGATTTTTAACCTGGGGGATTCAGAGGTCAGTAACTATCTGGAATTATGGTAACATTTGCTCAAGAGTGCAGAATGATATTGTCCAATAAACAATGTACTGACTACATTGATGGTTCTCAAAATGCTTTTACTCTGAGTGGTATAAAAATAACAAGTCTTGGCCTTGGAGGTAGGTAATAGAACCCCTGAATAGGGTCAGTGTGGAGATGGGTGGCCCAGCAGGCTCCACATAGACCAAGATGGAGAGGGCAACAGAGGGGCAGGGCATGGGTAAAGCTCCTTCTGGCTGCAATAAAGACCCAGGAGCTGGAGACAAAAACTTTTAATGGGGGAGTTTGATGAGCCTTCCTGTGTAAAATCATATATAGACAAAAGGGCACTGTTTAGCTAGTGATGGTTGAGTTAAACATAAGGTCACACCAACAATTTCCAAAATCAATAAAAAATTATTAGAATAACTTGATAAGCTATATTACTTGGTAAGCCATTTCATTATAAGATATATAATATAAAATATATTTTATATGTTATATAAGATATACTTTTATTATACTATATAATGTACCTTATATATTATAAGAAATTAACTTATTTATAAAATAAGGAAGACATATGTTGATTTATATATTAATTTATGTTACTGTGCCAGTTCTTAAACCATCTTTTGAATGTTATTTTCTGTCTACATCTGGATTTTTCAGAAAACTGTAACCATGGCTTTCATTAAATTTTCATGTGGTTCTAATATTGGCAGGGCCTAGGTACAGATGGAGGCCCCATATCATGTGCCTGAATATTTAAAACTTACCCATAAAGCTTCTAATAAAACATGTTTTATTCTTTTACCTTGAAAAATATTATTTTATAAGATGACCTGAAAGGCCAAGTTTACATTTAGGATTCTTGGACTCCTCTGAGTGCCCAGCCTACATGTGGTGACGCAGGGAAGGCTGGCCCCCAGTCCTCAGCATGATGTAGGGTTTTTTGCTCCTTAGTTCAGCTAAAATCCTGGTTTTTATCTCATGACCAGGAAAAATTAGGTACATGGACACATTAAAAAGTGAGGAGAGCAGAATATATTGAATGAAAAGAAAGCTCTCAGCAAAGAAACAGGGGGTCCTGCCAACAGGCTCCCACCTCACAGACTGAATACCAGGCCACCACACATGAGCTGAAGAAGCCAGGATCCTCCCCCTGCATAAGGCATGAAGTCCCAGTGGCTCTACCCCACTCTCCTAGTGCTCAGGCGGACCCCCAACTCCATTGCAGACATATCCAGACAAGACCCTGGGCAAGTTCCCTCATCTGCACAAAAGCATCTGATGTAAACACTTGTGGGGCAGGTTGGAAATTCTCCAGGGACCCTCCATTCTCTGCCTCCTGCATCTATCAGTATGTCCTAATTTCCTTCTCTTTTCACCTCCAGCTCGCTCCTTCACCTCAAAATGGCCAGATGTGGACATCAAGACTCACCCACATCCAGTAGCAAATGGCCCTCCCAGGCCTGGGGTTATATAATCACAACAGGATAGACCTGGGCAAGGGCTTGTCCAGACCCTGGATGTAGGTTCAAGGCTGCGTGCATAGTGAATTCAGGGATCCTGGTTACCTGAGCATGGTCCAAGGGAAGAAGGTACCAGGTGGGCATATCATCCCCAAGATGCCCATGCTTACCGGGGGCTGTTCCCTCCAATGACAGTGTGCCATGGTCTACCACGTAGCAATTCAAGCCCATTCCTGTGAGATATAAGGTTCTTTACTGGGCAACATTGGCCTGAGTGAAATCTCCTAGGAACTGCCCTGCAGTATGAGACTTTCTTAACCACCCCTCCTGTCTGTCTCCTCTCCTTCATGTGGTCTGCAGGTTCTCCTTTGGCTGGCTAGCTCCCCTTCATCCTTCACAGGTGTTTTCCTTTGCACATCTAATTTCATGCTGGTATCCACCTCTTGGATGACTTGAGCTAGCACAGATCTCAATTATTATAAATCTACATTTTCCAAGGTGGCTTAAATTTTAAGTATTTTGTTATATTATCCCTTTTTAATTCATCTATAGAAAATCTTATCCAGCTCCATGGAATTTTTTTTTTTTTTTTTTTTTTTTTGAGACGGAGTCTTGCTCTGTCACCCAGGCTGGAGTGCAGTAGCGTGATCTCGGCTCACTGTAAGCTCTGCCTCCCGGGTTCATGCCATTCTCCTGCCTCAGCTTCCCGAATAGCTGGGAACACAGGCGCCCACCATCACATCTGGCTAATTTTTTGTATTTTTAGTAGAGATGGGTTTTCACCTTGTTAGCCAGGATGGTCTTGATCTCCTAACCTCGTGATCTGCCCGCCTTGGCCTCCCAAAGTGCTGGGATTACAGGTGTGAGCCACTGTGCCCGGCCAGCTCCATGGATTTTTAAAAATGTTTTATTTTGAAATAATTATAAAGTCAAAGGCAGTTGCAAAAATAGTGGACAGTCCTATGTACCCTTCACCCAGCTTCCCCCAATGGTCACATCTCACATTGCTTCAGTGCAATTTCAGCACATGGATTCTAAAACCAATTACATGCTGATCACTGCCCCATTTTATTTCTAGCTCAAACAGACCCTTTCACCTGAGCTCTGGATGCATCTCTTCCTACCTATTCAGCATTTCCACTTGGATGTCTAACAGTCACTTCGGTTTTAACATGTTCAAAATAGACCCCTTGAACCCTGGCCTCCATCATCCAAGTATTTCTCAGTCTTCTTCATTTTTGTAAGTGGTACTGTGGCCACTAAGTCATTGAAATCAATTATCTTGTGAAGCCTGTGCTTACTTGTCATGGTAGACCTGTCCCCATGGGAACATGAGGGCAGGAACCTCATCTGTCCTGTTCATTGTGGCATTTCCAGCACCATGTACAATGCTTGGGCTGGAGCAGATGCTCAATAAATAATTTTTGGACAGATAGATGTTTTTGGTAGAGTGAATATCATGATGTTATGGTCACAGATGACATCAACCATCAGGATTTGGCTTTCTGAGCCATAGTCTACATGCACACAAGATGAATGCCTAGAAAGGAATATGGTGTGTCTTATAAATACATTGACAAGAAACATACTCACCTGATTAGGAAAGTTTCAACCTGAGAATTGAGTGAATGGCACAGATAAAACTCGGAATAAATATCCTTCCTGCCTCCCTTCCTCCTTCCTTCCTTTTCTTCTTTCCTTCTTTCCATCACTTGGTTGCTCAGGGTACATTTTCAAGTAACATTTAGAAGAGTACATTGACCTCTTTCTTACCCTTGCATATTTGATGGGCAACATCTTTCTTTGACTTCCTATAAGAAAGAAAACGAGATTGAATCACAGCTTGCTCCCTCACCATTTTACACAAAGTATTGATGTCTTGTGGCATTTTGTGTGCTAGGGAAGTGAGGTCAATTTCTTTTTTTTTTTTTCCCAAGACAGAGTCTTGCTTTGTCACCGAGGCTGGAGTGCAGTGGCGAAATCTTGGCTCACTGCAACCTTTGCCTCCCATGTTCAAGCAATTCTCCTGCCTCAGCCTCCCGAGTAGTTGGGATTACAGGCACCCGCCACCACATCCAGCTAATGTTTGTATTTTTAGTAGAGACAGGGTTTCACCATGTTGGCCAAGCTGGTCTCAAACTCCTGACCTCATGATCCGCCCACCTCGGCCTCCTAAAGTGCGAGGATTACAGGTGTGAGCCATTGCGCCTAGCCTGTGAGGTCAGTTTCTATGCCTTCTTCTTTTCATCCCTGCCTGGATGCTTGAAGAATATGACAAAGTGGTTAACACCATGGGTTCTAGAAATAGGCAGTTCAGATTCTAGTTTTGCTGTATGACCTTGGGCAAGTTATTTCACATCTCTGAGGTTCAGTCTTCTTACCTGAAAATGTGGGCTACAACCCCTCTTCATATGGTCACTGTGAAAATTAAATGCAATAATATGCATAAAGCACTTCAGGCCAGTGCCTGGCACCTAGCATATGCTCAGTAAATACCAATGCTTCACTTTCCCTTTGAAATCTAAAATACTTGATGGGAAGAGGAAAGATATTTATTACCTTTGTAGATTTTAGCCTGCCAAACAACATGACTACTCAAGTCTTTGTCTCGTCTTGTTTTTGCTTTTCTTTTCAGTGTATGGAATTCTCAGCTTCAAACAGTAAGCCTGCATCAGGTCTGTGTCATTCAAGGGGCCAAAGTTCCAGCTGCCATGGCCTTCTTCAGGACAGCAGCCCAGCTAGCTGGAGGCTGAATTGGGCGACTTACAAGTGGTTGCACCTCCACAATGCCCTTGTAGCTCTTGCCTTGGTGGGCATTGTGCTTTGGAGTGGAATCACCTCACCCAGAACTATTGAGATGACTTACGGTTATTAGAGCTGCCATCTTTGCACACCAAATCAGAGCATGAATGTTGTGCCCCAGTCAAGACAATCAGAAATGGCTCTTCAGAGGGAAGTAACAAGGTGGAGAAGAAGACCAGATAGGAGAAAATAAACAACAGGATGTGAGAAAACACCCAGGCAGAGGTGGCAGCCATAAACCCAGCTCCCTACCCATCAGGAAATGGGCCAAGAAATCACCAGGACTATCCCAAGGGAGTTGGCAAATTTCTATGCAAAATCTGGGCATTAGTCTGAATAAATGAATGAACACCGAATACATGAATAAGCAAAGCAGAATGTACAGACTTCAGAGCTCTTGGCAACAAGTGCAAGCTGGGTCAGACATAAGAATAGTGGATGGAGCAAGAGAACAAAGTCACAGACTGAATATTGAGGGTTGCTCCAAGAAAGGGAGACTCCCAAGCACAGGACTGAGTCAGGGAGCTCTGTCTGGTACAAAGCCTCAGTGAGGACCAACAGATAAGGCCCCATGTCAATGAAGGCAGCTACCCAACTGGCTTCATCAGTGACTGGCTAATATTAGGTCCACTCCATTAACTAACCAACATTTCATGGAGGTCTCCAGAGGGACCTTTGGAGCATTTTCAGGTGTTCCAGAAACTAATTCAGAGTGTGCACATAGAAGTTAAATCGTTTCAGGTCAGGCCTTCCTCAGGGAGTTTGTCCAGAGGGAATAATGGGCCCATGCTGGAGCTGGAGGTGCCTCCAGGGCCACCAGCAACCTGCATTGCTCTGCAATTATCAGAAGCTCCATCTTAGTGTGAATTCACAGACCTCAAGACAAGGATATGGGTGCAAGAGAAGTGCAGGGAACACTGGAGAGAAGTGGGGAACTGAAACCTGGAAGTAACGACAGTCAATACATGGTGCATTATTAAGCCAGCTGTCACTTTGGACAACTCAAGCTTAATCTCATGGGAAAATTGGGAAACAGTGCAAAACACATGTCTCAGAATTACCCAGCTCTATTAGGGAGAGAGCTGGGGTATTGATACACCAAATAAATAAGAGTCATTGGCTGAAAGCTGTTTCTTGTGAGGGAGTGTTTATTCCTAGTACTTCTGTCCATGTATTTGTAGTTAGAAGTTGGCCAGAGCACACTGAAATAGTAGGGTCTGAGGTTTATCAGTTAGTTTCTTCTGCATAACAAACCACGTCAAAACTTAGTGGTGGATGATAGTATCTATTCTTTTTTAAATTAAAAAAAAAAATTTCTACCCCTTCTTCTTCTGAAAATAACCCTCTATTCTACTCACAATTCTGTGGGTCAAAGGTTTGGCATCTGCAGTCAGCCATCAAGTCCGCTGGTATCTACATGATCTAGCACGGCTTTACTCACATGTCTAGTGTGGACAAGCTGACTGTTGGGATAATGAGTGTGACTGGACCAGGCTGGTCTCAGCTTCTTCACCTGTTAATAGTCACCAGGTTCCAAGAACAACACAAACGTAAGCCTCCATGTGCAAGTTCTTTTGAGCCTCTGCTGTACTCCACATTTGCTACTGTCCCACTGACCAAAACAAGTTGCATGGCCAACCCAAACTGGTGTAAGATTATCAGATAAAATGTGATATGTCAAGTTCATTTTGAATTTTAGATAAACAAGAAATAATTATTTTAGTATTAGTATGTCCTATTGAAAGATGTGGTATTAGTCAGGGTTCTCCAGAGAAATAGAATCAGCAGGAGATGATAGATAGATGATAGATACATAGATAGATAGATGATAGATAGATGATAGATAGATAGATAGATAGATGATAGATAGATGATAGATAGATGATAGATAATAGATAATGATAGATAGATAATAGATAACAAATAGGTAGATAATAGATAGATAGATATGCAAGAGGAGGTTTTCATAGAAATTGGCTTACATTGTTATGGTTATGGAGACCAAGAAGTCCTACAATCTTCTGTCTGCAAGGGGAAGAACTAGAAAGCCAGTGGTATAATTCAGTTCAAGTTAGAAGGCCTGAGAATCAGGGGTAGGGGTGCTAATGGTGTACATCCCAATCTGAATCCAAAAGCCTGAAAAAAAAGGCTGAGCTCTGATGTCTAAAGGCAGGAGAAAATGGATGGGACAGCTCAAAAAGAGAGAGTGCATTTTCCTTTCCTCCAGCATTTTGTTCTATTTAGGTCCCCAAGGATTGTATGGTGCCCACCCACACCGGGGAGGGCCGTGTTCTTTACTCAGTTCACCGATTCAGACTCCGATCTCTTCCAGAAACTCCCTCCCAGGCACAGCTGGAAATAGTGCTTTACCAGCTACCTGGGCATCCCTTAGGCCAGTCAGGTAGACACATTAACCATCACAGATGTCTTCTCTGACCACCTTCCTATCCCATTTTTCTGTACATCACAGAGAGAATGCAATGCTTTTTCTTCTTTGTACTTTTCACATTTACATAAGTAGTTAGATATTTACGTGTTTGTTTACTAGTTTATTGCTGTCTTCCCTTCCAAATTGTAATCTCCATAATAGGGACCATCAGCATTTGAGCCTGGCACCAAGTGGAGGGCCTGGCATTCAATTAACACAGGCTAAACAAATGAATGAACAAACTAAAGAGCAGGCGAATGAAATAATGAATGCTGTGTGCAGTTGGCCTACCTCAGAGTTTGGGGTTCAATCCCCTCAGAGCCTTTGTCCCTTATGTCCAACCCACAGGAGCCTTGTTTAAAGATATAAATACCCTCCAATGTCAAGGTGACATCACAAATACTCAAGCTTCCATCTTGTGGTTTATTAAAAGGCTGGCTGAACCCTTCAATGCACTTAATTCACCATTACTTTCTTGTTCTTTATTCCCTCCATATGCATTGTGTGAGTTTGTGTATGCATCTTTATATAAATTCTTATTATTCAGGTTCATAAAATATCTTTTATGAGAGGAACTATACATGGCTGACCCAGATGCACACGAGGAAATGTTTCATTTCTCAAGAAGAGCCTTCTGTGCATCCCGCCACCCCCCTGCCATGTGGCTTACCCGGGAGACCTAATGGTTCTGAAAATTGGAGCAGCTGTTTGGCTCATAAATTACTGACCTACTGTGTGCATAACAAGTGGGACTTAAATATAACCAGCTGGGGCTATTTTTGTCAAAACCAGATTTTGAAATCCTGCATTCAGAAAAGCATTTGGGGTGTCTTTCTGATACAATTGTGTGTGGTTGTGTATCTATCTGTCTGTCTGCCCGTCTGTCTCTTTGTGTATGAAAAGAGAGGGGCAGAGAGGAACGTGAAGGGAAACTCAAGTAAGTGGATTTCATGTGCTTTATTAATCACAGACAAAACATATTTTCTTCTTTAGCAAAGCCAGGCTAGTTTATCTAACATTTGTCTAAAAAAAGGTCGCAGTTTATATTAAACCCAAATGCAGGGTCAAAAAAGCATGAACGTATAAAAGACCATGTTTACAAGAGAAAAGGCTGTCAAAGACTGGGCAAGGAGGACTGCTTACCTCTGCTGTAAAACTACCATTAGCACATTCTTCCTTCTATCATTTTTAATAGATATTAAGTGGTTTTAACCAAATCATTATGAATCTCAAAAGATTAATGTTTTAGAGTATATGATGATACTCTTTCCACAGCCCTTGGGAAATCTATAAACAACAAACTGTAAAGAGTGGTTACTAACTTTGGTGGAAGCTTATGGACTCCTTGGAAATCTAATGAAAGCTATGAACCCTCTTCCCAGAAAAAAAAATACACCCACAAATTTGCATACAATTTCTGAGGCTTCACTCACCATTTGAAAGCCATCCATGAATCCTAGGTTCAGAATCCTTTCTCTAAAAGAAATATAACATGTAATCATGTTTAAAGGACATGGAGTTCAAAGTCTTTAAAGAACCTTTGAAATAATTTAATCCGTACTCTCATATACGAGGTATGGACAGAGGTTTGGAGAAGATATGACTTGCCTAAGTCACATAACAAATTTGTGACAGAGTTAAAAATCTGGATGCTGTTTTAAGGCAGCTTCTTTAGAAGCAGGCCCCGAAATAATCATTGGTGTGCAAATGATTTTTAAAAGAGGTGCTCTCAAGGGAGACAGTTAAGAGTGGGAGTAGAAGAACAGAGCGAAGGAGGAAGTCAGACAAGGCTCCCTCTCAGGCAAGATCTGCAAAGAGGGGTCCTGTAGAGAACAGTAGGGGATGGATGGTACCCATGCCAATGGGTTGGGCTTTCATACTTTTGCCTCCTTCCATTACTAAGCGGAAAATAAATGCCAAGGAACCAGTAGCTTGTGGGCAGCCCTCTCAAACAAACAAACAAACAAACAAACACAACAAAAAAACTGCATATGGAAGTTGGGAGCAGAACTCAGACATGGTAGAAAATCTAATCCAAAGGCAGCAACGTGGAAAGCAGCGGATGTGATGGGCTCCAGCTTCCTTGACCTCATGTTGCTGCCCCTAGAAGGACACACATGTAGACTTTTTGGTGAGCAACTCAGTGTGCTCTGTCCTAAGATTAAAGATGAATGGATGTTTAATATTTATTCTACATTTTTATCTTAAGCATCATGAGGATTCCCAGACATGTAAATGTGAGTTGTGTACAGCATAGCACAGACTAGTACAAACAACAGCCTTGTAGATCTTCCTTCTGGAGGCTTCATGATGCGTGGTGTCCTCAGGATCCCATTCTGCTCCACTCTGTAAAGCCTTAGTAAACTCTGTCCCAAATAATGCACACACACCACAACCTTACATATGCCTCATACAAGGGCAAAATAGGTTTGCTTTGTTTCTGCAGAGCTTATTATTTTGTAGGCTAGAAACTCCCTTTTTCATCCTGAGCAACATAACTGCATTGCAGGAGAGACGTGAACACACATGCTCCTTAGTCTTAAAAAGTCTCCCCTAAGCCAACATAAATGAATTTCCCTTAAATTATAAGACAAAGTCCCAAAGACTGAAGCCACAACATTGGTGTCCCTGCTCTGAGTTTAAAAACTTACTGGAACAGCCAGGTGAGGTGGCTTATGTCTGTAATCCCAGCACTTTGGGAGGCTGAGGCAGGAAAATAGCTTGAGTCCAGGAGTTCAACACCAGCCTGGGCAACATAGTGAGACCCTATCTCTACAAAAAATGTTAGAAACATTAGCTGAGCACAGTGGCCTGTAGTCCCAGCTACTTAGGAGGCTGAGGTAGGAGGTGTCATGGATAGTGGTCATCTGGGCCAAGCGACGCAGGAGGTAAAGGAATTTATCAAGAAAGTTGTAGGTAAAGAAAGGCAGACTTATTAGAGAAGGTATGAAAATATGTTGCAAGGTTGCAGTGGGCAGCACAGCAGGGAAGAGGATGTTTGCAAAGAGGCAGGGGCTAGAGGGACATTTTATAGGGTTATGCTCAAGGGGAGAACATGCAGAATGAAGAGTTGCAAGATGTTTTGTTCCCTATGGAAACTAAAGACAACATCTTAACATATGTCCAGAAACCCAGACCCACACCTCAGAGAAAGGGGAGCTGAGGACTGAACTGTAATCACTGTTCTTTCTTCCGAATCAGAAAATCTTTGAATCCACCTATGACC
Source organism: Homo sapiens (assembly GCF_000001405.40). Taxonomy (NCBI): domain Eukaryota; kingdom Metazoa; phylum Chordata; class Mammalia; order Primates; family Hominidae; genus Homo; species Homo sapiens. The sequence goes on from NC_000020.11 coordinate 20,909,209, forward strand.
TGTGGACGTCCCTGCTTCGAGATGTCCTGCCTCTTTTAGGTCAAACCAAGGTATAGCATTTATTCATGACTTTGCCTGTGACCTCTGCCTCCCTGCCTTTAAAAGCTCTTACCTGTAAGCCATCCAGGAGGTCAGGTCTTAAGCATGAGCTGCCCGATTCTCCTTGCTTGGTGCCCTGAAATAAATGCCTCACATTCTCTCGCTGCAATCCTGATGTCACTGTTCAGCTTTGCATGCAGGAGTGTGGGCCCAAGTTCAGTTCAGGAACATAACCGACAGCTTCCCTAATTTTTGTCCAACTTAGGACCAATCAGAAAAAGCCAAATATGTTCCCCTAACCAATCACATAGAATGCCTTGCTGCTGTTGTAGGAAAACCCGGGTTCTTGTCACACGGCCGGGAAAGATTAGGCTTGAAGACACTTTGAAGGATGAGGGGGAATGGAATTTACTGGGCGAAAAGGAAAAAGAAACACACACACACACACACACACACACACACACACACACACACACACACACAAAACAAAGAGAGATGAGGTTCTGCTAATAGGCTCTCCACTTCAACGACTGAATCTCAGGTTACTACCCAGGAACAGGGAAGGCCCAGCTCCTCCCTGCTGCAAACTGTGCGAACTTCCCGAGGTCCCACCCCTCCTCCCAGTACGCAGGTGGGCATTACTCAGAAAGAATCAGTCCGGAAAAGGGCGGGATCCATCAGGGACCTGCAGTCCAGTTTTTCAGCCTTCAGGCTGCTTTAGGCTTGAAGGCACGGTTTGGCGAGGGGTTGAGCAGGGAAGGGAAAGGGGGAGGAGAAGGGAAGCCGGGAGAGGGGAGCGGGGGCCCTTGCCTGCCTCCTGTCCGTATCACTGCTAGTTAGCCGGTTTCCATGCTCCCTATGCTGATGACCTCCAATCAAGGCACATCTGAAGACTTCTCTTCTATCATATGGCTTTCCAACTCCCCTACCTGCCTTTGAGTATCTGCAAATACAAGTGATAGTGGCCGACTCCCTTGCAATGGCAAGCTCTGAATAAATGGTCTTTCCTTGTTCTCATTTGGGTAATACATGTTTATTTCCACACAATTCATATAGAAAATGCAAGTGGCCAATAAACATGAGGGGAAAAAGCTCAACTGTAACTAGTTTTTTAAAAAATGAGAATGAAATCAACAATGAACTTTTTTTGCCTGATTTGGAGGGGCAGTTTGCAGGTATTAAGCAAAAGGGGAAAATGTGCATGCCCTTAAACCTAGTAATTCCAATTCTAGCAATTAATTTTGCAGAAATTGTCTCATAAATGAACAAGGTTAATGTACAAAGATGCTCACTGTCTAATAATTTACACAGACTAAATGTCCAAAGGACGAATGAATAAAATATGGGACATGTACACAGTGGAATTCTGTGAGACTATTCAAAGAATAAAATGGCTGGGATAGATAGATGGTAGTGAAAAGACTCAATAATATGCACGTGTGCCATTTTGTCAACATGCGTGTGTGCTCGGGTACATCCCTTGGTTGTTTTACACAATGCAAGAGTGGGTCATCCCAGAAGTGGGGCTGCACAATTGGAGAGAGCTTTTGCTTTTCACTTTTCTTCATTGTTCACGTTTTTATGATGATCATGTACTACCTTGGTAATGAAAAAATTAAAATGAAAAGAATCAGCTGGGAAATGCCGTGGTTCGCATGAAATGTGGTCCTGAGAAGATGTTATTCACTCTATCACCTATTTTCTCACTTCTCCTGGTATTGTGGTTGAGTTATGCATAATAGGCATGGGCATTGATAACAGCTTTGATTCCTGGAACAATAGCCGAGATAATGAGGAGACCACTTCATTGACAATGCCCAGCCACGCCTTGTCAGAGACAAGACAAACATCGGTGCAGGTGTTGGAACAATCAAGTCTCATTTATCTGCTATTGTCCAAGAATGAGCTCATCGAGGCTAGTGAATTTTCCAAAATAATAGAAGCTTATCAATCCTTTAAAGGGCCTTTTTATTTTTTAGTTTAACCATTTTTTAGGGTAATTATTCCTAAATGGATTTCACAGCTCCTGCCTTCTTAAAGAGCGTCCAGTTGATGTGGACAGGAGACAGGAAAATACTGGGTAGAAGAGGGCGGTTCCCCGGCAAAGGCTCCACCCTCCAGCCCGAAGACCTGTGGCCCTAAATGAGGACAGGCATTTCTGTTTTCGCGCCCAAAAAGTTGCCTTTTGGGGGCCCGCCGCACCCCCTGTCCTGCACCCATATAAGCCCTGAAACCCAGGACCCAGAAGCAGACCAGCAAGCCAGCCGACCAGCAAATGGACCGCGGAATGACTCATTAGGGAAAGGGAGAAGAGGAGGAACATCTGAAGGCCGAGAGGAGTTGGGCTGAGGTCGCTCGGAGAGGAGTCTGGGCTGAGCAGCCCAAGTCCAGGGGAGGATCACCTTCCCACTACATCCCCACTTCCGGCTCCACATCCATCCCACTGAGGGCCACCTCCACCACTCAATAAAACCTCAGCAAAGCTGAAAGAGCATTTAAACATTGGGGTTGCAGGCAACCAAGACCAGACACTACCACAGGGCCAGAGCCCAAAGCGCTTGCCCTGGCCTCTATACCTGTGGATCTGCGTGCTTCTTCTCCCACAAGGGCTTTGAACCGGTGAGCCACATCCCTGTCTCACGTCCTGTGAGGGGAATCAGGGAACACTCCCGTTTCACAGTGGCCACATAAGAACCCATCCCTGATGACTTGGGATTATGGTGATGACTCCGGACCCCTGAGCTCTGACCCCTTTCAGGCCACTGAAGTGGGTGGGGAAGCTTGCCGGTACTTTGAATCACCGCTGATCACTGTGATTTTTGATATATTTATGATTGGACATTGCTGCTACTTCTGTTACTGTCAGTCAGCCTTTAAAAGTAATCTACTTATGGGACCTTACCCTGGCTGAGAGATCTGATACAAAAAAAAAGTGAATTTATCCCAAAGCTAGCTTGGGGGAAGGGACACAAAGCATCCTGCCTTTATATGCACCGCTGCACCTTGAGAGCAGAAAGTGAGCAGATTTATTTATTTATTTATTTATTTCATTTGTTTGTTTTTGAGACAAGGTCTCACTCTGTCACCAGGCTGGAGTGCAGTGATGTGATCATAGCTCACTGCCACCTCGACCTCCTGGGCTCAGTTGATCCTCCCACCTCAGCCTCCTGAGAAAGGGGGCACTTCTGTAAGGCAAGGGAGGAAATGAGCAAGGACAGAGGTCCCCTGCTAGCTCAGTGTCTGATCTATCAGACTGCTGAGTTGGAGCCTTCCTGGGCAGAAGTAAGTTGTAAAAGTGGCCAAGCGGGCATGCTTTCGATAAGCCCTCCAAGTGGATGAAGGTTCCGAGGATGGAAGTTCCAAGACAACACCCTGGTGGTGAAAGTTCCGTGGGGGCATGCTTTGGTCTGCAAACCGACTGTCACCTCTCTAGGAGAGATGTGTCTTGGAGCATGTAGTTGGAAGAACTTGCCCTGTAGGGAATGTCTGATGAAGGTGAAGTGAAAGAGAGGGGAAAAAATAATTAAACCACCTCTAGAAAAATGAGCGTACTCGGTTACAATTCGATGCTCCAGTGGGGCCAGAATAAAGATGTGGGTGAGCCAGGTTCCCTGGCAGGTGGCTCTGGGAAACACTGTGAGAGGTCTGGAAGGAGAAGAAAAGGGAAAGCAGCAGCCCAGGGAGCGCTGACCAGCAGCTGTGGGCAACAGAAACACACAATCCCACTGTGGATATCTATGAATCTAAACCATTTGTTCTAAACCCCTTTTAGAAAAGAATCAAATTTTCCTTTAGAGAAGAAGTGGAATAAGAGAAGGACATGAAGTAAAAATGAGCTGTGTTGTGAGAACACATAAACAGAACCGGGTGAAATGGTTGTGCTGAGAAGGTGACCTGGGCCCCCAGCTGAGTGGAGCAGTCAGCGCTGGAGAGAGCAGAGAGAGTAGGGCTGGCTTCTATAGCCACCAGCACACTTGTAAAGCCAGCCATCCCAGAGCAGGATACACGTCTCCTTGCTATATTAGGTAATTCCAGGGTCTGGGGAATAATAGCCCACGTTAAGGACAGGATAGAACTAGAGGTGACCAGTACTTGGACCCCCTTATGCCCCGGTTGTCATGCCTTCCCCCTGAACCTCAATTCCGTCATCAAGAAAATGGGAGATAATAGCTTTTAGACGCCTACTATATTATAGGAAATCACATGTAAAATTATGTAACAGATCACCCTCTATCCTTTCTAATCAAGTGCCTTTTCCTTCCTGACATGAGACAATAACTGGTCAAGACTTCAAAATCTGGGTTATAAATAAGATATCTGGCATAAAGAGTTTCTCTTTTATTCTTCTTATGTATTTTTCTACTCTTGGACACAAGTCATAGCATTGCAATGTCTTTTATCTTTTCAATCTTACTCGTGGTTTCTCCAAATATGCCAACATGTGCTTGCAGAATCTCTCCTTTGACAACAATAATGTGGAGCTGAACACTCATGACTGCATTAGTGACTTTTAATTAACTCCACCTTAAGTGTGTCTGAGGACCTCCCTAATTTTCTCGAAAGCTCCTTTAACTTCTCAGCAGCCCGGGGTTTGTCATAACCCCATTAGCCACGTGGGTGTATCTGCATGAGACTCTCCCATCTTTACCTACCTAGTGAGCCACTGTGATGAAGGGGGGACATGCTTGGCTGGCCCTACAACTCACCATGGCAGTAAGTGATATTTAGTCAAGTTGTTCTTGCCATCCCCTTCCAAATTTCAAGCTCTTAAAAAACATGAGAACTCTCAAGTGCTTGTTGACTTGAATGCAATAATAATGTGGCCCTTGGTGAGACCACATCAGTGCCCCTTACATTGACCTAAAAGGAGATAAGGATTTTCTGTTTGTGAGGCAACGTTCTTGATATGAGATCTGTAAACCTGCAGTTTCTGCCTTATGAAAACATCACGCAAGCTCTGATGGCATGTCGTCCTCCTCTGGATAGATCTTTGGGCTTTGTGAGGCCTCCCCTCCTTTTTTTTTTAGATGGAGTCTCACTCTGTCATCCAGGCTGGAGTACAGTGGTGCTATCTCAGCTCACTACAGCCTCTGCCTCCTAGGTTTAAGTGATTCTCCTGCCTCAGCCTCCCGAGTAGCTGAGACTACAGGTATGTGCCACCACACCTGCCTAATTTTTATATTTTTAGTAGAGACAGGGTTTTACCACGTTGGCGAGGCCAGTCTCGAACTCCTAACCTCAAGTGATCCACCTGCCTAGGTCTCCCAAATTGCTGGGATTACAAGTGTGAGCTATCGTGCCTGGCCAAGGCCATTAGAACTCAATCTTGGTCCCCTGAGTTTTCTCTAAACTTCAGGATGTCTTCCCAACTCATTACCATGCTAGAAAGTGTACAACACTGTCAAATAGAGTTGCATCTGGCAAAGGGGTAATTATAGTTTTCCTTTCTCATCCTGGCATCACTTACCAAGTGATCATTGTCTTAGCAACTTTGAGTGAAGGCATTTATCCAAGTGTCTTGTTTTGGTTTCCTCCAAAAGAGAACCCTGAGATGAGAACCTGGAAGTCAGTAATTTATTTGGGAAGTGATTCCAGGAAGTACTGTGTGGAAGCAAGGAAGTGAGGAAAGGGAAAGAATCAGTACAGGGTGCTCTGGGAAGACTAATTCTGTGAGCAACTGGAGTCCAATCCCGCTGAGACCTCTGGGAAGCCATCTCAAAAACACACTTTAGAGTTGTCCCACATGAGGATGCTGTGGCACTCATTCGTCAACCTCCATCTATTATTGGTTGAGGGATGCTTCTCAGAGCATAAACTTTCCGGCACTTCCAGCCTGACCACCTTGTAGGTGAAGAATGTCCAAAGACCAGAGAAAGTCCCCTGGAAGACAGAGACTCAGGTGTTTGAGGTAGAAAATAATCAGCCTAAACAAGAAGAGTTCATTCAAGGAATAGGTGACATTTGGGGTGGGACAGTAGGATGTGGGCCGAGCATTAACATCATCTGCTACACAAACCAACAGTGGATATCAAGATAAACCATTCACTTTGACTCTTATATAATCCTTCTGATAACTAAATGATTTGTTTGTGAAAGATTTGATGAGTCAATGAGTAGTCTTAGACCATGGAAATAGCAGCAGATGTTAGCCTCAGAACAGAAAGCCTAGAAAAACTAGGACATAGTCCAAAATTGAGAGGAATGAGAAACCAGTCTTAAAGTTGGAAAACCTCATTAATCAAAGACCAAAGTAAAAGAGTCCTATGCAAAGCTGGAAGTGAAGGTGTAACCAGCACTGAAGGGTCAGGACAATACTGGGGCAGAACCATGCAGGCAGATAAGAAAAATGGTGAGCTACTTTTTAAATTTCTATTACTCTCTGTCTTTTCCCCTGGAAAGAGAAAACATTCTTGAAAAATAAGGAGGGCTTTGCATGTTTGTTTCAAGAGCAGCACTTAGTGGTGGGAGAAGTACTCCTCTTCATTCTCAGCAGCTCTGCAGGGGAGGACCCAGGCAAAATAAAAGAAGGGAGAAACCACATTCGTGAGGCCTGAGAAAAGACACAAAGATGGAAAAGGAAAATTGGCCTATCATTGAGGGTGGTATTCCTGGAAACAAGTTTCCAGGGAAGACGGAGAAAATGGGGTCACTGGCACAGAGGGAGAAATTAACAGTGACAAGTCTGCACTAGAAATCCAAGCCTGCTTCTCTCTCTTTTCCTTGTCATTGCCTTACAACACAACTCCTGATGAACACAAGGTGCCAATTGGCCACATTTATACCACATGGTCTGCCATCACAGATACAGATGACTGGCATAAAATGAATCATTCTATTGGCTGGAATGACTCAATCAGATTTTCTCTCACAGAAATTTGAACTAAGAGATCCAGGAAGTCTAGTTTGGGAAGGTCTAGCATAAGGACTGTAAGGTCATTTAGCTCTGCTAGCAGTAACATACAACAGGGACATGCACAGATGTAGAGGCAAGGGTGACATCAGAGAAAATGGCTAGGTAAGGATCTCTGAAAGTTCAGGCTTCTATGAAAGCAATGAAAAAATTGGCAAAATTTGGCAGAATTGACTTTTTCAGAACTTGGAAACTAACCAAAAGCTTGTAGCATCCCTGTGAGGATTTAAAAATATGACTGAATCTTGATAAGAACAGATTGTGGCATTTTAACTTACTCTAGTCCCATCCTCCACTTCTCAGCTTAGTGGTAGCCTTGAAAAATCAGTCTGTATTCCTGGTACCAGAGGGAGCAAAATGGACTTTGTTTCCAAATAAGTGTCTTATTTTACTGGTAGTTCTCTGGAAGTCCCTCATTCAGAAGGCTTCTTTATTTGACTTCATTTGAACTTATCCAGTGATTAAAACCTTTGAAAGGAAAAAGGAGGAGGATGGCATTTGTCAAATGTTTTAACATCACAGCTGACTGGGGTGATGGATAACAGTTAGGGCAAACAATGGAATAATCAAAAAATCTAAAAGACAAACCTGAGGCATGAGATGTCCATAGGGGCTTTGAAAAGTTTCAACATGTTACTGGGAATCTAAAAGGCCACATGCATGCCCAGGGCTGGGTGCAGGTCTGAGCATTCTCAAGAAAGACCTGAGAAGGCTCTAAGTGCTCACCTCTGGCTGTCCTTGAGGTTCTACACAAATAGGAAGTGAAGACTAAGGTAGAGTTGCTGAGAGATGAAGGCATGTATCAATACACATACAGAGGCCCCAGGCAAAAACTTGGAGATTTATTAGCTCCAGATATTTAAGGCAATCTCTGCGAATCATTAACCTACCACTAAGCTAACTGTGTGGAGACTTCAGTGGCCACTCATGACTAAGATACAGACTTCACATATTCAGAAAAGTTATTAAACAAACAAACAACAACTACAATAATCAGCAAACATCCCTGAGGAGGAAGGAGAATTTGATTTTCAGTTTCTATATTATATATTTGAAATGTCTAGTTTTTGACAACAAACATGAGTCACACAAAGAGACAAGAAGTATGACCTATACATAGGAAAAAACATCAGTAGAAACTGCCCCAGAGGCAGCACAAACACTTGGTTTATGGGACTTAAGACAAATATCTAAATCAGCTATTTTAAATATGTTCAAAGAGCCAAAATATGGGGATGATATCTCAACAAACAGAAAGTATCAACAAAAATATAGAAATCACAAAAGAAACCAAATAGAAATTCTTGAGTTAAAATGTACCATGATTGAAATAATAAATTTACAAGACAGACTTAATGGCATATTTGAGCAGGCTAAAGAAGGAATCAGTGAATCTCAGGATAGGTTGAGATTTTCTAGTCTGAGAAGCAGAAATAAAAAAGAATGAAGAAAAATGAACAGAGCCTTAGAGACCTTTGGGATACCACCAAGCATACAAATATACACATAATAGAAGCCCCAGAAGGAGTGGAGAGAGAAAAGGGAGAAATGTTGATAATTGAAAAAATAATGGTGAAAACTTATGAAATTTGATGAAGAACTTTAATCTACATATCCAAAGAGCCTAATAAACTCCAAGCAAGATAAACTCAAAGATATGACATCTGGATACATAAGAATCAAACTGTCAGAAGCCAAAAGCAAAGAGAAGCTCTTGAAATTAGCAAGACAGAAGCAACTCATCAAGTACAAAGAATCCTCAATAATATTATCAGCTGATTTCTCATTAAAAAGTCATGGAGGGCAGAAGGCTGTGGGAAGATATAATCAAAGTGCTCACAGAAAAAAAATGTCAACTAAGAATTCTATATCTGGCACATTATCTTTCAAAAATGAAGGAGAAATTAAGACATTCTAAGATAAACAAAACAGAGAGTTCGTTGCTAGCACACCTGTCTTACGTGAAATACTAGCAGGAGTCCTTAAGACTGCAACAAAAGGTCTCTAGGCAACAGCTAAAATTCATATGAAGAAAATAAAGAGCACTAGCAAAGGGAATTATATAGGTAACTCTAAAAGAGTATGTACTGTATTTTTGTTTGTAACTTTTTTTCTACCTTATTTAAAAGACAACTTCATAATGCAATAATTATACACTTAAGTTGATGGACACACATGTGTAAAGATATATTTATGACAATAACAGCCTAAAGGGGGTAAGATGGAGCTACATAGGAACAAAGTTTTTGTATACTATTGAAATTAAGTTGCTATTAATCCAAATTAGATTGATGTAAATTAAGATGTTAGTGGTAATTCACAGCGTAAGCAATAAGAAAATAACTCAGAAGTATATAGTAAAAGAAACAAGGGAATTAAAATGGTACACTAGAAAATATCTATTTAACACAAAGGAAGGGAGTTATAGAGGAATTGAACAACAACAAAAAACAAAACCATATAAAACAAATGGAAAACAAATAGCAAATTGGCAGATGTAAATCCTATCATAGCAGTGAGGATTAAATGTAAATAGATTAATCTCCCCAATCAAAAGTTAGAGATGGATAGAATGTATTAAAAAACAAACTTAACCCAAGTATATTGTATTGTCTACAAGAGACATGCTTTATCTTCAAAAACACAAAAAGGTTGGAAGTAAAAGATAGGGAGAATGGAAAAATATGTGCCATGCAAGACTGAAAGCTTAGTCTCTAAGATCAAGAATAAGACAAGGATGTCCACGTTCACTACTTCTATTCAACGTTGTACTGGAGGGTCTAGCCAGGGCAATTAGGCAACAAAAATACATAAAAGTCTTCCATATTGGAAAGGAAGAAGTAAAACTATAGTTGAACATGACATAATCTTATATATAGAAAACCCTGAAGAATCCACACACACAAAATTAATAGCTAATAAATGAGTTCAGCAAGGTTGCAGAATATATGATAAAAATACAAAAATCAGTTATATTTCTATACATTAACAATGAATAATCCAAAAATGAAATTAAGACAATTTAATTTAAAATAGCACTGACATGAATAAAATATTTAGGAATAAATTTAACCGAAGAAATGCAAGACTTTTTCACTGAAAACCGTAAAACATTGTTTGAAAAAAGTTAAAGAAGACCTAAATAAATAGTAAGACATCCCATGTTCATAGACTGGAAGATTTAATATTGGTAAGATGAACAATTGTTCAGATGACAATACTCCCCCTTGATCTATTGATTAAACGCAATCTCTACCAAAATTTCAAATGCCACTTTTACAGAAATGGATGAGCTCATTCTAAAATTCATATGAAATGGCAAGGGACCCAGAACAGCCAAAATAATCATGAAAAAGAACAACATTGTAGGACTCATACATCCTGATTTTAAAACTTACTACAAACCTACAGTAATCAAGATAATGTGGTACTGGTATAGGATAGACATGTAGATCAATGAAATAGAATTGAGAGCCCAGAAATAAAGCCGTACATCTATGATCAATTGCTTTCCAGCAAGATTACCATGACAAGTCAATGGGGGAAAGAATAGTCTTCAACAAATTTTTCTGGGACAATTGGATAGCCACATGTAAAAGAATGAAGCTGGGCCCCTACCTTTTCTCATATACAGAAATGGATCAGAGATAAAAATGTAAGTGCTAAACCTACAAAACTGTTCAAATAAATCATAGATGTAAATTTTATTACTTTGCCTTAGATAGTGGTTTCTTATATGTGATACCAAAAACACGTGCAATGAAAGAAAAAACAAATTTGACTTCATCAAAATTTAAAAATTTTTGTGTCAAAGGCTATCAAGAAAGTGAAGAGCCAACCCACAGAACAGGAAAAAATATTTGCTAATAACACAACTGATAGGCATCTAAAATTAAAAATATAAAGAACCATGCACTAGCTTATAAATAACTCCACTCATCCTTAGGTCTAGGTTCAAGAACTAAATCCACAAGGAAATCTTCCCCCACCTTCCATCATGGGTTAGGTTCCCCTCTCTCACACATACTACCCCATTATAAGCTCTCTGGAAATTCTTCCCTTTCTTTATGGCACTTATAATTTAAAATTTACATGTATTTAATCTTTGTTTAACATCTAAGTAGAGCTGAACTAACATAGAAATAACCACTGTTAACATTTATTTATTTATGAATAAATATGTGGATGAATTTAAATGAATAAATCTGTATAAAATTTAGGTTGTGTTATATTTCTGTGATCTTTTATGCTTTTTAAACTTTTATGTCAATAATATTTTTGAATGAATTTTGAAACTTTGTGGGTAAGACGGTTGTTTCTTAATACTTGCCAGTTTCTGTATGACCTGGCTACACTACTTGTCCTTTTTTTTCAATATCCCACCCTTGTTTTTTGACTGAGCTAGTTTGAGTTGGATGCTTTTCTTCCAGCCAATCATCTATGATTTGCAATTCCTCTGAGTCAGAAAGTAAACAAGAAGTGCATGGCCGAGGAAGTACCTGCGATACTGAGGTGGAGAGGTGAGAAGTCAGGGCTCTCGGACCTTGGTCCTAATTTTCTTCATCAAGGAAGACATGACACATCTACTGAGAATGAATAAAGGACTCTAAGGGACATGAAAAAGCTTTGGAAAAATCCTTTTCCAGAAAGGGATTCGAAATGTTCATCTCCCTGGGAGATGAGAAAGATCTGGACGTCTGTTGTAATTTACTCACCACTCAGTGAGCAAATGTCCATCGAAGCCCCCTAAATTGTTGTTAATGGTGTTGAGATCCTAGTGTTCTAGTATACTCACCATTGGAAACTTCTGGGGCTTAGAAAGTTCTTTCTTATAATCAGTTATATGTGCCTCTCCCAATACACTGGTGCACTTACATTCTTCTGAGGACACCACAGAATAAGCTATAGAGGAAAGGATTTGCCTGGTTGAAGGAAGTCATCAGGAATAGTTTCCTCAAGCTGCAGGTGACTTTTGATTGGGCCAGTGGGATATGGATGGAGCACTGACAGCATCTGCTACACAAACCAAGAGTCAACATTGAGGTAGAGCCATTCATTTTCCTCCCAGAGTGATCCTTCTTAATGGGTGGAAGTGGGTGAAGGTGCCTCAGAATCACATGGGGGCTCTTACACAGTTCATGTTCTGGAATCCACCTTCATGTCCAGAGGACATTGGAATTAGAGGGGGGAGAGCCTCAGACAGCAGCTTCTGATGTGCCCTTCTGGGTGAGATGGACTGGTGTGAAATGCTAAGGCATAAACAGGAGCAGCTGACTTGGCAGTCCCAGGCACCAACTGCTGGTGGTAATGGAACATCCACATCTTCCAAAGGCCTGCTGAACTTCTGACCCAAACTGCCTGATGCCAACATTTTGTTCAAAACCTTGAGACTAGTTAAATCTTTGCCACTCATTCATGGTATCCTCAGCCAAAATACAGTTCCTCAGGATGCCCATCTTCCATCCCCAATGCCTTGTGCTTCCTAACCCCACGTTCACCTCCCACTGAAAACCCTCCTGTCATCAATTTATTCTAGACCCCTTGAGTGTCCATTAAATTAAAAGGACTTTCCTATATGCTCAACGTCTTCCAGAGAAACTTCTCCTCTACCTCAGGCCTTTACAGGTAAGTTAGTGCTTTCTGCAAAGCTTTGTCATGTGGAGGCTGTGGGTTCTCCCTACACTCACCTGCTGTGACCTGGGCAGTGGCCTGGGCTTTAGCCAGTTCCCTGCTGCTTCTTCCAGATGGCCTCATTTTCACCCTTATGCAAAACTCTTCAGCAGATGTTACTATTGTTTCCCTAAGAAACATAAGAGAATCACTTGAGAAACTATAACAAACAATACAAAAATTCAGCAAAGGAGTGGGATGCAAAATCAGTAAATAGAAACCAACAACTTTCATAAATACAGTTAACAACCAAACCAAAGACCTAAGAGGAGGCCTGTTGTAAAAATATCAGTAAAGATGAGGCCCTTACACAGAAGTGTGCACTGCCTGTACGAAGGAAACTAATATCGTTGTAGGGTAAAGAAAAGACTTAACAAGTGGAAAGACAGACCATGTAATTGGACAGAAAATGACAGCATCATAAAGATGTCATTTCTGTTGAATTAATTTAGAAATTTAAAACAAAGCCAATATAAATACCAAGGTTTTTAAAACTGGATTATCTAATTAATTCTTAAGTTTATATGGAAATACAATTTTAAAGTAGTGAGGAAGAATCTTAAAAAGAACTGTATTAGTGGAGGATTAGAGCATTATGGAGGTTAAGATACCAAACATCTTATGAAGCCCAATAATTAAAATAGTGTGGCACTGGCACATTAATAGATAGATGAATGGAACAGAATAGAAAATCCAATAATAGACCCACAAATAGACAAGAAAGTAGTGTAGAAGGGGCATTTCAAACCTGTAGATGGACTATCCAATAGTTGAGACAACTGAGAAGCCACCTGAAGATAAAGCTTGATCTATTCCTTGCCCTGCATACAACAGAATCAATTCCAACTGGGTCAAAGATTTAAATATTTTAAAAACTTAATCTAAAATCACTAGAAAAAGACACAAGAGGATTTCTTTATAACCTTGGAGGAGATGAGAGTTTTCTAATTGTGACTCAAAATCTAAATGCTATAAAGAAAAAGACTGAAATGAAAATGATGAAAAACAACTTCAGGACAAAGTAAGCAAAGTCAAAAAAGAAAAAAATATTTGTAGCTCATCTCTGGGCTTAGACTTTAAAAAGTAATGGAGAAAATGTAAATAATGGAGATTAAACTTAAAAATGTATTGTGTCTGTGAATTACATTACATTGTGAATAGCATAACAAATTGAGTAGGTATTCTTCCATCATTAGAGAACCAGTATCTGATTCAGCAAAGAAGTCACTGAAGTCATTGATACATGAGTAAAGCTCCAATATACTTCTCCATTGTTTCACTTCTGTCTTAATTTAAGCAAAAATATCAACACTCTTTCATCTATTGCAACCATAGCTTGGCTACAGATCAAAGACTAGCAAAAATCATTGAAAGCACCCTATGAAAATCAATTGGCTATATGGAATTTACAATAAAGAACATTTTATATTTTATTGTTACTTAAAAATTGTGTGTGATAATTCTTTATACTAGCAAAATTTATAATAAACTATGTATACACAAATGCATACTTTATTTTAGAGACCTGGTTGTTAAATATTGGCCAGACCACCACTGTTTTAAAACAATGAAAAGTCAGCAAGAAGAAATTTTCTGAAATAGGTGTGCATGTATGATTAAAATATCTTAAATTACTACAACCAATGTTTTCCAAATCAGACATGACAAACTAATTAGATTGAATTGTTTCATTAATTTAATAAATTTAATTTAAAAAATTTTAAATTAAATTCTAAAAATACATAGCTTTAACAGGAAAAATATGGAATTGCTATATCTTTAGGCTTTAGTAAATGTTATAATTTATGAGAGCTGTAAGGCATAGAGGGAGGGAGAATTGACGACAGTACCAATGGCATTGGGGTCTCGCATTAAACCCTAAGCCATAGAGTAAGCTGGGACAGCTGAGAGGAGCAGGCTGCAGTTTTTAATGAGCACGTATGAGACACCCCCTGGGAAACTCCAGAATTAACTAACCTTGGCACAGAGCATTGCAATTAAAGAGATGGGGGCTAATGAGTGCTAATTTGTTGCTAATGTCAGTATGACCTCATTTGGTACCTACAGCCCTGTGAGACCTAGGGGCATCCATGTTATAACTAATTAAGAATTGAGGGTGATGTTTTACATCATAAATACCAAAACAGCTTGGCAATGCATACCAGTAAGAGGGTGAGACTATGTGTTCAGAGGGATGAAACCAATTTACATATCCATAGACCAGTGCTGTCAGTGACGGGTTATGGGACAAGCAACGTGCTGATATATGAATTCAAAGGCATGGATGTTACTCCTGACTCTGTATGTTACCAGCCTTGTGATGGTGCAGTGGTTGAGCTTTTGATTTGCTCTTCAGTAAAACAGGTGCACATGGTATATCCTCTTGGTGCCTCCACTGTATTAGTCCATTTTCATACTGCCATGAAGAAATACCCGAGATTTGGTAATTTATAAAGAAAAAGAGGTTTAATGGGGTCACAGTTCCATATGGCTGGGGAGGCCTCACAGTCATGCCAGATGGTAAAGGAGGAGCAAAGGCATATCTTACATGGCAGCAGGCAAGAGAGCGGGTGCAGGGGAACTGCCCTTTATAAAACTATCAGATCTTATGAGACTTATTATCTATCATGAGAACAGCATGGGAAAATCCCAACCCCATGATTCAATTACCTCCCATTGGGTCCCTCCCGAGACACATGAGGATTATGGAAGCTACAATTCAAGATGAGATTTGGGTGGGGACACAGTCAAACCATATCACCCACCCCGGTCCTTGGTATGGACCAGTGCCTGCCCTCCATGCTGTTGGAAGTATGGCTGCCCACTGCTCACAGCTACCCACGCCCTCTGGAGAATTGCCCTCAGCTAATAGATCTGTTGCACTTGAGAAGTTACAGCCCCCCTCCTCCCACCACAGGCAGCCCCCAGCTAATGACTGACTGCCTTGGAGGAAGAGAAAGCTGGACCTCTTGCTCCAAGAAGGGCCACTCTGCAATGTAGTGAGTGCTCTGAAGCCCCCATCCCTGTCCCATGGATCAGGCCCCAGCTGGGCTTTTTCTGAGACCACCTCCTTGCTTGGCTCCTTCCCTTGCCCTGTCCTGCTTCACCCCCTTCCTTACTGAGAACTGTCCCTCAACATTTTACACACACCAAAATCCCTGCCTCAGGCTCTGCTTCTCAAGGACCTAACCTAAAAGAGAGTTGTAATTCCTGGTCTGCCTATTTTATAGGATTGCCATTGTCTGACACTAACTTGAAAGACTGGATTGGACTTAGGCCTGCTGTGAGCTGTGGGGACCTTTGCAAGGTCCAGGGAGCTGGGCTAAGCCAGGCGAAATATTACAAAGGGCAGTCCAACTCAGTGGCATCCCAGGATAGTGAGCAGACACGTCAGCTACAGATCAGCTAAGCCCACAAAAGCCCAAGGTTATCCAGAACCCACCTCAAGGGCAGCAAAAACTCTAAGAGCAGTAGCTGAGGCTGAGACATGCATGAGGCAGGCCTGGTCCCTGGGCAGGCTGGGCCAAACCATTTAAAAGAGCAATTGCAGTGGAGTCCAGTAAGTCTACACAAAAACAATCTGAAAACCAAAAGGGTGCACAAATGAAAGTTCATTTTCACAAATAAAAAAGGCATTATCATTTATGTGAAGTAAAGGGGATCTTATGGATGACATGTGCTCTAGATTACATTCCACCATTCTGAAATCAGGACAATGAACCCTTCTTTGACTCCTTCCAGATCTAAGCTACAGGACTCTACGTGGGTAGAATTGCAACCTAGAAAGCTGCTTTGGGAAACCTAAGTTCCTTTGGGTGGCATTGAAAATAAACCAAGATATATTAAACACACAGAATGTAGCTAAAGCTTTTAGCTGGTATATTAGAAAAAAAAAGAAGAGCTGAAATTCTGTGATTTAGCTATTATCTCTGAAGCCAAAAAAGAATCACAAAGTAGAGGAAAAGACAACAGCAAAAATCCATGAAATGGGAAATAAATGCATAGTAGAGAAAATCCATAAAGCCAAAACCTGGCTACTGGAAAACTAATAAAATTAATAAACTAAGCAAGACCGATCAAGAAAAAGAGAAGAAAAATGCATTTCCACCATCAGGGAGTTAGACTCGCTGTATGTGAAATGCTCTTGGAAGCAGGTGGAGGTTGAGGGGAGCTGCCATCGAGATGCATTTCAGGTACCTCCATGGTTAAGAGCCCAGTGTTGGGCAGATTATAAATTCAGCCTCCTGGCGTGTGCAGACTTTCTGCCTTACAGCCCATATATCATGCTAGGATCAGCTTTTTATATAAAAAAAAATATATATGTATTCCAAAGTTAGGATTAAAGACTAGCAAAATAAAGACTAAGACTGAAAACAAAATTGGGCTTCCTTAGGTTGGGTTCCCCAGAAGACAAGGACTCTAGTTTATTTGAGAAGTGGCCTGAGGAAGCATGGGTGGGGGTGGGGAAGTGGCCATTGCTGTCCTCTGATGGCCACCACACCCCTCCCCTCCCAGGTGAGCACGCTGCTCCTGCCTCGCTGCAGCCTGCATCCCTCTCACAGGTCTAACCAGCTCTGTAACTGTTCTGACCAATGGCATGTGGCAGAGACGTCATTCTGGCACTTCTGAGTTCAGGGCACAAGAGGGCTAGCAGCTTTTCTTTCTCTCTGCTGGGAAATCTCACCGCCGCATGGGAAGGAAGATCAGGATGACCACAGACAATGAAACAGCATGGGAAAGAGAGCCACATGCAGCAGCATTGAAGGGCCAGGAGTGAATGGAAACTGCCTGGACCTTCCGGCCCAGCCCTGCGGCCAGCTGAACACAGCTGAGTGATGACCCCAGTAAATGGCATGTGGAGCAGCAGATCCCCCTGGCTGAGTCTGACCTGAGCTCCTGACCCACAGAATCAAGACAAATAATACATAATTGTTGTAAGCCCTGTCATTTGGGGGTAGTCATCTATTACAGCAATAGATGACTAAGTCAATGCCAGGCCATTCTTGACCAGGTCACTGCTTGGGCAGCTGGGCTCAGTCACACTGGGCTTCTGGGAGATGGTGTCCAACACGCCTTGAGATGTCTCACTTGGGGATGAAGCTGGGGCATTCTCTCACTAACACCTATTGTCCTGGGTGGAGGGCTGCTCATTGGGGTATTAAATGTGAGCCAGAGCAGACCCTGTTCCTACAGCCAGTGGGAGGCAAGTGCTTGCTGGAGGAAATTGTCCCATGCACAGGAATTATACGGGTTCAGTGGCCCTGAGCAGGGTGGCAGGTGGCACAGGCAACAAGATCCAGGCCCTGTGTGCTACTCCTGACTTGCTTCTGCTACTCACACCCAACCCATCCTCATTGCACCAACTCGATCAGACTCAAGTTCTTCACCTGTCCCTGCCTTCTGGAATGATGTTGCACTTTTCTTGGGATGCTCCTTCCCCTTTCATTATTCTAACTCCTATTTTACCATCAAAGGTCAGTGCAAACACTTCCTCTTGGAAGTTTTCAGTATCAGTTAAATATCTTTCAGTTACAAATTAAAAAAAAAAACAGCTACTCAACTCAAATAAGCTTCAGCAAAAGAGAAATTATTAATTTGTTTAACTGCAAAGTCTCAAAGTAGGACAGGCTTCGGGCTCAGTTTGACCAAGGCTCAGTTGATGTCACCAGAAAACATTGTCTCTCTTGGCCTCTGGATTCAGCCCTGTCCATCTCTGTGTGGTGACTACATTGTCAGGCTCCAAATAGTGGTGGGATGGCTGCTACTGCTCTAATTCATAATCTTCTCAATTTCAAAGAAGAGGCTTTAAAACAATTCCTGCAGTTTTCTAGCATTAGTTTAGGTTACATGCTCATCTCTGAACAAGTCCAAGAAGCTGGAGGAAGAAGTATGCTGGTTGTCTTTAGCCTGGTTCATATCCTGTAGTCCTAGGGCCAAAGGCTGGGGCCTCACCTGGACCAATGGGTGATGGATTGGTCCACAAATAAAACTCAGGGGTTGTTGCCTAAATAGGGTGACAGGATGCTAAGGGACGTGAGGCAGCAAATGTCCTCTACTCCTTTCCTGAACATCTCACCTACTTTCCTCCTGCCCTGGTTTAATTTAAATGCCCTTTTTCTGTGACTCTGGCATTTGCCATACTGTATTATAACAGTTGCTTTATGTGATTTTCTCCACCAATGTCCTGTAAAACTTTGT
The DNA here is from genome assembly GCF_000001405.40 of Homo sapiens. Classification (NCBI taxonomy): domain Eukaryota; kingdom Metazoa; phylum Chordata; class Mammalia; order Primates; family Hominidae; genus Homo; species Homo sapiens. The sequence goes on from NC_000020.11 coordinate 20,928,026, forward strand.
GGACAGAGGCCATGATTGACAGAGGTCATGATTGATGTGCTTTTATATCTTCATACATACTCATCCGCACCAGCATTGCAAATTAATTAGGTCCCCCAAAATGCTTGTGGAATGAACAAACAAATCAATCAATGATCAGCCATAAATAATTATGTAAACACTTTCATTAGAACAAGCACAGTCATGTAAGAACAAAGGCAAGACTCTAACTGATAGATGTTTACTTTTGTTTGTTTGCAAATTTTATTAAAATATAAATACACAACAAGTACATAAATTATAATCAATGGAAGAATGTTCATAATCTGGACACAGTTACATAACCAGAACCAAGATGAAGAGACAACATTACCAGAATTCCAAAAGCTCTTGTTTACTACCTACCTCTAAAGACAACCACTATCCTGACTTGTTAGTTTTACTTGTTTGTTTGTTTGTTTGTTTTGTCTGATTGTTTGTTTGTTTGTTTGTTTGAGATGGAGTCTCGCTCTGTCACCCAGGCTGGAGTGCAATGGCGCGATCTGGGCTCACTGCAAACTCTGCCATCTGGGTTCAAGCGATTCTCCCGCCTCAGCCTCCCGAGTACCTGGGATTACAGGTGCCCACTACCACACCTGGCTGTTTTTTGTACTTTCGGTAGAGATGGGATTTCGCCATGTTGGCCAGGTTGGTCTCCAACTCCTGACCTCAGGTGATCTGCCCACCTCAGCCTCCCAAAGGGCTGGGATTACCACTCCTGGCCAGTTTTGCTTGTTTTTGTAGCTTGTTTGTTCTCATTGCTACATAGTGTTCTATTACGGGATTATGCCACAATTTATGTACCCATTCTACTGTTGATGGACTTTCAGGTGGTTTCCAGTTTGGGGCTACTACAAATAATGCTGCAGTGAACAGTCACAAGTGTCTTGTTAGTGAACATATGGACATGTTTCTGTTGAGTATATACCTACAAGTAGAATTGCTGTTGTAAGGTAGGGATGTATTCAGCTTTAGAAGACACTTTCAGTTTTCCAAAATGGGGGTACCAATTTACGCTTCAGCTAGAAATGTAGACACTTGATTGATTGAATTTTGCAGTTTTCATCTGCATAACCCATGAACACATTTTTCATGTATTCACAGAGCTATGTACACAATAGATGATTGATAAATACTATATGGATGAATGAAGGAATGAATGAATGAAGTACCACACTGAAGAATGCTGAAGAGCCACAGAATTTGATGAAAGCAAACTTTCCCCTTCCTTGACTACAATGTGAATTAAACGAAAGACTTTGTGGAGGATTTCATTCATAATCCCTTCAAAATGAGTTAGTCCTGCTATGTACTGAATGGATTATGCATGAATCCCAAAACAAATCCAACTGCAATTAATGTTTTAATAAACTGGTTGCTAGTGTATGCAATACCCACAACTCGTCAGGAGGGATTTTATTATATTTGTAAACATTAATTAGTTGTTTGTTATTGTCAAACTAAATTTAAAATAAATCCACAGCATCGCTGGCCACTTGGGTGAAAATATCTCAGTGGTGACTGTAATTAGAAAATAGATGTGAGAGAATAGCCTTAATTAGTTAGCTAATGGCGAGCTTTCCACTAATTGAAACGAGGAGTCTCTATCTCACAGGGTGATACAATAAATATCTTAGGTGTGAGCGTGAGTAAGAAGTGAACTCCTGTGGGTATTAGTAACAAGCCCAAATGTTCTTTTAACCCTTTCCTTGTGGTATTTCCATAAGAATCCACATGCTTGTTGCCAAATAAAATACAAAATAAAGAGGAGGTTTTTGGCAGGATGAAACTGATTCTGTCCTAGCCAAAATAGGGAATGGCCTCCCTAATGCCAGATTCAATTTTAGTCCTTGTCTCTCTGAACTCCTCTGGGGCAGGTGACCCCCTATTTTCCTGCTTCTTCTGCTTCTGTGGACACTCATTCTCAGTTTTCTTCATTGTCTCTTCTTTCTCCTAATGCTTACGCATTAGTGTTCTCTAACGTTCTAGTCTTCTCATCTTTTTTATCTTGCACTCTCTCCCATGATGGTCTCATTCACTGCTGTGGTCTTAACCTCCACCCATGTGCAGGATCCTGGATCTGTGTCTTCTTTCCTGCCCTCTCTCAGGCTTCAGACTCAGGTGTCCCATCATCTGCTCATATTCCCTACTGTATTTCTTAAGGGACTTTGTAGCAGATGCTGTTTGCAGTTCCGTCCAAATGTTCCGGGGTCCCGTGTGTCATGTCTGTGTTCTCCTTCTCCAGCTTCTCTGCGGCTTTGCTTCTACCTGCCTGCACCTGTCACTCTCTTGGGTGAATGAACCTGGGCTCTCCACATAATACAGAGAGCCAGAAGGGCCAGAGTTCCCCTCTTGGGTCAGGCTGAGGGTGGGACTTTACCCGAGAGCTCATCCCTGCTGGGCTTATTCCCTTCCCTGTCCCGCTTCCTCCATGTCCTTATTAGTCTCCCCTGGGAGCACTTCCTTAATAAGTCGCCTGTACACAAACCTCATCTTAAGTTCCATTTCTACTAACCTGGCCCAACATATATACCAAGCAAAATACATCATCTCCCCACAAAATGAAAAAAAATATAGTTCCTTCTTTTATATTTCAGCTCTCCACTGGTATCACTATTGCCTAAGGCAGAAAAGAAGAAGTTCTCCCCTTCCCCATTTACCTGCTACTTTCAGCCACATGGAAATGCTCCCCAGATCCTGACAATACAACCCCTCCCTATCCTCACCATCCCCTCCTTATCCCCACCATCCCCTCCCTATCCCCACCATCCCCTCCCTATCCCCACCATCCCCTCCCTATCCCCACCATCCCCTCCCTATCCCCACCATCCCCTCCCTATCCCCACCATGCCCTCTCTATCCCCATCATCCCCTCTCTATCCCCACCATCCCCTCTCTATCCTCACCACCCCCTCTCTATCCATTGATCCTTCCACTCCATCTGTTGCAGAGACATCTACCCGCCCTCCAAACTTCAAACTTTCCCATTCATAGTTTGGGGTTGCTGCCAGGAAGCAGCAGCCAGTCAAGACTACATTTCCAAGCTGATGACCTTGCAACTGAGCAGGCCACATGCCCAGTTCTCACCTATGACAATGGAAGTGACGTGTGTGTCTTCCTGGTCAAGGTTGTCAAGAAGTGGGTGGGGCTCTTCCACTCTCTCTTTCTCCCTTCTGCCTAGATGTACAGGACTTGAGGTCCCCAAGGCTGTGAAATTGCAAGAAAGAAAGGATCTGGGGCTGCTGAGCTACCCGTGGGTGAAGCCCTCCCATGACCAGAAGCACACTCCCATTGGACAAGGACAGAAGCCTTTGTGATGCTAAAGCCACTGAAATTTGAGGGTGTGTTTGTGTGGCTGCGGGGGTGCCCTGGATTACTACACCACCTCTGCTGCCATTACTTATTTAGGATCGTCCCTGCCTGGATTCCTGCATTCGCTCCTGACATAGTCTCCATCCTCCTCACCCGTCACAGATCTGTCTTTTACCTATTCACCAGAACAGAGCAACCTAATGGAAATGCAAATCTGACCTTGTACCTCTCTGTTCTTCAAGAGTCTTGAACACCTCCCATGCCCTGTTAAGTACTGGATAAAGGTGAAGTTTCCCAGCACCTTAAGAGACCTGCATGCCTAACAGTTCTCTCTCAGCCACTCTCAGCCTTGTAATTTATACCCTAGGAGTGCCTGACTACTTACAGCTCCCTGAAAGCATCTGCTGTCTTACCAACACCTGGACAGTCCTACCTCGAATTTGCCGGCTGATTGGTTCCTGCTGATTTTTGAAGATTTAACTTGGACAAGAAGCCATCTTAACATTTCCCCAGGCTGCAGTAGAGCCCTCACTGGGAGTTTCTTCCAGTGCACCAAGAGGCCTAGACTCAGCCACTCCCCAGTCCCTCTTCCCAACCAGACCAACCTGCACACTTGTTGAAAGTAGGGATCCAGGCTTTACATTCCAGAACCGACTCTCTGTCCATATTACTAATCAAAAGTATGAGAGACCAACTTTTCAAAATTATTTCCAAGTTCTGAGATAATTTTCAAGTTCAACAAATATGGAGGGCACGCGTAGCAGGAAAAGTTGCTGTGTTTTGTCATTTCCTTGGCATTGCTAGAGATGGGTTGAAGAATAGTCTGGCAGTAATAGGGGAGAGACAATATTAGAGTGGTGATGGAGTGGACAAGGAAGCAAGAGAGAGGTGACATCTAGGGAGAGACGGGAAAACCACAGTGTGGGGGTAGGACTGTGGACCTCAGGTTTGAAATCCTTAGACCCAGAAGGAAATGTTCTGGGTCCGTTGGTTCAAGTGCCAATTGCGGGTTCAGAACACGGAGCTCTGGACTGATGAGCTCCTTGTCCAAGTGCATCCTGCCCACCAGTGACCAGTCTAAAATAAAGGCCTGGTCACGAACACTCTGGCCTCTCTCAGTTTTACTCTCTGCTGCCTTCAGGAGCTAAGCTTTTGCCAGATGAAGCTGGAAACTTCCATCCATTAGTAACAACTTCTCTTCCCCGGAACTCTAGCAACTCAACTGGAAACATGCACCAGGGAAGAGAGTAGGTCTGGAAGAAGGACTGTTCTTTATTAGGCCCACACTGAAATTAAAAAAGTTTTATTCACATCTCTCATTCTGGCTTTGACAGATTTCATGAGAAATCCCTCTATCTGTGGGTCTTACCGAAAGAAGCATTTAAAGAAAAATATGTCCGTTAAAAAAGCAAATAACTAGTGCTGCTGTGTTAGCATGGTTTGCTGTTGTCGGGGGAGATGGTGGCTTAGTGAGATGTAGCAGGTTAGGACATTTCTATAGGGGCCTCTAAATCACTTAATGGTGAAAGGGATTCCCAGATGGCCTTATCAGCATCTATGTAAAATTGTTAGATATCTGCACCAACTAATAAATTTGACTTGGAGCTTGGTTTTCTGACATTTCCTCAAATCCTCAGAGAACCGTAGTTACTGTATATCCTTGTACAGTATTTGAATTCAGAATTGCTATGCCTGGTTGGTTGCCCACCAGGACAGGAAATAAAACTCCATAATACAATGTCATTTTTTTAAGTCTGAGCATTATTAGTTGCCGTGATATTGTATGACAAACTCATGTTTCTTTTTTTTTTTTTTGTCTCAAATGTTTTATTCTCCAGTACAACTCATTTGCATTGTTGTCCCATATGGGGATTTGTACACCGTGGTACACGATAAAGATGCAGAAGGGAATTAGGTCATCAGGCATGCTCCTTTTTCTTTTAATAACCCCATCCAACCTCCTGCTTCTTAATCTCATGCAGACAAAAGCAATAGAAGCTAAGCCTTCCAGAGCCGTGATAGGAAAGGCGGACGCGCAAATCCACCAACATACATCCTTTCACTCGCAGTGGATGTATTTAATTAATCCCATGTGGACTGGTCTTATTCAAATAAAACTATATTTTATAAACTGCTGCCTTGTTTTCTGGTCTGTGTGGTGACCCCTGATTGAGGCAGCTGTGCCGTTTTAAGCAGTCAGTTATTAAGGGTCTGGGTTTCTTTCTGCTAATGGCGTCATGCGGAAAAGAATCTGTATTCTACGCAGGGTAAAAACATCCCCAGTGGGTAAGGAATTAGGAGAACATTGGAGGGGTATGAAGCGGTGGCAGCAGGCAGAGGAGGGGAGGGTGAGCAGGAGGGAAGGTGGGAGGCAGCGAGGTCCCAGCTGTGACCCTGGACAGGCGATGAGCTTGGAGATTGGATGGCTTCCGCAGGCTGGCGCCCACGTGGGCCAGTCCTCCTCATGCCAGGCGGGGTTCTGAGCAGCAGTTTGCTACTGAGGGTCTTTCCAAACCTCTGACTACATGCCATTTAGTACCCAGGACAACCCCACGTTACTGAAGTAGAGGTCAAGTTGCTGGCATAATGACAATATTAGAAAACTCTCCACTAGCTCTTAACATGTGTCAAACATTCTTCTGGCATTGGCTCATTCAATTCTCACTAAAACTCTATGAGGTAGCTATTATTATTATCATCCCCATTACAGACTAGGAAACTGAGGTATTAGTTAAAATGTTCAGGAGCACTTGGATAGCAATACTCAAAATGAACCAGTCTGACCCAAAGACTATGTTCTTAACCATTACACAGCCCAGTCTCCGAGGGGCATTGGTTTTACCCCAGCCAGGACTTGAACATTTAGGACATTCCCTTCGGAAATGCGTCCTAGGTTCACCAAAGGACATGACCTAGACTATTCATAAAAGCAGTATTATTTCATAATAGCATCAAACTGGAAACCACCCACATGCCCACCAATAGAATGAAGAAATCATGGCATAGTCACAAAACAGAAGACTCTACAGTGATGAGAGTAAAGGACTCACAGCTACTCACGGCCACATGAATGAATCTCACAAACATGAAAGGTGTTGGACACAAAAGAACACATAATGAATGTTTCCACTTAAAGTTCAAAAACGGCCAAGCTGTCTATGGGGAGAAATCAGGAGAGTGGTTACCCTTGGTGTGGGGTTAATGGCTAGAAAGGGCACAAGATGGGGTTTTGGGGATGGTCATGTTTTATGTCTTGATCTGAATGGTGATTACATGGGAGGGTTCATTTTGCACAAATTCATCAGAATTGATACAGGGATATATGTTTCTATATGTATGTCATGCTTAATAAAAAGGGCAAAGATTAAAAAAAAAAAAAGACATGGCCAAAGAAAGAGTCCAGTAAAAGCCTCAGAATTGATAGTCAAAACACCATTTGTCAATGATACATCCAGTTCCTCACCAGGAACTGACTTCAGGCCAAGGGGGAAAACACATGGAGAGCTTACTAGGGTGCAAAAAGCTCAGGAGGAGAGTTCCCTTGTTTATAACCTGAAAGCCTCATTCCACACTCCGCTGAGCCACTAACTGACTGTGTGGCCTTCATTGAGTAAGGTCACCTGGATGAACATAATCTATGCATTTTTTAATCTGTTAAAAGTAGTAAGAATAATGAACTACACAGGTGTTTTAGTGGCTCTAACAAGGTCAGCTCCCTGGGCAAGAAGCTTAGACAGCGATCCATTTGAAAGCTCATCCAGAGGAGAAATACTCTTTGGACAAAACATTACAATTCCTTCAGGGAAGGTTTGCCATTATCAGCTCGCATTGAGACCCTTCCTACTACCTGCTATGCCCTGGCTTTCTCCTTTTGTTTTATTTATATTTTTTATATTTTCCTTCCAGTAGATTTATTTCATTTTTCCTACCAGGTTTTTAGAACACCGTCTCTCCAGCCTCCTGACATTTCTATACCTAGAAATGGAAGACAACTCATCTTTTGTGGAAGACACCTGGTTTTTCTTGATGCGAAGAGTCATAGCTTGGGTATTTTATTTGGAAGCACTTCCATTTCTCAGAGGATCTGCTTGTGAGTGTCAGATACCCACAGCTAGGGCAGAAGAAACACGTCAGAAGCAAACATCTGCCAGTGACACCTCTCAAACCTCTCTGGAGCTCAAATATTTTGGCAAACTTCAGCCTGATTTTAGGTGGGGTCTCAAGCAGGTGGTTGATGGGATGTGATGAGGAAAGAAAAGACCTGTTAGTCTTGGGAAATGCAAAGTTTGTTTGATTTGAGTTTTCAGAATTTGTTTATTTTTCTCATCAAAATCCTCATTAAAAGAGTAAGGGGGAAAAACTCCCTTTTGCTTTTATGGTAGGTGACGTATTCTGCAAATCCCAGGACAATCAGTCTCAGCCAAGCCCTTAAGAAAGCCAACTGGAGGCTCCTTTCTGCTTCAGCTTTCTAAATGTTCTGAAATTATAAAGCTGGATTTTTCCTGCTGTTTCTGTTTGGGAAGGCACTTTTTTAAAATTTAAATTTAAATTTTTTATTTCCATAGGCTTTTGGGGAACAGGTGGTGTTTGTTTCCATGAGTAAGTCCTTTAGTGATGAGTTATGAGATTTTGGTGCACCCATCACCTGAGCAGTATACACTGAACCCGATTTGCAGCCTCTATCCCTCACCCCCTACAAAGGAACTTTTTAAGAGAAGACAAGGGTTTATAACATCTTCCGGGGAAAAAAATCCACCAGATTATTCCGAGAGACTTTGTAGTGAACTGGAGTATAATGTTTGTGTGAAGAGTTGAATTTTGAATTTTCAAAGCAGGTATATTTCTTAACATGCTTTGTGATTGTTTTGTGAAAGATTTGAAGTTAGAAGATATTATTAACTTGTATTCTTTATTTTATCACTTTCCAGCATGTTTTAAGTAATATAAAAGATGCTTTATGGAGATGTGTGTGTGTGTGTGTGTGTTCAAAAGTAGTGTAAAGAAATTCCACTCACTTTTTTGGGGTGAACTTTTAATTGGTTTAACAAATATGGAGAAAAATGCATAATTTAAAGGTTTACAGCCCAGTGAATTTTCACAGAGTGAACACACCCACGTACTCAGCACCTAGTCCCACCAAACCTTCTCCACGCCCCAGCAACACCATCCCCAACCAAGAAAAATCATTACTCTGATCTCTAGCACCATAGAGTGTAGTTGTGCCTGTTTTGAAATGTATATGAATGGAATTACAGATTATCCGCTCTTTGGTGTTTAGCTTCCTTGGCTCCACATTGCGCGGGCAAGATCCGTGCCTGTTGCTGCCTTAGCGATAGTTTCTTCATGCTTAGGGTTGTCTCAGAGACCGTTCTGTGGATGTTCCCTAAATTGCTCACTCATTCTCCTAATGATGGACCCAGCTGAGTTAAGTTTGGAGTCATTATGAAGAAGGCTTTTCTGAACATTTTGGTACATGTTTTTTGGTGGACAGAGATATTCGTTTCTCTTGGGTGTATACCCAGGAGTGGAATTTGAGGTTATAGGGTATGTCTTTGTTCAGTTTAGTAGGTATTGCCAAACAGCTTCCCAAAGGGTTGTATCAACCAAGACTCCCATCATAATTCACCTGCAATTTTGCATACACCGCAATACTCTAACATCTCTTTTCATGCATGGTGTTGCTTTTTCTTCCTGCCTACCTATTTGCAATTTTCTAACTCATCACCACCCACTGTCCTTCCCAGACCCAGACTTAGCCTGTTGAGCACTGAACAGCATCGAAGTTCAAGGTTTGCTGATTACTTCATTGTTTATTTGCCTGTTAAGGAAGGAGGCAAGGAAGGTTAAAAGCAGTTTAGGAATTATGTATCGTTTCCTCTAACTACAGTCTCATGATACTCCATCCTCACAGGCCAGTTAGAAAGTCAGACATATTGAATGCTGGTAGAGATGGTTTGAGTACTCAGAGAGTGCAAAAAACAAACAAACAAACAAACAAACAAATACTACGTATTCTTTTCTTCTTAAGGATCAACAGTGTATTCTTTTCTTCTTAAGGATCAACTCATGGTTTATATGAATTAAATTTTTGGCAGTAGAATCAAATTAATTTCTAATAGAACTGGGTGGATTTCATCACTATCCAGGCTTCCTTGCATAATATTTGATGAGGGTGGATATAATCGAAATAAAGCAAATCCCAGCAGTAAATACTGGTGACTCTGAGCTGTCCTCTATGGAAGTAGAACTATCTCTTCAGGCTGGTGGGCATTCAATTCTACACTTTCCCTCTGATTTTTCATGGAAGGGGGGTTTACTCTTAAATACATAATGGATAAAAATGAAGATGGAGAGTGGATGGAGATTGGATGGAGAAGTAGGCAGAGGAAATAGTCTTACATCCCCGGATCAGGAAAGAATAAGGGCCCAGAAAAGTGGAAGGAAGCTATAGCACTGGGGGACTCAGAGGACCCCAAACTCTCTCCCACTATGAAGTTTCCTTGACTACTCAAAAACGACATTTCTTCCTAGTCTGATGACCCCACTCACCCCGTGACTAAAGACCGTGGACAGCCACGATTTTGGGGCTGACTGCTCATGTCCAGCACCCCCTTCCCTTTGTTCGTGAAGCTCACGTGGAAGCAGAGCCTTACAATGACCCCAGACGTCAGGGCTGGACCAACTGCCCGTATTAGATTTTTAGGGCAGCCAATAACTAAATACCACAGGGTAGCTTAAAACAACAGGAATGTATTCTCTCACATTTCTGGAGGCCAGAAGTCTAAAATCACAGAGGCAACAGGCCATGCTTCCCCCAAGATTCTGGGAGGATCCTTCCTGGCCCCTTCCTGGCTCTGGTGGCCGGCAGTCCCTGGTGTTGCTTGGTGTGTAGAGGCATCGCCACGATTTTTGCCTTGTTGTCCCATGACGGCCTTCTCTCTGCGGGTCTCAGTCCTCACATGGCATTCTCTTCTTCTTATAAGAACACCAGTTATGCTGGACTAGGGCCCACCCTAATGATCTCATCTTAACTCAGTTACCTCTGCAGAGACCCTATTCCTACTAAGGTCACATTCGCAGGTTCTGAGGGGTAGGACTTCAGCGTATCTTTTGTGGGGACACAATTCAACCCAGAATACCCTTTGTGTTGGGTCAAGTTCTCTAGAAGTAGAGCCTGAGGTGAGATTCTTGTTCAAGCAATGGATTAAAGATGTACCTTCCAGAGAAGGAGGGTGAGAGAATCAGGGGAGGGCAGGGGCAAAGGGAAGCAAGGATGTGGTCTCAGAGGAAGGTTAGCCTCAGCCTGGCTCCACAGGGTCTCTGAAGAATGAATTCTGCCATACAGTCAGTCCATTTTTAGGCCTGTGAGCCAGCTTCCTACACACTCATGTCACTCTGTCGTTGGCTAGGAGCCTCCATGGGTGTCATCTCCCAAGCACGGCGGTCCCATCTGCTGAGGACAGTTATCTGGAGAAAAGGAAGACATTCTCTGCTGTGAGAAGACAATTCTCACCGCAGCTGGGCATCTGTGTGGGGCATGGATGTCAGCCCCAGCACTTCCAGCAGCTGGTTTGCAGAGGGGGCCACAGACGTGCCTGCTGCCTTCCCGCCCCTCCCCCTCCACTGCCCATCGTCTCTTAAGTTTATACATTGAATGATTAAATGTTACTTTTGGATAAATCAGATTATTGCCAACTTCCCACTTAATAAATACAGAGCAGTAAGCAATATTTTACATTAAGCATTAAGTTTATACAGTTGATCCTTGAACAACGTGAACTTGAACTGCATCGGTCCACTTATATGCAGATTTTCTTCTGTTTCTGCCGCTCCTGAGACACCCCCCACTTCCTCATTTTCAGCTTATTCAATGTGAAGACATTGCACAAGGATGAAGATCTTAGTGATGATCCACTTCCACTTCATGAATAATAAATATATTTTCTCTTCCTTATGATTTTCTTTTCTTTTTAAGAAGTGCAGTGATGCAATTATGGCTCACTGTAGCCTCAAACTTCTGATCAAGGGATCCTCCAGCCTCAGCCTCCCAAAGTGCTGGGATTACACCTGCACCCATCGCCTTATGATTTTCTCTTTCTTTCTTTCTTTCTTTCTTTCTTTCTTTCTTTCTTTCTTTCTTTCTTTCTTTCTTTCCTTCCTTCTTTCTCTCTTTCTCTCTTTCTTTCTTTTTATTTCTTTCCTTCCTTCTTTTTCTTTCTTTCTTTTTTCTTTCTTTCTTTCCTTCCTTTCTTTCTCTTCCTTCCTTCCTTTCTTTCTCTTTCTTTCTTTCTCTTTCTCTCTTTCTTTCCTTCTTCTTTCTTTCTTTCCTTTTTTTTTGAGACAGGGTCTTGCACTGTTGCCCAGGCTGGAGTGCAACCTCAACCTCCTGGGTTCAAGCAATTCACCCACTTCAGCCTGCCAAGTAGCTGGGACCATAGGTATGAACCACCCCGCCCAGCTAATTATTGTATTTTTCATAGAGATCGGGTTTCTGTGTTGCCCAGGATGGTCTCGAAATCCTGGACTCAAGCAAACCACCCACCTTGGCCTCCCGAAGTGCTGGGATTACAAGTCCGAGCCAGTGGACCTGGCCCATGATTTTTTCTTCTGTCTAGCTTGCTTTAAGAGTATAGTGCATAATATCTATAACATATAAAATCTGTGTTAATGGACTATTTATGTTATCAGTATGGCTTCTCATGTGTATTAGGCCATTCCTATGTTGCTGTAAAGAAAGCCCCACTCTGTGGTTCTTTCTGGGCAATTCTGGGAGGAATTTAGTGTCCTCAGAGCTCCTGGTGGAACCCAGGCTCAGCTGCCTCCAGCATGAGCTCATATGCTGGTGTTTTTTCTTTCCCTTGCTTCCTTTCCCTGCTCCCTCACTCCTGCTTCCTGGGCCCACCTCCCAGATAAACCATCTGCATTCAAGTCCTTGTCTCTGGCTCAGCTTTCCCAGAAATCCCACCCAAGACAGCTGCCTAGAAGAACCTTTTACACCCAGTTTTTCTTGAAAAGCATGATTTACTCAAGATCAACCAGCCTATGGGCATTTTCTTGAGGAGTTTGATCGTGGCTGACGTTGACACTGGGCAAGTCAGCCATGATGGCCTAAAAGCATGGCCTTGGAAGTCCAATCTTTTTTGTGTGCCAGACCTAACCCCAAATTCCATTTTTTGTTTCAAGTGAGATAAATTTACATACAGTGAAATACATATTTTAAGTGAACAATTCAATGACTGTCAATAACCAAAATTCCTATCAAGATATAGAGCATTTTCCTTACCCCAGACAGTTCTTTCATGCTCCTTCCAGTCAAAGGTAACCATTGATCTAATCTCTATGACCTTATATTAGTTTTGTTTGTTCTTGAACTTGATATCAATGTTTTCACATTGCATGTATTCTTTAGTGTCTAGTTCCCTTTGCTCAACATGTTGTTTTTGAGATCTATCCATTTTATTGTATATATCAATCATTTGTTCCTTTCATTGCTGAGTAGTATCTCATATGAAAAAAAACACATTTTGAATATTCATTCCCCTCTTGATGGACATTTGGGTTGTTTCTACTTTGGAGCTATTAAGAATAAGGATACTATGAACATTCGTATACAAGTCTTTTTCTTGAAGAGCATATACATCTTTTCATTTCTATATATTTGGCTGAATGCCTAAGAGTGGAAGGCTGCTGGCACTTTTTTAATGTTTTAAAAATCTGCCAACTGTTTTTCAAAGTGGTTGTAGCATTTTATATTCCCACAAAAGTTATAGGAGAATTCCAGTTATTCAACTTTCTCATCCCTATTTGATGTTGTCACTCTCTTTTAATTATAGACATTCTCATCAAAGTGCCCAAATTGTTTCTTAAGTAGAATGTGATGATTTGGACTATTGTTTACTGACTTCCCTCCCATGGTGAAAAGCGTAGGCTTCCCCACCCCATTGATACTGGGTTTGACCATGAAACTTGGCTTGACCAGTGGAAGATTAATGGACAATATGGAAGCAAAGGCATGGAATATCCTTGTGCTGTGTCTTGCCCTGTTATGTTTCTGCCAGTGCCACAAGAACATATCCTGGCTAATCCACTGATCCAGTAAAGGAGGAAAGATGTGGGGAAGAGGTAGACCCAAATGGCTGCTCAGAGCCAAACACATTGGAGTCCAGCTACTTTGGACATTTTGGGAATATGTGATCCTTGTTTTAGGCCAATGGGTTGTGGGATGATTTGTTACACAGTATAACTGTGGCAGTGATTGATTGCCACCATAGAGCCAGGTGTCCTTGTCAAGCCTGTCAAACTGCCTGGAAGCATAACTGCCCCATTCCCAGCTGGACTACCTGCTGAAGTCTGCATTAACCAACATAGTGAATAGCTTCATTCTAACTACTCTGGGCAACCTTGAACTTCTTGCCACTCAATATTTATCAAAGGCTTGATTAAAAGAAACAATATTTACAAAGGACGGTCTGAAAGTTATGCCATCCAGCCATTGCCTGAGTCCTGTAAAATGTCTCGCTGCATTAATCTCAGGTGGCAGAGAGCTGGTGTCCTAGGACTGAATTGTTTTTGCTCTCTCAGAACAGCTTCTACCAGGTTGTGTTTTGGCATGACCCTATCAATGTATCACAGAGGAAATTATAGGGGAAACCTTCATGATGCTTGTGTTTGTATCTGCTGTAAGGACATTGTTGGGCATGCTCTGTGAAAAGGCAGGGGAGGGGGAGTGAGTTTTATTATGATTGATATTGTTGTAGTGTTAATTATTGACTATTCAAACAACCTCTTATCCACTATTCCTGTCTGCAATTTCCCATCACACTAAACTGCGCTGAATGCTTTTGCTTGCGTAATCTTTAAAATATAACTTTACTTATTGTACAACTATTATTGTACATATACAGATGCATACATACATATATATAGGAAAATATATAATATACAGACAAACATAGAGAGGGAAATAAAATTTATTTCTAAGACTTTCAATCAAAGATAAAGAGTCTGGATTTTGAATCTTGACTGTCCAGACTGGAATTCCACTTGCAGCATTTACCTTTAGCTAACTATTTAATCCATCTCTGCTGCTCAAATGGAATCTAACAAGATGTTCAAGCGGGTCTCAGCCCAAGACAATTGATGCTCCTTCCAAATAAGTTGCAAGTCCATGATATAGGTTTTATGAAAGAAGTGACTCGTGCTTGCTTTGTGACTTAATTGTTCACCCACAGAAATGGAATAAAAGGACTGGAGGCTACCGGAGAAGAAAGAAGATAATTTTTGGAAGAATTGATTCTGCTCTGAGTCCTGTACTCTCACAGAATAGAAAGGTTTAGATGTTCTGTTCATCTCAAGTCAAAGGAATAGTGCCTATAGAGAAGTTGAGGGCATGATGAGGTCTCCTGCAGTCATGAAGACACAGTGGACTGGTCTGACCCAAGCCTGACACCTTAAATGGAAAGAAACAAGCTAACTGTTCTGATGGCAAAAGGCAAAATGAAGTGGCTGCCCTGAGCAAACTTCACTCCCAGAGTCTCTGAGGACAAAGGATAAACAAGTGTTTCCTGTGTGTTATGCATGAAGGAGCATCTTCCTGGAGTCATCCCAGAAGCTGCCTGGGAGTCATCTGAAGAAGCAAAAAGATCACCTTTGAAAGGAGATGGAGATACCACCAGATGCTTTTTGGCTGGAGAAGGAGTTCATAACCAACCATCCAAAGAGAGACGCTTTCATCAGCAATAAGGTAACTGAATATGGCAGATCCCTAGGGAAGTAAGAGAACCCATAAACATGGCCCTTGACAAAAATGATGAGCCTTAAACACCTGCAAATCCAGAGAGTGCCAACACCAGCTCTCTACGCTCTCCAGGAGCCAAGTAACAATGTTCCCACCCCTTTCCCGCCTTTCCTCCTCAGCCCAGCTCCTCCCACCTACTTCCAGGTAAGTCACTCTCCCAGGCTGGGAAAGGGGAATAATGGCAACCATGAATGATGCATAAAGTATTGATTACTACCCTGAACTAGGCATATTAGCTATTGACAGGAAAATGGGCAGAAAACACATGAGACATGCTAATTTTAATCTATGGGCAAGAGGAGAATGAGTCCAAAGGGATCATTTTAAAAGGCAGTGGCACAAAGGAAGCTACTTTGGGATTATATCCTACAAACCATGCTGTTTCACCGTACTGGCAATAGGCGGATAATAATGGCATCTAACTTCATAAGGGGAAGGAATAAATGACCTCATTATGAAGAAATGAGCTAATGTGTGCAGAGCACTTAGGACAGTTGCTGACAATATTATACTACCAGCAATTTATTGCCTCTCTGATTAGTGGCTTGTTTTTTTGTTTTTTTGTTTTTTTTTTTTTGAGATGGATTCTCACTCTGTCGCTCAGGCTGGAGTGCAGTGGCACAATCTTGGCTCGCTGCAACCTCTGCCTCCCAGGTTCAAGTGATTCTTCTGCCTCAGTCTCCCAAGTAGCTGGGACTACAGGCACGTGCCACCACGTCCGGCTAATTTTTTGTATTTTTAGTAGAGACGGAGTTTCACTGTGTTAGCCAGGATGGTCTCGATCTCCTGACATTGTGATCCACCCACCTCGGCCTCCCAAAATGCTGGGATTATAGGCGTGAGCCACTGTGCCCAGCCTAATGGCTTGATTTTAGTTACGAATGTTCTCAGTTTAGAGTTCAAAAATTATTAAATTTCTATATAAATATACATATATATAATAAATATTAAAATTAATATATAAATTTTAATAAAACTAGATTGGTACAATTTTTAGTCATTTAACTACAACTCATGTTATTAAACATTTTTCAAAAGCAAACTTTTTATGGTTACAAATATCCCATCCCACAATAGCGCAATAATATGCTGAATCATTTAGCTGCTCCTGGATTATTTGAGAGTCATTGTGTTAATACACAGCTCAGCCTGTCAGCACTCTTCCTTTCTAGCCTTAAGTGCCTGTACATCACAGCATGCCTCCATCAAGTCAGGATTTTTGCCTTATCCCAAACAGGAGAGTAGCTCTAGCATCTTCATTTGTTTTTCACGCAAAGAACAAAAACTGTCTTGTTCACCAGCTCCTTTTAAAATTCTGTCCATCCTTCAAGCCAAGTTTAAATGCTGTGACTTACAGGAAGCCTCCCCTGATTTTCTTCTATTCCTTCACCTGCCTCCAAGTGGAAATATTTGTCATCTGCCTTGGTAGAGCTTGACACTTTCCATGGCACTATTATTCTTGTTTTTCTGTGAGAGTTACTGAATTTGTGTCTTATCTCCATATCTAAACAATAAGCAGCTTGAGGGTAGAGAATGTTCCTTTTTCATTGTGACATTTATTCACCAACATCTGAAAGTATATGCTACAAGTCATCCATTGTGCGGAGTGATGAGGGGACTAAATAAACAAGACCCAAGATGAGCATCATCATATTTAGTATGAAAAACAGGTATTGTGATAGGTTATATTAGTTTTTCCAAATACACACTTCCTCACTCTGTGAAAACATCATATCCACTAACATGATCCATTGATCCAATAGACTTGGCCCATTGACTTGCTTGGTGTTGCAGTTAGCTTTTGCAGCATAACAAAAAGCTTCACATCTTTGTAGCTTAAAACAGCAATGATGTCGTAGCTCATGATTCTGTGAGTTGGTAACCTAACCTAGGCTCAACTGTATGGTTTTTCTGCTGATCCTGCCTGGACTAATATTGGGCTCACTCATGTGACTGAAGTCAGGCACATGGGGCTCTGCTGAGCTGGATGATCTTAAACTCCTCATTCGTATGACAGGAGGCCAATAGGCAAAGGTGTCTTTGGGTGGGCCTCTCCAGAAGGCTAACTTGGACTTATCTACAGGGTGCTCAAAGGGCTGTAAGAGCAACATAAGAAGACAAGCACTTTTCTTTTCTTTTTCTCTTTTTTTTGAGATGAAGTCTCACTTTGTTGCCCAGGATGGAGTGCAGTAGTGCTATCTCAACTCACTGCAACTTCTGCCTCCTGGGTTCAAGCGATTCTCCTGCCTCAGCCTCCCAAGTAGCTGGGATTACAGGCATGCACCATGACATCCAGCTATTTTTTGTATTTTTAATAGAGATGGGGTTTCACTACATTGGCCAGGCTGGTCTCGAACTCCTAACCTCAAGTGATCTGCCAGCCTCGGCCTCCCAAAGTGCTGAAATTACAGGCATGAGCCATGGTGCCCAGCCAGACAAGCACTTTTCAAACCTCTGCTTGTATCACTAAAATGATAGAGAAAATTTGCTAGTCACCAGTGGAAGCAGAACATTTATGGCATTAAAAGAGTTCAGGCCAGGCGCGGTGGCTCATGCCTGTAATCCCCACACTTTGGGAGTCTGAGGTGGGTGGATCATGAGGTCAGGAGATTGAGACCATCCTGTTTAACATGGTGAAACCCTGTCTCTACTTAAAATACAAAAAATTAGCCAGGCGTGGTGGCACACACTGTAGTCCCAGCTACTCGGGAGACTGAGGCAGGAGAATCACTTGAACCTGGGAGGTGGAGGTGGCAATGAGCCGAGATGGTGCCACTGCACTCCAGCCTGGGTGACAGAGAGAGACTCCATCCAAAAAAAAAAAAAAAAAAGAGGTCATCATGTGCCAATTCAAATTAAATTGAAATTATGAAGGAGCAGAATCCATGAACAGCAGAAACTATGAGATTGAGAAAAATATAGAGAGAATAAACAAATGGAATCAACTGATAAGAGGAAAAACGAGGACAGATAAAGAGAGGAGCAAGGATTCCAAGAGAGTTCAAAAATCCCTGTCGGCTTTCAATGTCATTCCAAGTTCAACTGCCTACTTGTAATAAATTACAATAAATTTCCTCATTCCTAATTCATTTGAATGAATCTCTGTTCCTTGGGACCAAAAAGACTTACTATAACAAAGTTAGTGCCAGGAGTGGGGTTTCATGGAACCAGACACTCAGAAGATGTGCAGGGTGTTTGGAATAGTAATCAGGGCAGCAAGACAGTCTTTATAACCTGGGATCAAAGGCAATCATTCCATTATAAAGAGCAATGTAATGGTACATTAAGCTGCTGCTTGTGGTTGCCTATGACTCAGACTACCTCCATGGGTGAGGCTTTGGAGGTTTGTGTAGCCACAGAGCTGTTTAAAGGAGATAAGGTGGGGGCTCAAAACAGCTGTGAACAATTTCCAGTGGCTGAAGAATAAGTTCTGTATCTGGGTTGTGCAGCTGAAAGCAGACCTTTGGGAACATGGTGTGACCCTACTAAGTAATGCCTTTTATGCTTAGAACTGACACAATGAGTCCATTGAAAAGCAAGTCTAAAAATGGCCGTATGCATTGCTGAATTGCAGCATGGGCGAAATTCCCAATATTAACATTTTCTATCACCCAGGTTAAGTATCTGATTGATAAAGACTAGACTTTGCTAATAAACATGGTATATCTGGAAGATATTCAAAGATTTGGAGATCCCCTACCCTCTAGACTCTGAACACTTCCCATTTTATCTCCCCCACTGCCATCCTCATCGACGCTACTCTCTCTTCATTAATAATGGGCTGGCTAGGCGTGGTGGCTCACGCTTATAAATCCCAGTACTTTGGGAGGCCAAGGCAGGCGGATCACTTGAGGTCAGGAATTCTAGACCAGCTTAGCCAACATGGTGAAACTCTGCCTCTACTAAAAATATAAAAAATTAGCCAGGTGTGTTGGTGGACACCTATAATCCCAGCTACTCAGGAGGCTGAGGCAGGAGAATCACTTGAACCTGGGAGGTGGAGGTTGCAGTGAGCTGAGATCACGCCACTGCACTCCAGCCTGGGCAACAAGAGCAAAACTCCATCTCAAAAGAAAAAAAAAAAAAAAAAGAATGGGCCGTGGGCTGGGCACAGGGGCTCATGCCTATAATCCCAGCCCTTTGGGAGGCCGAGGTGGGTGTATCTCTTGAGGTCACAAGTTCGAGACCAGCCTGACCAATATGGTGAAACCCCGCCTATACTAAAAATACAAAAATTAGCTGAGCATGGTGATGGGTGCCTGTAATCCCAGCTACTCGAGAAGCTGGGGCAGGAGAATCACTTGAACCCGGGAGGCAGAGGTTGAAGTGAGCCGAGATCATGCCACTGCACTCCAGTCTGGGTAACAAAGCAAGACTCTGTCTCAAAAAAAAAAAAAAAGAAAAGAAAAAAAAAGAAGAATGTGCCACGGACAATGTTGATGCTTCTCCCAGGTGCCCTGGGATCACTTTTTACTATTTTTGTGGGCCCCTGATTTTGATGTGCTTATCCTTACAAGAACCTGCCTCTTTCCCAGAGAACTGCCCTATGCTGCTGGAGCCCACTCTAGTAACCTTCTTCATGACTTTGCCTGACAGCACCATGCTTGATTTTGTCACCATCTTTGCAGAATACTCCTAGTTATGGCCGGGCTTACAGGGCAGAGCCAATGATAAGATCACAAAGCATTTGCTTGGCTCCCCAAAATTTTAGGAAAGAAAAGGAAAAAATGAGAGGTGGAGAAAATTTTGTACATACCTAAAATGTTTTAAAACTTTCCTCTTGAACAGGCGCGGTAGCTCACATCTGTAATCCCAGCACCTTGGGAGGCCAAGGCAGGTGGATCACTTGAGGTCAGGAGTTCAAGACCAGCCTGGCCAAAATGATGAATCCCCTTCTCCAATAAAAATACAAAAGTTAGCCGGGCATGGTGGAGGGCGCCTGTAATCCTAGTTACTCAGGAAGCTGAGGCAGAAGAATCACTTGAACCTGGGAGGTGAAAGTTGCAGTGAGCCAAGATGGTACCACTGCACTCCAGCCTGGGCCACAGAATAGGATTCTGTCAAAAAACAAAACAAAACAAAACAAAAAAACACAACAAAAATCTTTCCTCTTAATAAATTGAAGAAGTGTTTAAAAATGCTTTCATTTGTCTTTGATAAAAAAGATTACTGTTTGAAATATTAGAAAATCACTCAGAATTATCTCCACATCAATTCAAATGAGGGCCATATCTGGGAATCTCCTATGTCTGGTCCTTTGGGAACAAGAACAAGAATATAAGTGTGCTGTGTTAAGGAGTTAAGGACACCACCAGCACAAAGAGAGGTGAGATTATAATTTTTAAACAAAATTCTCTTTCATTTGGACTGGGACTAATTCATGAATTCCATTGCAATTAAACTGAGTGAGCACAGGCTGAAACCAGCAAGTTCTCCAGGAAGAATCTTTCTTGGTGAAATTGCTTTATAGATTGAGGCAGTGAGACACCCCACATCAAAATATGACTTTTCCCAGCATCTTGTCTTTTTATTATCAACAGTAAACATGCATCGAGCACCTGTTTTATGTGTCTCGCTGAATTGCATGCTGGACATGTTTTAATGTCTGCTTAAGGAGGATTTTACCTGTAAGTGGTTTTCAAGGCCATTGAAAGAAAGATAGTTTAGTTACCTAGGAGGTTCAGATCTAGAGGACAAAAGGACGCAGGCAGAGCAATATGTGCAGCGATACCCTTGACAGCACCATGAGGGGCTTTGCTTTGCACAGGAGAGCCTCTAATCCAGCTGTGTCCAGGAGTCAGGCAGGTGAGTGTCCCAGGCAGCTGTAGACACCAATCCACAAGCACTTCTCGTGCCTGTAGCCCCAAGGTAAGTAGTTATCCTTTTTAAAGGAATTATTCTGGGACGTTTATATCCAATAAACACATCTTCTGGCCAGGGGGGCACATCCTGGCTCTGCAGTACTCCGTTTGAGTCTAATAGTTACCCTCTTCTCAAGGATCCAGATCTTGGCCCCAAACATCCTCCTCTTTGTCCCTTGGACCATTAGGGTCTGTGTTAGGCACCTGCTGTGTTTCCTGGCCCAGTCTCCATTCTTCTTTCTGCTGCAAGTAATCCTTTGATTTACCTTTGGGGAACTGTGATTACAAGCAGGATTCTAGCCACAAGGCCTATGAGAAGCTGTGATGTAGGAATTCAGAGTCCAGAATATGAAGCTGCTGTGTTTGAGCCCTGGTGATGCCATTTACCAGCTGAGTGACTGTATTAGTCTGTTCTCACACTGCTAATAAAGACATACCCAAGACTGGGTAATTTATAAAGAAAAGAGGTTTAACTGACTCACAGTTCCATATGGCTGTGGAGGCCTCACAATCATAGCAGAAGGCAAAAGAGGAGCAAAGTCACATCTTACATGGTGGCAGGCTAGAGAGCACGTGCAGAGAAACTCTCCTTTATAAATTCAACAGATCTCATGAGACTTCTTATTCACTATCATGAGAACAGCACGGGAAAGACCTGCCCCATGATTCAATTACTTCCCACTGTGTCCCTCCCACAACATGTGGGAATTGTGTGAGCTACAATTCAAGATTTGGGTGGGTACACAGCCAAACCATATCAGTGACCTTGGGCATGTTTCTTACCCTCTCTGTGCTTTCTTTTCCTCATCTGCAAAATGAGGGTAGTAGTCACAGGTCCATCGTGGTGAGAGTTAAGTGACTGCATCCAAGAGCCTGCCACAGGCTAAGTGCTCAATCCATGATATCACTATTACCCCTGCCATCTGGCAGAGCTTTGATAGGAAAGTCAGTCAGCATGTCGTGACCATTCCACAGAGTGGTTATGTGACCCTTGCCAGGCTGATCAGACCATTTCTCCCGGGAATTTGATTCTTGAACCAAGTGAAAGGACAGAAAAAGTCAGGGAGCCAGTTTATTCAGGTGATGCCATGAAGGTGCTATAAAGAAGCTGTGTCTACCTCCCAGCTTTCTAGTTGGCACTGGTCATTGTCCTCCCCAAGCCCTGGCTCTTTAGGCTTTCCTACAGGCCCTGAGAGCTGCCCCTGCCCTTTTAACACATCCTTGTTTTGCCTAAGTTGTTCGGGATCTATTTCTATTGTTCATAACCAAAGCATCCTGGCCAACCCAGGTCCCTGTGGTAATGTTGGGGACACTGCAGTCTTTGTATATTTGATTCAAGTTCGTTGCTTGATTTGCTCAGGCACATTCTCTGGAATGAGAAGAAGTCGAGACTAGGACTCCCTAGCATAATTTGAAAGCCCTCAGCCCCTAGACATTACAGATCCACCACCCAAATCCCTTTCAAGGAAAGACTTGCTTGTCCAGCCACATAAATAATGACCCAAAATTTATTGGCACAAAACAATTATTTATTTTTCTTATGGATTCTATGGATGAGAAATTAACAGAGTAGGAGCAACTTGCCTCCAGTCCAAGATTTCTTGGGCTTCAGCTGGAAGATTCCAATGCTGGGGGCCTGAGTCATTTGAAAGCACATTGCACATTCAGTTGCACATTGGAATTTGGGGCTGGCCATGTTGTCTCTCCCTGTGTCCTGGGCTTCCTCACAACATGGTGACTGAGTTTCCAGGGTGAGTACTTGGAAGCAGACAAAGCCAGGTAGAAGCCACATGGCTGTTTATGACCTGGCCTCTGAAGTCACATGGCATCACTTCCCCCAGCATCTACTTACGTTGAATTTCCAGGGGAGAAGAAATGGACTTTACTTTTTGGTGAGTGAATGGAAAGGCTCTGGAAGAACATGTGGAGTCAAAAATATTGAGTTGGCCATTTTTGGAAAATACAACTTGCCGCATGTTCCCTTAGAGCAAAAATAGAAACAGTAAACTTTGGCTCCACAGGAGAGCTGGAGCTTCACCATCAAGGATGTAAGAAGGAAATATGCAAATATCTGGATTCAAAAGGAAAACATAATGGATAATTTGAAATAGCCAAATATTTGTGTCTTATAAGTAAAAACATTAAAACAAGCTTGGAAACCTCTAGATACTTGATCTCATGTAGACCACTGGTTCCTAACTTGAGCCCATGACCCAAATTGTGATCAATGCAGCCTATGGAGATGTTGTGAAAGTGGCTCAAAGAAAGATGCTATGCTCTGGCCACAGCCCTTGCAACAAACCACAAGGCCATGTGCAGGAGACCAAGTTTGGGGGTGTTAGGAAATGGCTGGACCATAACGATGATAAAAGCTGTGCTTCCTCCTCACAGCCCTCATGTTAGAGATGCACCAGCTGTTCTCTGAGGGGCTGGAAGCTGATGCCATGTTTGCTTCTGTAGGAGATGCTGCCCATGCCTGTTCACAATGCCTTGCATCCACCCTTCCTGCACATGCCAACCCTACTGTCTCCTACCATTAGCACCTATGATGCTGGTGGGCATTGAAAGCTGTCAGACAGAGCCCTCTCTTGCCCCAGAACTTGCTCAGCCCATGCCTGAGGCAGGCCAGAAGTGCCAGGGACTTCATGTCCCACGAGCAACCCTCCACAGGGTGGAGGGTGTCTTTACCTCCACAGGATGAGTCTAAAGCATGTTGTACACAGGATCCTAGGGGTCCCCAGCAGGATCAAGTGTCTCTTTCCACTCCATTTCCTCACTCCCCTACCAGTGCTGCTTGGCATTGTTTCCAAATAAATGACTTGCATTCAAGTCTCAGTCTTAGGGTCAGCCTCTGGAGGATCCCAACCTAAATTTAAAATGTACACTCCTGAGACAAAAGAAAGGGGATGGATAGAAGAATCAAACAGTTTGGGATGTCCTACAAATGAGACTTGAAATCTTAGTCCTGCTTATTTATTAGTCTAATCAGTCTTACATGAGATGGTGATCAGTTTCCAAAAACAGTCATATTTAGATAATTCCCTCTCAAGCTTCAGGGTCACAAGTCTTTATTACCCTATTAATAGGTAACAAAGACTACAGGGAGCAAGGTGGACCTCACACAAGGCCCTTAACTGCTATGGTTCAGTATTCTTATCTGTACAGTGGAAGTAACAATAGTAACCACCACCTCATGGGTTGTATAAATATTAAGTATCCCTAATACCTTTAAAACAGGGTCTGTAGCAAATGTGCAGTAAATACCAGTTGCTTTTATATCTAGAAAGTCTCCTCCTGAAAGCCTAAAACTGGTCCTAAGCTGAGCGCACCAGTTTCCCCCAAACCCATTTTTTAATTAGTGCTCTCCACTGTATTACTTAGAAGGATTAGCTGCTAATTGCTAAAATCAACCCAAACTGGCTGACATGGTTTGGCTGTGTCCCCACCCAAATCTCATCTTGAATTGTAGTTCCCATAATCCCCACGTGTCGTGGGAGGCACCCAGTGGGAAGTGACTGGATCATGAGTGCAGTTTTTCCCATGCTGTTCTCGTGATAGTGAGTGAGTTCTCACAAGATCTGAGGTTTTATAAGCTTCTAGCATTTCCCCTGCTTGCACTCATTCTGTCTCCTGGAACCCTGTGAAGAGGTGCCTTCCCCCTTATTGTAAGTTTCCTGAGGCCTCCCCAGTCATGCAGAACTGTGGGTCAATTAAACCTCTTTTCTTTGTAAATTGCCCAGTCTCAAGTATTTCTTCAAAGCAGCATGAGAACAGACTAATACACTGGACTATGAAATAAAGGCTGAAACAATAAGTCAGTTTTTGAGTCAATCAATTCATGTGACGGAAACATCGTGGAAGGGCTGGTATTGGGCCAAGTGGGCCCGGTTGCTCAAGACCTATATCTTTCTCTCCATGTCCTAGCTCTGCCCTCTCCACATTCATTCCTGACAGAGTCACCCTTGTGGGCCAGCATTGACTATGTGCTCCTTCCTATCTGGTGCTAGTGGGGTCTCTTCCACAGAAAACCAATAACTGGGCTTTAGCTTGATTGGATCAATTTAGTCTATCTCCTTATTCCTAAACCAATCATGATGGCCAAGAGGAAGGAATAGTGCTGACTGGTTTACGACAGAACCACCTGTCCCACCCCAAAGACCATCATGTCATCCTTAGGAGGATTACAGATGGACGTGGGAATAAAAATAGGCATGCTGCCTGCAAGAGAAGAAGGAATGAATGCTGGTGGCCAAAGGCACCAGAAAATGTTGACCTCACCTACCTTAGTTTCTGGCACCTCCTTCTACCAGTTGCACATTCTAGGAAGCTGAAGTCCTTCCTCTTCCTCTCTCTTCCATCTTTCAATTTGCATGACCCTTTTATTAATTGTCCTCCTAAAAATCTTCTCAATCCAGCCACTTCCCTCCATTCCCATTGTGAACTATGGTCTTGATCATGCCCAGGCCAGCCGAATGGTGTCAGTAGCGGTTGGAAGACAGAAACCTTATCTGTTATTTTAACAGAGAGAAGTTCATATAAATGGTTCTTAATTTTGTAACTAAAATAGTTAAACATGACCTCTAAGATGTCACAGAGGTAGCAACTTCAGAAAGCAGCTACCAGTCTAAGGCTAAGGGGTAAAAAGGAAAAGGTTGGAACTACTGAAACCTAGAAGTATGGAGAGGAGACACCATGGAGTTGAAGTTGAGACCCCTGAAGAGGGGCCCTGGCCAGCTTGGGCAGGTGTCTCCCAGCAGAAGCAATGAGGTTAGCTCTGCACGTATTATATAACAACAGCAAATTGCTGCAGTGGAAGGAACTGCCGCTGAGAGGTGAGGAAGCAAGACTGGGAAGATGCTGTCAAGAACTGAAAGTAAAGGAAGCAGCCAGAAGTGTGGCTGGGTGATGCTCATGTGAACAGGAAGCCAATTAAAGGGCACAGGTCCCTTCTCACTTCAGCCTTGCAGCTCCTGCAAACACCCTGTGTTTTCAAAGCCCCAAAAGAAGCAGCTAGTAAAGCAGAAATAAGGCTTCAGCCCTAGTGATACAGGCAAACCCCCAAATTGGGGTCCTGCCAAGGAGGGTTCTTGGTTTCACTCAGGAAAGAATTCAAGAGTAAGCTGACAGTGAAAGAAAGCCGCTGCGAAGTGAGGAAGCGAGACTGAGAAGATGCTGTCAAGAACTGCATTTATTAATAAACTGTGTTTATTAGAGCAACGTGTTGAAGAAGATGGCTGCTTCATGGACAGAACACGGCTATCCCATAGGCAGAGGAGCACACAGTAGCACTCGTGGGTTGCTGGCTAGCTCTATTTACACCCTGTGTAAGATACTGCAAATCTTCATTATGTGCTAAATAAGGGGTGGGTTATTCACAAACTGTCCGGAAAAGGGGTGGAGAATTCTTGGAACCATTTAAGATAACTTCCAAGTCGAGTGTTGTCATGGCATTTGTAAACTGTGGTGGAGCTGATGAGAGTGTCTTATGCAAATATATTATAATTCCTAGTCCTAGCTGGTTTTGGCCGGTTTCTTTGCTGCATCCTGTTCAGATCAGCAGGGTCATGAAAACAAATCCCTCTGATCTCCTACCTCACAAGGATCACAAAACACCGTATAGAGGAATGAGCTTGGAGCTAAGAGGCAAGATCTTATTAACAGTCACTGGCTTCCTAAATAGCTCTTTTAATTCACTCCTCATTTTCCAATCTATCCTTCATCCCTATTGCCCCAACTCACACCCAAATGCATCATGGCATCCTGGCTGGACCAGTGAAGATTGATAGTGGCTTCAATTGGGAAAAGTGTGGGGTGGGAAGAGGATTTAGGCATCCTGGAGTCCAGATTAGTGCAGCCATGCTGAGAATGAAAGACGGTGCCACCTTGTGTCCTGTACCCTATTGGTGCTGTTAGTGAAGAGTCAGACTTTCCAAGATGATTCTTGATGTTAAATTAGCTTTAACAATTTGAATGTTTTTGGCTTTGTAGATATATTTTTATTTGAATTTGCAAAATCTTTAATAGTTGCATAAGAATTATAATCCTAGAAGGCTAATATGCATTTGTACATAAATAACAGTTTTATCTTAATAAAAATAAGTTATCCCCGGGGATTCACGAAAATTTGCTTTCCCTTTAAGATGGGTCCATGCATTACTCAAATTGATGAAAAGGAAAAATGCCATCTGACTCCTGGACAGGAGGTATAAGCGGCACCAACCCCATGGTCTCCTAGCCTGTAACATGGGAAAATGGCAGAACCATGAGTGTGTGGGGGCCAGAAGATACTGCTACATTTTTTTTTGGATGTGTTGAGAGCTTAAGATGGTTGGAAAGCTTAACAGAGACGTGGAGGGGGGTAACTAGATGATGGGGCTAGATAGGTATCCGAGAAAGACAGGCAGAGAAGCATTTGATGCCATTAAATATGACCCTTTGTGTTCGGAAATGTACCTGCTGATTAATCTGCCATCTGTATCTATTCAGTGAAGGCACAGATGTGCTGAGGGGTCAGAGAGAGTGATTAGGGACCATTACAGAAGATGATGTGGCATTTGAGTTGGGCCTTAGAAGATTGGAAAGGTCTTAAGAGATGGAGGACTGGGGTGAAGGCCTGCCAGGCTGGGAGAATGACATGAACCAGGGCTCAGAGGAATGGCGGGGCTGGATCCCTGGAGGAGTGGGAGGTGACATGTGGAGGCTTCAAGGCACCAGGTTTTGCAAGGCTTGAATTCCAGGTGAAGGAGCTGGGATTTTATCCTGAAATAAAGGTGGAGATCCTTGCTGTTTTCTGAGAGAGGGAGGGCAAAATCCAAATCTGTTATTATGGTTCTCATTTTTCCATTGAGGAAGGTGACACCCAGAGTCGCTGGAGACCCCCTAAGAACACAGGGCTGTTTAATAGGTGTGGAGAAGCAGTGCCTACCCCAGCCTCCTGGTCTACCAGGGCACATCACAGTAAACACTGTGTGCCTGGCTGAAATCGGGAGCCAAAGGCCTCATTTGCATATCTCTCTGGCAGGCAAGGACTGCCCTGCCACTGGAGGGAATAGTCCACATCACCCCCGACACTATGCTGGTGACAATTGGAACTGGAGGTGTTCACAGGCCCTAGTTCATCTGGGAGATGTATAACCATGCAGCCGTCCCAGGGCTGCCATTAGCGCTTTATCTGAAAAGGCCAAACAGCTCCTGCCCTGTAAATTATATCTCATTTCTTTAAAAAATGTGTGTGGATGGAGAAGGGGCAGAGGGATGCAAGGGAGGAGGAAGGGAAGGGGGGCAGCAGGGAAGGGTAAATAGATAAAATAAATGGGCTTGGTGCATGCCTTTTGACCATTTTGCTTTAGTCTATTGATTTGGATTTTTCCCCCTACCCTGGGAGTAATCAATTTTTCGGTGGATGGGCAGAATACAATAATTTCAAGCAAACTCTTCAAATGGGTTGTCATTAATTTGCCTTCTGCCGGTCCTTGTTCCCTCGGAGTAAGATGTGTTTAGCCTTCTCGGAACACTATTGGAGGTATCCTCTGGGGATTTGTGGGGGCTGATTGGCACAGGGCAGGGAATGCAGACGTGGGAGGGGCGAGGAGAGCTGGTGCGGACTAATGAAGGCACAGTGTTTGCTCATCTTTACAGAGTCACTTATTACTGCTAATTGGGAGGGACAGTTCAAATAAGCACAGAGGAGCAGTTGTCACAGGAGCGTGACATGGTTTTAAAGAGGCCTTCCCGGCTCCCTGAACTCCTGCCGCAGGCGGGCTGGATGCCTGCGCTTCGCAGCCTCCATAGAGTGGAGGC
This sequence comes from Homo sapiens, assembly GCF_000001405.40. Classification (NCBI taxonomy): domain Eukaryota; kingdom Metazoa; phylum Chordata; class Mammalia; order Primates; family Hominidae; genus Homo; species Homo sapiens. The sequence continues at coordinate 20,956,814 of NC_000020.11, forward strand.
TTTGTCAGGGCGCCCCATAGAAGTCAGCAGTCCTAAGAAACCTAGGTTTGGCAAGTCATCGCAGGGAACCACAGACAGACATGCAGCTGCCTGGGACACTTAGAAAGTCAACAGCTGACGGAAGGGGAGGACTCCGAGCTTGGCTGTAAATGGACTTGAAGATGTGATTGGAATTAATTTACACAACATAGTTAGAGGTTGTTTTCTTTAAAGGGCCTAATTGGTTTTAAAGAACATTCATTTGTATGAGTGTTAAAATATTAATAACCTGACATACATCTCCTAGGGTTCTGCAGCTTTATCTTTTGGTTATTTCCTTTGTAAGAAGACATTAATTTCCTCTCCATTCTATTAAATAGACATGAGTGAATGGGCCATGCCCATCCCGTGTTATAGCCAATATTTCCAAATTATTTGGTTACATTTGTGCCAACCAGTTAGTCATTAGCCAATGCTATTAAAAAGCACCTGGGGGCTGGGCATGGTGGCTCATGCCTGTAATCTCAGCACTTTGGGAGCCTGAGGCAGGAGGATCACTTGAAGTCAGGAGTTCAAAACCAGCCTGGGCAACACGACAAGCCCCTCACCTCTAAAAGTAAAAATACAAAATAATTAGTCAAGTGGCTAACACCTGCAATCTCAGCACTTTGGGAGGTTGCAGTGGGAGGATTGCTTGAGCCCAAGATTTTGAGGTTATAGTGAGTGATGACTGTGCCACTGCACTCCAGCTTGGGCAACAGAGTGAGGTCCCACTTCTGAAATAAATCAATACATAAATAAGAGTAAAGTAAAAACAAACAAACAAAAAACATCTAGATCTTCCTGGTGGCCACAAGGAATGAATCACAACTGCCCCAATTCATTCATTCTACAAAAGTATTAAATCCTTACAGTGGGCCAGGAACTACTATAGGTGCTAGGGACACAGCCATGAACAAGATTAAGTCCCTGCTGTCACGAGTTCCCATTCCTATGGAAGGCTGGGGCACTGAGAGTGATCAAGTGATGAACAAGTTCATTTCAGATGAGGACAAAAATGCAGGGGTGCCCTTGTGCCAGTGTTTTACTTGGCTTTTCAGACTCCCGTGTTTACTCCTGTGGAAAACAAGATAAATCAATGCTGCCAAGAAGCAGGTAGTGGAGCCCATACCTTTGAGGGAATCTTAGATAAGGCCAAGTTCAGCTGTCTGGTTTTAGATACAGGAAATTTCTGATTCAAAATATAATCCCATTCTGGGAAGGTATAAGTAACAGATTCTGGTGATTTAGTGTCAATGGAGAAAATTTATCATAAGCCAAGTTTTTGGTGCAAAGCCACCGTCCCTTTTCCTTTTTTTTTTTTTTTTTTTTTTTTTTTGAGATGGAGTTTTGCTCTTATCGCCGAGGCTGGAGTGCAATGGTGTGATCTCAGCTCACTGCAACCTCCACCTCCCTGGTTCAAGTGATTATCCTGCCTCAGCCTCCTGAGTAGCTGGGATTACATGCACCCACCACCACACCTGGCTAATTTTTGTATTTTTAGTAGAGACAGGGTTTCACCATGTTGGCCGGGCTGGTCTCGAGCTCCTGACCTCAGGTAATCCAACCACCTCAGCCTCCCAAAGTACTGGGATCACAGGCGTGAGCCACTGCACTTGGCCCCTTTTCTTTTTGTGACTCAGATTTTTAAGAATGTCATTAAACACACAAAAAGCATTCTATTTAAAAAGCAAATATTAAACCAAGGATCCAATCTAATCATCCTCATGGACTTCAAGGTTCTGAGGTATATCCTGGGCCAGGAGCTTATAGAAGGTTGAGATGAGGGTGAGAGAGAGGCTTAGGTGGGATGCTGGTTTCATCCTTGCTCTAACTTGGTTCATGGTTCTTATGATTTATACCTTAAAACACAGACACACTGTGGTGGCTCATGCCCATAATCCCAGCACTTTGGGGGCCAAGGACAGAAGATCACTTGAAGCCAGGAATTCAAGACCAACATAGCGAGAACCTGTCTCTACTAAAAATTTCAAAATGGCTGCATGTGGTGGCACACACCTGTAGTCCCAGGTATTTAGGAGGCTGAGGCAAGAGGATCACTTGAGCCCGGAGTTTGAGGTTGTAGTGAGCCATGATCATGCTACTGCACTCCAGCCTGGGCAACAGAGTGAGACCCTATCTCTAAAAAAAGAAAAAGAAAAAAGAAAACAAAAGAAAAAAATATATACACACAAACACATCAGCAGCAGCAGCATCACATGTATACATAACCAAATAGAAAATTATAGGTGGTAGCACCTTCAGAGAAAAAAAGTCATTTTTTCTCCTCCTGAACATTGAAAATTACATTATCTATTTATGACACAGGCAGATGGTATGAATCTGGGCTTTCACTTTGAAAGTATTTTCAAGAAAGCGACAGACTTTCCCCAGCGAAGAGAGCGGCCCTAAAAAAGAAATACCCATTTATGAAATTCATATAAAGCCCTTCCTGCAAATTTTTGCATTAGTTTTGAGATTTAAACTGGAATGATCCACTGTCAAATCAGACTGGTGGGTAAGCAGTCAGAGGCTTTTCTAGAGAATGTAAGCCTTGGTACTTAACAAGAAATTAGTGGGGTTTCTCAGCATGGAAAATAGGAAACTATTTGCTGGGTGATACATTCCATTTTAGATTTCCTGTGATATGTTAAGAATGAATTTGTTGTTCATTGATACCTTCCAAGAGACCCCAACATAGGGCAAACAATGCCCCCTTCACTTCTGCATGAATGCACTCAGTTCTTTTCTTCACATCTGGAAGTCATTTATTTTGCCCTGAGACATCTGCAGAGGCTGTTGACATGTGATGGAGGCAGGGGAGCTGGCAAGCATGGCAAGGCCATGGACGCCATCACTCTTGGTGAGGCCTGGCTTTGTTGGAGGCAAGAAGAGGACCCGCTTCCCAACTGGGAGATGAGTACAGGTTGACCAATTAAGAAACCAGTTGAATAAGCTTTAAAAAAAAAAAAAAAAAAAAAAACTTCTGAAAAAAAGGAATTTATGTTGCTAAAATGAATCCTTCATTTGGAGACCTAAAAGGAAAATGTCCAGCTCAGTTCTCTGTGGGATTTCACTCTTAATGGGCATAAGCAGAAAATATCTTTTTGCAGGCAGAGAGGTATGTGTGCGTATAAATTGACGTGTAATGTTGAAATCTTGTTTTGAAATAACTCCATGTGATTGCTGCTTTGACTCCTTTGTGTTCTCATTGGTCAGAAGGTGTCCTTGGGAATCTGCCATCAGCAAACATCTGGGAGCGCATATCAGAAGCATAGAGCTGGATGCTTTGGAAAGGTAAAGTGCATCTGTTAATGAAGCCATGTAGAATTTCTTCCTCTGCTTTCACTAAGAGTAGAGTGTATGAAAATAGTGCACATCTCTATGTCACAGCTAAACTGCAGGGCTGTGCTGTGTTGAGAATGAGCACTGGTGCTCTGAATATAGAATGAGAGACGTATAAAGCCCCATTGACCCCTCACCATCATCTCACTCCCTCGCCTGAGATGCCAGCCTTACAGCTTTAGTTTTATTCTGTTATTATAGATTTAGGGGGCACATGTGCAGGTGTGTTACATGGGTATATTGTATAATGCTAGGGTTTGGGCATCTGGTATCAAGAACTCAATCCCATTTACAGTAGCCACACACACACAAAGAATACCTATGAATACTTCTAACCAAGGAGATGAAAGACCTCTATAAGGAGAAGTACAGAGAACACTGATGAAAGAAATTGTAAATAATACAAACAAGTGGAAGAAAACATCCCATACTCATGGATAAGAAGAATCAATATCATGAAAATGACTACACTACCCAAAGCAGTTTACAGATGCAATGCAATTTCTATCAAATTACCAATCTCATTTTTCACAGAATTAGAAAAAATGATTCTAAATTCATATTGAACAAAAAAGAACCCAAATAACAAAAGCAATTTTCAGCAAAAAAGAACGAAACCAAAGGCATCACATTTCCTAACTTCAAACTCTACTATAAAGCTATAGTAATCGAAGCAGCGTGGTCCATGTACAAAAAATAGACACATAGACCAATGGAACAGAATAGAGAACATGGTAATAAAACCACAAACCTACAACCAACTGATCTTTGACAAAGTTGACAAAAATAGACAATGGGGAAAGGACACCCCATTTAATAAATGGTGCTGAGAAAACTGGCTAACCATATGCAGAAGACTGAAACTGGACCCCTCTCACCATATATAAAAATTAACTCAAGATGGATTAAAGACTTAACTGTAAGACCTGAAACTATAAAAATCCTAGAAGAAAATCTAGGAAAACTCTTCTGGTCATTGGCCTAGGCAAAGTGTTAGATCTTTATGGGAGCAGCTAGCATTGTCCTTTCCTAGCAACCTCACTGAATATGCAAATCTCCCTGCAAGGGGCAATTCTTGGAGTTACTACCACCACAACTTGATAGGAAGGACAAAATAGAGAGCATAAGGATGATATTTGGGGCTAGAGGTTGGTAAGAGAACTCCAAAGACTGGTGTGGCTTGTTACATAATTTTAACAAGGGCCTGCTCTGCTGAGGACCCAAGGAAGGGATTTAAATGGCTGAGGAGGAGGAATAGGGACATCACGTAAGATTGTTCCCCAATCAGGCTGAATCCTTCCAGGCTTTTACAGAGCACACTCAAGGGAAAAGGGCAAGGGGGAACAGCCTGTTGGAATAGCAATGAGAATGCAATGGCAGTAGTGGGGTAGAGAGATGATTATGATGGACAGTGTCAAAAGGAAGCCACAGAGGAGAATTTCCCACACTGGAGTCAAAGGGACAGAGTGAGTTTGGTCCACATGGAGAGGATGCCATTGGCCTGAAGCTAATGTAATGAGGTAGTAGTTCATAGTATTAATAATGGAAATCTTTTACTTGAAACCCAGGAGCTTCTTCCAGCCCCTACAGAGAAATCATGTACTTCTGAATCAGAAGCCAGATCTACAGATATTGCCTACTGGGAAAAAGGGGGGAAAGGAGAGACGCAAGCTGAAGATCTTGGCATGTAACAGAAACATTCAGAGGCATAATTTGCAGAGTTTTCCTGCTCCAAGACAGGAGATAAAAGTTGCTGTGATCTGGTCGGGCCTGATGGCTCAAGCCTGTAACCCCAGCACATTGGAAGGCCAAAATGGGAGGATCACTTGAGGCCAGGAGTTCGAGACCAGCCTAGTCAACATAGCCAGACCCCATCTCTATTTAAAAAAACAAAAGTTGCCATGATCTGAGCACACAAAGGAGGGAAAGATACCACAGGCCCAAGAGAGGGTGAGGCTGAGAAACCAAGAGAGAACACCAGAGCAGGCTTGCCTTTCATAAGCCGTAGTGTGGAGGTGTGAGGAATTTGTTCAGGTGTTTATTCAACAGGTATTTATTGAGTGCCTGGGCTATGCCTACTACTGTTCTGTGCACCTGGGATATATCCATGGACCAAACAGAAAAAGATCCCTGCCCCCATGGAGCTTATAACCCAGCAGAAAAGACAGACAGTACACAATAAGCAGAAATCAACAAAATACATAGCCTCTTAGGGGATGATCTATGCCAGGAATAAAAGAAAAGTAGAGGGGTAGGGGGATCAGAGTGGCTTGGGGGAGTTATTTAGCAGTGGGCTTCACCAAGCCAGATTGCAGCCAAGCTATGAAGGAGGTGAGGGAGAGAGCACACAGGCAGCGTAGCCTTATGGCCCATCACGGCTGTCCAGTAGTGCCCTTGCTCCCGGTAGACAGCCCATCCATGGCTGACTTTGGAATGAAACTTGTCTCCATCTACAAAATTCTTTTCAGTCCCCCAAGACTCATTCTGTGAAAGCCGCCACCTTCTGACAACCCAGCACATGCCCAGAGTGAAGGGACAGGATGGAGATTCTTTGAGATGGTGACACGGAGTTAGAAAGCCTTGACAATGATCAAAGCAGAATGGGGCAGAAACAGGTTGCAAACTTGCCCGCGGAGCTAGAACAGAGGTAGGACCCGCAACCAACACTGATCCCTTCTATTTCAGAATCTCACCCAAAACACAATCCCAAATGAGTTTTTAGATACTTGGCTGTTTTATATATTTATTTATTTATTTATTTATTTTCTTTCTAATTGGGTTTCTACTAGACAACCAACTGTCCACAAGAATCAACCTACATCTATGATACCTTCTTATTTTTATTTTATCAGGCTTATTTCATTTTGACTATTGGGTCATTACACCGTTTAATAATTATACTACATATTAATATTTTTTCTCAGCAAAAGTTGTATCAATAGTGCTATTCGTGAAGTCACAAGTTCGCTAGAAATAAAGTAGTATAAATAAAACTAAAAATGGATAAGAATGATGAAGTTTTTATATCCCCAATTTCTGAGGTTGCCTTGATTTTAAAATGCTGTTTCTGACAACATTACCACATACTAGAAATTGAAACTTCATCTCCCAGCCTGTCATTCACACTCAGAAGCGGCCTGATAATCAGCTACTGACCAGGTGTGACAAGATGTCCTAATTTTTAGCCTTGTACATGTGATCACGGGAGAAGTGGTGTGTGTGTGTGTGTGTGTGTGTGTGTGTGTGTGTATGTGATGTCCATTTGTAGTTTGTCCTCTTTATGAGTCCTCAAGAATACTTGAGCCTCTCTACTTCTTTATTTGGAAACAATCCCAAAGGTTAAAGCCTCCAGGAGTTGAGATTTGGTTCCCGAAGTCATGAAGCCCAAGGTCCCACAAGCCCCTGTCCTTTGCTAGTGGAATCCTTCCTTTGGTTTAAATAGGAAGCTTTCCTTGGCAACTCTGATGATGACACCTTTTGTATCTATCCAAAAGGCCAGTTTACTGGTCAAGAGTGTGGGCTGGGATACTCAAGAGTTCAGAGTTACATTTCTATATGGACTCCCATCCCATTTTTAACTTCTCCCATGTTTATGGTCATTGCCCTTGTGGGGTGCTTAGAATAACATGGAGAACACAGAGGCTGATCTGGGTGTAATGGTGCTATAATGCCTTCTAGCATGAGGCAGTGTGGACAGTTTGAGCCTGGTTGAAAGGAATTCATTTTGTCAAGGTTTATATAAATCCAAGCCCTCCTCCCATTGCAAGTGCCATTGTCCCCACTCAGCTGCACCATCATGATGACAAACTGCCCCCATGGCAAGCAATGGAAGTGAAGGTAGAAGAATGGGGGGATGGCTGCATCCCATCTTGGCCTCCCGTCTTTCAGGCTCTCAGTGTCACATTCTGTCCAGACCATCCACAAGCCCTTACAGGGTTCCAAACGAATGCTCACTTCCCTCCACATCTTGGCACCTTTCCTCACATCTGGCACCAACAGGTCTTATTGTACCATAAACTCTGCTTGTCTGTAGGGGGAAAGGAAGACAAGATGGCTTGAGGTGAAAGGAAATAAAGTATATTAACCCAAGTAAATTTGGCTGCAGATGTCACCACTTATGCAAGGAGTGCCTGACAGCTCCCCCGACTCCAGTTGAAGTCTCCCACCGCTGTTCTTCTAGATGGGAGTGCAGTGCTCCCCTGCATCTCATCTCCCCAACTCCTCACAACCTCCATTTCCTCAGGCATAAATTTGGGGAAGCGTTGTCTACATTACGGAACGATTGTCAGGATTAAATGAGAACATACGTGTGAAACCCTCACACATTGTCCAGCATGTAGTCACATGTAACAAATGGTGGTGGGGATGATGGTGTATGAGTGGAAGCCAATTTTGATTATTTTTCAGTGTTGCTTAATTCATTCCAATGAAGCACTTACTGCGCGCCTCCCTGCGATGTCTGTGGGTGCCCGTGGTGAAGGCTGCACCAGTGAGGACAACTCTGGATGGAGCCAGAGAGCAGGAGCCCCACGGTGAACTCTCCACCTCCTCACACTGGGCCATTACTCCCCCAGAGCCTTCATTTCCCATCTCCCCAACACCCTCATAAGCCCTACATGAAGAGATGAGAAAGGGAACTGAAGGCTCTTTCCTGCTTAAAACCATGAAAAGGCCAGTCGCAGTGGCTCACACCTGCAATCCCAGCACTTTGGGAGGCCAAGGTGGGCAGATCACTTGTGGTCAGAAGTTCGAGACCAGCCTGGCCAATATGGTGAAACCCCATCTCTACTAAAAATATAAAAATTAGCCAGGTGTAGTGGTGCACACCTGTAGTCCCAGCTACTTGGGAGGTTGAGGCAGGAGAATCGCTTGAACCCAGGAAGTGAAGCGGAGGTTGCCGTGAGCCAAGATCATGCTGTTGCACTCCAGCCTGGGTGTCACAGCAAGACTCTGTCTCAGAAACAAAAACATAAAACAAACGATGAAATACAATCTACCTTCATTAATGGAATAAACAAGACAACATAGGACAATGTGATTTGAGGTCTCCGGGGCACCATGCTTCCCTCATCCCGTCTAAGCATATGACCATGGGGGAAAGTATCAGACATCTCTTATCCCTGGAAATAGCCTTTTCCCGGCCTTCAAATTCAATTTCAACAAATATTTATTAAGTGCCCACTATGTGTGACGCATTGTCAGACCAGAACTATCCAACAGAAGTTTTTGTGATGGGAATGTTCTGTATGTGCACGGTCTAATAGCCATGTGGTTGCTGAGCAATTGAAATGTGGTTAGTGTGACAGAAGAAGTGAATTTTTAATTTTGCTTAATGTTAATTAATTTTAAATTAAATTTAAATAGCCACACGTGACTAGTGACGACCATATCGCACAGTGAGGGACTAGACACCGAAGATTCACAGGACAGCTAAAAATCCTCACTTTCTTGAGGTTTATATTCCATTAAAAGGAAGTGGGGCAGACAATAAGATAAAAAAGTGAAATATATCATGAGTCAGACAGTGAAAGTGCTATAGAAAAAAAGCAGTAAAGCCAGAATCAAGTTAGGAAAGGTCAGAATTCTGAAAGGGGTGGCAGACTGAACAATTTTCATGCCCAGTGAATGTCCTGTAAAGGTGAAACTCTCAGACTTTATTTTAGGTACTGCCAAAAGCAAACTGGAGAGTCTAGTGCACCTAGTTTTTGAATACACCCATAAGTCAGGTGTCTGATTTGAACAGTTGCTTTTATCCTTCTCAACTCTGTACTCAAAATGCACCACTTCTCACTTGGTACAATAATCAGGAATAATGTGTATCTTAATGGAGCTTCTCCATTAAAAGGTTTTGGAAATAATATATAAAATTAATGGTTTACAAGAATAGTTTTAGACACTTGAAAACATAGCTAACCTAAAGACCTTCAATGCACCATGAATACATTCATTCCCCGAATAAAAACGAATCCCAAAATTGGTTTTGATTTTTATTTAAAATTCAAATGTCTGATGTCCTTAAATTGAACAAATGATATTTAAAAATATCTATATCAGCCTCCAACATCTGCAGATTGCGATTTGCATTTTGAAATTGGCTGCTTGAAATGAACGGGGATGAGCGCTGTCATTCTTCTTTTCCTCCCTCTGGTTATTTAATGAAATGCGAGAGGTCAACCCTTTGTCCTTAAATTAGTTCCCATAAAAATCTTTTTGTACTTTGCAGCTTGTTATGATGTCTTGAGGCTGAAGGAAACGTTGCCATTAATTACGTCTTTGTGGAATATGGATATCTATTCAGAGTTAGTTGAACAGTTTCAAACAAGATTAGCATCGAGCCACACTCGGGCCAGCTTTGGGTTGGTTATCAAGAATATTTTTCTCTTTTTTTCTCCCTTTCTTTTTTTCCTTTAAATTTTTTTTAAATAGCTGAGAGAATGCTCTTCGGCAAGTGTGTATTATCTAATATATTCAGCTTTCCGTTGCTACTTTTTTCCAGATGAAGATGAGCTTAATTGAGGTTGTCCTTTTAAGTTTGTAGGGCCCTTCAGCATCTCACACAAAAGCATCTAGAGGCTTTTCATTTGTCTTGAGTATGTTTCAGATGTACAAATATTATTTACTTTAAACTTCAAATCAAAAGGTGCACTGTAACTGTTTTAAATAAAACATTAGTCAAGACTGAAATATATATAAATTCAAAGCAATACTTTTTTTTTCCATTTATGTGAAGGGAGCTCAGTTAACAAATTTTAGGATACACGTCGGAGGAACTGTTTAGCAACACACTTCAAGCAAGCAAGCACTTAATAAAGGAATTCATTCCCAGTCCTCCAAAGATAAATATTACAAACCCACTCTACAGCTAAGCTGCGAAGTTAGTTTTCTGTTGCAGACTCTCTTAAATGTTTGCTTGAATAAGATGGGGGGTAAAATTGATTTTGAAGAAGTGAAGCTCATCAGTGAAATGTACCCAGGGTGCTCATCTGGGGGGGCATTTTGAAAAAATGAAGAAAAACATTCAGCTACAGGCTCAGCTCTATACAAACCTGTTTGTAGTATGAGGGTCATGAAGGCTGATGAGTGGAACTTCAGCCCTGGGAGAAAACCCTTTTCTGTGAGCATTTAAATCAATATATTAGAAATTATAGTACATCCTAGAGAACATGGCAGAAATTGTGAAAAACAGAGTAAGATCTCTTTTTGCTTTTAATAATAATAATAATAAGCCCCAAGGACCATACTAACAAAGTAGATTGATCCGTTTAGGAATAAAATTCTCAAACAACCCTGTGAAAGATAAGTATTCCCTATTGTAGCAAAAACAATGAGTATGATCTTTTTTTCCCGATGAAGATCCTGTTTAATGTCTTAAAAATATTTTGTAGTGATTTTTATTTTCATTCCTTCTTCCTCCAGCTCCTTTCCTGAATATGGAACCAGAGTGTCCCTTGTTGTGAAGCATTCCTGGGAAAGAGGCGCTAACCTTGTATCGCTTTTGAGTGTAATATACATTTTTCATTTTAAATGGGAGCTCATAATGACATTGTGTGGAAGGGATTCCAGGCCTCTGTGATTATCACCATGTCTCCTTGAGCTGCGCCTCTGGAAAAAAATGTGAAGGAGGTAGCCCTCTGGAATGAATAAATCCTGCCGCCTGCCTGTAATTATTTATTAAAATAGATTAAAGAAATAGGCTAAAAAGGAACCCGCCACCCATGTTAGAGATAGCATAATAAGAGTACATAGAAAGGGAAAATTAACACCAGGGAGGAAGGAATGTTAGATATGTGCTTTCAAGAATACGGCCATGTCTGCATTGTTGGCTTACACGCAGACACACGCTCGGGTTTTTCATTTGGCAGGGTGGGCTGTGCTGATGAAAACGTGGGTTACTAATACTGATGTGTATGTCTCTAATTAACATTAGAATTGAGTGGTAAACATAACTAGGAGAGCATTCAAGAGAGAAATGGGCTAAAAGAGAAGCCAATGTGTAGAGAGGAGGGGGAAGAGACGGGTTGGAGAGAAGAAATCGGTCAGCCCTTGTTCAGATGGGTTTAATTTAGTCACTTGAGTCAAAACTGGAAACCTGTTTTCTAGTACAATTGCTTCTGTGTTTAGTGGGTGCTGTCCTTGCAGGCGCCTTTCATTGCAGGTGAATTTTATAAACAGCACACCATCATCAAACCATCTTGGGGGTCAACTTTTTCCACTTGTGCCTTTAGCTCTTACGCAAGTACTTTTATAGTGTCTTCTAATATACAGGATTTATCTTCGGTTCTGAGAAGAGCTTTTAAACTTAATCCCTCACTGGAGTACTAATTTGTTTCTTCATCCTTAAACCAGTACTTTCGGTTAACTTTCATCAGAAACGGTAGATTTCTTTAGTATGGCCACTCGAGAAACATAGGTTTGTGTTAATTTTTTGTTTTGTTTTGTGGCTGTTTTTGTTTGTGACTGCTGGGAGAACAACAGGGTGGGGGAGATTTTGATGATGGTCGCTGATATTATTCTTGTATTTCTGTTTCTTAAAGTTCAAAGTACATAACTGGAAATACCTGTGGACGGTTGCCTTAAAAATATTTCTAATCATATTCGCCTAAAGAAAATAAAAACTACTACCTATTTTTAAAAAAAGGAATGCCAGAACTTATTTTTGCTTTTTTATTCTGGCTTTTCCCATGATATTTGAGTGGAATAATATGCTATGATGTTTATGTATGAAAAACAGAATACACTTGCATATGTTATGAGGAAGAAAGCTGCTTCTAGGAAAACGAACTTTTTTTTTCTTTTTTTATGTTTTAGGAAATGATTTATCAAAGTAACAAAATAACTCATTGGGAAAGCAGTGTTATTTATAAAAACAATCAGCCTTTGACTTCCTTTCATTTTTATAAGGCTAATGTAACAAGGATGTTGCAGAGGCAAAAATGAACTCGAATCCTTTTAACCATATGAACACTTATGAATTTTATTGCAGCTCCTATGTAACCACTTTATTTAACCAACTAAATAAAGCATGTACTTTTTAAAAATATTTAATGTTCAGCACCAAAAACTGTATCCAAAGAAAATGTACATTTCCTGTGTAATATCTGCCTTGCCTCGTTAATTCGTTAGAAAAAAATATATACAAACATATCCAGGGAAATGCTTTGGGTTTTTTCTAAAGTCATAGATGTTTGTGTAGAAAGGAATGGAACCATCTTCACACGTGAATTGAAAGCGGAGATCTTCAGTGCTGGAGTTCAGAAAATGAAGAGAACTTACAAAAATGTACAGCTGGGAATGCCATTCCAGTGGATCTTCCCCACCACGAAGTTATTACTGTGTGAACAATGTTCATTAGCTTTACCAATATTGTACTTCTGTTTATCTGCCATTACCATCTTCACAAAGTAAATCACTCCTGTTCTTCCCAGATCGCATCTCTTCCCCCACCCTCTGAAAACCAACATTTGTTACCCATAAGCAGGGGGGGACGCTTAGTGATAAGTATAATAGCTTAAATTGAATTTTCCTTCGAATGATTTAGTGAATACTAGAACACATTTTTACTTTGTTGTTTAGACTCAAGAAGGCATAAAATCTCCGCCATCTATTTATCATGTAGTTATTTTAATGTAAACATGTGTCCGTTTAGATGAAGTGTTTTCATTATTAAGCTAATTCCAACGTGTCTCAGATAGACCATGAGAAGGGAGCCGAGCTCTGGCTGATGGGGAACCGAAACCTGCCTCCGCTCAGCCTGCTGTCAGATATGTCTTCATTAGTTTTTTGTCATTCACCGGTGGCAAATGCTGTATAAATGGAATGATGATCAGGCCCGCCTTGATAACTTGTCTTATCTCATTAGTTTTCACATCAAAGTTAATCAGCAATGTGAATTGTAATTGCTAGAGGAGACAATGCGTAGATCGCTGGTTGCTTTTTTCCCCCTCCCCTGTATGGCATCTTGAAACATCAGCAGGCTGGCTGGAGCAGATAGGCTCGGAAGGAAAATGATGTGGAAGGCATAATAAGCGAGCTGCTCAGAATTAATGAGCTAACCCAGTAAGAAAAGAATGGCCAATCAATGTGAGTTGGGCAAATATAATTTAGAAATAATTGCTTGATTGGTTGCCTATAGTAGACTGATTTGACCACATACAAGGATTAAGAATTAAGATGTCAAGGCAAAAAATAATTTGGCAACTGAGGGCATGTAATTTTTTGTGTCCTTCCCTTTATGATTGAAAGAGATGGGTGTTTGAGATGCTATTCGCCAGAATGAAAACATTAGACACCCTCTCGTTCTCTTTCTGCTCCTCTCACAATGCAGGCCCATTCAGAACACAATTGTGATACTCCTGGACAGGACGTGAAAAAGGTATGGATTGAGAGAGAGAGAGAGAGAGAGAGCGTGTGTGTGTATGTGTGTGTGTTCCCATTTATTGCAGTTATGCCCAAAGGATGAATGGGTTGGTACATAAGGTGTTTGCATCTGCGCTGAGCTGCAACATCATTGGGAGGCATGGCAAAGTGAGAGATGTGGATATTTGCAAAATACGTCAATTGTCTGTCCTCGGCCGAAGAGTTCTGCTCACATCCTACATGTTCCTAATGCAATTTTCCCCACAGCTATTCACCAATTAGTAGAGGGCCCTTGCTATATTCTTCTGTCTAAACTATTGGGAAGGTTCAGCCAGAAGGTAAATTTGCTTTGATCTACATTACACCTAATTGAGTCACCAGCAATGTCTCTATCCCAACATCAAGAAATGTGAAAATGTTAGATTATTTCACTGGGGATTAAACCTAATTTTCGTGTGTTCTGCATTAACCTATTAGGCTGGCTAATCTGCATTGCTAATGTGACTGAGGCAGCTGTCACAGCTAAAGAAAAACATGATCATGCAATCCTTGAATGAATGATTCCCAGCCTGATTAGTCTTAGTGAAGTTAGCTGAGCCCTGGTGATAAGGAAGGAAAATTCCCAGGTTGCCAATAGCTTTGAAAATTATCAGACTGTAGGCAAAAATATACCTCATGATTCACAGGCTTCGGTCCAAATACCGAGTTGAGTGACATTATTTAAGACTGACTAAGGCTAACTCGAATTGTCGCTCGCATAAATGTTTGTGTTTATTTTAAGGGACTAACGTAATGGATGCAGATTTAAATGCTAATAGACGCCAGCCAGACACATAAAACCCCAGGCATTGTTACCCTGTTGGTCTTTTATTAACATAGATTAAATTGTAATATTTTCTAGATAAATTGGCAAAATCAGAAAGATGCATTGCCCCCCAGAATGCTCGATGAGGACGACTTTTGCAGGACTTCTGGTTTTTCGGGAGATGAGGATCACAGTAGTGGAAGTTTACACGTTCACTACTCTCATTATCAGTTTAAAAAAAAAGAAGAAGAAGAAAAATAGGGGAAAAATGTGTTTATAAGGAGGAAAATAGATTTCTGCAGCTCGCTGGCCAGAACCACTTTCTCTGTCTGTCCACTTAATTGGGAGGACTCGGCACGCATTTCTCCTCATCCCTGTATTTTGTTCGCTTGGAGAAGGCTTCGCTGCAGTTTCAAGACTTTGCGTGCTCCTCTCCATTTGATTTCAACAGCAAGAGAGCCACCATGATGGGTACCCTTCAGATGTGGAAAGTGTTCAAGGGAGTTTGGTGGCTGCAAATAGAGCTGGGAGTCCATTTAATCCGATTAGCAGTTCCGCAAAATGGGCCTCGACCCATTGTGGACAGAAGCCTTTACTTTATTTGTTTCCATTAGCCAAGAATCAGTTATCAGAAAAGTGGAATTTTGCCCCATCAGATTGCCCAGACAATCAACAGAAAATAAATGAGGAAATAGTCTAATGTGTCAATATTTGTCTTTTGGCCCTAATTGTCCACAGAGGGGACTTGCTGAGTGTGTGAAGTTGGCAGCCTGGGTTTATCTGTGTACTCTTGATGGTTTTTCCCACTGTGTAGGCACCGGAGCCGCTACGTGCACAGTAATGACATCTCAAAGGCCAACAGCACTGGCTGGAGAATAAAGGCGTTTTAAAGGTCTAAGAACACTGGATTGAAGAGCCAAGGAGAACCCTTGATGGATGAGGAGGAAGGCAGAGCCCAGCAAATGACAAGGCATTTGTGACCAGGTTTCCAATGCCGGAGTGAGGTAGAACAAAAGTACTGAAGAGACAGGAGCTTCCGTTCCTGCCCCGGTGCCAGCTTGTCTTTCCCGTTTCCCAGGAAGCTCAGCTGACTACAAGCCTACGGGGGTACGGCCCTCCTCTTATTTCTGTTGCCTCTTGTTAGTTGAGAAATGTTAGTGTCTCAAATTGTTTTAGTCCCTCAAATTGCCTTTAAGGATAATGGTAATAAAATGATTTAAGCTACAATATTTGAGTATTCACTATTTACCAGATACTATTCTAGGCACCGAATATTTGATTTCCCCCCAAGCCCCATGAGATGCTGCTATCATTAGGCCCATTTTACAGATGAGTCACTGAGGCCCTGAAAATAATTTGCCCATATTCACTCCACCAGTGGCCATAGAGCCATGCCTTGAACCTAGGCAGTCTCACAGGCTTTTCATTACCACTGGACCCCAGATTCCAGGGCCAGGCCTAGAGAGCCAGTGTCTCTTCAAATTTTACACCCTAAGTACCCACCAGAATCCCCTTCCCAGACACCTTCCTTCCTTCCTTTCTACTGATCTCTCCTTCGCCCCCTTGAAAAGCTCAAGACATGGCTGGGCATGGTGGCTCACGCCTATAATCCCTGCACTTTGGGAGGCTGGGGCGGGTGGATCGCCTGAGGTCAGGAGATGGAGATCAGCCTGGCCAACATGGTGAAACCCCATCTCTACTAAAAATACAAAAATTAGCCGGGCTTGGTGGCGGGCGCCTGTAATCCCAGCTAGTAGGGAGGCTGAGACAGGAGAATTGCTTGAACCTGGGAGGAGGAGGTTGCAGTGAGCCGAGGCTGCACCATTGCACTCCAGCCTGGGCAACAAGAGCAAAATTCCATCTCAAAAAAAAAAAAAAAAAAAAAGAAAAGAACAGCTCAAGCCACAACAATGGCAGAAATGGTGCACAAGCCCATCTCACACAGTCCCCCTGACTGAATGTTTTCAATAACAAAATCCCACTCAGTTTTCACAGAATCTTTTCACTGAAGGTGGGACAGAAATTTTGATTATCCAGGCCTCCTTTAGGCCTCTCAGACCACAGTGACACTTGAGCCCCAAGTCAGCAGAGATCGCTGCCAAAGAGTCACGCTTTAGCAACTTATCTGGACTGTGGACAATGGCCGTGAACTGACCCTTTTCCCCTTGTTCAGCTGAAAGGTGCCCTCCCCTCTGGTTCCCTGAGATGAGCCGTGGCTCCTGATTCATTCCGAGAAGACAGCAATTGGATCTAATCATGGAGCACAACACACGCTGGATGGGCCATCAGCGCAGAGCCATAATCTCTGCCTGGAGTGAGTTCTTCCATAACTCCAGCCCATTGCACAAAATTGACGGGCTCTTTTCTTTTTGGCTGGATCTGATAGCATTCTGGGAAGTCTTTGTACCGCTTTATATCACAGGATCACTATACCTGTGTGGGAATGTTAACAAAACTATGGTTATGAAACACTGATATTATCTCTTAGTAAATTAAATCTGCCTTTCCTACGAATAGTGGAGTTAAGAAAGCTGAGACAAATTCTTTTTTCGAAAAACATTTCTTTGAATTCTATATTACTCACACGTAGGTTATTTTCTCTTCTTTGCAATTCTACTGGGCCCATTCCTCTCTAATAATGTGATGTGGTGTCATCACATGGCCAAACATCTTTTTGACCTCCCATAATAGCTTCTCAGAGACACAGGTGAAGGTCATTCCCATTTGCATGGCCCTCAATACCTGATGAACACCCAGGAGGTGCCAGCAATGTTTGGCAAGCATATCAGTCTCCTATTGCTGCCGTAACCAATTACCGTATGTTTAGTGGCTAAAAATAATTTAAATAAGTTTTCTTACAGTTCTGGAGGTCAGAAGTTCAAAATGGGTCTTAAAGGTATCAGCTGGGCTGGTTCATTCCGGAGGCTCCAGAAGCGTCCCTCCCTTGCCTCTCCCAGGGTTTAGAGGCTGCTAGCATTCCTTGGTACCAGGCTGCATCACTCCAACCTCTGCTTCTACCTCTGCTTCTGTCCTCATGTCACCTTCTCCCACTGTGATGTCCTACCTCTCTCTCATTAGGATCCTTTTGATTATATCAAGCCCACCCAGGTAAACCAGGATCATCTCCCTATCTCAAGATCCTTAACTTGATCCCATCTGAAAAGTCCCTTTGACCATAGAAGGTAACATGCATAGTTCCAGGAATTAGAACAAGGGCATTGGGGGAGGAGGGGATGAGTTATTCAGCCTACAACATGCAATCGATCCTGGGAAGAGAGGCAAAGTGCTCGTCATTCATTTGTTCATTCATTCATTCATCCAGCTGCAAATGTGAGTTTGTGGGCACCATGTTCGGCCCCAGGACTGCAGTAGAGAGCAGGACAGTCTTCCCGTTGTGAAGCGTGAGATCCATAGAGGGAACGGCAGAGATCAGATGACAGGGAGCCCATCCAGCCTGGGATGGGCACTTGTGTCCAGAAAGTCAGCCCTGAGAAAGTGACATTTATGCCAGGGCCTGAGGGAAGGGTAGGACTTTGCCAGGGGAAGAGGTTAGGGAAAGGTGAAAAAGCCACAAAGGCAAAATGACCATCCAACCTTCAAGTAATTGTCAGTCTAGAGGGGTAGTGTTTAACTGCAGTGACAATGATTTTCATTGTCTACTATGGTCGAAGCTGAGAGCTCTCTTCTAAGTGAGCATTAATGTTTCTGTTGTTTTCTTGAAAGGGCGAAGGATCCCAGGGGGTAAGAGGAAGGTGGGGCAAGTCAGCAGAAGCTTACTCCATCTTCAACTTCTTTTTGTTTGTTTGTTTGTTTAGACACAGGGTCTCACGCTGTCATCCAGGCTGGAGTGCAATGGTGCAATCATAGCTAACTGTAATCTTGCACTCCTGGGCTTAAGCAATTCTCTCACCTCAGTCTCTCGAGTAGCTGGGATTGCAGGCATGCACCACCATGCCTGACTTACTTTTGAAATTATTTGTAGAGAGGGGTGTCTTACTATATTGCCCAGGCTGATCTTGAACTCCCGACCTCAAGCGATCCTCTCGCCTCAGCCTCCTAAAGCATTGGGATTACAGGCATGAGCCACCACACCTGGTCTTCCATCACTTCTGATTGGACTCTTGGGCTGCATAGCTTCCATGACCAAAAGGTCCTATACTAAGGATATTTACACAGCCTCTGGAAAGCTGCTGCAAGACACTTATTAATTACAAAGGGAAAAATAGTCAATTCAAGTAAAGAAACATGATGGGCCAGTGATCAGAGCCAACATCACCAGTCATGGAACAACTTGACATCATGCACCTCTTAATAGGATGCATTGAGAGGGGTTCCACAGCAGTCTTCCTGGGGTATTCCTGCCCCACGTGTATCTCCTCAATACAGTCAGGAGGAAACATCAGACAAACCCAAACTGAGGGATGTTCTGTAAAACAGGTGACCTATACTTTTCAAAACTGACAATATCGCAAATGACAAACCTACTTTTGTCTCTATAGATTTGCCACTTCTGGATATTGAATGCAAATGGAATCATGCAATATGTAGTCATTTGTGACTGGCTTCTTTCACTTAGTGTAATGTTTTCAAGGTTTGTAGCTACATCAGCACTTCACTTATTGTTATGGCTGAATAGTATTTCATTGTATGGGTATATTGCATTTTGTTTAGCCCTTCATCAATTTCCACTTTGAGGCTATTATGAATAATACTGCTATGAACATCCACACACAAATGTTTTTGTGGACGTACGTTTTCATTTATCCTGGGCGTATACCTAGGAGTGGGATTGCTGGTCATATGGTAGCTCTATCTTTGACCTTTTGAGGAAGTGGAAGTTGTTTCCAAAGTGGCTGCACCATTGTACAGTCCCATCACCATTGTACATTGTAGTGTGTGATGGTCTCAGTTTCTCCACACTTATCAACACTTATTTTCTGTCTTTTTTATTCTAGTCATCCTAGGGAGTTCACATTGGTATCTCATTGTGGTTTTGATTCCTTGTACTATTCTTACTTTTCTGTAAGTCTGAAATTGTGTCAAAATAGAAAATGAAAAGAAAGCTATTCTGTGTCATTATTATTCTATGATAAAAGGATGTTGGGGAGAAATCTTATTTCTCTCTGAAACTGAGCTGATGAATCAACGTACAGATCCTGAGGATAAGAGCAGAGCTAATGACCTGAGTTCTAGAAATTCCAATACTTTCTGGGCCCACTGTTTCCATTCATTCACTCAAAAAACATTTACCAAGCTCCAATTATAAATTTATAATAAGATGGGTAAGTATTAGTCCCAGAGAGATATTCTCCGTCTCATGGGAGGAAATATATTTAAACTAATACTATTGTATTGCCTTTCCATTATTCATTACTCTCCAATTTGCCACAGACCCCACCACTCACTATTGTCTGAGTACCTGCTATGCTCATTTCCCAGTCCTTGCTTGGCCCTATAAGTACTCAATCTTGCAAGTATGACAGAGAGAGCACCTGACCATTTGATAATGTCAGAGAAAGCCTCCCAGTGGCAAGCGCCTGTCTAACATTAGGGTAAATTCAGGTTGTACTCTATGTACAGAATTCCCCTGACCTGACCTATTAAATCCTACAAAAGAGAAAAGAATATTTGTCAACACGTTTGCACATCTCAATAGACTCTTAACAACTATAGTTTCTCTCTTAATTCTCATAAATCATCTGCTTAATAATTGACTTATTTGTCAGAAATTGACATTACTACTCATTGTCTTCAGTTGGTTACCCATAAAGCAAACCCACTCAAACTGGATTAAGAAAAAGAGACCCACGTTAACAGATGTGGCTTTGAACTTGGCTAGACCCAGGGTCCTTCCACAGCTCAGCTCAGGTGGCTTCTGTTTCGGTTTCATCTAGGAAACCCCCTCCATGGATTGGGCTCCGAAGCCCCCAGGCCTATACTTTTCTCACATTAGCAATCCCACACTTCCAACAGATTTTAGAATCAGTATCTTTAGCTTACCATCTCGACGCCTTTCTGCTTTATCACATCCTACACTGTCAGCAAATCATGTCCACTTTCCTCGAATTAGATCCTGAATCTGGTAAATTATCACCACCTCCACCACTTAGCCTCCGCTACCTAAGTCATCTTTACTTCTCATCTGCAGCCCGGCCATAGCCTCCTAACTGGTCTTCTTGATTGTTATCCTTGACCTCTACGGTCTACTGTTTTTTTGTTTTTTTGTTTTTGAGACGGAGTCTCACTCTGTCACCCAGGCTGGAGTGCAGTCAGCTTACTGCAACCTCTGCCTCCTGGGTTCAAGCAATTCTCCTGCATCAGCCTCTTGAATAGCTGGGATTACAGGCACGCACCACCACGCACTGCTAATTTTTGTATTTTTAGTAGAGACAGGGTTTCACCATGTTGGTCAGACAGGTCTTGAACTCCTGACCTCATGATCCACCCGCCTTGGCCTCCCAAAGTGTTGGGATTACAGGTGTTAGCCACCATGCCCGTCCTACGGTCTACTATTTATACAACCCCTGGAGTGATCCTTTCAAACCTTGTCAGATCACATCACTCCTCTGTTCAAAAATTTCCAATGGCTTCCATCTAGGACACAATAAAACCCAAGTCCACCCCAAAGCCTTGCCTGATCTGACCAACAGCTTCCCATGACGTCAGGGCCTGGCTTTGCCTGCCTATCTCAGCCCACTCTTACTGCTGGCCTCCTTCCTAGCCCTCCAGGATGTGAAGCGCGCTCCCAATTCAGATCTTTGCTCTTATCATTCCTTCTGTCTGAGGTAATTTCCCAGATCTACTTCTCTAATTCACTCACCTGTTTCAGGTCTCTGCTCAGATGTCTCTTTTTTTTTTTTTTTTTTTTTGAGATGGAGCCTCTCTCTGTCACCCAGGTTGGAGTGCAATGGCATGATCTCGGCTCACTGCAACCTCCACCTCCCGGGTTCAAGTGATTCCCCTGCCTCAGCCTCCCAAGTAGCTGTGATTACAGGTGCCTGCCACCACACCCAGCTAATTTTTTGTATTTTTAGTAGAGACGGGGTTTCACCAGGTTGGCCAGGCTGGTCTCAAACTCCTGACCTAAGGTGATCCACCCACCTCGGCCTCCCAAAGTGTTGGGATTACAGGCATGAGCCACCGCACCTGGCCAGATGTCTCTTTATCAAAGGTCTCCAGGCCTTCCCTGACAATTTTATCCAAAGTAGCTATGCCCATCAAGCCCTATCCTGGTCTATCTTTATTTTTCTTCATTGTACTCATCAGCACCTCATACATGATATACTTATTATTTTTCTTAGTTTGTCTGCTGCCCCCACCACTGGAATATAAGAGAAAGAATTTGTTTTTTGTTTTGTTCATTGCTGAATTCTTAGAGCCTATCACAGTGCTCAGGCAATAGATATTTACCCAGTGAATGAAGAAATGTCTAGATTATTCCTTCAAACAATTACTGTGGCAATGGGAAGGGAATGCATGGTTTATGTATCCTAAGTCTGATGGGGCAGAGTGATTAGCTCTATCCAAACCTCATAGAGTAAGAAAAAGAGAGAGGAGTGGTTTTCTGTCTTGACCTGGCTTCCCCTAGAAAGCAGAAACAGATATAAGGGCTTGCTGCAGATAGTTCATTTTGGGAAGTGTTCCCAGGGAGTGGGGCAGGGGCTGGGAACAGTGAAATAAGGAAAGCCAGTACAGCTATGCATTAAACAAAGGCAGTGAGGCTCTACCCAGCCTCAAAATTAGGGCCCCAAGGGACAGCAGAGGGAAGCATTTATCCACGGGCTTTCATCCCCCACAGGTCAAGGGCGTCCATAACTCAGCATTTCCAGGTTTTCCCAGGTTTGCTAAGAGGGCTCCCACAGATATTCTGCGCCCCAAGCAGAAAGTGAGATAGAAGTGGTCCAGTGGTGCAACTAAGGCATGGTCCTTTTAGGTTACTGCTGCATGAAGGTGGTTGCCACATCACCAGTTAGAATAAAAGATGGCCAAAGAAAATGTAAACAGAGAAAAAATACAACCAATACAGTCCATCCCTCAGTCCACTAGGATCTACGAATGCAGATTTTCTTAACCCTCAATTGGTACATCAGAAAGTCTAGGTGGCTTGCTTGTGACCTAGACATTCATCACTGAAGGAAGTCTATGGTTGCTTCACCCTTAATGAGCTGCTACAATGACAGCTACCTCTGGACGTGAAAACACCAAGAGACACCCCAGTGTAACAAAGATCTTCAGAGGCATTAGGGCTGATTACTACCACCAGAACAATAACTCCTGTGTTTGTCCACGAGCATGAAGAGTCCAAAATAACCAGATTCATAGTTTCCAGTTCAGTGGATCCCTTTCTTTGTTCTACTGTGTAAGCATTCCCCTTCCTGAGGCCAAGACCTCTAATTCAGAGAAAACAGTTGGGAGATGTAAGTACAACATCTGAAAGTGGATTACTGGGACTGATACAAAGAAAGACCAATCATACTAACAATTTTTGGTTTCCTGACCAGTGAATTCTAATTACAGGGTCACAGCACCCTATACTGGTCACTGGCTTACTGTATATAATGGTTCCCAGACGATAGTATCCGAATTCCACAAGATACATCCCTGAGATGGTAACTTAGCTAAGCCTTTAGCAGACCATTCTGTCATTCTATTAGGCTGGCTGTTTCTGGTTGGACCAGTGGATCCCATGGTCATTTGTCTGTTATCACATATCCTTCTCCATTGAATGGTCCCTTATCTGAGACAATAATGTGCAGGGCCCCATGTCAGTAAATCAGGTATCCTGTAAACCCTGAGAGAGTGGTGTTGACAAAGGCATTGAGTTCAAACAGGGCAAACATATATCCAGAGTAGTGTCAATTCAAGTAAGAACAAATTGTTTCCCAGTTCAGGATGAAAGGTGTTTGATGTAATCAACCTGCTATCTAATGGCTGGCTGATGTCCTTGAGGGATGGTGCTATGCTTAGAGTGCAACTTCTGTCTTTTCTGTTGGCAGGTTGGGCATTGGGCAGTGGCAGCAGCTAGCACCATCTTGGCAAGAAGGCACACACACATGGCCTCCATCCCCACCACAATGGTCATCTACTCAGGAACCCATTTCAGAAATA
Organism: Homo sapiens; assembly: GCF_000001405.40. Taxonomy (NCBI): domain Eukaryota; kingdom Metazoa; phylum Chordata; class Mammalia; order Primates; family Hominidae; genus Homo; species Homo sapiens. The sequence goes on from NC_000020.11 coordinate 20,980,446, forward strand.
CTGGAGTAGCCTAGGAAAGAAGTTAGGGGATATTCAGAGGATGAGTCATTCATTAGGAAAAGCCCACCTCTCAGAGCATTAGAATAAGACACAGCATCCCCTACCCACTGCCATAGGTCAGTTCTCGTACTCATACCCAGATGCCTTTGTCTTCCTTTTTCCAATCTTATTCTCTCCAGACCTCTAATCAACCAACTAAACCATTCACTACAGTCATGGACTGAGGGCTTTCAGTGTATCCATTGCTAGAATGACATACATTGCACCCATTAAATAGTTTGTCATCTTCTGTCCCCCTCCCACTCTCACCCTTTTGAGTCTCCATTGTCTATCATTCCACACTCTATGTCCATGTGTACATTTAACGACTCTTTACAAGACATTTGGAAAAAAATTAATTAGTGAATTAAAAAATCACTTTTTTCAGTTAAACAAAGAATGAAAGAGTGGGAGGTCCTCATCATTTCCTCATCCAATTGACATATATGTGTGTATTAGTCTGTTCTCACACTGCTATAAAGACATACCTGAGGTCGGGTGATTTATAAAGAAAAGAGATTTAATTGACTCACAGTTCTGCATGGCTGGGGAGGCCTCAGGAAACTTGCAATCATGGCAGAAAGTAAAGGGGAAGCAAGGCCATTTATCTATTTTTGTTTTTATTGCATTTGCTTTTGGAGTCTTCATCATTAATTCTTTGCCTAGGCCAATGTCCAGAAGAGTTTTTCCTGTGTTTTCTTCCAGGAATTTTATTGTTTTAGGTCTTACACTTAAGTCTTTAATCCATCTTGAGTTAATTTTTGTATATGGTGGGAGACGGGGGTCCAGTTTCGTTCTTCTGCATATGGCTAACCAATTTTTCCAGTACCACTTATTGAATAGAGTATCCTTTCCCCATTGTTTATTTTTGTCAAATTTGTAGAAGATCAGTTGGTTGTGGGTATGTGGCTTTATATTCAGGTTCTCTATTCTGTTCCATTGATCTACGTGTCTATTTGTACCAGGACCATACTGTTTTAGTTTTACATGCTATTTTAATAGTATAATACCTTGAAATCAGGCAACGTGATGCCTCAAAATTTGTTCTGTTTGCTTAGGATTGCTTTGGCTATTCGGGATCTTTTTTTGGTTCCATATAAACTTTAGGATAGTTTTTTTTCTAATTCTGTGAAAATGCCTTTGGTCACTTGATAAGAATTGTTTTGAATTTGTAGATTGCTTTGGGCAGTGTGGTCATTTTAATGATATTGATTCTTTCTATCTCTGAGCCTGGAATGTTTTCCCATTTGTGTCATCTGTGATTTCTTTCATCAGTGGTTTGTAGTTCTCCTTTAGGAGGTGTTTTACCTCCTTGGTAAAATGTGTTCCTGGGTATTGTGTGTGTGTAAGTGTGTGTGTGTGTGTGTGTGTGTGTGTGTGTTTTATAAATCAGATGGCATCCTGATTTTGTTCTCAGCTTAGACGTTACTGGCGTAGAGCAATGCTACTGATTTTTGTACGTTGATTTTTGTATCCTGCAACTACTGAACTTACTGATCAAGTCTAGAAATCTTTTGGAATAGTCTTTAGGGTTTTCTAGGCATACAATCATGTCATCAACAAACAGAGATCATTTGACTTCCTCTTTTCCAATTTGGATGCCTTTTATTTCTTTCTCTTGCCTTATTGCTCTGGCTAGTACTTCCAGTACTATGTTGAATAGGAGCAGTAAGAGTGGCCATTCTTGTCTTGTTCCAGTTTTTAGGGGGAATGCTTTCAACATTTCATTCTTAAAGTCTTTGAGAGTGGCACAATGGCTCCTGAGATATGTTTTTCTGATTTACTACTTTGGCCAGGACAGGGAAGGAGCAGCTTAAGGGGATTCTACTCGGCCCTTCCTTCCATAATACCTCTTCATCCACATAACAGGAAATCAATGTGAGGATTCTTTCAGCTGCTAATGATTGCCATCCTAATTATGCATCTGAGTGTGAGGCCTCATTGGACACACTGTGAGATCAACTTGTCCAGAATTCCACTTGTCATCTGACCTCCATAAAACCCACTCTAATAGGAGCCCATAATGTTGTTTTGGGTCCCCTAGTATCCATGTCAGCTCAGTTCTATATCAAATAGCTCTGTAAAGATCTGTGTATTTCCTTTTTCCTAGTGCACAGTTGCCATAGCAAATGGTCATGATAGTCTAATTGACTGAAAAACAGATGAAAGGGAAAGTTTGTAGAAGAAAGTGAGAGAAACTCAAAAAGTCTATACCCATAGAAAGAACATAGACTTTGGATCCCTATATATCTGTGCTGGATTTCCACTCTCCCACCCATTGGCTATGTAATCTTCAACATCACCTGAAAAGTGGGACTGCTAAAGCCTACCTTGCAGGGACATTCCAAATAAACAGATACAGTAAAGGGCCAACACACAGCAGACTCTCATTAAACAAGTAGCTGTTCTATTAATATTACCAAAGAAACATTCCACACGGAGGTTCATGCAGCACAGTCTTGGGTAAATAATGAGACCTTTATATGGAAGCTTTCTGTATAGAACAGTTTCACTTGGTGATGTTGAGGTAAAAGAACAATGAGCATCTGCATATAGTAAAGGAAGTGTGCCTTTGGGGCAACTGGATCTTACCAAGGAACAGGAAGTTGGTCTGAAATGATATGGTCATGAAAACAAGGGCTAGATTTATATACCGTCTTAGTTTGAACTCCACTAAAGCACTGTCTTAGTTAGGGACTTGGGTGCTGATGGTTAATTTGGGAGGTGATTCCAGGGAGGGAAGGTGGGAAGTGTTACAGAAGAGGAAAATCTAGTAAAATATATGTTATTAAGCTTGTTACTGCTGTGGGCAACTGAGGCTCAATTCTGCTGGTAAATCCTATAGCATGCACTTCATTATCCTCCCTTCAAAAGACTAGAAGTTGGAAAATCCATGTTTAACTGCTATCAGCCATTGTTTTAGGACTACCCCAGGAGGCATTGCTTCCAGCCTACCTGGGGCACCTGTGGCTGAGCAAACTTTCATGGCTCCAGAGAGCCTAAACAAGGCAAACAGAGCTTTGTGATAGGTTATTGAAGTAAGAGAGTAACACATACTTAGGAGATGTCTGCCATCGCCAAAATCAGAGGCCAGCTAAGGGCATGTCACACAGAACACAAAAAAGTCTCCTACATACATTCTTACATTTTCAGATTTCATTGTTATTTTTTGGCTAAGCCACTGAGGTGTTTTGTTTTGTTATCTTCAGTTTGCCCTTCTCCAACGGTCTCAAGAAAGACCATAATGATCTCACATTTGCTCTATGGCTTTCTGGCATTTGCTTCTGAGGCTACCTAACATAGCACAAGAACTTTCTTGAGAATTTTTTAAACATGGTGGCCTTCCCTGATGTGCAGTCACTATACATGGCAGGAAGCAGAGTGCATGGGGTACCAGGTCCAACACAGATATCAGCAGCAAAATGTAGTGCTTGGATTTGGAAGAGTGTCTAAAGGATTTGGGTTCTACAAACATTGCCTTTTTGGCAGCTTGGAACAGCTATAATCCTGTGTCCATAAATTTCATTTTATTTTAAGAGAAGCTGTGCCTATTTTCCTTTAGCTGATAAGAAGTCTCCTTGCATTATGAACAAAACTCCAAAGCTTATGTGCAAATTCATTTGGCTCTACCTCAGAAACTTCCCAATTTCCCATTTCAGGCCTGTGTACAATAGAAACATCTTTCTTTTAATTGATTCTGGAGAGAATTATAATCAGTCTTTGGCTTGGGCATCCCAGCTTCAGGAGGTGAAAGAGATGTTATGGTGATTGGCTTTCTGGTTTCTTGGTGGCCCCACAAGGGATGTACACAAGGCCAGGGGTCTGCTCTGCTTCATCAGAACCTAGGCCCTTGGGGCAAGAATGGAGGACTGGCAGAGCGAAAGCAGGCTGAAGCTGCCATGTCAGCCCAGTTTCTCCAAGATTACCATTCCCCACCCATGCCCCTGCCCCCACCAAAAATTAAAGACAAAAGAAGTAGAGTTTCTCTAAATGAAATGTTTTTTGTAAAGTCTTTCCAGAGAAGCTGCTAATAACATGCACCGTTGTTTGGCATATACTTTTATGATTTAGAGAATGCTCTTTTTTCTCAGGACAGAATGCACATCCAATATCATGTGTTGAAATACATCCTTCTTCCTCAGAATCATTTTCCTTCCCTTTAAAATGTGGAGCCTGTTTGTTAGGACAGCTTTGATTGCAAGTGACAGAAACCCAACTGGAACTGGCTTAAATACAAAGGGATTGTATCATAATGGTCCTGGGCTGTTTCACAGGAACAAGGGCAGCAACCTAGAGCTGTGAGAGGAATGTGCTCAGCCTCGGGAGCAACTAGATTCAGGGGACACAGTCAGTCCCCAGGTAGGTGCTCTCTCCAACTTTTGGATGTGTCCCTCTTTGTACAGCTGCATTACTCTTCTCTCTACTGTGAATTTATTTGTTCTGTCCCTCTGGCTCATAAAGTAAAATACAGCCTAGATAATTTCCAAGATTTATGTCCTAAAGCCCAGCCACCAAGAGGAGATTAGATGTTTCAGCTCCAAAGTTTCCAGAGAAAGACTCTACTTGACTTGCTTTATACTGTCAACTATGGTCGTGAAATAACATGGTGGATCCCTCTATAACCACGACAGTGATTGTAGGGCAAAGTCCTCAGTAAAAAAGGAGATCATTGGTAGTCAAACCATCATTCTCTCTTATAAAAGGGTTGGGCCTACTAACCATTAAGGTTCCTTCCAGCTTTAGTAGACCAGCTTGCATTCGCTGGTTGACTTAGGTGCTGAGTTCAAGGGAGCCAGTAGTTGTGTGTTTCCCAAACATGGCGGAAATCTGCCCCAGCCAAAGGCAGAGCCTGCCATAATGGAACCTGAAGCATCCCCAGTTACCAATGCTGCCAAGTCCCCTCTCTCCCAAGGCTTTTCACTCAATGAGTTGTTACACATTTAAGCTTACAAACAGCTCCCTTGGGCACACTGTAATACCCAACCGAAAATCCTGCCACCTGAGGTTGCCTTTGTTCTGAGTCAGAAATTATTGCCTCCAAGATGGGAACCATCGGAATCAAGAGTAATTAAAATTCCAAATCAGTGCTGTAGAGTGATACTCTTTACCTTTATGGATTATAAAATCAATAAATCTTTAGCAATATGGGAGCCATTCACCATTCATTCATTCATTCATTCATTCATTCTACAAGTCTTTTTACATCCCTACTATGAGCAAAGTACCATCTAGATTCAAGTGGTGCAAAATTAAATACTATGTTATTCCTGCATTTACAGAACTCAGTTCTCTGTTTACATCTGTTGTGGAGACATATGTAAGCAAGTAGTTGTAATAGTATACAAAAGATACAAAAATAGAATTAAATGGCATGATGAAAAAAATTATTGTGTCCAAAAAAAGGGTATAGAGCTTACACAAGAATTCATAAGAGAGATGATATCTGAAATGGTTCTGTAGAAGTGAAAAGGAGTTTCCCAGGGCAACCTAGAAGAATAGATAATTCCAAACAGAGCATATGAATGGGATTTTTCTGAAAATCAGAGGCATCACACCAAGGACATCCAACTAGTTGGCTGATGAAGAATCCTGCTGCAAGGAATCATGAATTTCTCATGTCAGATTTGTGTTATTCTAGGAAGTTTCCTTGCTGTATCAGTTAGAGTAAGCCAAACTGTTGTAACAGACATACAGCTGTTGTAACACATGCATCCCCAAAATGTATGGAGGCTAAAGTACAATGGAAAATTATTTCTCATTCGCATGACAATTAGCTGACTTCTCCAAACCATGCCATAATTTGGGTTTCTTCCATCTGTGGCTCCTCCATTTCCTAAGTCCTCACCTCTGTTTTTATTCAGTTGATGTTAAGAGAAGAGCATGGTGAAAGCGCCCCTTCCTCAGCCTTTGTGCAGAGTGATACACTGCCGCCTGCTTCCATTCACGCTTTATTGATGAAAGTTGATCATATTCCCACATTTCTCTGTAAGGAAAGCTCGAAATGTAGTCCCTTCATGGGCAGCCCCTTCAAACTACAACCAAACGCTATGGAAATATTGATTTTGGTCAACAGCTAGCTACCTCTGCCGTGCTTACAATATGTATAGACCATCTATAAAATATACATAGCTTTCAAACTACTGACACAAAAATGAGCTACAGTAAGAACTTGAAACAGAGGAGGAAAAGAAAACAAACCCCAAGCTTTTAAATTCTTACTTTAAAATGCTTAAAACAAGAGTTTTATTTCCTTTCAAATATACATTTGTAAAGAAATTTTAAAGTGGTAGTTGGCCATTTTTAAGTGATCCTGAATGTCATCATATTTTTACGTTCCTATTTTCTTTCTGACTGTACTTGTGGTATAACCAAGTTCAATGTAATATTAAAATAGAAAAAACAAAAACATCAGCATGTTTCTTAAACAACAGCAAGAAAGTGCAATTTTATTCTAAGCATTCCAGTAGCTATTAAATAAATGGTAGGTTACTATGAGAGCTATTTTAAAAGGTCAAAAATATGAAAGATCTTTTTCTTCATTAACCTATTTTTTGTACGTTTGAACCAATTTGTTCTAAAATGAAGTGAGGTTTTATTTTTCTAAGTTGGTCTTTTTAAAAGTTGTTCATGCATTTTGACAAAGCAATTACATACTTAGTAATTAATCCCAACCAAAACATCAAAAAAAGTGTATGACTGCATTTTTCTGGATGCTCATCCTCATCATATTGTTTGCAATAGTAAACAGTCAAGTTTGCACTAAAATGTCCAACCATATAGGGTAGATTAGTTAAGAGGAGCCCAGCCAGTAGGATAGCCTTGCATCTCGGTTTACTCCTCCTGTCCCCATGCACTTGGAATTAGCACCCCTGTTTTACTCTCTGAGTATCTCAGTTTGAATGATAAATTATATGATCACATTATATATAATGAAATATGCTGAATCCTAAAAATTCATCATGTTTGAGATTCCATAATAATAAGAAAAATGATTTATAATTTGTCAATATATGTAAAATACAGTTTCCTCTCTATGGATTCAAAGCAATTCCAATCAAAATCTAGCAAGTTATTTTGTGGATATTAACAAACTGATTCTCAAGTTTATGTGGAAAAGCAAAAGACCCAGAATAGCCAAAAAAATTATGAAGAAGAACAGGGTTGGAGGAGTGATGCTACTAGATTTCAACACATACCGTAAAATCAGTGATCAAGACAGTGTGGTATTGTTGAAGGGAAAGATAAATAGATCCAAGGAACCAAATAAAGAGCCCAGAAACAGACCTCCACAAACAGAACCAACTGATCTCTGACAAAGGAGCATAGACAATTCAATGGAGAAAGATAATCTTTTCAACAAATGGTGCTAGAACAACTGGACAGCTGTATGACAAAAAAAAAAAAAAAAACCTAACGTACACCTTACATCTTTCACAAAAATTAATGCAGAATGGATCCAATCCTCAATGTAAAAGAAAACTTCTAGAAGATAACATGAGAGAACACGTGGGTAACCTTGGATTTGGTGATGAGTTTTTCTTTAATGAGACAGAGTCTTGCTCTGTCACCCAGGCTGGAGTGCAGTGGTGTGATCATAGCTCACTGCAACCTCAAACTCCTGGGCTCAAGCAATCCTCTTGCCTCAGCCTCCCTAGCTAGGACTACAGGTGCATGTCACCACTCCCAGCTAATGTGAAAATTTTTTGTAGAGACAGAGTCTCACTATGTTGTGCAGGCTGGTTTCAAACTCCTGGCCTCAAGCCATCCTCTTGCCTTGGCCTCCTAAACTGTTGGGACTACAGGTGTGAGCCACCACGCCTGGCCTGGCGACTTTTTAGATACCACACCAAAAGCATAATCTCTGAAAGAAAAAATTGGTAAGTGGGACTTCATTAAAATTAAATACTTCTACTCCACAAAAAAATACCATAAAGAGAATAAAAAGCCACAGACCAGAACAAAATATTTGCAAAATACGTATCTGAAAAAGGACTTGTATCTAACACATATAAAGAACTCTTAAAACTCAACAATAAGAAAGCAAATAACCCAATTTAAAAATGGGAAGAAAACCTGAATGGACACCTCACCAAAGAAAATATACAGATGGCAAATAAGTATATGAAAATATCCTTCACATCATATGTCATTAGGGAACTGCAGATTAAAACAACAGTGATGGCCAGGCATGGTGGCTCACGCCTGTAATCCCAGCACTTTGGGAGGCTGAGGCGGAAGGATCACAAGGTCAGGAGATCGAGACCATCCTGGCTAATATGGTGAAACCCCGTCTCTACTAAAAATACAAAAAATTACCTGGGTGTGGTGGCGGGTGCCTGTAGTCCCAGCTACTGGGGAGGCTGAGGCAGGAGAATGGCATGAACGCAGGAGGCGGAGCTTGCAGTGAGCAGAGATCTTGCCACTGCACTCCAGCCTGGGCAACAGAACGAGACTCCATCTCAAAAAATACCAAAACAAAACAAAACAAAAACAACAACAACAGTGACATACTACAACACACCTTTTAGAATGGTTAAAATACAAAACACCGACAGCGCCAAAGGATGGCAAGGATGCAGAGTGAAAGGAATCTGCATTCATTGCTGGTAGGAATGGGAAGATGGTACAGCCACTTTGGAAGAAAGCTTGGCAGTTTCTGATAAAGCTAAACATGGTCTTACCATATGATCCAGCAGTCGTGCTCCTTGGTGTTTACCCAAATGAGTTGAAAACTTATGTCCAACCAGAAACCTGTGCACAAATGTTCATAGCAGGTTTATTCATAAATGCCAAGACTTAGAAGCAACCAAAACGTTCTTCAATTGGTGAACAGATAAACAAACTGTCATACATTCACGCAATAGGATATTATTCTGAAAAAAATTTTAAATGAACTAACAAGCCATGAAAAGGTATGGCAGAAGCTCAAATGCATATTGCTAATTGAAAAAATGCCAATCTGAAAAGCTTACACACTGTATAATTCCAACTAAACAACATTCTGGGAAAGGCAGAACTGTAGACAGTTTTAAAAAATCAGTGATTGCCGGTGGTTTTGGGGGGAAAGAGGAGGGTTGAATAGGTAGACCACAGAGTTTTAGGCCAGTGAATCTATTCTGTATGATATTGTATTTGTGGGTTCATGACATTGCGCATTTGCCAAACCCTATAGAACTGCACAACACAAATACTGAACCTCAATGTAATCTATAGAATTTAGTTAACAGTGTATCGATATTAGTTATTGGTTCATCAGTTGTGACAAATGTACTATGCTAATGCCAGATGTTAATAATAGGAGAAACTGTGGGAAAGGGGCACATGAGAATGCTATACTTTCTGCTCAATTTTTCTGTACAGGTAAAACTGCTCTAAAATACAAAGACTATTAATTTTTTAAAATGCACTTTACTATGCAGCATTATTGTACAATCTCTTATTTGTTAAAATACATATGGCAATATGGGCTCAGGAAGGAATCTAGAAAATACAAATCAAAATATGCACTGTCCTCTTGGTATGATAGAATTGCATGGGAGTTTTTTTGCTTATCTGTAATTTCTAATTTTTAAATATGTATTTCTTAAGTTATTAAATATATATTAAAGAGGGGAGAGTTTCTTTGCCTTGAGAATCAAGTTCTTGACGCAAACCCCTAAATGTTAACTATGACCCCATCAATGTGAGCTTACCATGTTCTAGGCATTTTGCATGCAGTAGCTGATTCATCTCCTGAAAGTTAGATCTTTTATGCCCATTTCACAGATGCAAAAACCGAGACACGAATTACCTTGCTCAATGTCACAAACATCTCTGTAATTTTAAGAAGGACAGGCCAAGCACACCTTTCTCCATTTTTGGTTCTAGGTAGTCCGCTTTACAGGAGTGTGTTTACCAGCCTTCTGTGTGTGCCTGGGTATGTATACGAGCACGTTAATCGCCACACTACTGAGGTCTTCAACTCAACTATAGAGAAGAGTCATTTTACCTCCCTCAACTCAAGATTAATGTCCTTCAGTGGGTGCAAAGGAAGGTTGAGCACATATCACATAATCAGAGCTGGAAATTAGATGACATTAGCACTAAGCATTTAGCTGAATGGTTCCTACCTAAAAACATGAAAATCAAGTTTTTTTTTAGATAATACCTCAGCCATGTGTCAGCAACAGGTACTAGCCTCATATTCTGGTTTCGTATTTCTCATTCATTTGTATCTAGAGTGGCCTTACAGATAGCATCTTGTCAAAGGGGAAAATTGAATGGACATGTTTTTCTTTGCTCCCTATATGATCTCAGGCAGGGGAAATAGGTTGTTTGTGATTTTTTAATTATTCGCACACAGAGGCTGATAAATATTTTATAACTATTTGAAAGACTGTTTTATGAGATTTTACTTTTAAAATGACATACTGGCATGATTGTGAGAGGGATGTGGGGTGTTTGAGCTCTTGAGGCCACCCTTGACCACTGCCTTATTTGGATTCTCCCAGGAGATTCTGAGCAGACCTGAATTCAGGTGTGTCTCAGTCAACTCAGGCTGCCATAACAGAACACCGAAGACAGAGTGGCTTATAAGCAACAGAAATTTATTTCTCAGTCTAGGGGCTGGAAAGTCCGCAGTTAAGGTGTAGGCAGACTCTGGTTCTGGTGAGGGTCATAGAAGACCATGTTCTCACCGCGTCCTCACATGGCAGAAGGGGAGAGGGAGCTCTCCAGGGTGTCTTTGATGAAGATACAATCCCACTCATGAGGATGGAACCCGTGTGACCTAATCACCTGCGAAAGGCCCCACCTCCAAATGCCATTGCATTAGGGATTAGCTTTCAACCTATGAATTTGGGAGAGCACAAGCATTCTGTCCACAACAAAGGGCAAGTAGCTTACTTGGTAGGTGATCCCAGGAAACACCGTTGGGGAGAGGGGAAGTCAGGCAGGGAGAGGAAGGAGCCAATTCATGGTGCAGTAGGAATCAAGCCAGCTGGAGCCCTAGACCTTCCAGTGGACAGGCCCCTTCCCAGTGAGCCAATCTGCATTAAGAACATGCTGTACTTGGGCATAGCAGCTGGTTGACCGCTCCCACACCAGGGCTGAGGGTCAGCCACAGCTTCTCTCTTCCTTTCTCTGGGTTTCCTGCTTATCCCGTCATGGGACTTCCCCAGAGATAGACCCTGAGAGAAGGAGAGTGCAGATATTTTCTGCAGGAGGTGACAAGGAAAACCTGGTGGGGAGCAGAGAAGTGAGACAGGCCAGGGATGCCAGCCAGCAGGGGCATGTGTAGCCCACCAGGCACACTGGGGAACTGATCCACAAGACTCCTTGCAGCCCTGTTTGTTGTTAGAGGTGGCAATGAGGTCTGCAGGGGTCGTGTGGGGCCCTGGCAGCCTGTGCCACTCTCCTCTTCCTGCAGAAGGTGACTTACGCCTTTTGGGAGCCACAGGCACTGTGCTTGCAGGGAGGGCTTGGTGCTCCCTCAGGATGCAGCCCTGTGTCTCTCCACATGCTCTACTTGCAGAGGCTTTTAAACAGTGTCCTTCCACGTTCCTCCTTCCCACACAAAACAACACTCTGAATCGTGCATGCCCTGCCCTTTCCCATTGGCCTCCTCTGGTAAATTTGGGAGATTGGATTTCTGAACTCAGAATGGGGACAGGCATGGGTGGCACCTGCCTTATCAGAACTCTCTTCAATATAGAGTCCAAGACTCCTAATTTAGACCCTCCTCTGAGCAGCAGGGATTCTCATGGCTGCTCATGGATAGGTGGGCCCTTGGAACCAACTACTGTGTGTTTAATCTACAGTATTGATGGAGGGAGAGACTGAGGAACCAACTCAAGCCTTCTTCATGAAGTGGGTGGGGAGGAAAGACAGACTTAAAAATTTATTAGCATCTAATCCTGTTAAGATTTTCTCCACCATATGCCAGCACAACAACCCATTTGAAATGTGTACTAATTACCCCTGTTGTATCCTGTGTGTACGCTTTCTACGCAGCCCCTGACCTTTTCGTTAATAACTTTGCGTTGCATTCGTTGACCTGAAACAAATTGAATTCAGTGGCACTCACTCAAGAATTGAATTACATAGTCTTCTTAATTGGTGTCTTATTTAAATGTGAGAAAGTAACGGCTTGCCACCTGTAATACGTTTCCAACAAAATAAAATTAGAATTCTAATATTTTTCCCCATTCTAGGGAAAGGTTTGGCCATGAAAATATCATTCTTGTATGATCTCAAAAATAAAATTCTCTGAATTTTTTTCATTGCCAATGCCGTGAAAACTGCCTATATAGACACATATTAATTGGAGAGATTTATGCAAATCAGCTGGGCTAGGAAGGCTTTTCCTGGAAGTGGCCCTTAAAATAGGCGGCAATCTGTCTCCGTTGCCAACAGTTATACTGCCTTTCCCTCCCCAGCTCTTGGATTTCGGATTATGTGATTTAATATACCTCCGGCTGGCAAAATAGGAAGCGTTAAGACAGGAATATGTTAAGCATCTGAAGATATTTTCCACTGCATTTGTTAGTTTTAAGTCCTTGAGCCGCATTGTCTGTTGGTTGGAGGGGGCAGAAATCTAATTTCAGGAGTTTAGTGATGTTCTCCTATTGACGGCTTCACAGGCAATAGATACTGCGGGTAACATTGTTCTTAACACCGTTCACTCATGTCTTTCCTCGGAGGATTCTTGCAAGCGATCGAACAGATAGGAGCAGCTGGAAATTTTGGGCTTTGCTCTCTAATTCCAGTGTGAAATTAATTGTCCCAACTGCAAAGAACGACTTACTCCTTTACTTACTATATTTAACTTAAAAATGCAAATGTTATTAGTGGACTGATCACTGATAAGGGTGCCTTTGTGCCCGGCTTTAACCTCTATTAGTGAGGATTATGAGGACGTAGCCACATTGGCATTTTCTAAGTGTCACCGTGACAGCACTTGCTGCACAAATGCCTAGCTGTCACCGTGAGTTTTATCACTCAGTTTTTCCCTCCGAATGTAGACTAATAAGCCCAGAAATTACAATTGCCTCCCTGCCGAATCTGTGATAGGCGGAAATAATGATATCAGTGCCCTGCTAATCTTCTTGCCTCTGCGCTTGGCACTGTCCTATTGAGTCACCTGTCACACTCCGCTTTGATGAGGCGAATTCAATCTCCCTGCTGTAATGACAATGGGGCCATTTTAATGTTTGGAAATGATTATGTGGAAGCTTCACCGTGCTCTGTCTTGGCAAGCAAACCAAGGCACTGTGCACGCCAGGAGAGCGGGCTCTGGCTGTCAGGCAGGCAGTGGAGATGCTGAGTTATTATTAGGATTTAGACGTAGAAGTCGGCTTCATTTTGAGCCTTTGGTGGTGGCCTTGCAGGAGGGAAGAAGGATGGGGAGGGGAAAGGTGGGATCACTGCTGCAGAAGCATAGCCATTGGCTAATCTCTTAGTTGTCTGCACAAATTTGCCTCTAGAAGGGTTTCCCAGGCCACCTGTGTTGTTCAAGGAGGCCAGGGTGGCTGGAGCTTATAAACAATCGTGGTGACACTACCAACATCATTTGCTGGGGCTTTTGGTGTGTGGATTGTGGATTTCCTCTTCAGGACATTAACTGAATCAAATTACTCTTACACCAGGCCTGATCTTTCCTGGTTCTTTGAGAATAACACTGCTGCAGAACAAAAAAATACACATAACTTGGAAAACACTAGGTGTCAATGAGGATCTGGAGCAACCAGATCCCACTACTGATGCTGATTTCTAAAACCACCTCAGAAAAGCAGCAGTCTCTACTGAAGCCAGACATATATAAACCCAGCAAATTTTGTATTGATACAGAATATTTTACATATTTATAAAGTGCATGTGAGTATTTGTTACATGCATAGAATGTCAAAACCAGCAATTTTGTTCCTAGGTAGATAACCAACAGAGATGCAAGTGTGTATTTGACAAAACACATGAACTAGAATGTTCATAGCAGCATCCTTCATGATAATGCCAAACTGTAATTCGTCCAAATGCCCATCAACAGTAGAATGCCTTAGGAGTTGGTTTTTGGTGGAATACCATACAGTCATCGGAATGAATGAACTACAACTGTGTGGATGGATCTCATAAACAGGATGTTGGATGAAAGAAACCAAGCATGATAGAGTACATATGTAAAGAATTCCAGGTTGGGCACGTTGACTCATGACTGTAATCCCAGCACTTCGGGAGGCTGAGGCAGGCAGATTGCCTGAGGTCGGGAGTTCAAGACCAGCCTGACCAACATGAAGAAACCCTGTGTCTACTAAAAATACAATATATTAGCCTAACCGGGCATGGTGGCGCATGCCTGTAATCCCAGCTACTCAGAAGGCTGAGTCAGGAGACTCACTTGAACCCAGGAGGTGGAAGTTGCAGTGAACAGAGATCGCGCCATTGCACTCCAACCTGGGCAACAAGAGTGAAACTCCATCTCAAAAAAAAAAGAAAGAAAAGAATTCCATTAATAGGGACTGTGAGGCAGGTAAAACTGCTCTATGGTGTGAGAAGCTGGGATCGTGATTGCCCTTGGTGGAGGTAAGGACTGGGAGAGGACACATGAGGAGCTTCTTGGGGCTGGTAAAATGTTCTGCTGGTAAAATGTTCTGTCTTTGATCTGGGTGCTGGTTATAGTATTGTATTTGGTTTTGAAAACTTTACTGATTTATGTTCTTTTCTGTGTGTACATTACACTTTTTAAAAAAGATTTTAATTTAATGTTTTTAAGGCAATATATGAGGCATCTGTGTGTTCTGTCTGCCTCGATAGCACAAGGGATGGGAGCTAAACATTGAGCACACGTGGCCATACACATGGGAACAGTCATCACTGTGGACTGCTAGAGGCAGAAGAGAAGGAGGGGGTATGGGCTGAAAAACTACCTATCAGGTACTACGCTCACTCCCTGGGTGACAGGATCAGTACACCACACCTCAGCATCACACAACATACCCATGTAACAAGCCTGCATATGTACCCCCTGGATCTAAAATAAATGTTGAAATTTTTTAAAAAAGTAGTACAAGGGGACTAAGGACAGAAAAATCACTTCACAGCTGGATGTCACTAGTGGTCTGCTCTGCTTACAGATGCCACCACCATAGGGGTGAAGACTCGGGTGCCCCAGGGCTGCTTCCCAAACTCCTACAAACATTTCACAAATTCTTCCTGCCCTGCCTCAAATCGTAGCTTTTCTAATGCATTTGCCAAATCAAGTCACGTGAATGAAAAGACACCCTTTCAGAATTACTACTTATACATAGCTTCCCTATCTGAACAATAAAGCTCAAGGAAAGCATTTTTATCTCTGGTAATCACATCCCAGAGGGACAGCAGCCTGCAGAACATAAAACTCGCAGTCTCTAATCCTTCCAGAAGGGCAGCTCCCAAGCTCCCTGTTAATGTGGGGAAAAAAGGTGTGCAGAAACAAGCCATCATTCATCGGACAAAGTCACGTGCTAATTGGACTTGATTCTGCAATGTAAATTGCTTGGCTTGTTTCCAAAGAAAAATGGAGATGTCCCTGGACGATTAACTAGCCTTCAAACTCACTTTCTACCTTCATTTGTTCCTTCTGGCAGTCTGTTTTGTTCATCTTATCTGCCCAGACATAGGGTTTATTAAAGTTAGTGTTCACTCAAGACCATCCTGGCTAACACAGTGAAACCCTGTCTCTACTAAAAATACAAAAAAACAAGCCAGGCTTGGTGGCGGGCGCCTGTAGTCCCAGCTACTCGGGAGGCTGAGGCAGGAGAATGGCGTGAACCGGGAAGGCGGAGCTTGCAGTTAGCCGAGATCGCGCCACTGCACTCCAGCCTGGGCGACTGAGTGAGACTCCGTCTCAAAAAATAAAAATAAAAGTCAACAGCATAGTCCGGACGCGGTGGCTCATGCCTATAATCCCAGCACTTTGAAAGGCCAAGGCAGGTGGATCACCTGAGGTCAGGAGTTTGAGACCAGCGTGACCAATATGGTGAAACCCCGTCTCTACTAAAATGCAAAAATTAACCGGTCGTGGTGGCATGCACCTGTAGTCCCAGCTACTCAGGAGGCTGAGACAGGAGGATCGCTTGAACCTGGGAGGTGGAGGTTGCAGTGAGCCGAGATCACACCATTGCACTCCAGCCTTGGCGACAGAACGAGACTCCGTCTCAAAAAGAAAAAACAGTCAACAGCATACACATTTTTATCTTGTTACACAAGACTCTTAGCAGGCTCTTCGTCTTTTTAAAACATGAAACCAGAACAATACTTTTGTTTTTGTTTTTAATAATACCAATAAGCATGATAATATCAATGAATCTACCCAATTCTAAATTATTTTCATGGAAATAGGGTTTTCTCCACTATCTGCTAGCAATGTAATCTTGGGAAGGTTCTTCAAACTCTCTGAACTTCTGTTTCCTCATCTGTGTAATAGGAAAAAGAAAAGTACCTGCCCTAAGGGTTACTATGAGGATAAAAATGATATAATCCATGTAAAGCTCTCAGAATGGAGCCTAGTATATATTGGACACACTGACTAAATGGTGGCTCCTAGAACATTGACGATTATGATGCCATTTCTTTGAGCAACAGGCTTCCATTGCCTGGAAAACAAAACCCACCCTTGACTATGACAGCCAAAGCACTTTGTGATCTGATCGCACGCACAGCCCTGAGATCTGTAATAGATCAGATCCCTCCGCATTTTCCAAACCTGCTCTGTCCCTCCCTGTCTCCACCCCTTTTCCACAGGCATCTGTGATGGAATTTCCTCCTTTTCCTCCATCTATTTCTTCCAATTTAAAACCAATGATTTCTTCAAGGCACAGTCAAGAAGCTCTTTCTTTCATAAACCCTCTGCTCCCTTGGGTAGGTACCTAGAAGCAGACACACAGTGGGACTTCATGAGTTTTGTTGCAGATCAATAGAGCTACCCTGCTGTTACCTGCATGGTCCCCTGCATGTCCCAGCCTCCCTTGTTTTGACCAATAAAATGTGAGCAAAAACCATGTGAACACTTCCAGGATATGGTCGTGAAAAGCCCATGCTCAGCCCTTCTTTCCTTCCTGCTACAGCAACCTCAGGAGCCACAGGGTTCTAACGAGGCAGCTACAAGAGGGCTGCGCCGCCATCACCTCAGGTCCCTGAGTGAGTGGAGGACAGCCCCAGATTACCTGGAGCAGGTATCCACACCTTTGTTGCATAAACCACTGACATGGTAGTTTGGCGCAGCAGCCGAGCCTAGTTAGTACATCTTCCTCCTCCATGCTCACAGATCCCTCAGGATCTACCTTAATAGGCACTGTATTTGTAGCAACTGGGGGATGTGTGTGTGTGCACACACATGTACCTGCACGAACTTTCCTCCCAACAACGCCGTATGCCCCTAGATTTAGAAAAGTCAGCTTCATCATGGACTCTCCCACAGCACTTATCATGTACTGGAACTAAGTGGGAGTTCAGAAATATTGGTTGAATGGATTGTGCCTCCCTTGTTTCTGAATGAAGACAAACTCCAATGGGTAAAGGTGAAGCTTTAAGTGAGGATATTTTTCCCTGTACATAATACTAGCATGATTATTGTCCAGCTTGAGGAATGCCTTCTCTTTCAATAAAAGAGTCCCCTAAGATAGCTCCCAGCTAGTTGTGTGTGCAGCAGCACCACAGAGCCCCAGGGAGGCCAGCTTCCCATGATGTGCCAGGCTCCTCCTTCCCTTTTGAGACTGTTCTCAGCCTCAGTGGTTGAGACGTAAGTAACCAAGAACAATAATTTGCGGCAAGTTTGTGAATTTGAATAGGTAAATGCTGGCGGGATTTTTTTCTGAATGCAGCTCTCCCTGGAGTGACAGCATGTGTGCATATGTGTGTGGTGTGTCTAATTCCTTTCATTAGTAAGTCCACATGTGTCATGGTTAAATGGGTACAGATGATGGATTTCTACCAGAGCTAAGCCCAAGGCATCATGGTGCCCCAATGCCAGAGCACATGTAGCTGCTATCTCTTTGTGCAGACTATGGAATAGAGAGGAAGGGAAATTCCTGCAGTGCAGGGGACATTTGTGTACCTTCAGTTTATTTCTGTTCTTCACTGCTTGCAACTACAACCTCTTTATACATAAAATAATCGCTTGTAGTGATGGCCAGTCTTTCATTTAAATTTCCAAAAAACTCAGAGAGAGACTGTTTCAGGTTCTTTAGAGAACCTTATGCTAGCCTGATTATTTTGTCTGACTTGACAAATGAATAAGTGAGAGATTGAAAAGAGTGAGGCCTGGTTTGATTGAATTAACTGTGAGTTTATTTATTTGGTGGACAAATTGTCCACAGATCCAGCTATAATCTTGGTCTAAGAAACCCCTAAAGAAAACAAAACATCAATTGGGTTAACTTCAAAGAGATTTGGTTTAAACAAGACATTTTAAAAAGTATTATATATCTTAGAGAGAAAAGAGGTGAAATAAACAAAAAGAAAAGATGTTCTTCGTGGGAACTTAAATTTCCAGATATCACTAAAACAATCAAAACAGCAAAAATGAGTATTAGTGAAGATTGAGTCATTTTGGCGCTTACTATGAAAAGTGAAAAATATGTTCTTGGAGGGGAAGGAGACTAGTACAGAGTCCATTCTGAGGAGGAAAAAGGGGTTCCCCAGTAGGTCTGGATAAAGGACTGTTGTTTGCAGCCTTCTGCACACACCGAAACCTTTGTAGAGAAGAATTTGTGCTGGGAATGAAGAATGTCAACGGTGTCCTTGGAAATGCTTATGCTTCCAAAGGTGAATGTGTCTCACTGCCAAGTGATGTATCCCACAATGGGGTTTGCAAATGGGGTCCCAAACGAAGCTTGAGGGTATGTGGAGAAAATATGGCTCCCAGGACAAACCGCACATTTAAAATACACACCCAAACAACAAAAGTGGTGCCTACAGGAGTGAGATTCTAAGTCTTTGCGGAGTAGAGACGCTGTAAACCAACCAGCATGGCCATGTTAGCAGGTTCCTGTGAACGGAGTGTCTACAAGGTTTCTACTCCTTAAAAAAAGTTCACCAGTGATTCATGAACGTGGTAGATAAGCTAGAAATTGCAGGGATCTGAAAAGCAAGATAGGTCACTTCTCCTCCGTTCACAGGCTAATGAAGGCATCTTTAGAGCCTTACTTTGTGCACTGCATGAGAAGCTGGAATCTTAATAATAAACATGTGCCAGATGATCAAGGATTCTCGGCCATCAACCAAATGCATGCCTGTTTTTGGAGGCAGCAATTTTGATAGCCCTCTTCATATTTCCAGAGACTTGGGAGCAGCAAAGAGGGCTCCTAGAGAAAGGTGTTAAGTGAGCTTAATAGCTCCTTACTGCAGAGTAGGTTAGCATATGCCCTTCAAAAGTTAATGACCCTACTCATGTGTCATCAGCACACGATGTCTGACTCCCTGACTCTCTTTAGGTGCTCAGCATACTCAGAGCTTGAGCAAAGAAGACACCGAGGAGTGCTTTAGCAGATACATAAAGGCACAACACATTTTTCTGTTACTCGGACATACTTTTTTGTATTTTAATATACGTAGATATGTCTAGTTTAAATGAGTTTTGTTGTTTATTTTGAAATCTTGAGTAATCTTAAAAAGAAATTCTTTCTTGTTCCTTTTCAGAGGAAGCTTACAAACACATATGCATAGCTTATAAAACAAGGACATTTTCTCCTCTAAGAACAACAGCTATATTGGGGCAGGTTCCCCAGAAGCAGACCCAGAGACTGTATTCCTAAACAGGTATTTTCTTATGAAAGTGCTCCTAGGGAAGACAGGAAGGGGATAGGAAAAGATTAAAAGGAAAATTTTAAAAAGCCAAGCAAGAGAGTGGTCTTAAGCAAAGTCCTGCATGAGGATAACCTGAGCCTCCTCTCACAGGGGAACTCCAGAGCCTAGATTACACCTCACAGTTATCTCAACCTGAAGCAAAGATTCAAAGCACCTCAAAGCCAGAGGAAGACCCTCCCAAGAGAAGGGAAAAGGTATCTGAGGAGATATAGGCAAAGTGCTAGCAGAATCTTCTAAAGGTAGAAAACTTTAAGGGGCATGTGACATAAGGAGAAAGAAGAAAAAAGTATTAAAAAGTGGGAGAAAGTATAAGAAGGGGAACAATTAAATATTCTTTTCAAAAATCAGGACAAAACTCAAAACATCACAGGGGACAGGTAGTATTGTTAGACTCATTATGAAGTTGGGGAGGCAGCCTCCAACATGGCCCCAAACACCCTTGTATTAATCAGGGTTCCCTAGAGGGACAGAACTAATAGGATACATAGATACATAAAGGGGAGTATATTAAGTATTAACTTACACAATCACAAGGTCCCACAATAGGCTGTCTGCAAGCTTGAAGAGCAAGGAGAGCCAGTCCAAGTCTCAAAACTGAAGAACTTGGAGTCCAGTGTTTTAGGGCAGGAAGCATCCAGCATGGGAGAAAGACGTAGGCTGGGAGGCTAGGACCATCTCACCTTTTCACGTTTTTCTGCCTCCTTTATATTGGCTGGCAGCTGATTAGATTGTGCCCACCAGATTAAGAGTGGATCTGTCTTCCTTAGCCCACTGACTCAAATGTTAATCTCCTTTGGCAACACTCTCACAGATACACCCAGGTTCAATACTTTGCACCCTTCAATCCAATCAAGTTGACACTCAGTATTAACCATCACAACCCTCCTGTCCTGGGATTCACACCCTTGTGTAGGCTCTTCCCACAGTGAATCACGGTTGGTTTGTGTAGCCAATAGAATATGGCAGAGGTGATGGTGTGTCACTTCTGCTGACTAGGTTCCAAAAGATAAATTGGCTTCTGACTGTTCTTTTCTGGATTGCTTGATTGGGGGGAAGCCTGCTGCCATGTTAAAGAACTCAGGCAGCCCTATGGAAGGTGAGGAACTGAGGCCACCAGGCAACAGCTGTGTGAGTGAGCTGTTGGAAACAGATTGTCCAGCCCCCACCAAGCCTTCAGGAGACCTCAGCCTCTGCCAACATCTTGACTGCAGTCTCTAGAGAGACCGTAAGCCAGAGCCACCCAGCTCAGCCACTCTCAAATGTTTGGCCCCCAGAAAAGATGTGAGATAATAAATAGTAGGTGTTTTAAGTCAGTAAGTTTGGGAGTAATCTGTTATGCAGCAATAGACAACTAGTGCAGAAAGCATGTTTTCAAAGCATGAGTCTGTATACCTGTGGGTGGTACCAAATGCTGGGGTCCAGGCAGATCCAGACATTAAACCAAGAAGGAAGTCCAGAACTAGGCCAGGGTGAAAATACAGGGCTCAGCACAGATGGCAAAGTCAACAACCAAGCAGCCCATGAGGGGCTGGAAAAATTCCCCATGCTGTTGAGTAGATTCCATGCCCCAAATGGGGACAGAACTGGCTCCAGGTGGTTAAAGGAACCAGAAGTAAATAAAAAACAAAAAAAAAACACTTAGATTTTCATTATAAATCATTAAAATAAAACTTCGCCTAAGGTAACTTCAATTATCTAGAAATTCATTTTTAGAGAACACTATTGGTTGTCCATTCAACAGCTATCCAGCCCTCTTTTCCATGATGGCAGAGCCCACCTGCTACTTAAGAGACTATAATGATGAGCTATTCTCTTTCCCTGCCTCCTTGTAGCTAAGTCATGGCCAGTGGAACCCAAGGGGCAGTCTGCAAACGGGGTTTTTGGAAAGACTTTTCATAAAAAGAGCACCACGTAGGACAAAATGCTCTGTTGTGCCCACCTCTGGATCTTTTATTTGATTTTTAAATTTTTTTGTGGGTAGATAGTAGGTGTATATATTTATGGGTTATGTGGATATATATTTATGGGTTATGTAGATATTTTTATACTTGCAGGTAATGTGTTATAATCACATCAGGGTAAATAGGCTATCCATCGCCTTAAGCATTTATCATTTGTGTTTCAAACAATCCAATTATACTCTTAGTTATTTTTAAATGTACAATTAAATTTGTTTTTACTATAGTCGCCCTGTTGTGCTAGCAAATACCAGGTCTCATATATGCTTTCTAACTATTTTTGGTACCCATTAACCATCCCCACTTCCCCACCTCCCACTCCCCGCCACCCCGCCTTTGGATCTCGAATGAGAATATGCTGTTTGGGTTTGCAGCAGCTGTCTTGCTATCTGAGGAGAAAGTAAAAATGTCCACAGAGGAGCTGACTCAGGGCCCTGACATCTGCGAGCAGCTGAATGAATGGACCCCAGAACAAGCTGCCTCCAGACTTGCTGTCGGAAAGAAAACTCAACATCATTTTAGTGGGATATTCCGTCACTTGCCACCAGATAGATCTGTTGCTGTATAGCAAACAATCCTAAAATTGTCACTTAAAAGAAAAATAAGCGTTTATTTTACTCATGAATCTGGTGGTTGAATGGCTTAGCTGGGTGATACTTGCATGGGTTTCTCATGTGGTTGCAATTAGATGCTGGCTGCGCATAGAGTCATTTTGAAGGTGTTTTTACTCATATGCCTGGCACCTGGGCTGAGAAGGCTCAGCAGCTCAGGGTAGGAAGACCTGGGGGCAGGAAGACCTGGGGTTCCCCAGTCACCTCTCTCTGTCTCTATCCTACCCGTCATCTATCTATCTATCATATATGTCTATCCTATCTGCCATATGTCTATCGTATCTATCCTATCACATATATCTATTCTATCTATCTACCTATCAATCACCTATCAGCTATCTGTCATCCATGTATCCTATCTATCTATTATCCATCTATGTCTATCTATCTAGTGGCCTCAGGGAAATCAGGTGGGACCTCTTACATGGCAGCCAAAGGCCTCCAGAGAGAATGTTTCCAAAGAAAAGACAAGGCGTTTTCTAACCCAGCCTTGGAAGTCACACAGTCTCACTTTCCCCAAATTCTATTCATCATGTAGTTACAAAGGTGGGCCCTTCCTTCAAAGGGAGGGGATATAGACTTCACCTCTTGATAGGAGGAGTTTCAAATAATTTTCGGATGAGTTTTTAAGCCACCACAAGCAACCTAACTGGTACTTTTGGGTCCTACTGTTTATTCCTCCACGTGATGACTTCCCACATTATCCTTACCGGGAGAGCTAGTCTCCTCTTCAGAACCCTTATAAACTTTCCATCCCAGAGAAACTTTTCTAGGGCCCAAGATGGTACCCAACTCTGGGGTGACTCCTTCCCGTTAACAGGATAAGGCTTCTGAGACAGTGACCTGAAGGAATAAGCTGTCCCTTATAAGGCCAAGATGATTCATTGAAAAGGGAGAGTATTTTAATAACTAATGGTTTATACTTGGTGCCACTGCATAGTAGAATTTGTGTTTCTCTTAACCTTTCTTGCTAGCTGGGAAGCTAAGAGTATATTGGATACCAGTTGTAACTCTGTTGTGATTTGGGTCCCCCCACCCAACACAAAGCAGACTCTAAATTGAGGAATTGGGCGCAAGTGGTTTATTCGTCAAATGCTTCCAGAAAGCACTATGAGGGAACAGGGAGGGGAGGCAGGGAAGGGCAAAAAGCTAACATAAACTGTGTTAATGAACAGGTTATCACAGGGCAACCTGGGACTGGGTAGAGCCATGCCTGGCTGCCCCACTGTGGTCAAGGAAGCTTGGGTCCTTGTCCACCATCTCCTGTCCTTCACTGGTTGGGGGTCACTCCTGGGAGCACTTAATAGCACTTCTGGGCTGCCCCACCTAGAGAGTCACAGAAAGCCATCAGCATGTACAGGACTATCTACTGGAGACCTCCAGGGCAAGCCAAGGAGATATGGCAGGGCACTCACAGTATCTCAACCACCAGCTCCCAGTACAAATATCCCTCTCCCGTCTCTACCATGGCAGACTTTCCACCACCTCAAATTCTTTTTTAGAAGTAGGCAGAGTACCCATTATTTTTCAAAAACAAGATTCATTCATTAGGGTTTGTCACATATTACACTGGAGTGTATTTAAGAAGTGAACCTTGGATTTGTGTAATGGAGGAGCCGCGGTGCGTCTCAGCTGATTATGATTCAAGCTGATCAAAAGAATGCAGGAGGGAAAAGTGCTCACCTCCAGTAGACCCCTGGTGCTCATTGACTCATTAACCAGAAACTGATGATTCAGATCTCCTGCTTCTCCTCCCACCCCTACGAGCTGCTCGCCTTTTTCCCTTTCACTGCTCATTAGCACCCATGGCAAAGGCGCAATGGTGGGATCAGAACCACGGAAGTTCTTTTTTTTCTATAGATTCAGGTCTGCCTGAATGAAGTTTAAACCAGTAACAGAGAATATAAGTTTTTCATGTTTTTATTGTGGTAAAATGTAAAACATAAACTTTACCATCTTAACTTTTTTGAGTGTA
The DNA here is from genome assembly GCF_000001405.40 of Homo sapiens. Lineage (NCBI taxonomy): Eukaryota > Metazoa > Chordata > Mammalia > Primates > Hominidae > Homo > Homo sapiens. Next base: position 21,004,847 of record NC_000020.11, read on the forward strand.
CAGTTCAGTGGCATTCAGTGCCGTCACATTGTTGTGCAATCATCACCACCATCACCTCCAGAACTTTTTCAACAGATTGGAGAATTTGGGTTGTCTCTGAAGTTTGTTTTTTCATCATGTCTCTGTCCTGCATTTATCTAGAAATTCAAGGGTTGGCCAGATTAAGTAAAATGTCACTTCTGGAGAGCTAATAAAAAAGGTTTTTTTATAAAAATTATTTATTTTTATATATTTAGGGCATAGAAGTGCAGATTTCTTACATGCATATATTGCCTAGTGGAAAAGTCTGGGCTTCTAGTGAACCCATTGCCCAAATAGTGAGCTTTGTATCACACAGGTAGTTTTTCAACCCTCACCCCTTCAACCCTTCCCCCATCATCTATTATGTCACTCTGTATGCCCAAGTGTAGACATTGTTTAGCTCCTGCTTATAAGTGAGAATTTGCAGTATTAGACTTTCCGTTTCTGAGTTATTTCACTGAGGGTAATGGCTTCCAGTTTTATCCTTGTGGCTGCAAAACACACAATTTCATTCTTTTTATGGCTGAGTAGTATTCCATGCTCTCTTTCTCTCTAGATATAGATATAGATAAAGATATATAGCTTTTTAATATCTGATATCAAAGGTACTAAAAATAATGGACACTTTTGGTATATATGTATGTGTTTGTGTGTGTGTGTATATATATATATATTTACCACAATTTAAGAGTTGGCTGGATTTAGTAAAATATCACTTCTGGAGAGCTAATAAAAAAGTTCCTTTTTATAAAAATTATTTATTTTTATATTATATGTAAAGTTTATAATATATAATTTATATATTTAATATATATTAATTCTTTATTATATACTATATATTATATATTTATTTAATTTATATATAATATATAATATACATATATAATATATTATAATTATATATTATATATATTTTATAATATATTTATAATTAAGTATATATATTATATATTACATATATAATATATATTATAATTACATATATATTATATATTATATGTATATTATATATTATACATATATTATATGTATAATATAAGAAATATATGTGTAATATATATTATGCATATATTATATAATACATATTTATAATTATAAGTATATAATTAATATAAATTATAAATTTATAATATATTTTATATAGTTATATAACATAGTTATATAACATATATATAACTTATATTATGTATAAAATATATACCAAAATGTGGGTATGTATACACCAAAAATGTTCATTATTTTTAGTACCTTTGAAATCAGATATTAAAAAACAAAGATGTATCATTTAGCTATTGCTGTAATAAACCATTGCTATAATGGTTTAAAACAATGATCATTTATTTAGTCACTATCCTAAGGAAGGGCAATTTGGGCTGGGCTCATTTGGGCAATTCTGCCTATTTGGACCAGACACAGTTGACCTTGGCTGGGCATGCTCTGCTGTCAGTTGCCAGGGTGGCTGGAGACTGCCTGGTGTAGGGTGGCTCAGCTGGGATGGCTTGTCTCTGCTCCATGGGGGTTCTCATCCTCCAGCAAGCTTATCGATATGGTGGCTGAGCAGGACCTCAAAAGCAGCAAGAGGGCCAATGCTCAAGAGCTTTTCATGTCTCTGCTCACATCACATTTGCTACTGTCCTTTTGACCAAAGCAAGTTACATGATCTAGCCTAGAGTCTATGTAAGAGGGAACTACCAAAAGGCATGTATATAGAGAGGAATGAACAAACTTGGACCATATCTGTAATGAATCCACCATAGATATTATCCTTTCTGAGGCTATAATTCTATATGAAGATAACAGTTCTTCTGAGATTGCTTAACATCCTAGGCCCTCTGTGATGCCCAAACATTCTCAAGAGTTGAATGTTACATTGTGTAACTCACATAATTGGGCCTCAGTTATGACCCTAGCAGCATTTGGCCATCTTTATAATCCACAAAACCACAGAATCTAAATCATTTTTTTTTCCTCTGACTCAGCCAGGTGGAAATCTAATTGGCCATTGTGGTTTGTGTTACCTCTTCTGATGGTCATCTTGTATCATGTCTTCTGCTCCTGAGAAATTTGAGAGGGGTTGGAAGAGGTTTGTGCCACTGAAGAGGGAAAACTAAGGGAGAGAGAAAACTGGGCAGAATTGGATTGGCTTCCCTCTTCTTTTTTTTTTTTTTTTTTTTTTTTTTTTTGTGACGGAGTTTCACTCTTGTTGCCCAGGTTGGAGTGCAATGACACAATCTTGGCAAACTGCAACCTCCCCCTCCTAGGTTCAAACGATTCTCCTGTCTCAGCCTCCCAAGTAGCTGGGATTACAGGCCCGAGCCACCATGCCTGGCTAATGTTTTGTATTTTTAGTAGAGACGGGGTTTCACCATATTTGCCAGGCTGGTCTCGAACTCCTGACCTCAGGTGGTCCACCTGCCTCAGCCTCCCAAGTGCTGGGATTACAGGCGTGAGCCACCGCACCCCGCCCCCTCTTCCATTTTTAAACATCTGCTCCCATCCCCAATCCATACTAGGTTCTCCCCAGTGGAGTGGGGCCTATTTTGGTTTAATGATCCTTCCTATTTAAAGTGTTCTGAAATAAAAGAGTAAATATACTCTGTTTCTTACATCAGAATTTGAGGAAATGAAAAATATGACTATTTTTATTATTTGGATCAATAAATCTGCAATAAATTGAGAAACCCATAACAACAGATTAAAGGTGTCAAATACATCTATTTTTTATTATTATTAGTTTTATTTCATAGAAATAATACTATCTCCTAGCAGTAAATTCCCTGTTCTTCTTACCCCAGAGCTCTAGTCTCCAGTCACCTGCCCAATATGCACCCCCATTACTAGTTTCTTATATCCTGTATGCTTATACACACAAACATATGTACATGTGTGTTACACGTAAATGGACACTCCCCAATTAATGATTTTTTGACTTCACAATGGTATGAAAGCAATACATGTTCAGTGGAAGCCATACTTGGAGTACCCATACAACTATTCTGTTCTTCACTTTCAGTACAGTATTCAATAAGTTACATGAGATATTCAACACTTTATTATAAAATAGGCTTTGTGTTAGAAGATTTTGCCCAACTGTAGGCTAATGTAAGTGTTCTGAGCACATTTAAGGTAGTCTAGCTAGGTTAGACTACGATATTTGCTAGATTCGGTGTATCAAGTGCATTTGCAACTTATGGTATTTTCAATTAATCATGGGTTTTTGGGACATCATCTCAAGTTGAGGAGCATCTGTGTAGTAGATTAAACCATATGAAATTGCCGCTGTGGAAACATGTTTGATCTATAAAAGTAGCAATGTCATATCAATCAATCTAATATTTTTAAATAAATAAGAGTCTAACCAATAAACTGGTCTGCATCTTGGGGTTTTTTTGTTTGTTTTTGGAGACAAGGTCTCACTCCATCTCTCAGGATAGAATGCAGTGGCGCCATCATAGCTCACTGCAGGCTTCAACTCCTGGGGTCGAGTGATCCTCCGGCCTTAAGCCTCCCAAGTAGCTGGGACTACAGGTATTCACCACCATGCCCAGCTAATTTTTAAATTTTTTATAGAGATGGGGTCTCACTGTGTTTCCCAGGCTGGTCTTGAACTCCTGGCCTCAAGCGATCCTCCCAACTCAGCCTCCCAAGTGCTGGAATTACAGGTATGATCACAGTGCCCAGCCAGGATTTTTTACTTACCGATATATCTTGGAGATCATTCTACATGAGCACATAGAGCTTGATATTATTCTTATCTATGATTGCCTAGGTAGGGCTGCAGTTTATTTAACCATTCCCTCTTGGATGTACACTTATGCTTCTTTCCAGTTTTCATTATTACAAATATAATAATGAAATGAAAATATAATAATGAATGTCCCACTGAGCATTTGAACCTGGGCATCTGCAGACAGGCGGCCGGGCATATGCCAGACCAGTCCACTGTCTTCCTGCCTCATGGTCCTCTGGCTCCCCAAATGGTTCAAGCCATGAAGGAACCCCGTAGCCATTGGCTTATGTGTTACAAGACTGGTGGACTGATATTTATAAGGGACGCTGGCAACACCAACCAAAGTCTTTGCTCTTCCCGCTGCCCTCTTAAATTGGTTTGACGATAAAATCAGAAGGATTTGGACATCCCGCAAACTTTCCCTCTGTGGGCAGAAGTCTCTCCTGTCTGGAGGCCCTTCAGTGAGAAGAGATACTAGTTTTTCAGACAGTCCTGGTTTCAGTTTTTGACTCTGCCATTCAGTAGCTGTGTGACCTTGGGCAACTTACTCACCCTCTCTGAATTTCACTTTCCTCCGCTATAAAATAGTGTAAGATTCTGAAGTGAAACGATGCACCTGCCACATAGTAGGCCATCAAGAAAAAAATGACCATTTGCTCCTTAAACGAACCTCGTTTCCATCATCAAAACACTTAGTGCTTTCCTGGGAGAGCCAGGCCCATGTTGTGTCTAAGGAACTGTTAAAAAGACAGTCTTCTACAAGCCCTCCCTGCTCTCTGGCTCGCTACAGGCAGCATTTGTTTTCTGATCTCAGCAATAGCAACGGATTGTGATTCCTCCCATCTGAATTCTGGCCCCATCCTTGGCACAGAGAGATTGGCCTGAAGGTTTTATTCATAAATAATTAAAAGCCAGAAGGCAAGACAACAACATATTATTCCCGTGACCCTTGTGTTAATAGCATCACCAGATGATGTCTCATTTCCTCACCTCTAGCTCAGTCCAGATGATCTGTAGACATATATGGTTTTTTTGTTGTTGTTTGTTTGATTGTTGTTTTTTGTTTTTGTTTTTTGAGATGGAGCCTCACTCTATCACCCAGGCTGGAGTGCAGTGGCGTGATCTTGACTCACTGCAACCTCCACCTCCCGAGTTCAAGCGATTCTTCTGCCTCAGCTTCCCAAGTAGCTGAGACTACAGGTGTGCACCACCGTGCCCAGCTAATTTTTGTATTTTTTGTAGAGATGAGGTTTCACCATGTTGGCCAGGCTGGTCTCGAACTCCTGACCTCAGGTGATCCGCTCCCCCCGTGGCCTCCCAAAGTGTTGGGATTTCGCCTCAGCCTGGACATGTAAGTTATCCACCACCTCAGCCATCCCAGCTGTAGCGTATTGCAATAAGGAGGAATTAGCGGGTCAGGGATGGAAAGGGAATCAACTGTCCCTAAAAGGAAAAACTGTTTTCTCTACTGATACAACACTTCTGAGAGCAAATTTGTGGGTTTTCTACACCAAGCAGTGTGCCAATTCTCTGCAGACACTAACTGGGTGTCCCACAATTTAATTCTGACACTAATGACCCAGAGTCAGCACAAACCCCACAGTGAAGAGCTCAGTTCCACCAAACTGCCCCCCACTTCAGATGCCAACTCCAAGTAATTGATACCCAGGTTACCCACAGTTCTGTCCATCTTAGCTACAAGTTGAAGGTTCCCATGACTCCTTCCTCAGGTTCGATGACTTGCTGTAATGGCTCAAAGAACTTAGGAAAACACTTTATTTATATTTACTGGTTTATCATAAAGGATATAAATGAACAACCAGATGAAGAGATCTATAAGGCAAAGTATAGGGAAGGGGCTCAGGGCTTCCATGCCCTCTCCAGGTGCATCACCCTCCTGGGACCAACCCAGGAGCTCTCCAAACCCCAGTGTTCATGTTTCTTATGAAGGCATCATTACACATGCATGTTTGATTAAATTGTTGACTATTGGTTATTAAACTCAATCTCTAGCCCTTCTCCCTTCCATGGAGGTTGAAGGATAGGACTGAAAGTTCCAACCCTCTAATCACATGATGGGTTCCTCTGACAACGACTCCCATCCTGAAGCCATCTAGGGCCCCACCAAGAGTCACCCCATTAGCATAAACTCAGATATGGCTGAAAGGGGCTTGTTATGAAAAGGACACTTCTCTCACCCCACTCATTCAGAAAATTCCAAGGATTTTAGAAGCTCTGTTTTCAGGCACAAAAAAACAAATATTATAACAAAAGTTGCTCCTATCACCCCAGTCACTCAGGAAGTTACAAAGGTTTCCGAAGCTCTGTGCCAGGAACCAGTGGGGAGAGACCTAATATATGTTTCTTATTATGCCATAGGCCCTGACACTATGCTTTTATTTATTGATTTTAGAATAATGTTTTTATCTTGACTTTTTAAATACATGCTCATTATGAAATATTCAAGTGATGCCTAAAAGTACAAAGAAAAAGAGCAAAACCTTTCTGACTAGAAATCATGATTTTCAGCATTTGGTGAGCACCATCCCGGACCTCTGTGTTTGACTCACACAACTCAAATGAGCAAAATATAGATAGGAAGTCAACTAGGGGGAAAAGATCATGTTAAATATCCTATTCATTTACTTGCTCATTTTTTGTTTTCCAGACCTCCCACCCCAAACTCTACACTGGAAAAGTCCATGAGGGCAGGAACTTTAGTTATCTTGTTCATCATGGAACCCTCTGAGCCTAGTGCAGTGCCTGGCATTTAGTAGGCTCTCAAAAAATATTTGTTAAATGTTGAAATGTTTCTACTTAGAAGGGAACATTTGTGCACACCTGTGGTTCCAGCTACTCAGGAGGCTGAGGCAGGAGGATTGTTTGAGTCCAGGAGTTCAAGGTTGCAGTGAGCTATGATCCCGCCATTATGCTCCAGCCTGGACAACACAGCAAGATGCTGTCTCTAAAACATATTTCTTTATTTGAAATTTTTTTTTTACAAAATATTTCTTCCTAGATGTTCTTATGATTCTTTCTTTAACCTTGGAGTTCAATGGCTTCCCCAAGATATATCTCAGTGTTGATCATCGTATATAATCTTTTCCTGGGGCACTTTGTTTTATCAATGTTTCCTTATTTTAGTAAAGTTCGCATATATTAGATCTTTGAGTAGTTCATTCCATTTTCCTGTTCTCTTTTTCAGAAACAGTAATCATGGATATGAGGGTCTCCTTTGTCTTCCATATCTATCATCTTCTTTGCAATTGTTGTTTATGTTGACTTTACCATTTCGTTTTGTGCAATAACCTCAAGGCTGACTTTATCTTCAGGTATATTCCCCCATATCCCTTAATTTCCTTATCACAAGGACGCATCCTATCGCAGGTCTTGTGTCCCGGACTACTGTTGCTAATAGCAAAGCTCTTCGGGGTACACACCTTCAGGGCTGTGAGCAGGCTCTGATTGTCCTTCCCCACCCCTCCCCTCGCTTCCTCTCTGGAAGTTTTCCTTGACTAGGAGACCAGGTCACAAGCAATAGAAACAGACCCACATGGCCACTGCTTTTTTAGCCACCCCTTCATCCCTGACCTCGCTATAAGCAGTGGACAAAGGACATTCTCATCTCTCCCCTGGCCCGCCCATGAAACTGGATCTTGACCCTTTAAGAATCCTTGGATATGTTTTTCTTGATGTGGAGAAATGCTTTTGGAGAGGTACTTACACTACTCAGGTTTGTGGCAGCATGTGTGCTCTTGGCCTCGATTTCCTTATGTTTGCCAGGAATGTGGCGGTTTGTGGTGTGATGCTGTGGCAGTTTCTACTTCATTGATGATGGATTATGTTCCCTCTATCTTTTGTCCTTTTGCTGATGTAGGCGGAGTATGAAAGAGGAGCAGAGCAAAGATGCTACAATGCTACTGTTGGTAGGTATAAAGACTTGGCCCAGATGAAAGAGATTTTTGCACTGGGGATTACAGGTCTGGAACCAGCGGAATGCCTACGATGCTCTCACTTCTCAAGTTTGCCCTCCCAGCCATGTCCATGGTGAAGAACACTGCTTAATGCATACACCACATGCCTCCCTAATGACATTTCCCACTGTCATGCTGCATCTTACCTCTGTTGTAATAAGAGTTATTTGACCCCCATGGCATAGGCCAAGTACCCATGAGCTTTTATGCTTCTTGAGAGTCATAGGTGTCCTGGTGATTCGCAGCCATGGGCAGGTGCCCCTAAAAGAATAAGTAGCATTCATTTCTCAAGATATAGCAGCTTCCAGTCTTCCTGTCACAGGAAAGGAGAAATTGGCTTGGTGAGGGAATATCCATACAGTAGTCCCCAACTATCCAGTTGGCTGCCTTGAAATACTGCTGTGGGAGAGGCTGGAGAAAAGGTGAAGGAGTAGCTGATGCCCCCAGGTTGATAGAAGACAGCTCTTTTTTCCTCCCCCACCCACAAACTTCCCTCTTGCTGTGAAGTCAGAGGCAGAAGCTATTCCAGGGACAAGCTGCACATCCAAAGCATTCCGAGTTTGCTTCCTTACGCACCCTGATTCCAATTCCTGCCCCTGCATGTTGTCTGCTTCCCATCACCTTTTCTTCAATGTGTAAAACCTTAGTAAAGTATTACCAGTTATTATCCATGGGCAATTCACTTGTCTATATTGCCTGTAGAATGTCATATCAACCTTGATCTTTCAGTTCATTATCAAGTTCTGACAGATTGGTTTTAAAGAACCAATTCCATGGGCTGGAGTCAGGGCACTGCCAATTTCTGAATGGCTAAATTTCCTGTGACCCATCCGTTCAAACATCACCTGGGGATGCCCTTTTACAACAGAGGAGGTTGAGATAGCCACAGTTCAATGAATTAACAATGCTAGAGTTTGCACGCTTTCTGTGGTTTGTATTAGCTTTAAATATCTGGCAATGTCCAGTTCAATGGACATTGGCCACATGACAGTGATGTCCCTTATGCACACATTTGGAGCATCCTTTCTTCAAACTGTACTCATGTGAACAAATTACAAAGAATCTTGGTGGGAGTCCAAGACAGCGTGAATTATGCTATCTTGAGGCCCTTGCTTAAGCAAGGATATTGCTTTGTTTGCCTAATGTGATCTTAAAACATGCCTGCAAATTTTTTGACACTCATCCCTTCGAAAAATGTGGAGTTTAATTCTCCTCCTATAAAATATGAACTGGCCTTTTGGACTCACTTCTAATGAATAAAATGCAGCAGAAGTGTCTCTGAGTGACTTCTGAGCTAGGTCACAATGGGTTCAGCTTCCACCTGACAGGCCCCACTCTCAGAACTCAGCCACCATGTTGTAAGGAAGCCCAGGCAAGTGGAGTGGTCACAGGCAGGTGTTCCAGCCAACAGCCCCAGCTGAGGTCCAGCCCACAGCCAGCATCAACCATCCGAGGTGTGAGTAAGCAGTCTTTTCATGAATTAGCCCCCAGCCTCTGAGCTGCCGCAGTTAACACCACGTACAGCATGGATGAGCTACCTCTGCAGTACTAGTCAGCCAGGGCTGCCATAACAAAGAACCACAGATTGGGTGGCTTAAACAACAGAAATTTATTTTCTCACAGTTCAGGAGGCCAGAAATTGAAGATCAAAGTATCTGCTGGAATTGGTCCTCTCTGGGGACTGGAAGGGAAGGATTGGCTCCAAGTGTCTCTCCTTGGCTTGAGATGGCTGTCTTCTCTCAGTGTGTCTTTATGTCACCCTCTGTCATTGCCTATGTCTGAATTTTCTCTTCTTATAAGGATGCCAGTAATATTGGACTAGGGCTCACCCTAATTAATGACCTTGTTTTCACTAACTCATCTCTGTCTCTAAACACAGATTCTGACACACTGCAGGTTAGGACTTCAGCATGAATTTATTCAAGGGACACAAGTCAGCTTGTAACACCTGCTAAGCCTCCACCCACATTGCAGACTCATGTGCAAAATAAATGTGCTGGTGTTTTGAGCCACTAAAATTTGAAGTGGTTTATTTACACAACAAAAACACAACGATATGCCTAAGGTACTTGACTTAGAGACTCAGGTTCTGGTGACTATCTCAGAATTTATTCAGCAAACACCCTCTGACATCAGGACTATACCATTTGGGGTGGTTCTCAAAGAACCCAGGCCAGGCCACATGCAAAACACTTGGGAGGGAGCTGCAGGACTGCATATTCAATGCTATCTGTGTTCTGTTTTAATATTGTTCCTTGATTGCAAGAAATGGGATCCACTGAGGCTGTCTCCAGAAACTTTCTTTCAGGAAAAGTTATTCCTTAAAATAACTTTTTAGGGAAAAAGTTATCATAGGGATGTTCTGGAACAGAAGAGGGATGCAGTCAGGAACAAATCTAAGGCCAGAAATGGAATATGTCTATAGGAAATAGAGTTGCACCTCTCAGCAGTTGACTTTGGGACCTGTTCTGGATGCAGGGAGTTCTGCGGCTTTTAATATAGGGGAAACATAGTATTAAGAGCACCCTTTTGGAGCCAGACAGCCTGTCAAAGCCTGGCTCCACCAGGTACTAACAGTGTTGTTCTGGAAAAGTTATTTAATGTCTCCATGCTTCTGCTTCCTTATCTGTTAAAATGGACAATCCAGTACCTATTACATGAAGTTGTAATCTAGGATCATTTATATGATGGGTTAACTATTTATGTATGTATTATACGACTTGCAAGGAATGAATTTCACTGCTGACTCTTCTCTCTCCACCTGGCTTCCTTTAGTGACCCAGAGTTACTGCTCCTCCATTACTTCGGCTTGTACAGCAAATTCATTCATTGATTCAGCAAATGTTTACTTGGCACCTAATGTGTGCTAGGTGCTATTTTAAGCCCTGGGGTTGCAGCGTTGGGTCAATGAGATAAATCAATCAATTGGGCATTGTGTCAGTCATTCAAATATGCTTGACCTCATCAACCTTGATTCTATCATGCTCTTCTCAGCTAAAGTTCTACTTTACTTTATGAACTTCTAGCAGATGCTCCCGCCATTCAGGGGCACCTTTTCCCTGCTTCTTAGCTCAGATCCTTGGAAAAAGCCCTCTGGCCCAGCTTATCTTTTCAAATCAAGTCACAAAATATTTTTGACCCACTTTCTGATTGGTTTCCTAGGATCAGGTGGTCACTCATCCAACCAACTGTATTCTAGGATGGGAGATGGATCCAGGACCCAACCCACATGGACAGCAGGGCTGTGGGGCAATCACATGATGGGCAGCTTTGGTGGGAGGCCTTAGCGCAGTACTTTAAGGATGAGGGAGCCCACCATGGACTCCTGTGGGAGCTTGGAGTGCTCCAAAGAATCCTTTAGTCAATTTCATACCACACAGGCCCAAGGAGGGTACATGACTTCTGGAAGTCACACACAGCCTGTTAGTGACACGCTGGGTATGGAGCCAGGTGTGAGCATCTTGTATGAGCACCTTGTATGTGTGAGTTCAGCCTGCCTGGTGTGGCCGAGGCAGTCGGTGCCCCTTCCGTTTCCTCTGGACATTCACTATTCTCGTGTGAGCCAGCAACTTCAGAGAGAGCTTTCTCTGGCTGAAGAGGTATACTTGGCCTCTCAACTAAAGACAAACAAAATCTGGGGGTACATACCCCAGCTTCCACACCCCTTGGGTAGGACAAGTCTGAGACGTGTCCCACATTACCTCCCAGAGGTCCCCAGCAGGACTGAGCCTCAGTTGCCCACACCTGTAAACTGCTCCTTATGCAAACATATTGATTTCTTCCCTTCCCTATCTCACTTGCACTCTCCTCCACCTGTACTTTCTGCAGTCACCTGTCAAATAAACCACTCAACACCTTGCACTCAACACCTTTCTGAGGGTCTGCTTCTGGAGAAACACAGGCAAAGATGCCTTCCAAGTAAAGCAAGTGGCAAGGCCATGTTAATAAGAGAGAAAAAACGAGGCATGGGGAAAATGCCTGGATAGAGAGACACACAGATGCAGATACCTGCAATGTTGGTCTTATGGAAACCATCAGATGCAATGGGAGGCTACTTGCCATAGTCTGGAGCTACAGAGAAAAGCAGGCTGCAGATGGCAAGGTGGAGCCATCGTGGGAGGAGTTGCTTGTAGACAGGACGCCTAACCAGCTATTCTTAAAATGTTGCATTCTTCCATTTTAATCTCACTCATTATTGAATCATTAGTAATGATTTATATGACATTGACTTTTTTCAGAAATCTTGACTAACTCTTTGACAAGAGATTAATAAAGAGTGGGACTTCAGATGTCAAGTTTTTATGAGCAAAAGTGTCCAAGGCCATCTCTAGATGGGTATTCTTGGCTGTATTCACCACGCTCTCCAGAGACTGAAAAGCAATTGTTTAGCTGGGTAGAGGAGCTGAGCTGAATTAAATTGACCTGCATGATACAGAAAGTAGCACTGAGCACATTTAACTAAGGAGTCTTTGAAAGAAATCTATTTTATCGTAGCTGACTGCTGAAATTATTTTAAGGAAGTGATTATCAATCTAATAATTTAAAACGCATGAATGATGTCAGCATCCAAAATTAAGGCAGACTGGGAGAACAACGTGCCTGCTCTCGAGTAAAAAGCTAAATGCATCTTTATTTCTTTCTGCTTTTTTTCCTCTTTTCAGAAACATGAATTTGACTGCTTTCAAAAGCCAATTGTTATGCCTACATCCTGAAAAGGGAGATGAAATTTCCATTTATAGTAGAATACCAGCAGCCTCACTTAATCCAGATACACATATACCTAAAAGCACTTTTGTTCCAAATATAATTATTACTCTGCGGGAAAATCTGGTATGAATCTCTTGGTTTGGTGGAGTTTTAAGCCTGTCTTTAATTTAAAATAACTTTATTAGAACCCCTAGAGATGAGAGTGGACACAGTAGGGAAAGGTAGTTATCATGATGAGAAAACCAGGGATGCTGGAATTCCTTCATTGCAGGCTTCTGGCTGGAGTTATTAACTCAGCTATGGAGTCTGAGCGCTCTCACCACTTGGGTAATGAATGAATAAATGAGTGTTTAAAAGCCCTCTGAGCCTGCTAGGCCTGCCCCAGTGTGCATATATGACTCTCAGAGCATTGTGGCCATGGTCCGAGCAAAGCTAAATCCTTTCGTGAAAAGGTTCCCTCTTATGGGCTTCTGCCAAAGCCAGTGTTCGCTAGGAAAGGCAGCAATTTTTTTTCTCCTCTTCAAAGGGACCTTTATGTACTAACTCACTCCCACCTACTGTGCATGTAAATTATTCATCAGTGATATGGCCTCTATTTATGACTTTGATCCTTTCCTTCCCCCGGATGCCCGAGGAGCATGATAAGACGGGTGAGTTATCAGAGTGGCTTTGATCTCCTGCTCGCAAATGGTATTTTGTGGTGGAACATCTGAGCCCCCTCTGTAGCTGCAGGGTGGGTCGAAGCTGAGCAGAGTTTGGGGTTTGTAAGATGTCCATCTCCTAGCATTAAACCGTCTTCGGGACAAAATGGGATGGGACAGAAACGAGCCTATTTCTCCCCCAAAGGAGCAACTATTCACACACAATGATTCACAGGCACCCACAACTGCTCTCGCAGCAGGCAGGACAGTGCCATGATAACTCGAAGGTGCAATTCTCATCCAGAACTTCTTTCAAAAGAATCACACCACCTAGGCCTCATGCAATGGTGTTCCAGGATAAATAAGTCACTTGGGGAGAAAACAATAGAATCATGAGGGATGGGACCCTCAAAATTGTTTGCTCCGTCTCACATGGTAAAAATAAGCTTTTCCTTGTAAAAGGGGGTAAAATGTAGGGCATACAGAATGCTGGAAGGAGGAGGGAACCTCCACACTTCTCAGAGCCCTGAGATGATCGTTCCCCGCAGTTTGTCATCAAACTATTAGTGACTGCCGATTGTGTCTGGCATTGAATCTTCGGCGCGCTCACAGTATAGAGACCAAGGACGGTGGACTCTCTTTCATAATGGCAGTGTAAACCACTTTGCATTAAGTAGGAATAATAACCTTTTTTTAAAGAATGTGTCAAAATAATTACATTTCTTGTTGCTTTCCTTTCTTCCACATCACATGAGCAAGCACATCAGCCTCACTTGAACAGATGAAAGAAGGACGTTTTTTCAGTGAGGGCTGTTCTAAGAGGAACACAGGACCAACAGTGAGAGGGCCTCCATTCCGTCATGGCTGACTGGGATTTTAGGCACTGCATGAGCTAATTCTAGCCAACATTGTGGATTTGGTTATACCTCTTCTTTCTCAGGTGACTAGGAAGCCATACTGTCAGGAATATTTGCCCTGCGAATGTCCCGTATGATGTCTGCAATGTTGCAGATACTCCTGCCACTAGCAAATTCCCTCTACTGTGTTATTTTTCCTTTACTAAAGGTGATATCCTCCGAAACATTCACTCTTTAACTCAGAAGCCGAACTTTAAAAGGGGACTTAGTAGTAGCTCGGATGTAGGTTTCATTATTTTGTGAAGAATTTTGTTCAAATGCATTTGAAAATCATTTTTAGAATTTCAGAATAAAGTCCATTCATGTTTTTCAATGGTGCATTCACAATACAACAGATTTGAGCTTGGTGTGGCCTGTTTTGATGCAGGTTACCTGGTTGGCTTAGTTTAAAATTGATATCACAAGTGCCTTAAAGCGCATTTCATCAAATGTTTATATCTAATGAGATATTTAGGGGACAGATCATTTTTTATATCTTGAATGGCCTGGTGTACAAAAATCACCTCATCTTCATAAGGAAGGAGAATCATTCTAATTTGCTAAAGGGGGAACAAATTATTGATATCTTCTCATGTTTTCTAATAGTATGTTAGCAATAAATAGCCTTGATGTTCCAGAAAGCAAAAATCTCTGAGCTGAGGGAAAACAATTCTACCCTGCCGCGCGCGCGCACACACACACACACACACACTCACACTCACTCACACACACTCTCTCACGCTCACATGCACCTTCAGTTTTTCCCTTGCTGTCCCCCCATATGGGAGGAAGAGAAGATGTCTCCAGAAGTGTGAGCAGAGTAAGTAAACATGGAGAGTTTGTGATGCTTTGGTGACAATTACCTCTCCTTTCTGCTTCTGGCTGCTGTGGTTCCAGATGGTGGAAACGTTCCGTCCGATTCTTCCCTCATATTGTGCGTGCTCAAGCCACAATACCTAGAATCCTGAGCATTGTAAGTGTTTAGTAAACACCTGCTTCCAAACAGTGGGTAGATATCTCCAAGATGTGCCCACAGCCCCTGCCCAGCCCCCTTTCTCTGCCCTCCTGGGGAGCCTGATTCTATGGGCAGCGCCTGGCGTTTGTTTGCTTGAAAGCCCTGACTGATGGGGTTAGACAATTATGACCTTGGTTCCTAAAGAGCAAAGTGCTTGCTTGGAATGTTGAATTCCGTGCTGGGGCAGGGGGCCTTAGATAATGAGTGAAATACCTCGGTCCCTTCATCCCCACCACCACTACCCACCTCTTCCCAGTCTCAGAAAAATGCCTCCCACAGCCAGCTTCCACAGGGCGACTGCATCGAGTTTTCATCCTGTCCGCCTTGTTAGACTACACGCGCGGTGGGGGCATCGGATGATGCAGCGTGGCTGCTGTCGTTTTGGCAATGCTGTTGCCGGGGGGCAGGCCCCTGGCCCCCAGCTTGGATTCGCAGACCCCACGGGGCCGCCTTGGATGTGCAGACACAGCAGCGCGTGCGCGCTCAGCGGGCAGAGCTTTGTGCCCCGGGCCTCCTGGGACGAGGCTGCAAACCTTCAGATCCCAGCACAGACCCCCCGGCTTCCCTCTGCCCGCAAACTTCTCCTAATTAAGCCAGTCCATCTAATTACGGGGTGTTCCATCAAATATTTCTCCAGATGCTTCCGATGCAGCCTGCGGGCGCTGGTCAAAGCTGGCGAGGCTTGTGATCAGGGCTGCCGGCCCTGCGAGGGCCGCGCGCGTTCCCCTCTCTCCTGGACGTGCCTGTCTCCAATACTGCACAATCCGCCCTCACTCATTTGCTCCGTTGCCTGTCGAAAGCACAGAGCGTAATTACTAAAGTTAAGAAAACATCCCTGTAATTAGCCAGGCAACTCTAAGCACAAGAAATGGAAATTAGTCACAGTACCATAAATTAGTTTGTGCATACATTACGTTCAAGGATCGCCCTTGGGGCCCTGTGTTTGCAGTCTTTGGCGAGCAACCCCCCGTATCTCAATAAAGCATTCCTTCCCGGGTGAGTATGTCGCAAGAAGGGGAGTTTGGCTTGGATTACAAATTTTTTAATTCTTTCGTAGACAGCAGCCAGAATAAAGTCTAATATTCCGGCTGGGGAAACAGACACAAGCAAACAGTGATTTTTTTTTTCCTGTTGATTTTATTTTCCTTTGTGGGCATCTGTTAACCTAGGGCCATCAAGGTGTCTCCAAACAGTGGGCTCATCAATTGCATTGTTTCACTCATTAGGAGCAGTAGTTATAAACTCTTTAAATAACCCTGATTTTCAACTATTTTCACAGTCACTCCTCTTGCTAGCAAAAGCCAGGAAATTGGACTCAGCTACACACAACATAGCATTTGCATCAAAATAATACAGCAGGCAACAGCAAGCCACAATCACATCACTCAGAAGGAAGGAATAGAATACAAATTAAAGGAAGAATGTAAATTTTTTGCCATTAAGCTTCAATGACCATTTGAAATGGTGGAAGGCACAAAGGTTCTTGATGAGCGTCATCTAGTTTGATTATTCATACTTGTGTTTCTGCTTGAATTAAAGCAGGAGTGCTAGAGCCCGTTAAGGGAAAATATTTGAATTGATAGTGAACTCTCACCTTGCCGTGCATCCATTTACTTTTCAAATGAATACCAGATAAGTTAGTGCATTTTCTAATCGGCCTGTTTTCCAGTGAGTGCTGTCATTACATACCAATTTCTTTTAGAAGTGCTTGCTAAGAAACATTAACTACTCACAAATAAGGAGCTGTCTGTCACAGACTGAGGTCTTAAGCTCACTGGCTCATTTCTGCCAGGATAGTTGAGGGCTGTAGAGTCCACAGTTGCCTGGCCTGTCTAAGCTTCAGTCTTTTCCCTACTTCCCAAGCCAGTCCTTAAACATAGGCAAGGATTTTGCCACCTGCCATGTTTCCAGAACCAGGTGGCATTTGCTCTAGTAATAGCCCAAACCAGCTTACCATTGAGTAAATATGTTATTGTGTGCAGGTGACCTGGGTCCACCCCCTGCTCTGATCCTAACTGCTGACCCAGACTTCAGATTCAAAGCTGACTGAGGACAGTGTATCATTTATTCCTGAACACCAGCTCCACAACTAGTAGGTACATTGACTCAACATAGAGAAAACGGGAAATGTAAAGTCTGAGGGTTGTGTGTTTGGGAGAGGTGGGGTGGGGGTGTCTCATTTTTAAAATACACGTTCAAGTTTTGGACAAGGGCACATAAGCAGAAACTGCTCCTCCTGATGGGGAAAGCACCAGAACATTGCTACTCCTCAAGAAGAGACTATATATATATATATATATATATATATATATATATATATATATATATATATATATATATATATATTTGCGCTTAATCAGGGAGAAAGAAAAAGAAGGCACTTACTACCTGGGTCTACATTTGGCATCATAAAGAGTTTCTTTGGGTTACCCCTCCTGTTGAATGTTACTGGTTACACATTTGTTAAAATGTGTCCATTTTTTTAATCCAAAAATTTACTTTCAGGAGTAATCATGGGTAAAATATAGGGCATACCTAAGGGAGTGAAGTATCGCTCACCAACCTTGAGTGACCTTGCTTCCACATGATTTTGTTTTGCAAATTCTGGTCTGTTCATTGACAGAACAACAACCACATTGATGTGAGCTCCTCATACATCTTCAGCCAAGGCACACAGAAAAAGGAAATGCCTGACAAACAACCCTTCTGAGTGAAGAATGATGGGATCTAATGCCAGGTGAGAAGAGTCCTTATCTGGTTGGGATCCAAAGGCTACTCTTATTTTTTATTTTTTTAATTAAAAAAATACATTTTGGTAGGCCAAGGCAGGAGGATCACTTGAGCCCGGGAGTTTAAGACCAGCCTGGGCAATATAGTGAGACCCTCTCTCTACAAAAAATTTAAAAAATTAGTCGGGCATTGGTGGTGCACACCTGTAGTCCCAGCTACTTGTGGGGCTTGACGGGGAAGATCACTTGAGTCCAGGAGGTTGAAGCTACAGTGAGCTGTGATTGCACCACTACACTCCAGCCTGGGTACCAGAACGAGATTTTTATCTCAAAAAAATTAATGAAATAAAATATTATAATCTCAAAATTGGTTAATCTCATAACTGAATTAAAAGTCAAATGAAAATATAGGGAAAGCTGACCATTAAAGGAGCTGTTGAATATGTGCCGTGGCCACCTATGATAAGGAAGTAACCCAAGCCCGCCCCCGGTAGTGCCCTCCAGACCTGACTCTGAGATTGTCCATAGGACTCTGTTGATTGGCCAGTGGATATCAACACATATGATGTAAGCAGAGACTTGAAAAGCATTTAGCATTGCCCTCTTGCTGCACTTGGAGATAACCATGTGAACAAGCCCGAGCTATCCTGCTGGAAGATGAGAGACACATGGATAAGAACTAACAACCTGCCCAACCATCAGACTTGCGAATGAGGCCATCTTTGGTCATCCAGTCACAAGACACCCCACAGATGTACATTGGCAAGAGTACAACAGGAGTCAGCCGGGACAACCCAGCCCAGAAGAGCTGCCCAGACAACCTACAGAATCATGAGCTAAATATGACACTCAAGGTGTAGGCAAATATGCACAGAGTCTAAGACTTAGGCCCATTTTCCTAAAAATTCCCTTTTATTATTGAACCACCGAAATAATTTTTTAATATTCTTAAACAACCAAAATTGTGGTAAGCATGTTCAGGTGCAGTGGAGACTGGATAGTGTATTTAGGACTCTCCTGGTGTGCCTCATTACCTACCAATTACACCAGACCATCTGACAAAGCCTGCTCTTAACCATACAGGTAACTGTATTCGAAATGACACTTTTGAATATTTTGAGGACTAAATGAGTGTGTGTCTGTGTGTGTGTGTGTATGTTTGTGTATAGTAAATGCTGTCTGTGCTCTGTCCCCATTCCCTACACGTCCTTCTCATGTTTATGTGTGTGCATTCACTCCAGCAGCCAGGACCTCCTTTCTTTGGGAGAAACTATTCCTCACCCAACCAAACCACAGGGCTCTCTCATGGACTGACAGTCTTAGTCCACCCCTAACCCAGCCACAGGTGACTGATCCATCAACAGGCAAGTGACCCAAATCACACCAACCAGAATCCTGGCCTGGAATTTTCAAACTAAAGCCTAGGAGAGACAGATGGTTAGACTTATCAACAAGGACCTCTCAGCAGCTGTGTTCCCTTCCAGTCTGATATTCAGAGAGACAGAGAAAAAAAGAGACCAGTAGAGTATATGTCATGGGCCTTCCCCATGAGATGAGACACCAATGTGCCTTTTTGTCCCAAGTCAGTTAGAGGTATGTTTCTGTCACTTGCAACCAACAGATCTCTGGTTGACTGACACCTCTGGATTCCTGGTTTCCTAGCACTCTTGGTCTTATTTGAAATCCACTTGCTGAAGCCACCTATTAGACCTAGACTGACTGCTCCTTCTTGGTCATATCTTGGATATGGTGTTTCCCCTCAGGGTTCCTGAAGTCTGTTCTTTGTCCACTCATGCAGTGTGGTCCCAAGAAGAATAAAAACATGAAGTTCACAGCACTGCGGAGAACAGCATCAGCCTTTTCCTAACTAAAGCTCTTTACTTCGTTAGACATTAGCTCCCTCTTCTTTGCTCAGCCTCCTCAGCCACTAGTGACCAGCATTAACCTTGAGGTTGTCTAAAGATGAAAGAAGAGGCCTAGACAATTCATGACCAAAACACAATCATAGCGACTCTGTTTGACATAGAGAGGAATTGGACAACATTGGATCATTCATATGAATATGTGCATGTTTAATTAAGTTGGCAGAGACAACACTCTTGCCATGTGACACAGCGGCTCTCAAACTTTACTTGTTTCAGAAACATCTGTGATGCTTTTTCTATCTACAGATACCACAGTCCCTCCCCAGACCTCTTGGATACAGGCTTTGAAAGTGGGTTAAAAATAAGAGCAAATGATAAAAATCACCAGATTAAAAATGGGCAAAGGACTTGAATAGTCATTTCTCCAAAGATGATGAACAAATGGCCAAAAAGCACATGGAAGATGCTCATCATCATTAATCATTAGGGAAATGCAAATCAAAACACAATGAAATACCACCTCTGGTTGAATCCACAGATATGGAACCTACAGAAATGGAGGGCCAACTGTATTTGTCCTTTTGCAATTGGCTTATTTCACTATTTTTATTTGTATTATTTTTTATTGTTTTTTCTGAATATTTTCAATAATACCAATAAAAAACAGTTTAACAACTATTTACATAGCATTTACATTGTATTCGGTATTATAAGTTATCTAGAGATGATTTCAAGTATTAAGGAGGATGTATGTAGGGTATGTGCAAATACAACACCATTTTATATAAGAGACTTTAGAGTATCCATGGATTTTGGTATCTGTATTGTACAATTCCACTTATATGAGATACTTATAGTCAAAATCATAGAGACAGAAGGTAGAATGGTGGTTGCCAGGGGCTGGGGGGTGGGGGGAATAGGAGTCATTGTTTAATGGGTATAGGGGTTCAGTCTTACAAGAGGAAAAGTGTTCTGGAGATGGATAGTGCTGATGGTTGCACAACAATAAGAAAGCACTTAATACCACTGAACTGCACACTTAAAAACGGAAAAGATGGTAAATTTTATATCATGTGTATTTTACCACAATAAAATAAAAATGAAAAAAAAATTAGTTGCCTGGCATTCGCTATGTGCTATGAGTTGGCTTTAGCGGTATAATGGAAAGAGTTCAGGCTTTGAAATGAGGGAGGCCTGGGCTCAATGCTCCGGCACCTGCACTGAACCTGCCACGTGGTGTTGAGTGAGCTACTTCATCTTTTGGTATTTAATTTGTGCATCAATAAAATGGCAGCAATAATATCTACCTGATACTTTTTACCCTTCTACCCTACCTTGTAGATATTATTTAGGATAAAATGACATAAGGTATGTAAAGATACTGGGTGCATCGTAGTTCTGCCCCACAGGCCCCCAGCTGTTAATTCTCACTGTAGTTAATTATCTCTTCCTTTTCTATCTTTATTGTCAAATATTCACCCATAGGAAGCCTTATTCACCCTTTCCCCAAACATACTCTCAACACTGCCATCTGGGGAACATTCCACTTACCTTTTCTTCCATGTAGATATTATCTTGAATAATACTTGTTTTAGTTACAGAAACTCACCTTTTGATATGATGTGATCACTGGTAATGTCAGTCTGAATGTGGACAGGACATGTCGGACAGCAAGGCTGCCTGGCCTCCCTCCCTAGCGCTAGGACAGTGTCCTCAGAAACAGAGCGCCAGGGCCTAGCTGAGCATTCACCCACGTAAGTGTCTACCATCAGTTGTCCTCCTTTGCCAGACCCTGGTCCCCACCTGATGAAATCCGTCTTACCTTTCCCAGCCCCCACTGAACTGCCACCTCCTCCCTGAAGCCTGCCCTTTCCTTACCCAAATGTGACTGACCTCCCACTTCTCAACCACCCTTGCAGCTGATTTCTACCTCTCCAGCAGCCCCTACCACATCTTGCCTAGTGATCTGTCGACTTGTATCTGCAGATCCAGGCTCCGCAGTTGCTAACGCTGTACTTCTCTCAGCCTCATTTTCCACATTTCTAAAATAAAATGGGAATATAAAGACTGCCTACTTCAGGGGCTTTCTGTGGCAATCAATTGAGCTGAAATATATAAAGCCTCATACGTGAATGCTCGGTAATTTTTATGAAGGAGGAGGATGATGAGGATGAATTTTTCTGTCCTTACCATGAGTCCCAACAATCAGGGGCCATGTGGGTCTTTTTAAAATTTGTTTAAATTGGGCCGGGCGCGGTGGCTCACGCCTGTAATCCCAGCACTTTGGGAGGCCGAGGCGGGCGGATCACGAGGTCAGGAGATCGAGACCATCCTGGCTAACACGGCGAAAACCCGTCTCTACTAAAAATACAAAAAATTAGCCAGGCGTGGTGGCGGGCGCCTGTAGTCCTGGCTACTCGGGAGGCTGAGGCAGGAGAATGGCGTGAACCCGGGAGGCGGAGCTTGCAGTGAGCGGAGATCGCGCCACTGCACTCCAGCCTGGGCAACAGAGCGAGACTCCGTCTCAAAAAAAAAAAATTGTTTAAATTGAAAAAAAAAATGACAGGGTCTTGCTGTCACCCAGGCTGGAGCGTAGTGGCCCTGATCATGATTCACAGTAGCCTCAAACTCCTGGGCTCAAGCAATCTTCCCTCTTCAGCCTCCCAAAGCACTGGAATTACAAGCCTGAGCCACTGCACCTGGCAAGAGGCCATGTTTTTGATCTTGGAATTTCACGGTACCTAAGGCCACATAGTACACCCTCAGGAAAGCAAACAAGTTAATGACAAATTAAAGGTAACCTGTATTTATTGCTGTCGCCTTTCCAATCATGGTGACGTGTCATAGGGTGGGTGCGTTCTTCCTCAGAGACAGACCCCGAGCTGTACCCCAACCTAGTCTTCTCCCAGCTAAATCTCCCTCCCTGGTCACCTCATTCTAGTTCATGAAGTGATTGGCACATTTGCTTAGCTCTACGGCTGCTTCATCACGATTCTTTTAGTCAGTATCTTCACACTAGTATATGAGCTTTCTTATGACTCAGAACTATTTAATAAGGATCCCAAGCCACTAATCTGACATTCTGGACACAGAAGAACTCACATTCATCACGTACTAAGGTGATGTTTTCAAAGCGCCACAGCTATCCCTCTTCCCCCTTTCATTGGGCAAGTTTTAGTTTTGGCCAAGACGTCTTTTCTCGATGTCCACTCGCTTCTCTGGAATTCAGTGTTGCAGTGTTGCATTGTCGCTCTCAGCCTTTGAATACTTTCCCCTTTACCAGTTACAGGCAGAGCTCGGGAAAGTGCTGTACCAACATGTGCCAGCAGGGACCTGGGAGCCTGAAGGCTACACTCGCTTCTGCCACAGCATTTGCTTCCTGGGGTTGCTCCACCCAACTGGCCCAGGAGAAAAGGGCTCAGGAAGAAACCATTTTGAAAGAGTTGGGAAATTTATAGCAATGTAGTGCATACTGTGCAATTTGTTCTAATGCGCTTGGTGGACAGTCAAACAGAAAATGGAACAGCCTTTTCAAAAGTGACTGAGATCCTGGCTGGGAGTGGTGGCTCATGCCCGTAATCCCAACACTTTGGGAGGCCGAGGCAGGTGGATCACTTGAGGTCAGGAGTTTGAGACCAGCATGGCTAACATGACGAAACCCCGTCTCTACTAAAAAAACATACAAAATAAGCCAGGCGTGGTGGTGGGTGCCTATAATCCCAGCTACTTGGGAGGCTGAGGCAGGAGAATCGCTTGAACATGAGAGGCAGAGGTTGCAGTGAGCCGAGATCTTGCCACTGCACTCCAGCATGGGCAACAGAAGGAGATTCTGTCTCAAAAAAAAAAAAAAAAAAAAAGTGACTGAGATGCTGCCACTCCAGAGCCATCTCTCGTGATGGTGGAGCCTTGGGTGGCAGAGTCATCAGTCCCTGTTCATTCCCTTGCTGGCTACTCTACAAATCAAGTCTCTAATTTAGCAAAGGTGAATCTTTCCCAAAATGGAAGGATGTTGGTTATAATTAAGTAGAAATCCTAGGTTTTCTACCTGCTTAACAAGTAGCTCAAAGCTTGTCTTCTTGTGTCTTCAGGAAAGGCACAGCAAACCGTGCATCTGTTTACACTCAGATGCCTCTGGCTGGGGCCCTGGGCCACCCACACATCCCGAAGCCCCCACCCTCCCACTGCTGCCATTTGCTAGCACATGCACGGCACCAGTCAGAACATTTCACAGAGCTCAGGCTTTGTGGGGGTGGCAGTGGGGGGGACAACAACTGGTTTTTGGCCAGTTCACCTTTGTCTGTTAAATCAAGCAGGGAGGAAAGTGCTTTTTTTTTTTTGTTCTGGAATGTAGAACTTCCACTCTGTGGAGAATGAACTTGAAAATGTATCAGTGAACTTTAGGAGAGTGATTTCATAATTAAAATAACAAGACCTGAAAACCTGCCACTCAATTATTTATTCTCTTCATGTCCTGATTATCTTTTTAATTTGCAAAGGCAGATTTTATTTGTTTATTTATTTTTTGGCCAGCCAAGAATGCCAGCTAGCCGCTCCGGGGCTACGTTGTGAACACTAGGAATGGTGTCCAATTATGTTAAGTTGGATTCAAATTTCACTTTTGAAACAACAACCAAAAAAATGCAACTGGGAGTGGGGTGTGGGTCTAACCTGGGTTCAGAAAGGTTAATGAGAAAACCACAAAATCCCACATCACAGTCTAAAGTTCCATAAAGAAACTGTCCTCTCTCACTCCACCCCCTCTTTCTTGTTTAATCTTGGGGCAAGGGAGGGTGATGTTGAAATTAACCCATTATGCTTTCAAGAACACTACATGCAAATTAAATGTGTTTGTTTTCCAAAATCTACTTTGTTTTCTGCCTTCCCCGCTACCATCTCTTAATAACTAAATTTCCCCTGCCACTGATAATTATAATTTGGGAGGGGAGTTAAGCCATGGCATTAGCCAGGCTCTATACGCTTCTTCACCCTGTGACCCAAATGTTGGATTAATGAGGACATATGGCCTTATCCTGCTGATAAAGCCTTGGGGTCAGCCTTGGAGGCCACACTGGCGCCCCTCCCTGGTGGTCCCTATTGTTCAGCCTCAGAGCACAGGAGATTACCCAACCCGGCCTCTCAGACAGTTGTATACCTGACCTTCTGCAGCAGCCTAAGGGGTAGGGTGGGTGGATGGGAGAGAAGCCAGAACCTCACAGAAAGAAGGGCTTTCCTCTCCTGCAGGTCCCCAAAGCCACCCAGCCTGAACCCTGGGGACCAGCAGCCCTGGCATCCAGACACAGGCCAGGCAGACCTCAGAAAGCCTCTCAAGGCAATCGCAGGCCTCAGGGCTGCCTGCTTATTTCCTGGGCCAATAACCACCACTACACACACACCCAAGGGGACACATGTGATTTCACTATGGCCTGAGGGACAAACGGACCAATGAGGCCTGAGGGGGGCTGATGGGAAAGGAAATGTCTCCCTTATTCTTTCTCCCAGTTGCTTCTTTCCACAATCTGGGATTTCTCCAAAGGGATCCTGGGGCCCTGGGCAAATCACACACTACATACTGCACCTGGATTCCTTGAGAGAAAAAACTCTTCATGTTTATGAGGCTTCCTGGTTTACAAGCTGCATTCACACCCATGAGCTCACTGATGTTGTATGGCACTATGACCATTTCTCCTACTTCACAGATGAGAAAATGAAAGTCAAGACAGTCTAAATGGCTGGTCCAGTATCCCACAGTGTATAACTGATGTGACTGGGTATGGTCCTCAGATCTCCTGGTCTGAACCTTCTACTCCTCCTAGCTCTTTCCTACTCCCCTATTTAAGAAAAGGAAAATAAAAAGGCTGCCTGCATCCTGACAAGTGAAGGGGCTTGAGCAAGAAACTCCGGCCAACAGGGCATAACCCCTTGATATATACACTCATTGCCCCTCTGAGGTCCTGATCCCATCCACAGCATAGAGGGCATCTCCCTCAAGACCCCCATTGAAGTACCCTCCAGCCTGCTTGCAAACGGATATTGAGTAGGTATGAAGAGGGTAGAAGAGGCAACTGACTCTTTCCAAATCTAAGAACATCAGATCAACAGGAAGATAATTTCTGCTTCCTGCCATGACAGCATGCCAAATTCCAGACTATCTCTTCCACTGTAGGCCACTAACAAAACTATTTTTAGACATTAGAAGGCAACACAAGACTGTGGCCCTGAGGGAAGAGAAACACACAAGGTGAGACCAATGATGGCCCAGCTGTCTACCTGGAGACACTGTCCAGACCACAGTACAGAGAGATGGAGACCAAACAGACCATGGTGGCTGCATTGAGAGGAGGAGTCAAACATCACAGTTTGGATCTGCTGACATGGCTGAAGTATGAGATCAGGAGACTGAAAAGGATGGAGTTGTGCACAAAAAGAGCTCCAGAATCTGCATAAAGATCCTCTTAAACCTTTGGCTCAAGACTAAATTGCACCTGTGCAAAGAAAAAATTCATGAGAACAATCCCTGGGGAGCTATGTGCTGGATGGGGATTCTGGAGTTTACAGAGGATAGAGAGACGCTGGAGTTCTAACAGCTAGAGTGGAGAGACATCAATGAATGTCCCAGGCATTGAGTCAATACTCCCAAAAAGCCACACCTTGGGAGTAGGACTCAACTAGAGGTCTAAAGTGAAGACTACTCTAGACCCACCCTAACAAAGTTCAAAAAACAAGCTTCCAAGGGATCAAACTCATTGGCAAGGAAATTAACTGCCTGCCAGAACTACACTCAATGCTCAACAAAATCCAGAACTCAAGGGCATACAATCCAAAAACTGTAGACAAGCAAAGTAGGGAAATGTGACCCATAACCAGAAGAAAAATGAGTCAATAGAAACGACCCAGAGATGACAGTATTTTTAGAATTAGCAGGTGAGGGCTTAAAGCAGCTATTACAAATATGTTCAAAGGATTTTTTTAATACCATAATCAAAAACAAACAGGGAATCTCAATAAAGAATGGAAATCATTTAGCAAAAAAAAAAAGAGTTATCCCAGCCCCATGGTCCACCAGGTGTCACACTGAACTGCAACTCACCCCAGCATGTACCTTCTTTTCACCTTTCTTGACCACAATTCACCTCAGTCCCCTTTGTGCACCCCACTTCCCTTTCCAAATTCCCAGTGCCATCCCCTCCCTTTCCTGCATCTGCTCATGTGTACAATTGACCATCTTTTTAAAGGCCAAAATAATGGGATGAGGCCCTTTCTTACAAGTGCCAAGAATGGGAATAAGAAGATTTAAGAAAGACATCTACTTCCTTTTCTTGTTGTCACTGTCTATGTGTAGTATGCCATGGTAGTTCAGCTCACAGACTGCCTGGGTGAATCCTGGCTCCACTGTTTGCAAACTACACAAATAGGTAGGGTGTATAATACCAGCTTCTATTACAAACAAAGCCTCACATCTCAGCGACCTAGCACAATAGAAGTTTATTTCTTAACCCTTCTGGACATTGTCCTAGGCAAAGAATTCATGACTAAGCCCCCAAAAGCAAATGCAACAAAAACAAAAAGAAATAAATGGGACCTAATTAAACTTAATAGCTTCTGCTCAGTAAAAGAAATAATCAGCAGAGTAAACAGACAACCAACAGACAGGGAGAAAATATTTACAAACTATGCATCTGACAAAGGACTAGTGTTCGGAATCTACAAGGAACTCAAACAAATCAGCAAAAAAAAAAATAATAATTCCATCAAAAAGTGGGCAAAGGTCATGAATAGACAATTCTCAGAAGAAGATGTCCAAACAGCCAACAAACATATGAAAAAATGCTGAACGTCACTAATCATCAGGGAAATGCAGATTAAAACCACAGTGAGATACCACCTTACTCATACAAGAATGTCCATAATTAAAAAGTCAAAAACCAATAGATGTAGGTGTGGATGTGGTGAAAAGGGAACACTTTTACACTGCTGGTGGGAATGTAAATTGGTACAACCTCTGTGGAAAACAGTATGGACATTTCTTAAATAGCTAAAAGTAGATCTACCATATGATCCAGCAATCCCACTACTGGGTGTCTACCCAGAGGAAAAGAAGTCATATGAAAAAGACACACGCACATGCATGTTTAAAGCAGCACAAGTCACATTTGGAAAGATGTGGAACCAACCTAAGTCCCCATCGACCAACAAGTGCATAAAGAAAATGTGGTGTGTATATATACGATGAAATACTACTCAGCCATAAAAAGGAACAAAATAGTGTCTTTTGCAGCAACTTGGATGGAGCTGGAAGCCGTTATTCTAAGTGAAGTAACCCAGGAATGGAAAACCAAATACGTATGTTCTCACTTGTAAGTGGGAGCTAAGCTATGAGGACACAAAGACACACAGAGTGACATAGTGGACTTTGGAGACTCAGAGGTGGGGAGGCTGGAGTAGGGGAGGAATAAAAGGCTACATATTAGGAACAGTGTACACTGCTCAGGTGCACAAAAATCTCAGAAATCACCACTATAGAATTATTCATGTATCCAAAAGCCATTTGTAACCCAAAAGCTAATGAAATAAAAATTAATTAATTAATTAAATTTTTAAAACCGTTTATTTCTTGCTCACACAAAATCCAAAGTGGATGTTTCTGGTTGGGAGGTGCTTTCCATGTGATCATTCAGGACTCTAGTTTCCTTGCATCTTATGGCTGCACCATTCCCTGGGCCTCAGACTCCTCGTTGGGCCCTCTGCAGTCAGCTGCCAGATCAGGGCAGAGCATGCGGAGGATCGTGGAGGAGGCTTTCACAGCCACTTCTGCACATAGTCCATTGGTCAGAACTGTCATGTGGCCACATCTAACTGCAAAGACAATGAGGAAATATATTCTAGCTAGATGCTCAAGAGGAAGAAAAAAATGGGCCTTAGCCATCACATAGCTGTCTCTGCCTCACTGTGAAAACCTGGGGAAGTTACTTATCTTTGAGCCTCAATTTCCTTGTCTGTAAACAGGCATAGAAATGATACCTGCTTCAGGTATTATTCAGGGGGCTATCGTGATGGTTAAATGAGACAGTCCATATGAAGCAATTAGCAGGAGGCTGGAACATAGTAAACATTTAAGAAACGTTGCCTATTACAATTATTACAACATTTGCATTTAATTAATTTCTCCCCACCCATGAAGTGTTTCTAACATGTGGGCCTAAACCAGGGGTGCTTTAACTTTTGGACATTATGTTGTTTTTTAGTCAAGAAGTAGTAAAACATGAATTATTATATATGCATTGGCCCTCTATATAATAGGATTTTCATACCCAACAAGATCTTTTTACTTAAAAAGATTTGAGAACTACAGCCCTAAAGGACCTGGAATGCTCTTTTGTACACAGTGGGTGATTAATATGTTGAATAAATGGGGTTTCTTGCCACCTCTCTTTTTTTTCTTCCCTTACTTCTGCTTCCTGGTCTCACTTTTGCCTATTCATCCCATATTCCATACCTCCACCACTATCAGCACCGCCACACACACACGCACAACACACACACACGCACGCACACGTGTTGACAGCCACTTAACCTCCTGATCTTCGCTTGGGGTGTAGACAGCCCTCCACCCACCCAGCCCAGTCCCGCTGTGTCCTGCAGCCTCAATACACAACCTCCAGGCCCTGCAGCCACTTCAGGGTCTAACAAAACCCCAACCCCCTTGCTAGGTTCCTCAGAGGCTCTAGAAAAACAAGCCAGCTACGCTCACTCATACTTGATAGGGAACGGCCTTGCTGAAGCATTTATCTGTTCTCAGATGGATATCTGTTCACTAAAATCAATTTTTAATTAGTTGTATTTTAAGCCATGCAAAGAAGGAATGTGTGAACAGTGGTGAAAGTCTCTCCATAAGTCACAATACCAGGCTTTCTTTGAAATTTAAAATTGGTGTGAATAGGAAGGGACCATCACACACACACCCCCACGACCTCCTTGACAAACTCTTTCTCCCACCAAGTGGATAAGTTGGTCCCTCATTAGCTTTCAGCCTCAACTGCCCTGTCTGCTCCTCATCCCTTGGCTAGCAGGGTCATCTTTCAGCACAAATGGTTGTCACTGACCATGCAGTCTGAAGCTCAATATCCACTCTGTGGATTCAGCATTCTGCATACCTAGAGGTGGTGAACTTTTGAGCCTGAGCTCCAGAAACACCTGGTCACTGGTGCTCCTGGAAGAACGAATGAAGCTGAGGCCCCCTCAGATTATGATCCAAGCACCCTGAGACACAAGAGGCTGATGCATCACTCACTTCTCTCTACTCCTTTTTTTGATCCATACGTAGCCACCTCTAAAGTCACTCAGAAAGAAAACAGAATGTCACTTCCCTGACTTATCCAGGGGCTTAATTTACCCCCAGCCCCAAGATGATGATCCATTTCATCAAATGTGTCAGGTTAACTTTCCTGCGCATTACACTTGATCAAGACATGAGCATTCCAGTCTTCGTGCTGCTCTTCATTTTTCCAGGGCAAGATCAGCTGCCATTGATGCTGCTAAAATCTGGGGCCAATGCAGGTGATTCCTGCCATCCTGGCTCCATGAGGATGTTTGAGGACAAAATGGAGCTGTGCATAAGAAAGTCCACAGTGTCGTTAATTAGACATAAGACTTGAGCTCCCATTTTCCTAAACAGAATTTACACCAGCTTCTAAGACCAAGAGGTAATCCCCACACCTTATGTTAGCTGTGAAGTCTCCTTCCTTAACCATTTCTTCAGCAGTTCTTACATAGGAAAATTATCTGATTCATGTTTCCCTCTGCTTTTTCTTTTTTTTTTTTTTTTTTTGAGACAGGGTCTTGCTCTGTCACCCAGGCTGGTGTGCGGCGGCATGATCACGGCTCACTGCAGCCCCAATCTGCCAGGCTCAAGCGATCCTCCTACTTCAGCCTCCTGAGTAGCTGAGACTATAGGCACACGCCACTACCTCTGGCTAAATTTTTACTTTTTTTTTTTTTTTTTTTTGTAGAAACGGGGTTTCGCCATGTTGCCCAGGCTGGTCTCAAACTCCTGAGCTCAAGGAATCCTCCTGCCTCGACCTCCCCAAGTGCTGGGATTACAGGCCTGAGCCACCGCACCCAGCTTCCCGCTGCTTTTCTTCTCTGGCCCCATTCAGTAGCACAGTGATGCTGGGCACTATCTAGCACTATGTGCCAAGCCCTGTGCTGTGATCTTCATTCACCCTCATGGGATAAGGATTGCCACGTCCAGGCTGCAGACAAAGCTCAGATGCCCACAGCTCATACAAGGATTCAAACCAACCTCTGTTTCTCCAAAGGCTTTGGGCTTAAACACTACTCAGTGCTATTGAGGAGCAAAAAGAGGAAGGACCATGACTGAGACCAAAAAACTGGAATTTGGGCTGTCTGGGTAATGCCCCAATTCCTGCCTCACTGTATCTCTGTTCCTGTCTACACAGCCCTGGCTGGAAGAATATACAAAATGTCAGCTTGCTAAGGTTGCATTCTCTCTGCATTATTTCTCTGGTGAAGCTGTGCTCTTATCAATATATTACCAACAGCAACAGCTGGGTCCTCATGAAATTACGGATAAAGGGCCAGGCACGGTGGCTCACGCCTGTAATCCCAGCACTTTGAGAGGCCAAGACAGGTGGATCACCTGAGGTCAGGAGTTCAAGACCAGCCTGGCCAACATGGTGAAACCCCATCTCTACTAAAAATACAAAAATTAGCTGGGCATGGTGGCAGGCACCTATAATCCCAGCTACTCGGGAGGCTGAGGCAGGAGAATTGCTTGAACCTGGGGAGCGGAGGTTGCAGTGAGCCGAGATCGCGCCACTTCACTCCAACCTGGGCGAAAGAGCAAATCTCCATCTCAAAAAAAATAAAAATAAAAATAAAAAAATTATGGATATTGGTTAGAAATACTCTCAAGTTTCCTTCAGAAATGTTCTTTATAATGACGTGGAATGGGAGAGAGAATATTTTAGGAATCACTGGAAAACCAAACAATAGAAGGAGCAGCATATGCCGGAGATGACCAAGGTTTGCCTGAAAAGGACAGAAATCACATTGCTATCACAACTAACGCATGGCCCTGCGTAACCCAAAACAGGAGAGGAACCTTTGGGCCCTGCCCATAAAGACAGAACCATTTCCTCCTATATTTGCATTTTTTCCTTTGAAAATGCAGACAGTTTCCTGCATTGGCACACCAGCACGACCACAAAATAAAATAGGGAGACATTTGATTTAGGCAGAAAGTTCAAGTTTACTTGCACCATCCCAAGGCAGTTTTGAAGCAAGAAGGAAAATGGCCTGTGCCAGGCACTGCACCAGGAGCTTCCTCTGGGAGCTATAATTGCATTCTCACAACGACTCTGTAAGGCAACTGTAATTCTCCCCATCTTCTACATAATGAAACTGAGCCTTGGAAAACTTACATGATAGTTTACCCAGAACTGAATTAGAACCCACAACTCTGTGAGTCCAAGACCAGTATTTCTCCTACTACAGCGCCCCATGGTTAAACAGCCACATTATCCAGCCAGAGTATATCATCACGCACCATCAACAACTATCTCAGGAAATCTGGTGTATCCACCGTTTGCTAATGCACACAAGTAAGCTCATGGCTGTGAGTCACTATCAGGCAGATAACTTTTTTTAAAAGCCTATTAAAAACATTTTTAAATAACCTAAACTTTTACAGCTCAAGATGGTAAATTGAGCGCACACTTTGTGCGGTCCAGTTAAAATTCTGAGGTCCAGTTAAAATTGTGATAATGGGTTTTTAAAAATAAAACCCAGTAACAGCAAAGCAAATGGAGTGGAGGAAGCCTTAGCAGTTAGTGAGAGTTCAACACATTTTGGGAAGACAGTAAAAGGTAGAAGGGGGGTTAGGGGAACTGCAGGCAAGAACCTTGCAGGTGGCGCTGAGGTGGAGGAGGCCCACTTGCCTGGCAGAACCCTGCAGGGCCAGGAGGGGCAGGGACAAGAAGTAAGCTGAGCACTGGAGGAATAAAGCTGTAGTTCTCAACCCTGATTGCACAGGCGAATGTGTGGAGAGCTTTGCATGGCAACAGTGCCTGGATGCTACCTTACGGATTCTGATTTAATTGGTCTCAGGTGCAATCTGGGTGTTGGGAGTTTTAGAAGCTCCCCAGGTGATTCTAATGTGCAGCCAGGGTGAGAACCACTGGCTGAAGGTCTGTATGGAAACCAGTGTTTCCCCCACCCCCACCAGCTTACAGCTTTACCTCGAAGCAAAGAAGAGTCTACTTTGAGAAGCACTGGCAATGTAGAAAAAGAAATAGACTATCCTATATTTAACACTTTGGTGAATGCTGAATACTCACATAATCACAATAGTATAAATGTCAGTTGTTGGTTTCTAACTTTCAGCCTTCCCAAATAGATGCATAAAAATAGTTTCAGGCCGGGCACGGTGGTTCATGCCTGTAATCCCAGGACTTTGGGAGGCTGAGGCGGGCAGATCATGAGGTCAGGAGATCGAGACCATCCTGGCTAACACGGTGAAACCCCGTCTCTACTAAAAATACAAAAACTTAGCCAGGCATGGTGGCGGGCGCCTGTAGTCCCAGCTACTCGGGAGGCTGAGGCAGGAGAATGGTGTGAACCCAGGAGGTGGAGCTTGCAGTGAGCCGAGATCATGCCACTGCACTCCAGCCTGGGTGACAGAGCAAGACTCCATCTCAAAAAAAAAAAAAAAATGGTTTTAGAGACTTGGAACCAACCCAAATGTCCATTAATAATAGACTGGATAAAGAAAATGTGGCACGTAGACACCATGGAATACTATGCAGCCATAAAAAATGATGAGTTCATGTCCTTTGCAGGGACATGGATGAAGCTGGAAACCATCATTCTCAGCAAACTATCACAAGGACAGAAAACCAAACACCGCATGTTCTCACTCATAAGTGGGAGCTGAACAATGAGAACACATGGACACAGGGAGGGGAACATCACACAGTGGGGCCTGTTGAGGGGTTGGGGGCTGGGGAAGGGATAGTGTTAGGAGAAATACCTAATGTAAATGATGAGTTGATGGGTGCAGCCAACCAATATGGCACATGTATACATATGTAACAAACCTGCACATTGTGCACATGTACACTAGAACTTAAAGTATAATAAAAAAATGGTTTTAGAACATAGTACAGTTGTAGCTTGATTAATGATGAGGATATACTCTGAGAAACGTGTCACTGGGTAATTTTGCCATTGTGCAAACATCATAGAGTGTACTTACACAAACCTGGATGGCATAGCCTACTACTCACCTGGGCTATATGGTATAACCTATTGCTCTGAGGGTACATACCTATACAACATGTTATTGTACTGAATACGGTAGGCAACTATAACACAATGGTAAGTATTTATGTATCTAATATATATCTAAACATAGAAAAGGTACAGTAAAAAAAGTATGGTATAAAAGATGAAAAAATGGTACACCTGTATAGGGCAGCTCCATTATAATTTTATGGGACCGCTGTTGTATATTCAATCTGTCATTCACCTAAACATTGCTATGAAGTGCATGACTACATGTAAATAATTTTAATCTGACTATATAAAATTAAAGAACTCTCCCTGCACTGCTGAATCAGAAGCCTTATAGGCAGGACACAGCCAGGTATACATATATTTTAACATTCTGATACACAGCCATGGTGGAAAGAAACTGACTTATTGTTATCATTTTCCTCCTCCATAAACTATTTTCCAAACTAGGTATTATGGAGTGTCCCTCTCAATCTGCCCCCCTCACTCAGGCACACACCCCAAGCACAGGCATGTGTGCACACATGCATGTACAATGACATCTCAAATTTCCCATATCGTTAGGTGAGTTCAGCCTTTCCCCTGACTTGAGGCTCATCCATTCTTCCATCCACCACCACCATTCCTGCCAGGCTCCCTTCTGACCCCCCGAGGCCATTATCACCAGCAGGCCCATGGCTTTGACACCAACTATCTCCACCTCCCAAACCAGCCACTTGCTGATGCTCCACCTCTTCTGGTAGAAGTTTCAACCTGAGCCTTGAAGGCCCTCTGAGAAATAACACCAGTAGCACAGGTGTGATAGGCTCCACAGATGGCCCTGACTCTTCACCTTTCCCTTTGCCATGTGACTTTGCAGCTCCTCCCACTAGAGCAGCACAGGACATTTCCCACCCTCTTCACATCAGGTTTGGTCGTGTGACTGGTTTGGCAAATGGACTGTGAGCAGGGGCAACATGACTGACAGCCTGGAAATTCTTGATGATTGGGCATGAAACTTGGCCATCATAGGAGCACTCCCCCAGGTGGCTGCTTCCCCTTCAGTCTGAGTTCCAGATGGACACAGGAAAAGCAGATCCAAGATGAAGAGGAGCCAAGCCCAACTAGATCCAGATCAGGAAGTAGAGCTATGCTATTGACTGAGTTGTGCACTGCCAAAATTTATACATTGAAGTCCTAACCCCCAGTGTGATGGTATTTGGAGATGGACCCTTTGGAGGTAATTAGGTTTAAATGATGTCATGATGGCAGGGACCCCACAATGATATTCATGTCCTTATAAAAAGAGAATGAGAGCAGAGCTTTCTCTTTCTCTCCTCTGTGTGAGGACACAGCAAGAAGGGGGCCATCTCCAAGCCAGGAATAGAAAGCCTTCATGGGGAATTAAATCAGCTGACACCTTGATCTTGAACTTCCAAGCCTCCAGAACTGTGAGAAATAAATTCCTGTTGTTTAAGCCACCCTGTCTATGGTATTTTGTTATGGTTGCTCAAGCTAACTAATACAAGTTGCCAGCCAAGACCGTTTAAACCAACTCCCAGATGTATGTGATCCAACCCAGCCAAGACCAGCAGAGCCACTCAGCCAAGATCAGCCTACCCCCAGCCAACCCACAAACAGATGAGCTGAATGAATACTTATTGTTGTGCACCCCAGAAGTTTTGTAGTTGGGAGCTATGTAGCATACATGGCAATTTTTAATTGGTATACATAAACTCCAAATTCTGTGAAGGCAAAGACTCTGTCTTGTTAACTGTTATATATTCAGCACCAAGCACAGTGTCTGCCAAATAATACTACTAAAGAATAATTATTGAGTGAATTGATAAATGAACAAATAAATGAATGCATGACAACCAAAGGAAAACACTGGAAGAGCTCAATGCCTATTTCGTGTGCTGGTTTTATTAGTCAGGGTCCTCCACAGAAACAGAACCAATAGGATTTATATTTGTGCATGTGTGTAAAGAATATATATGTGTACACACACACACACACAAGATTTATTACCTGATTTACAAACACAGATGATTATGGATATTGGCAAGTCCCAAGATCTGCAGAGTGGAGATTTGGGTGGAGATTTGGTCTCCAAGCTGGAGACCTAGGAGAGCCCAATGTTTACTTACTATCCAAGTCCATAGGCCTGGGACTGATAGCTGATGGTACAGTTCCAATCCTAAGGCTGGCAGGCTCAAGACCCAGGAAGAACTGATATTTCAGTTTGAGTCCAAAGTCTGGAAAAAAAGCCAATATTCCTGTTTGAAGGCCATCATACAGGAAACATTCTCTCTTACTGAGAGAAGGACATCTTTTTGTTCTATTCAGGCCTTCAACTGATTGGATGAGGCTCACCCACATTAGGGAAGGGAATCTGTTAAACTCTGTCTCTCATCTTAAATATTAATTGTATCCCAGGCAGATCATTTGAGGTCAGGAGTTCAAGACCAGCCTGGCTGTCTCTACTAAAAATATAAAAATTAGCCAGGCATGGTAGCGGGCACCTGCAATCCCAATTACCTGTGAGGCTGAGGCTGGAGAATCACTTGAACCTGGGAGGCGGAGGTTGTAGTGAGCCGACATCGCACCACTGCACTCCAGCCTGGGCAACGGAGTGAGACTCTCTCTCAAAAAAAAAATAATAATAATAATAATTACATTCAAAAACACCCTCATAGAAACACTCAGAATAATATTTGACCACATATCTGGGCACCCAGTAGCCCAGTCATGTTGATGCAGCCAACATGCTTAATGCACTCTATGTGGCGAGTCCCCAGAGCAGAGGTGGCTCACCCACCACCTGTCATTTTCTAGAACAGCTGTAGCAATGGATGAATTAAAAAGGGTGTGACTCTTTCTGGAGTGTGACATCTTTGCTATGCTACCAATGGTCAGTATGTGTTGTCCTCAGGAAATGAAGGGAGAGGGGATGGAGGTGGTGGGGAGGAGAAAGAACAATATCAGCCCTGCACAATATCAGCCCTAAATTCCGGAAGTGCCATGTGGAGGGTTTTGTTCAAGCCTGGCTTCTCCATAATATGTTTTGACGGGTTTGAAATTGGCCTGATGCAGGCCAACAATAAGAGGAGAGTTGAGCTTACATAGCAGAAAATCTATACTCTCTAGACACGTGCTTACTGCAGGAGAATCCAAGGTATTGACCTTCAATTCAGCTCCCACATGAGCTGATGCTGAGATAAGGGGAGCTCATCTGTTCACCCTCCCAGGCACTTCCAGGCTCACAGCCTTAGCCATGGCTTTGTAAGTCACTAAATGGGCCTTTATTGACTATTGGGCCTTTATTGACACCTCCAGGACAGAGGAAGCTTATATCATTGGGCCCCGCTTCTTCCTCCCTACATCAGTGATGCCTGAAATTCCTTTGAAAGAAGCTTAAAATGCAAATGATGCTAGGAGAGAGAAATACTGGATTTAAATTCACAGTTTACACCTCTAGAGATGTGGTCTCTCATCACACTATCTCCGCACTCTACACCTTCCTCCCTTCCACACTGCACCCCCAGGAAAAGAGGGCACCCATTGTATTATTCCTGGTTCTCCAGAGAAACAGTACCTATAGGAGACGATAGACAGATTAGATAGATGGATGGATAGATAGATAGATAGATAGATAGATAGATAGATAGATAGATAGACAGACAGGCAGAGACAGACAGATAGATACGCAGGCAGGTGGAAACAGATGAGAGAGAGAGAGAGAGAGAGATGTGAAATTTATTATAAGGTATTGGTTCATGCAATTATGGAGGCTGAGAAGTCCTAAAGTCTGCCACTTGCAAGCTGGAGACCCAGAAAGCCAGTGGTGCAGGTCTAAGGCCTGAGAGCCAGAGAGCCAATGGTATAGATTCCAGTCTGAGTCTGAAGGCCTGAGAACCAGGAGCACTGAGGGCAAGAGAAGATTGATATTTCAGCTCAAGCAGTCAGGCAGACTGCTTCTGCTGAACTGTGAACACAATTAGAAATATCCAGAAGATGCAGTTGCAAATATGGAGAAGAGGTCCAGAGAGTTTGTCAGATAAAACTTTCTTCAAGGAACTAAGTGACTTGTTACTATACAGTTTAAGATCTGCAACATCAAGCTTTAGAATTTAGACATTTTATGCCATAGGAATATTCTGAACCAAAATTTCATTCATTGTGATATGGTTTGACTCTGTCCCCACCCAAATCTCATCTCAAATTGTAATCCCTATGTGTTGAGGGAGGGGCCTGGTGGGAGGTGATTGGATCATGGGGGCGAATTTCCCCCTTGCTATTGTGATAGAGAGTTCTCACAAGATCTGGTTGTTTGATCAGTGTCTGGTGCTTCTTCTTTCTCTCTCTCTCTCTCCTGCTCCTGCTGCCTTGTGAAGACGTGCCCTGCTTCCCCTTCACCTTCCACCATGATTGTAAGTTTCCAGAGGCCTCCCCAGCCATGGGGAACTGTGAGTCAATTAAACCTCTTTTTTCTTTTTTTTGGATGGAGTCTCACTCTGTCACCCAGGCTGGAGTCCAATGGCACGATCTCAGCTCACTGCAGCCTCCGCCTCCAGGGTTCAAGCAATTCTCCTGCCTCAGCCTCCCGAGTAGCTGAGATTACAGACATCTGCCACCATGCCCAGCTAATTTTTGTATTTTTTGGTAGAGACAAGGTTTCACCATGTTGGCCAGGCTGGTCTTGAACTTCTGGCCTCAAGTGATCCGCCTACATCGGCTTCCCAGAGTGCTGGGATTATGGGCATGAGCCAATATGCCCAGCCCTCTTTCCTTTATAAATTGTTCAGTCTTGGATAGTATCTCCGTAGCAGTGTGAACCACAGTGTCCATTTGAACCCACATTGCCAATTTGGTTCTGTGCCAAAGAAACAAATAGCAAACTTCTCAGTTATGTGCAGAAATGTATTTTAGGAAGTTAGGCATAATAATAACAACAGTAGTAGTAATAATAATAGTATTTTAGCATGTATTAAGCACTTTCTGTGTATTAGCACTATACTAAGCCTCTCGCAAACATTATCTCATTCATTCTTTACACTAACCCCATGATCTAGGAATTATTTTTCTCTCCAGGTCCAGGTTAGGAAACAAATTACAGAGGTTAAGGAACTTGCTCAGGGTTGTCCAGTTCTTGGTAACTGAGCCTAGAAACAAGCACAGGATGGTCTGAGCTCAGAGCCTAAGTCTTAGCATACAGGAAAACCAGACAGAACCGGGTGTGCCGGGGAATGAGAGACCAGGAATTCACAGCCAATTCAAATCTGTTCCACATAGATGGGCCCCCATCTTTGTTAAGTGAAATCATCCAATATTAGACTTCATTGCCCTCAGAGATGAAAATAACCAGGGCTCCCCCAAAACAGATGCTAAGACAGAAATTTAGGTGCAAGTAGGTTATTTGGGAGGTGATTCCAGGAAGGCTGCTGGGGGGATGGGGAGGCAAGCTGGGGAAGTGAGACAGGGAAGAGAAGGAAACCCCTATGAGGCAGACGAATGAGTGCTTCACTACTGTGGGCAATGGGCTTGCGCCCAGTGGGGACATCTGGGTGACTATGTCGAACACACCTCAGAGTTGTCCCACCCAAAGGCCGAGGAAGCTACGTTATTTATCCACCCACTCCTGTCTGCCTATGGTCCAGGGCCCCTCCCTGTAGCATTCATTTCTGAGCACTTCGGGCCTGTTGTTTGCTTATGCTGTGCAGGTTCTCTACCTGACACAGGCACTGGCATGTGCAAGGGTGGTGAGGGCAAGGGGACATGGGTGGGCCCTGACAGTGTTTGCTTCACCATATATGTCTCCAGAAGGTGGTTTTGGCTTCAAATTTGATGATCATTTCATCTTCTCACAAAGCCATCATTCTAAGAAAATTGCTCCAGCCAAGGGCTTGGAATTATGAGAACTGGAGGTAGAATATCTCTCTTCTCCTAGACCCCTCCAGGTGTTCACCTGTGAGAAAGGAGAGGGTTAGACACCCTCTGCATGAGACGTTGTTTGGCACCAAAGAGTCAAAGTCCATGCTGTAGACTTCCCAAGGCGCTAACTTCTGCTTGCCTCCCTCATCAGCATCTCTAAACTTCTGAGGGGCTGGGACAAATGGGCAGGTGAAACAAACCAGCGGACATATTCAAGGCAGGCAGGGAGTGGATTGGATACACATATTTCTTTTTCCTGAGAGAGGAGTTAAAAGCCCGTAGTGAAAGAATGAAGTGATAAACAGTATGGTCAGGGATATTTTAGCCTTGGAAATCCAGATGTAAGATATTATGAGTATGTTTGCTACATTGATTTGCTCCACTTTTTAGCACTTAAAAGGGAAAATGAGCTTTATATCACATTATAACTGACTGTGTAGTGTCGAGGGGTGTGTGCGCGTGCGCGCGCGTGTGTGTGTGTGTGTGTGTGTGTGTGTCTTATGCATAATCAAGAAAGACTCAAGAGTTTATAAAGACCGAGAGGGCAGGCATGAAATATGTCAT
This sequence comes from Homo sapiens, assembly GCF_000001405.40. NCBI lineage: Eukaryota > Metazoa > Chordata > Mammalia > Primates > Hominidae > Homo > Homo sapiens. The sequence goes on from NC_000020.11 coordinate 21,045,212, forward strand.
AGACATATTGAAAGTGTGCTACTACCAAATATATTGCAAGCCAAATTTATATTGGAACCAAACCTGAATTCTGATTTTTGTTCCTTTTAACCAAAATAAAAAACTTTTCAACATTGAAAGCTTTGATGGAATCCCCATAGAAGGAATTTAGATGAAACTAAACATAATCTTCATTTTCATTTTAAAATTTAAATTGGGTGCTATATTACAAAGATATATTCCACAAAATACAATTTCAATGCCAAATCATCCAAGAATATGGGAAAGGTGATCTTCTAAAGGTTTGGGTTTTTTATTTTCTCCTGGAGCACTTTGTCTAGATAAGGTTGATTCCTGCCTTCTGTGACTATGATTTCAAATATGACTTCTCTGAACTTTATACCCTTATTTTGAAGGAAAGCATTTTAAGAGCAAAGGATAAAATTCAATTAATTGAGATGACAGAAAATAATCTATTAAGTGAATATATCAGGCAATTGGAAGCTTTCATACCTTTCAAAAAGGAAATAACCTATTTCTTGCCTTGTTATCTAATGACACAGGAGTTTATTTCTCTTGAAGCTGTTACAAATCTACCTAATGAGGCCTGAACACTGTTGCCAAGCAATTAGAGTTTTTATTGTGTCACTGATTTCCTTCATTTCCGCAGTCGCTGATAATCATTAGCCAATACTGTCTCCGTCTAAGAATGCACAGCGTGCATATGTGTGTCTGTGTGCATATGCGCGCACACACACACACACACACACACACACACACATTCAGCCTGCTGAGAATGCCTGTGGGGGAGACAGCCTCAGACAGTTACAAAATTTGTAAATTTCTGCACATCTTATTTGTCACTCATAAACAACAGAGTCCAGCAGAAGTGACTTCCAAGGCCAGGTCGTAAAAAGTAATGCAGTTTCCATCTTAGGAGCTGGAATACCTGCTCTTACAAAGTTCAGCTGCCACTGCAGCCCAAGGGCCCAGAGGCCCCCATGTTGTGAGGAAGCCCAAACAAGCCCATGCAGATGACCACATGGAGAGAGAAAGAAATTCCTGGCCGTCTCCATCTGCTGTGCCAGCTCCAGCCACCTACTGATGGCAACCACATGAAAGAAGACCCCAGCAGAAACTTCCCAAATTCCGGACCCACAGAAACCATAAATAGGAATAAAATGGTAGTTGGAGATTAAGCCAGTAAGTTTTGGCATGCTGTTGCACAGCAATACATAACCAGAACACTACATCCTAGAGCCTGAGTATGATTAGACTATTTCTCTATACACATTCCTTCTCTTAACCTATGCAGCAGATGTTATCAGTGCTGTCTACAGCCCCCTGACATTCATCATTTCCATACCAGCTGTCAACTTCCTACGGAAAGCTACTGTCACTCTTTGCCTGGGGGCTTTCCTGGCTCAGCCCATGTGGCCAGTGAGGGGCAGGAATGAAGTACCAGGGAGTTATTGACTCCAGAGAAGCCCTTAATTAATGGAAATGGAAATTTCTAGATAAGTAGCCCAACTCTTACCTCTCAGATGGAAAACTCCGATGCATGTTCACACCATCTACAGAGGTGCTGCACCTTCTCCCCAGCTGCTCACAGCAGCCTGATTTGCTAACACCTATCATGGGCTGCTCTGCCTGCTCTCCTCCCTACTGGTGCTTCCTGGCAACATTTGTCTGCAAATTCTCACCTCAGGGGCAGCTCCAGAGGGAATGAAGACTAAGACAATGGGGAACCAGGCTGAAGGGCAGTTGGATCAACCAGCTCCTCAACTGCTGCTTCAAATCCCATGAAGAGTGGAAGGGACACTCAGAGTGGAGCCTGAACTGTGCCCCACCTGAAACTAGATTCAGAAGGGGAATAAACACCCTCACTCATTCAGATGTATTAGCACCAGGAAGATGTACAAGCGAACATCAACACAATTGACAAATCATGCACATGTCCAGAGTGGGTAATTTTGCCACATACAGCCATTCCCCTTTCTTGCTCCAAATTTTGAAAAATTTTGGAGTTGGTAAGGATGTATTACATACTGACTGTATGCCTAGAGCTCTGTGAGACAAGAGTAACAATCGTGAGAGAAAAGGCACACCCCAATGTCACAGCACTAAGAATGCAGTCAGGGAAGCAGTGAGTTGTATTCACAGCAAAGCCACAGAGATGGCTCACAGCGACTCGGGTGAGAGGGTTGCAGAGAAGCAATCTCCACGCTGAGTGGTAATATCAGGGTAGTGATATCACTCATCTTCCCATTCCTAGGGAGCTGCTGTGCTTGGTGGAAGAGGACTTAACCAGCCAAGCTTGTGGGAACCCAAGCTATTTGCTTGGTACCTGACTGCAGAGGACACCGGCATGGTAATTGCCATTCGTGGAGTGCCTCCTCTGTGGCAGGCAGTGTTCAAGGGCTTTTATATGCAAGGTGGTGGCACTTTATGCAAAGGGTACTGTTCCTGAAGAAATCACATAATGCAAAGCTGCATGATTCAACATAAATCCCAAGGAAGGAGGTACTTCTGATCACCAGCCATGTGGCAACATCATAAACCAGTACACAGTTCATTCGACCTATCAGCTTTGAAATGACCCAATTCTAGATTAATTTTTATTTCATGGAGACTTGCATTGTTTCAAATTTGCAGCAAAAATATAAAATAACTAACATTGTATATAATACTAAATTCTCATAAAATATATCGTTATGACATAATCGTCATCTTCATGATTCTCCTAATAATTAAAAGCTAATATGTGTTAGTTAACGTTGCCATTCACTCATCACATAGTAATTCATAAAGAGCATCATGTTTTTAAATACCATAAGCCAAGCAGAGATGTTAACTCAATCTGCTACAAAGTAAATGTTGCCATTATTTCGTTTCGTAATTGGGGAAAACTGAGTCACAGCGAGGTTAAGTAACTTGCCTACAGTTACACAATTGATAGGTGGTGGAAAACTGGGACTCCAGGCCAGGCAGTCCGGCTCTAGAACCTATTACGCTCTCCACCACCAGGCTCTACTTCCTCATTCAAACCTTACAATGGCCCTAGATGGACATATTGCATGAAATAACTGAGACTGGAGTGGTTTAGCCAGAATTCCAACCTGGTTCTATCCAGCTGTAAAACCCACATGCCTGCATTCAGCTCGGCTGCATCCTGCCAGCATCTTATTTCTTGGCTGTATCAGGACCAAGATAGACTTATTCCAGCACACATCAAAGCTGACCTTGTCAACTCAGATACTTTTAATTCAATATAAAATAGAAAAATGCAGGGAAAATCCGTTTTTACCATGAAACTTGATAAGAAGCAGGAAGACATAGTGGTTGGTGACCTTATACCAATAATAGCACACATTTATTAAGTCCCTACTACAGACCAGGCACTGCCCTGGGAACCTTCTGGATGTTAGCTCCGTGAAGCCATATCACAGCCTAACGAGGTCAGCCCTGCTGTTCCTCCGGCCGTGCAGTTATCTCAGAGAGGCAAAGAGGAATGGAACTGGGAGGGTCTGCAGCTGTTTCTCTTAATAGACTGCTCTCATTGGGTCTCTCCTCAACTCATAAAGGTGCAAAGCAGCTCGGATCACGATGGGGAGGAAAAACAGGCAGGAGAGGTAGGTTGCTCAGAGGACGGCAACAGCAGTCCTTAGAATGCCCAGAGGTGAAAGCAGAGAAGATGTTTCCTTCACTAGTTCCCAGAGGCCCCAGAAGAGCTCAAGAGTTCCAGGTTAGGGATACCCTGTGAGCTTCCCGGAGGGCGGGCCCATCAGAGCCCATCAGAGCGCCCACTAGAGGGCAGAAGTGAGCAGAGGGGAATGAGGCTGGCACAAAAGGCACTGGGAGGGTGGAGGGAGAATGGATGCTGGTACAGTGGCCAGAGGGGACTGGGAAGTGAGGAAAATTGCCATGGTCCAGGTGAGGTATGAGAGTCCTCAGGGACCTCCTGTGTCTTTGGGACCTGGTTTTTCTGGAACTTTGAGAGACTGTGGCTCATTAAGGACTATTAGTTACTCTGATAAGCGTAATGGTGCATGCCGTCTTAAGGGCTGATTTTGCTGTCACTTAATTGAAATTTATCCCAATACATCTTCATCAGAACATTTGGAAATGGAACGGGCAAGGCAGCCCCACTGAGTGTATAGCAAAAGTGTGGGCTGAAAACTGGTAATCCACACATAGTGTAAAGAGAACGTGCTATGTAATTCTCACTAAGGTACTGCCCGGCACGGGAGCTATAGAGCTTGGCCCAGAGCCCCTTACCAGCTGCTGGGAGTGTTGGCTGCTAGGGATCTCAGCTGCCTCCCTCACTGCAGAATTGTCCTCAGGCCAAAAGGGAAGCTACTTACCCAGGAGGTTATGAGCCCATCCCATGCGCGGCCAGAGCCCAGTGACCACACCTTACAGGGCTCATAGATGCCTCAAGGGGCATGAACTCCACAGTGCAATTCACACTCCAGAGCTCCCCAGGGGGCTGGAGCTAAATCCCAGGCACAGATCATAGCTTTGCATAGCATTAACTGATGAAGTAGAAATGACATTTCCAGTTACCCAGCAGGGAGGGGTTTTTGAGGCCTACTCTCCATAGGCTGGTTAGTTCCAACTAGACAATACTTTAGAAATTAGCCAACCCATTTTCATCAAGGGTGGAATCCTGTGTGAGGCACTAAAAACCTAGAAACCACCCAATAAGTTAGGTAAAGCATCCACATACAACAATAAAGTACTACACAGATGGTGGAAATCTGGATATAGATGTAGATATCTCCTGGCATAGGAAGTACAAATTCAGGCTGTAGAGCCATGTGAATAGCATGGCCCCTTTATTTTACATTGATTGATTGATTTACTTACACACACATACACACACACACATACACAGTGTCTTAGTGATTGTGGTTCTTCCCAGATCAGGCTGAGACAAGGGCTTACATGTACATGGTCAGTGTATTTTGGAAAGAGACCACAGAAACGGGAGAGGGAGGCTAGAGAAGAAAGAGACAGAGAAAGAGGGATCATCACTACTGTGAACATCTGGGCCTAGGCCTATTTGGGACTCTCTGGAGCACTATGTAGACAGCCTTAGAATCATTCGCTTGAGGAACAGGACAGGGGCATTTTTATCCACTAGATATAGGCCCCATTGGTCAAGAGTTGCCCTATGAGGTGTTCATTCCTTTTCCCTTCCAGCGATCACCTGCACTGGAATGGTGGTGAGTGCTCCATCCTGCAGTGGCAGGGGTGCCCTGAGGCATACAGCAAGAGATAGGCAGGGGAGGTGGAGTTATACCTGCACAGCTGGTGGCCATGGCAACAACTGGAGTTAAAAGATGGGTCAAGGGGCTATGAAGAGGGCACAGGAGGTATACAATCCACATAGAGAAGTGTCAGGAAGGATATTTACCAAACTGTTGACGACAGTCATCCCTGAGAAGGAGGATTCTTTCTCTTCATTATGCTTTCCTGAACAGTTTAACTTTTTTCATAAAACTATACAACTTTTTGCAAAAAAAAAAAAAAAAAAGCCATATCAAAGAAGAAAACATCCCATTTGACTCCCTCATTTTACAGGTGAGTGATTCACATTTGGAGCAGGGCTCATGGACTCGTGGCTGGGAGCTGTCTGCAGTGTGAGCACAGTACTGTGGCCCCGCCAGCCCTGGGAATGTAAAGGCTATTGCCTACACAGCTGCAGCTCAGAGTGGACCATGAACAGACCAGGTAGTGCAGCCCCATGAGGAGCAAAGATGATGGGGCAGGAAGTCCAGATCCAGACAATAGCCACACACCCCTGCCCCCAATCCTGAGGAAATCGCTATTCTGAATGCCATCACCAAGTAGTTTTGCTTGAGCTTGAACTTCATTATTACAGGTCAATTTCCCCAGGAGGCAGAAGCTGAGTTTTTTTAGGCAATGCTCTTGGTATCAACACCTGTGAGGTGTGAATGAAGCAGATTGAGGCTGGACTCTGGACTGGAATGAGGTCTCAAGGTATCAGGTGATCCCATCAGGACCTCCAAGCTGTTGGAACAAGGGAGCTGACTTTATGCCCTGCACTGACGAATCATTGCGGTGTTTGTGCTTTTGGTGTTATATCTAAAAATATATTGCAATATCTGAGGTCATAAAAATTTACCTTTACGTTTTCTTCTAATAGTTTTATCATTTTAGCTCTTACATTTGGGTTTTTGGTCTATTTTGGGTTAATTTTTGTATACGGTATGAGGTAAGGTCCAACTTCGGTCTTATGGGTATGGTTATCCAGTTGTCCCTGCACCATTTGCTGAAAAGACTATTCTCCACTGAATGGTCTTGGCACCCTTGTTGAAAATCAGTTGGCCATGGGCACGTGATTTTATATCTGGACTCTCAATTCTATTCCATTGTTTACATGTCTATCCTTTTGCCAGTACTGCACTGTTTTGATTACTGTTGCTTTCTAGTAAGTTTTGGAATGTTGAAATGAGTGTTAACATGTTTTAACATGTCTTTTTGTAGACACATTCAATCATTTCTCTTGAATCTATGCCTGGGAGTGAAATTGCTGGTATGCATATATTTAATTTCAGTAGAAACTGCATAATAGTTTATACACGATTTATTTTTAGTAACATGTGGATATGAGTTTATACAAATCAATTTAATCAAAACCAATTGCACACCTGAATGTCATCAGTTGTCCTGAATTGCAACTGTTCTTATGTTTTCATGGTGAGTGGTGGTGGCCTTGCTCTCACAAAGTTTTTCTGTGACTTTCTGATCAACAAGTTCCGTGGAGGTGGTGATCTCTGGGAGGCAGAGTCCTCTGGGAAAAGGGCCTCAGGTTGACTTGGGAGGTCAGCCAGAGCAGGATCTAACACCTTACTCAAGAAGACAGAAAGCAGAGAAGAGGTCACAAGCAGCAACTCAACTGGTGAGCCTCCATTGGCCAAGGCCGCTGCATTGAAAGCACCTGTGGGCAAATCACAAAAGTCACCACTCTGGGGAGATGACCGGTGCCCCCTGTGATGGACCAATTCACAAAAAGCTCCCCTTCCTCTGCTGACTGAGCCCCATGCCTGGCTCAGGGTGTGGTGGACAGGCCGGGCAGGGCCAGGCATCAGCCTCCACTGGTCACTCTCATGAGTGGGCACCGCATGCGTGTTCTCAGGAGCCTGCCAGAGATTGTCCTGCTGTGACTGTGCTGACAGCCAACAAGAGACAAGAACCACATCAAAATTAGGAGGAAAGCTATAGCCCACCCCAGCACTGGGCTGGGTGCTTTAGGCAGGCCTAGCTGGCCTGCCCAGTTGCATCTCCCAGGGGTGCCTGACTTAGCATGGGTTCCCCCAAAGCAGGGCCTGAGATGAAGATTTGCGTTCCGGTGGTTTGTTTGGGGGCTGACCCCCAGGAAGCCCTGTGAGGAAGTGGGGAGAGTCAGGCAGGAGGGAACCCAGTGTGGGTAAGTGAGTGGGTGACTGCAGTGGGCGCCCAGGACAAAATCCCCAGGACGCTGTAGCTGTAGGGACGCCTCGGGGAGGCTGTAGGGAATTGTCCCTCTGAGTAGTGAGGACGCTGCATGTTTTTCCATTAATTCCCACCCTTCATTGATGGAGGGTCACTCCCAGGGTGTTAACTCCCGGGTGCTTCTGGTTTGCCCCATGGATGAGCACAGTCCACAGACAACACCCTCAGACAGAGAGACACAGGAAACTGACCTGGGAGGGAGTGTCAGCAGGACACCTCCTCAGTGGGTTAAGTGAGTGGTGGCAGGATACCGACAGCACCTGCTACATTCCCTAGGCCCAAAGTTAAGAGTTTCCCCTGCCCCCAGTAGGCCCACTGACTAAACCATACAGATTAGAATAGAGCAGCCAGTGAGACCCTGACCATTATTTATGTTCCCTCCTCTGTCACCCCAGATGTTGGGGGAGGGGTAGAGAGAGTGGGAAAATGTTGTTGCAAAAATGCAAAAACCCATGGCCTGGAGCAGATAAACCGTGCTTGAATGAATGGCTTGTTCTCTAGCAGAGAAGGAACTTTATTTGAATAGTTAATCCTCGCGTGTTGCAACAGCCCAAGATCACCCTGCAAAGGCTATTATTTGCCCAGAGCGTTGCAGGCTGGGGAAATCTTCATGTACCCCTTTTCCTTTTAAACACCAGATCCTATATCCAGGCTGAGATATTGGAAAGCAAATTGTGAGCCCCGTCTGCCAGCTGGGGGCATGCTGAGACAAAGGAAAGATTCTCGCTGGCAGAGCTCCCTGGCCAGGAGACCCTCATCTAGTAGGAAGGATTTTAACACATTCATTCCCATGTTACACGGCATTCCTCCATTCTTGAAAATGCTACGCCAAAAATATATCTTTCTGCTTGTTATCAGTTTATTCATAGTTTTAGATTCAGCTATAGCTCGTATGTGGTAAAAACCTAGGCCAGCTGAGGGGAAAACACTCTCCCCAGGGATCCATCTGATTTATAAATAAACAAGTGCTGCAGCTGTGGGGGTTGTGGAATGGAGCCCTCTGTGATTCTACAGGGAGGCTTCACACAGGATCTCTTCCGAAGACAAGGAGAACTTAAGGAACAAGAGTGTGTGTATGCCACAAAGTGATACTTCTAGTCTCAGCTCACTTTGAAAGGAACCCCTTAAGAACTTTACCCATAAAACTTCTTGAGTGAATTTGAGTCAGTTAAGCCAACTCAATTTGGTAGAAAATCATGCAACATTGCTGAAATTAACAGCCTCTCCAGCTAACAGGTAGAGAAACTAGAAAAGACCCAATGGCATTGCATTTATAGTGAAGAAAGAAAAATAAGCTGAGCCTCAGTTCAGAAAAGATTGGGGGCATTTTTGCAAAGCCTCTCATAAACACAAGCGAGAAGTCCATTTAAAATCCTAAATGAATGCTCAGAAAAATATCCAGGTTTCCCAATGTTAACCAACTGTTTGCTCACGTCTATATGATTAATACATATCCTAAAGCTGAGATTTAATTTTTCCAGGATGCAAAGCCTGGTGCTTCAGCTAGTATTGTAATCCCCTATTTGGAAATTGCGAAGTTATGAAGAGAAGCCTCCCTCAAGACAACATCAAATAAAATTAGTCAAATACAGAGAAGGATACTATCATTTTCAAGATCACATGAAGATATTTTTTAATTGAGAAAACATTTAAAGGATGCTTATAAAAGAGATATAGTGAAAAACAAAAGTTATCCCATATTTTAGATAGACTTTTATGTTTACTGTCTTTCGGAAGTAAAACTTTCAAGTCACACATTTGTTCAACAAAGATTTGCATGATTACTTTGCTAGGCACTCTTCTAGACACTAATGGTGTAACGGTGCTAAAGACAGCAGCTGGGCTCCTGCGCCCTTGAGGTTACCAATCTTGGCCACAGGGGATAGGTGAGAGACTTCATATTGTGCATGGATGACTACTATTTTTTTAAAGATATTAGTTGACTAACACAATCGTTCATGCCTGTAATCCCAACACTTTGGGAGGCCAAGGCAGGAGGATCACTTGAAACCAGGAGTTTGAGACTGACCTACAAAGCTAGACCCTGTCTCTACAAAAAACAAACAACGACAAAAAAATTTTAGTTAAAAACTGAAAGGATTTTAATAGTTAAAAATCAGAAGGATCAAAAGCAAAGATGTTGAAGGAGTCTGAGGAGTGAGCAAGGTTGTGTGTTTCCAGGTGTTGAAAGACATCCCTTCCCCATAGCGGGTCTCCAAATGAACCAAGGAAATACCTGGCCTCTCACCTGAACAATAGCTAAGTAATGATACCTAACTCATAGGGTTGCCACAGAGTATGTGTGCAAAGCCTGGTGGCACCCATGATAATCAGGTGTGACCTGCTATTATATTATTAAGGAACTCACATAATACAGTATTTGGCACTAGAAGATAGTCTGTAAATATTAATTAACTTCTCTTACTAGACAGCTACACACACAATACAAACACATACAACCTTAAGCCAGGGTCTCCACATGGGGGGGTGCATGACAATCCATTGGGTAAAAAAGAAAATATTAGGACATCTATTTGTAAGTTTTATGTAAAAATGGCAAAGTGATTAAGTTTTACTGAAATACATTATAATGATTGACAATAGTGCCCTTCCTGGGTCTGTGTGTCAGAGTCTTGCAGAATTGGTACCAGAGGTCCCCCTGAGGGAATATGGGAATTCCACTACTCCAGCTGAGAGTGGCACGCCCACTTGGTGTCTTCTGTGAGCCTCATTAAATGAACGCACAGATTATATGAATCCAGCTTTAACTAAATAACTTTCTCAACCTGGGAAAGTGGCTTAAAAATATTGTAGACAAGAAACAATGGATTGAAGATAATCCTAATATCACAAGCAGAAAGATGAAAATAAATGGTAGAACTGACCCTTGCATTCCCAATACCTCCCATTAGCCTCATTACAAGGTAAAAATTATAATAATCTAATTAGTATGAGAAGAATTCAGCCTAAAATATTGAACTTATAATGAAGACTACTGATAATGAGCATATCCAACCATTGTTATGGAGAATGAATTCCACATGTGTGTGGTGGTTTGAAGATTTGAGGTGAAGGTGATGGAAAGTCACAGTGATAACCAAGACCTACAAATAGTAAGCATTTGGTGTGCAGAAGCAAATATCTGAGACTTCTAAGCAATGTTTACAATTGTGAGATACTCAGTTCAGTATTTTATCAAAGTTTCACACAGATTACTGAAAAATATTGAAGTTTTTAAATAAAGAAAAATAAAAAAGCTACCTACCATTGAGTAAACCCTTCTCTTTATGCCCCAGTAAAAATGGCTGCAATAATACAGAAACGACAATAAGGCGGCAAGTTAAAATGCCTGCCTTTATTAGCAACGCGGTTGGAAATGCATAGCAAACAATGCTGAAGATTTAAAGATACACACATTAGAACAAATTATGCTTTACCAAGGTTTGCCAGAGCATTGAATGAAAGTACAGATATTTCCAACATGTCTCGCTTTGTGCTGTTTGCTAGATTCCATTTCAATAGTGAAATACACCAAAGGCCATTTTTTTATGAGCCACTAAACCGTTACAGTCTCAGTAGTAAATGACTGAAAAAGTGTTCAGGGTGGAAATCTGTTAAGTGTAATCACTAGTGGTGGAATGGCTGAATTATTGTTTGTTTTTTAAGAAAAAAATTACAGTAAAGTTAACAAAGAAAGCACAACCATCAAATCCATTTACTGTGTCGTTCTTAGCAAATAGTGAAGCAAGATGAAGAAAACAACAGATGTCACCTATGAGGTTAAATTTATAAAAACGAGACTTGCCAAATATGATTGAATCTTTAACACATTTTATAATGAGAATAGAAATGACCCTAAGAAATCTTTGGACCACACAGACTGTCCTTTGGACAATGTACCTAAAAGAACAGGGAAACTAAAAGGGTTCCGGATTTCTGGACTTCTCTGTGATGACAAGTAGCTGTCACTACTATGTGACCTCACACATATTTTTCAAGTAAGCAAGCACACAATCTATTACTATAGTGTAAAAGAGAAAGGAAGTTCTCTTTATTTACCAAGGAGTGAAAAGTAGCTGCTTTTAAAAGAAAATATATCCCATAATGACGCATTTTGAACAGTGTGTGTTCGGAAACATTTCCATTGTCACACAAATATACTTATTACCCAAAACTCCCATATTTGCACCCTCACAAACAGAATTTTTAACTTGTTATAAGGTCTTCTAAACAAAGAATTTTTCTTCATTCTGAGCAGATTTTTGAAAATATAAAAATGCAATACTTTTCAATCATTTTGTTAGACTGATATCAAGAAAGCTATAGTTTACTTAGCCAAATTCGAATAAAAATTTTTGAAAATTGAAAGATGTGATTACAAATGTGTTTTGTCACTTAGCCCAGCCATTGATGCACTTCTTCCATTTGGATATATAAAACTGTGAGGTTTATTTTTTTGAGACATTAAAAGCAAGAACTGAAATAAATTGAACTTAGAATCTGACCTTCAAATTTACCATCTTACTCACAGAGATCAATTATCCCTTAATATCAAATAACCATTGATGTTCCAAGTTTCCAATTGTTTCATAAATGTCATAATTTTTTAGTTTGTTTCTTTAAAGTGTGTTTATTTAAATAAAGCCATGAGATGTATTCGATTGTTCTGTCAGATCTATTTTATTTTGTAGGACTTCCACTCACATCTCTCCTTTCTTTGTCATTTATTTGTTGAAGAAAGTAGGTTGATTGGCCCATATTACTTCATATAAGCTGGATTTTGCTGGATTCATCTCCATCGTATAGTCTATAAAGTTCCTCAGTCCTCTGTATTTCCTGGGGAAAAAAATTATAATTGCATATACAAGTTGCTCTATTTTTTTTTCTTGGTAAAACTACTTTATAGTAGAGTGGGTATTTCCACCAGGAAGCACATAATGTCTGGTTCTCATCCTTTTGGTCATAACAGGTATTGACAGATATCTTTCAAAATAATATGTTATTATAAAATGTGTGATATAAACAGAAAGTTTAAAACATACAGTTCAAAGAAAAATAAACATCCACATACCTACTACCCAGATTAAGAAATTGAATAAACTGTGTACAGTTCATATCTTCTTAGCTTCCCTTTCTCGTCTCTCCCCAGAGACAAACAACAGAACTTCTGTATTAGTTATTTTTTGATTTTTCACTTAAATACATCTAACACCTGAGTCTGTATTCCTAAACAATATATTGCCACATTTTTTAACTAGGTAGGAAGTACACGTTTCTCTGTGTGAAGGAAGGACACTATTATCACTGTGAAATGAAGGCTTCTAGAGGAAATAAACTGAAGAGATCTTCTGGGATATAGTTTGTCATCAGCTATCCATGCAGTTTATAAGAGTCCCTTTTGAAAAAAATCAGAGGGCAAGACTTTGAATAAAAACCTAGAAAACTTGAAGCTTTGTACAATGAGGCTGTCTGGAAGGAATTCAATGGGATCAGTATTGAATGCCTTCCCAGAATATGGTCAATGAGCATGGGTCACTTTATATTTTCTATTTCTAAGTTCACCATGCCCTTCCTTGGTCTTTCAGGCGTAGGTCCAAGCAGAAGACTCTGTGAGCTGAAATGAGTGCTCTCAGTCCAGGCTACAAGGCTGCAGGGCAGGAACTTCTTCAGTACATGATCAGTGTGAACCAAAGGCTTATCAAAATTTGGGCTAGGCTCACCTAGATGTTCTGTCTTCACATTAAAATACAAATTATACAATGGCAGTGACTATCTTGATATTCTGTTACAAGTTGACTCGAGTCATTCTGAGCTATCTGTACTAGTTACTCTCTGTGTTTGGCACACAGCCATCACCCTGGGATCCTTGTTCTCCATCCTTCTGGAGAATTCCTCTTATGATGGTCCTCTTATAATATAGTGGGATGCAGCAATAAAAATAAAAATAAAATTCAATAAGATACAGCAATAAAATGAAGAAACTATTTCTACATGCAAAAACATAGATAAATCTCACCAACTAATGTTGAACAAAAGAAGCTAGCATCCATGTTTTCAGCATCCATGTTTTCAGCATCCATGTCTTCTTTCTTTGTTTACTCCCTAATTTTGGTGGAGCACACCCTCTAATAGCTTTTCTGAGAAAAGTTATTTGGAATGTAAATTTCCTTTCTTAATATGTCTTTATTCTACCTTCATGCTTATTTGATAGTTTCACTGTTAAAGAGTTTTAGGTTGAAAAGCTCTTTGTTTTAATGTCAAAAGCATTACTCCATTGTCATTTTTATTCCCATTCATTTGTATAACACCTGGTTTTTATTCTCTAGTAGCTTCTCATCATCCCTGGTATTTCACAATGATGAAATTCCCCTGCACTAATAATTGGTGGGAACATTCAATCTGGTAACTTCTTCCCTCTGTTATTTTTTTTCTTAAATTGTTTCAATTTTTTTCCTTCCCTTGATTTCTAGAATTGTATTATTTGGATGTTGAATCTCTGAACTGGTCCTCTAATTTTCGTTTTCTACTGTTCTCCATTTCCTTGCTCTGGGATCAAGAATATTTCCTCAACTTTATTTTCTAAGCCTTCTATTTTTATTTCTGCTATCATATATTTAATGTTTGAAATTTTCCAAAGATTCTTTTCTAAGAAAGCTTTTTATTGAAAAAGAACATCATATAAAAATTTGCACAAATTGTATATATAGTTTAAATTTTTTTTTTTTTTTTGAGACAACGTCTGGCTTTATCACCCAGGCTGGAGTACAGTGGCACCATCTCTGCTCACGGCAACCTCCACCTCCTGGGCTCAAGTCATCTTCCCACCTCAGCCTCCCAAGTAGCTGGGACTGCAGGCATGTGCCACTATGCCTGAGCTAATTTTTGTATTTTTTGTAGAGATGGGGTTTCGTCATGTTGCCCAAGCTGGTCTCCAACTAATGAGCTCAAGCAGTCTCCCCATTCAGCCTCCCAAAGTGCTGGGATTACAGGCATGAGCCACCACACCTGGCCAATAAATTTTTAAAAATTAAATACGCTTGCCTAACTAACTACCACACAAGTGAGGAAATAGTAACTTAACAAAACCAAGAAATTTTCCTCCTCCCCATATTTGACCCTCAACAAAGATAATCACTATTGTATCCTTTATCACCGTTGATTAGTTTTGCCTGTTTATGAACTTTATAGAAATAGAAACATACAATAGACGATACATCCCTTTATGTCTGGCTTCTTTTGTTCAACATTCGTTGGTGAGATTTATCTATGTTTTTGCATATAGAAATAGTTTCAGCATTTTATTGCTGTATCTTATTGAATTTTATTTTTAATTTCATAAATATTTTTATTGCTGCATCCCAGTATATTATTATGCCAAAATTTACTTACTCCTTCTATTGTTAATAGACTGTTGAGTTATTTCTAGTTTGAAATATTTGAATAATGCGGCTATCAGCAATCTTGTACAAGCCTTTTGAGCACATGGGCACACATTTTTGTTGTCTATATAGGAGTGGAACTCTTAGGTCATGATGGCAGGGCAGGCAAGACCCAAATTGGGGCTTAGCCCAGGAAGGTTCTTGTCTTTGCTCAGGAAAGAATTCAAGAGCGAGCCAGTGGTAGAAGAAAACAGCTGTATTGAGATGGCAATTTTCATGCGTGTCCGTGTGAAGAGACCACCAAACAGGCTTTGTGTGAGCAACATGGCTGTTTATTTCACCTGGGTGCAGGTGGGCTGAGTTCGAAAAGAGAGTCAGCGAAGGGAGATGGATTATCATTAGTTCTTATAGGTTTTGGGTTAGGCAGTGAAGTTAAGAGCAATGTTTTGTGGGCAGGGGTGGATCTCACAAAGTGCATTCTCAAGGGTGGGGAGAATTACAGAGAACCTTCTTAAGGGTGGGGGAG
Source organism: Homo sapiens (assembly GCF_000001405.40). NCBI lineage: Eukaryota > Metazoa > Chordata > Mammalia > Primates > Hominidae > Homo > Homo sapiens. The sequence goes on from NC_000020.11 coordinate 21,060,617, forward strand.
ATTACAAAGTACATTGATCAGTTAGGGTGGGGCAGGAACAAATCACAATGGTGGAATGTCATCAGTTAAGGCTATTTTTACTTCTTTTGTGGATCATCAGTTACTTCAGGCCATCTGGGTGTATACATGCAAGTCACAGGGGATGTGATGGCTTGGCTTGGGCTCAGAGGCCTGACAGCAATGTTACAGCTCCATGACTCTTCCTGCGGAGCAGGGCCACCCCATAGGCATTGCGCGCTAAGAGTAGCAGCTCAAAGGCAGTTTTGCAGTCATATTTATACCCATTTTGAAAATGGGTATAAATTTATCCTACTTATTTATCTGTAGATTGCTTTAACTTGTTTATGTACACGTGGATTATGTAGAAAATTTCCAGAAAAGGGTGGTAACTTCCAGGTCATCAGTTCACTGCCATGGAAAAGGGGCAGTAACTTTCTGGTGTTGCCATGGCAATGGTAAACCAGCATGGCACACTGGTAGGCATGTTTTATAGTGCTCCAGCCACATTCCTGTTTCAGCTAGTCCTCAATTTGGTCCAGAGTCCAAGCCTTGCCTCTGGAGTCAAGTCCACCTCCTACCTCAATATGGTATGTGTATATTCCTCTATAGTAGATGTTAACATGGATTTCAAAACTGGTGGTAAAAATTTACACTCCCATAATCAGTATATAAGAGTTCCAATTGTAGGCCAAGCACAGTGGCTCATGCTTGTAATCCCAGCACTTTGGGAGGCCGAGGCAGGTGGCTCACCTGAGGTCAGGAGTTCGAGACCAGCCTGGCCAACATAGTGAAACCCCATCCATCTCCAGTAAAAATACAAAATTAGCTGGGTGTGGTGGTGCATGCCTGTAATCCCAGCCACTCAGGAGGCTGAGGCAGGAGAATCACTTGAACCCGGGAGGTGGAGGTTGCAGTGAGCCAAGATCATGCCATTGCACTCCAGCCTGGGCAAAAAGAGTAAAACTCCACTCAAAAAAAAAAAAAAAAAGAAAAGAACAGAAAGAGTTCCAATTGCTCTACATCCTCAACCATGCTTGGTATTATCCTTTTTCTTTTTTAACTTGTAGGCATCTGGTAGGTATGTAATGGTAATTCACTGAGATTTTAATTCGCATTTCCCTGCCATTTAATGAAGTCGAGAAGCTCTTCACGTCTTTAAAAGCCTTTTATCCATTTTTTCGAATTGTGTGGTCTTTTCTAACTGACTTGTAGAATATTTTTCATTTTCAGTGTATCATTATCCAGTAATACATATTACTACAAATATCTTCTCCCACTCCGTGGCTTGACTTTTCACTTTATTCTTTTATGGTTAGTGATTATTGCATCCATTTAAGAAATATTAGGCCGGGTGTGGTGACTTCACACCCGTAATCCCAGCACTTTGGGAGGCCGAGGTGGGCAGATCACTTTGAGCTCGAGTTCGAGACCAGCCTGGGCAACATGGTGAAACTGTCTCCACTAAAAATACAAAAATTAGCCAGGCGTGGTGGCCCATGCTTGTAATCCCAGCTACTCGGGAGGCTGAGGTAGGAGAATCGCTTGAACCTGGGAAGTGGAGGTTGCAGTGAGCCGAGATTGTGCCACTGCACTCCAGCCTGGGTGGCTGAGCCACACTCCATCTCAAAAAAAAAAAAAAGAAACGTTAGCCTTCCAAAGGCCATGAAGGTATTTTGCTGTTACCTTCTAAATGTATTTACCTTTAATATTTACATGCACAACCCCCTTGGAATTTGTTTTTGTATATGATGTAAGTAGAATCATTTATTGAAAAAACCACCCTTCCCCTACTGTGCTCTCGTGGCACTTTTGCAATACAATTAAGAGACTGAATGTTTATGAATTTGCTTCTAGACCCTTGATTTCACTGGTTTATTTGTCTCTCTTGCATCTGTTCCATACTGTCTTCTTATAAAGCACCAGTAATTAAATGAATCCATCATCTTGGTTCTTCTTCACAAGTGCCTTGGCTATTTCTGGTCCTTTGCATTTTCATATGCATTTTAGAATCAACTTAAAGATTTGCAGACACACAAAAAAACCCTGCTGGTTTTTATTATGATTGCGTTGACTCTATTGATTAATTTTTTAAAAATAGCAGCTGTATAATGTTAAGCCTTTCAATTCATTAATATATTTCAGTAACATTGTGTAGCTCTCTGTGTCAATCTCTTGCACATCCATATTCCTAAATATTTCATTTTTAATGCTATCAGAAATCACTGTTTTATAAAATTTGATATTCTAATTATTGCTAACATACAGAAATTAGACTGATTTTGCTATTTTGTTATTATATTCTGCAGCCTTGCTAAGTCCATTTATTTATCCTACTTATTTATCTGTAGATTACTTTAACTTTTTTATGTACATGTCATCTGTTTTTATTTCTTCCTTTTTTTCTTCCTCTCTTCCTTCTCAGCATTCATAAGTTTTCTTTCTTTTTCTTCCCAATTTTCACTGACCAGAACCACCAGTATTATGTTGCATAAATGGGATGGTAGCAGCATCCTTCTTTTTCCCTCAATCACCAGGGGAAAGCTTTTAATAATTCACCATTAACTGTGATGTTTTCTGTGGGGCTTATACAAATACATAATATTAGATTAGAAGTTCTCTGTAAAGGTTCTCTACCAATTTCATGAATACAGACAAAACACTCCCAGGACAAGCCAGGCAGAACAGTGTTATTACTCAGATAGACAGCAAGAGCAAACAGAAGCCTAGGCTCCATGGCCAGCCAGTTCTCTAAGGCTCAGGAAAGCTGCCCAGGATGGATGGAGTCTCCTCCGCACATAACCCACATTGCACTGCAACTGAAGGAAACCGCAAGCGCTCCGCCCTGAGTTTCCACACCCTGGGCACCACTTGGCTCACTGAGCACAAGCATTGCAGGACACCCTATTCTAGGAGGAATCATGACATAGCCCGGACTGCTGTGGACACCTCCTCCTTATCTCAAGATGTTGCATTTTCAGTTCATTCTGCCTAAGAATTGCACGCAAGAGGGGGATAAACTCAGTTGGCCAAGGTCGTCCAGGGACCTGTCCTTCTGCATTCTCATATATTCCTAGTATGCTGTGAATTATTTGATGATGAATTTAAATTAATGCTGCTTTTTTTGCTTTTATTGAGATAATCTTTTGATATTTTTCTCATTTATCTCTGTTAACATATTAAATGACATCAGTTGATTTTCAAATATTCAACCAAGCTTGAATTTCTGACATCAACCCAATGTAATCATGATTATCTTATATATATAGATATGTATATATCTCTCTCTATATATAGATATATATAGCTGAATTTGAATTGCTAATAATTTGGGATCTTTCATCAATATTTATGATAGATATTGTCCTATTTTCCCTTCCTCTTGTTATATTTTTATATCAAGGTTATTCTGGCATCATAAAACAAGTTAGGAAGTGTCTCACCTTTTTCTCTTCTCTGAGAGAGTTTATGTAAGTTTAGTGTTATATCATCCTTACACATTTGAAATATTTCAACAGTGACGCCATCTGTCTTGGCATTTTATTGGAAAGTTTTCAAATTACAAATTCAATTTCTTCAATAAATCTAAGAGAAGTATTCAGATTTCTATTTCATCATGTTTACTTCATGTTTGGTAATTTGTATTTCTCAAGGAAATTGAAAAATTAGATGAATTGTATAATTCATCTGAATTCCAAACTTATTGGCATGAGTTGTTCAAAATGCTCTTTTATGATCTTTCTAATATATGAAAGATCTGTAGTGATGGTCTCTTTTTCATTGTTGAAAAGTAGTAATTTGTGGCTTTTCTCTTCTGATTAAGTCTTATTATAAATTTAATTATTTTCTTAAGTTTTTTCATTGAGCTAACTTTTTCCTGGGTTGATTTTCTCTGTTATGCCTGTTTTCTCTTTAATTAATTTCTGATGTTATCTTTCTTCTTTCTTTCCATCCATTTTCTTTAGGTGTAATTCAATGTTTTTCTTAACTTCAGGAGAGACAGAATTAGGTCATAAATTGTCTTTTATAAATTATGCATCAGGAGCTACAAATTTCCCTCCAAGAACAGCTTTAGCTACCTTTCATGAGTTTCATGTGCCACATTTCACTGTTATTCCGTTCATAGTATTTTCCAATGCCTGTTGTGATTTCTCCTTTAAACTATGGGTTATTTAGAAGAACAAGAAGAACACTGCTTAATTTCCAGTAGAGATGTTCCTAATTATCTTTTGTTATTGATTTTTAGCTTAGTTCCACTGAAGTCAGAGAATATGCTCCCTATGTTTTTAATATTGTGAAATAAAACTTGATTTATGACCCTAACTTACCATCATTTTTGTTAAATGTTACATATAATATACCTGAAAACAATGTCTATCTCCAATTTTTGTTTGAAATATTCTACATATGTTATTAAGTACATATTGGTTGTCCAAATCTAGGATTTTACTGATTATTCTTTCTCTTTGTTCTACCATTACTGAGAGTTTTAAAAATTTTGTAACTATGATTATGATGTCATTTTTTTGTTCTATCACTTTACATAGTTTGAAACTGGATTATTAACTACATAGAAATTTAGGATTGTTATGTCTTCCTGTTGGATTACACATTTTATCATTGTGGAAGTTTCCCCTTTATCTTGAATAATTCTTCCTCCTTGAAGTCTTGTGACTCTGTGTTTGTCTAGTATTAACACAGCTGGATCAAATGGCATTTCTGGTTCTGAATCTTTGAGGAATCACCACACTGTCTTCCACAAGGGTTGAACTAATTTACACTCCCACCAAGAGTGTGTAAAAGCATTCCCTTTTCTCTGCAACCTCACCAGCATCTGTTGTTTCTTGACTTTTTAATAATCACCATTCTGATTGGCATAAGATGCCATCACATCCTGTACATGTACCCCGGAACTTAAAATAAATAAAAATTATGTTAATTTAAGTTAATTAAAAAATATAGCTATACCACCTCTCTTTTTGTTAGTGTTTGCACGGTATATTTTTCAGACTTTTATTTTCAGACTTTCTGTGTCCTAATATTACAGCTATGTCTTATTTAAGCAGCACAGCACTGAATTTTTGATGCACTATGAGAATATTGATTTTTAATTAAAATATTTAGTCTGTTTGTATTTAATGTATACACTAATATATTTGGGTTTAAGGCCAGCATATTACTATTTGTTTTCTATCCGTCCTACCTATTGTTTATTTCTTTTGTCTTTTTTGTTGTCTTCTTTTGGATTAACCCAGTTAATGGAAAATTATTCCATTAAATGGAATTCCCCAAAATTAAAATTATTCCATTTTCACCCTCTATTAATAAGTTATACCTTCTTTCATTATTTGTTGTTTGACCTACAGATTACAACATGCCCCTTGATAGATCCTGATAAATCTACAGGATCAAAATGCTATAAATTAGTATCATACAATTTTCAGACGATTAACACCCATGAAAGCAGGAGGAAAATTACTTCAGAGAAAAGCACAGAAATGAAGGAAGAAATGAAAGGTAGAAGAAACAAAGGATAAGAAATGGTAAATATGTGTGGAAAGTCTAAATTAGTAGTTCTCATCTGAAGTCAGTTTTGCTTACTGGGGGACACTGGCACTGACTGGAGGCATTTTGAGGCCCATAACCTAGGGTGGGGAGGATGCTACTGGCATCTAGAGGGTGGAGACTGGGGATGCTGATAAACATCTTACAGTGCCTAAGGCAGCTCCTACACAAAGAAGTATCTGGCCTAAAATGTCAACAGTGCCAGGTTTGAGAAACCTTGATCTAAGTGAATATTGAATGTATAAAATACCAAAAATAATATTGTCTTGTGAGGTTAAAATACTTAATTAAAAGCCAACAATAGCACAAGAGGTCAGAGAGAGTAAATGGAGTTAGTGATCTAAAATTCTTTAATTGTCTGAAAATTGTACGATACTAGTTTATAGCATTTTGATCCTGTAGATTTATCAGGATCTATCAAGGTGCATGTTGTAATCTGTAGGTCAAACAACAAATAATGAAAGAAGGTATAACTTATTAATAGAGGGTAAAAATGGAATAATTTTAATTTTGGGGAATTCCATTTAATGGAATAATTTTCCATTAACTGGGTTAATCCAAAAGAAGACAACAAAAAAGACAAAAGAAATAAACAATAGGTAGGATGGATAGAAAGCAAATAGTAATATGCTGGCCTTAAACCCAAATATATTAGTGTATACATTAAATACAAACAGACTAAATGTTTTAATTAAAAATCAATATTCTCATAGTGCACCAAAAATTCAGTGCTGTGCTGCTTAAATAAGACACAGCTGTAATATTAGGGCACAGAAAGTCTGAAAATAAAAGTCTGAAAAATATACCATGCAAACACTAACAAAAAGAGAGGTGGTATAGCTATATTTTTTAATTAACTTAAATTAACATAATTTTTATTTATTTTAAGTTCTGGGGTACATGTACAGGATGTGATGGCATCTTATGCCAATCAGAATGGTGATTATTAAAAAGTCAAGAAACAACAGATGCTGGTGAGGTTGCAGAGAAAAGGGAATGCTTTTACACACTCTTGGTGGGAGTGTAAATTAGTTCAACCCTTGTGGAAGACAGTGTGGTGATTCCTCAAAGATTCAGAACCAGAAATACCATTTGATCCAGCTGTGTTAATACTAGACAAAACACACAGTCACAAGACTTCAAGGAGGAAGAATTATTCGAGATAAAGGGGAAACTTCCACAATGATAAAATGTTTAATCCAACAGGAAGACATAATAATCCTAAATTTGTATGTAGTTAATAATCCAGTTTCAAACTATGTAAAGTGATAGAACAAAAAAATGACATCATAATCATAGTTACAAAATTTTAAAAACTCTCTCAGTAATGATAGAACAAAGAGAAAGAAAAATCAGTAAAATTCTAGATTTGGACAACCAACATGGCCTTAATAACATATGTAGAATATTTCAAACAAAAATTGGAGATAGACATACTTTTCAGGTATATTATATGTAACATTTAACAAAAATGATGGTAAGTTAGGGTCATAAATCAAGTTTTATTTCACAATATTAAAAACATAGGGAGCATATTCTCTGACTTCAGTGAAACTAAGCTAAAAATCAATAACAGAAGATAATTAGGAAAATCTCTATTGGAAATTAAGCAGTGTTCTTCTTGTTCTTCTAAATAACCCATAATTTAAAGAAGAAATCACAATAGGCATTGGAAAATACTATGAACCGAATAACAGTGAAATGTGCCTTAAAACATTGTCTTTTCATGTTCATTCTTAAGGATATTTTCATTAGGTATAGAATTCTGATTTGCGGTTATTTCCTTTCAGTGCTTTACCTTCAAAAAAGCAACAATTAGACTTATAGTTAATTTTTCAACAGAAATTATGAAACTGTTAATCCACCACCACCAGCATCCTCCTCAGCTAGTTTCAAGATTTTCTCTTGGTCTTCAGTTTTCATCGGTTTCAGCATGCTATCCTTAGGTATGGTTTCTTTATATTCATCCTGTCTGAGGTTTATAGCGCTTTTTAAATCTGTGGCTCAATATCATTGATCAGCTTTGGACTATTCTTAGTCACAATCTCTTCAAATATTGGCTCTGCTCCATTCTTTTCTCTTCCTCTCTAAATTCATATGCTCAGAATTGTTCACTGTGTCCTGTATATCCTTGGTGTTTTGATATGGAGCTTGCTGACTTTCAGCCTCACTCCTAAGTGATCGGGGTAGGTTCCCTGTTGACAAACCTTCCATATATGCATCTTTGGGTTTTTCTTTTCGTGCTGCTCAGATTTCCAGGAATGGCGTCTTCCAGTCTTCTACCTGGAGGGTGAAGATTTGACTTCTAGCTTTCTGAGAGGCTTCAAAAGAACGAGAATCTCAGCATGTAGCATTCATCTAAGCATTTGGTAGATTAATCCTGGTGTGTTCATTATGGTATTATTGTATTAATTGCAGCTGGCATCTTCCAGTCTAATAACCCCCTGTTTTACTTATTCCACAATATCTTTATATTAAAGGTAATGAGTTTAAAATATCTCTGCTAAGTATAATGATTGCTGCAACTTTGGGTATAAAACTTTTATCAGCCAATAGATGTTCTCTTCTGTTCTTAACTTCCTGAAGTTATCATAAATGGGTATTGAGACTTAACAAGTGCTTTTTCTGCATCAAGAAATCACATGATTTTCTCTATTTTATTATTATGGCAAATCTACCATCCTTACTTTCCTGGAATAAACCCTACATGAGTCTGAAATATTTTATATACTGTTGGATTCAGTTGACTGGTTTTGCTTTTGTTTTTGTTTTTGGATTTCTGAATCTATGTTCATTAGTGAAATGGGCCTATGATCTTTCTTTGTATTGTCCTCAGTCAAGTTGTGTAGCCAAAATGATGATATAAAATGAATCGGGCAGTCTTTTTTCTTTCCACTATTTTCTGGAACACCTTGTATAAAAGAGGAATTAGCTGCTCCTTGGAATTTTATTTTTAGAATTCACGTTAACCATCTAGGCATGTGAGGTTATTAGTCCGTTCTCACACTGCTAATAAAGACATATACAAAACTGAGTAATTTACAAAGGAAAAGAGGTTTAATTGGCCAGTGCTGTGACTCAGGCCTGTAATCCTAGCCCTTTGGGAGGCCGAGGTGGGTGGATCACGAGAACAGGAGTTTGAGACCAGCCTGGCCAACATGGTGAAACCCCCTCTCCACTAAAAAGTACAAAAATTAGCCTGGCGTGGTGGCGCGCCTGTAATCCCAGCTACTCAGGGGAGCTGAGGCAGGAGAATCCCTTGAACCCGGGAGGCAGAGGTTGCAGTGAGCCGCGATCGCGCCACTCACTCCATCCTGGGCAACAGAGTGAGACTCTGTTTCAAAAAAAGAAAAAAAAAATGGTTTAATTGACTCACAGTTCAGCATGGCTCGGGAGGCCTCAGAAAACTTACAATCATGGTGGAAGGGGAAGCAAACATATCCTTCTTCAGATGGCAGCAGCAAGGAGAAGAATTGGAACCCAGAGCAGGGGGAAGCCCCTTATAAAGCCACCAGCTCTCATGAGAACTTACCTGCTATCACGAGAATAGCAGGGGGGAAACTGCCCCCATGATTCAATTCCTCCCACCGGGTCCCTCCTATGACACGTGGGGATTATGGGAACTACAATTCAAGATGAGATTTGGGTGGGGACACAACCAAACCACATCATGAGGTTTGGGAAAAAATAAGTCTTTGCCCAGTTTTAATTTATTTGATATCTGTTGGTCTTTCAAGTTATCTCTTTGTCCTTGCACTAATTTGGGGATATTATATATTTTTCTAGGAACTTAATTACTTCTGTGAGAGTTTTCCTCTACTGGCATACATATATAATATTATTATTTTACTTTATTTATATTCCTAGAGTGTCTGTGGTTATTTGCTCTTTCTCATTCTTCATTTGCAGAGATCAGATGTCAGCCTACATTACTAATTTTTTTCAAAGAACTAGTTTTTTGTTTGAAAACTCATATTTAATTTTTTCTCTATGTCATGAACATCTGCCCTTTATTCATTTTTTTTGGACTTTCCCTATTGTGCCTTTTCAAAAGTTGTGAGTTGAACATTCACTATATTTATTATTAACCTTTCTGGTTTCCTTATTATTGTATTTAAAAGCTAAAGAAAATCCTTGTAAGTGCTATGTTTATAATGAATCACTACTTTCAACTTTTGAAAAGTAGGATTTCATTATCATTCAGTCCTAAATATTCTTTCACTTATTGATTGATTTCTTTTTGAACTTGGTTCAATTAGTAATATATTTTTAATTTACAAATACATTGACTCTTTCACTTTCATTTGTTATTAATTTCTACTGATTGCATTATGGCAGAGAAAGTAGCCATAAAGGGAAAATATAGCTATTGGCTATTTGGAATGTATTGACACTGCCTTTATGGCTAATACATTGTTAATTTTCTTTTATTTTCCTTTATTTTTTTGAGACAAGATGTCACTGTGTTCCCCAGGCTGGAGTGCAGTGGGGCAACCGCAGCTCACTGCAGCCTCAATCTCCCAGGCTCAGGTGATCCTCCCACCTCAGCCTCCCAGGTAGCTGGGGCTACAGGCACACATCACCACACCCAGCTAATTTTTTGTCCTTTTTTTTTTTTTTTTTTTTAATTGACAGAGTTTTGCCATGTTGCTCAGGCTAGTCTCAAATGGCTGGCCTCAAGCAATCCTCCTGCCTCAGCCCTGCAAAATGCTGGGATTACAGGCATGAGCCACCACACCTGGCCCATTGTTGATTTCCGTAAATGTTCTGTGTGTGTGATTAAGAAGACGCTGTCTCTGTCTCTGTCTCTTTCTCTGTTTCTCTCTCTCTCTTTCTCTCTTTCAGTTCTATATACGTTCTATGACCTCGAGCAGGTATTATACTGTTCAAATTTTTGTATCTCTGCTTATTTTTAATCTACTTGATCTAATAGTTCTGAAAAGGCTGTGTTAAAATCCTCAAAAACAACTGAAGTTTTATGTAATTCTCTTGCAGTGCTATCCGTTGTTGCTTGATATATAAAGGCCATATATAGTTATGTTAGATATATATTTTTGTTCTATTGTTCTTTTTGCAGTTATATAGCATTTTGTTTTGTTGTAAGTGAATTTTTGCCTGTTATTTTATTTTTTTTTGAAAATTAAGGTTGCTACACCAACTTTCTTTGGGTTGATATTTGCCTGTTATAGCTTTTTTCATCTTATTTCCAAACTTCCTTTACCTTTCCATTTCACGAGTGTCTCTTGTGTACAATATATTATAGAATTTTTAAATCCAATACATTTACTATAATTACTAATATATTAGAAATTAGTCTACCTTCTTATCTTTCCTTTTTTTGTCTTCCAATCAAATAGATTGAGTTTACTTCTGCTGACTTAGAATACAGTTTCCCCACTCCTTTTTATGACTGTATATTATTCCATTGTGTGAATTTTCCATAATTTATTTAATGAATCCACTACTGATGGACATTCAAGTTGCTTCCAACTGTATTCCAATCATACAATCATATTCTAGTTCAAACAGTGAAGAACCTTGTTCATAGTTTCTTTTTTTTCTTTCTTTTGAGATGGAGTTTCACCCTGTTGCCCAGGCTGGAGTGCAGTGGCACGATCTCGGCTCACCGCAACCTCCACCTCCCGGGTTCAAGCGATTCTCTTGTCTCAGCCTCCCTAGTAGCTGGGACTACAGGTGCCCGCCACCACGCCCGGCTAATTTTTGTATTTTTAGTAGAGACGGGGTTTCACCATGTTAGCCAAGATGGTCTCGACCTCCTGACCTTGTGATCTGCCCGCCTTGGCCTCCCACAGTGCTGGGATTACAAGCGTGAACCACCGCACCCGGCCCCTTGTTCACAGTTTCTAATCCCAGCTCATCTTGCAGGTTTGTCTTTCTGGATGCCTCTGACTCCAAGCATTGATGGCCCTCTCACAGGCTCTGTCTTAGGTTGGATTCTCCAGAAGCGGGCCCTGAGATAAGGTTCATGTGAATGTGGCTTACTAGGACCCAACCCCAGGAAAACCTGGTGGGAGAGTGGGGAGCAGAACCAGGAAGGAGGCCAAGCCAGGTGCAGTTTCAAGCTCATCACCAGGGAAAGTGACTTTGCTTCAGTCCACCCAACACGGGTCTTTCCTCACTGTGCCCAGACCAGGGCAAGCACACTACAGTGTTTATAGCCCTGCTCCATCTGGCATTGTTAAGGGGGACCCCTAAGGAGACATAAATTCCAGGCACTTCTGGTGAGCATCAAAGGTGAAGAACCCTAAAGGCAGACTGTGGACAGAGAGATGCAGGCAATGGCTTTGGGGAGCTAATATGTATGGGAATGCCCTGGCTGACATAACCTTGTCTGTTGCAGTGTCCTGGCTCCTAACTCAGTCTGAGCAAATGAAGGAGAATCAGGAATTTGAAGGAAGTTCTCTAATGTCTTCCATTTTCAGCCTTAGAACAGTGATGGGCTTTAAAGCAAGGCACCTCTATGCAGACGCTTGTCTACCATGTATAGATCATGACATCATAGGCAGGACATCAGTTAACTGTTTTGTTTTGTTTTGTTTTGTTTTGTTTTGTTTTGTTTTGTTTTTTCAGACTGAGTCTCACTTCGTCGCCCAGGCTGGAGTGCAGTGGCACAATCTTGGCTCACTGCAACCTCTGCCTCACGAGTTCAAGCAATTCTCCTGCCTCAGCCTCCCAAGTAGCTGGGATTACAAGCGCCCGCCACCACACCCGGCTAATTTTTGTATTTTTAGCAGAAGCGGGATTTCACCGTGTTGGCCATGCTGGTCTCGAACTCCTCACCTCAAGTGATCTGCCTGTTGTTTTAAGCCACATTTTCCTCATCTATAACTGGAGATGACACTAGTTCTTATAGCAGAAAGCTTGGCTTAGTGCCTGGCATAGAGTAAGTGGCCACACAAGTTCCTGTCATTATTACTATTGTGTTGTTGTTGTTGTTGTTGTTGCTTAGAGACAGGGTCTCACTCTGTGGCCTGGCTGGAGTGAAGTAGAGAAATCACAGCTCACTGCATTCTCAGATTCCTGGGCTCAAGCCATCCTCATGCTTCAGCCTCCCCAAATAGCTAGGACTACAGGCGCACACCACCATACCCAGCTAATTTTTATTTTTACTTTTTGTAGAAACCGGGTCTCACTATGTTGCCCAGGCTGGTCTTGAACTGTTTGCCTCAAGCAATTCTCCTGCCTCTGCCCCCCAAAGTGCTGGGATTACCAATGTGAGCCACCTTGGTTGGCCCCTATTATTTAGCAGAACTTTCCTCAGTGTCTGGCAAACAAGACCTAAAGGACTTTGAGCTGCTTAAACAACCACTAGAAAGCACCTTAAGAAACAAAGATGCCCATGTATTTACTATTTATATAAAATACATAAACAGGAGGAAATCACATAAATCACAAGCTGCTATTTCCCTTAGAATCTACAACAACCATATTATTTTATGAAAAACTGGACCATATTAAATTACTCAGGCCTCGGAAATTTGTAAACGTGTACAATTCCGCATTGGAAACAGCCGTTTATATGTACTGTCACTTAAAACACAAATTATGGTTATTGTAAAAGATTTTAATTCACATAAATTTACGGGTAAAAACCACATATCTAGGAGAGAACTACTCAGGGCTTGCCACACATATAAAGAGGCTGCCGGAAGTCCCGGCAGCTGGTTACCGTCTCTTATGATGACAGGGGCTGGGTAGGATGGAGGATAAGAAGGGAAGGTGCCAGGTGCAGCGGCTCACACCTGTAATCCCAGCACTTCGAGAGGCCAAGGCGGTAAGATCACTTGAACCCAGGAGTTCAAGACCAACTGGGCAACATAGTGGGACCCCATTTCTACAAAACGAACAAACAAATAATTAGCTGAGGTGGTGGCATGCACCTGTCGTCACTGTAGTCCCAGCAACTTGGGAGGCTGAGATGGGAGAATTGCTTGAGCCCAGGAGGGCAAGGCTGCAGTGAGCCATGATTGCACCACTGTACTCCAGCCTAGGTGACAGAGTGAGACCTTGTCTCAAAAAATATATATAATTTGTAGCATCTGCTACAAATGTTTTTAAAATGTACTGTGACTCAGAACATGGTGAAATGTATGATTATGTGAATCCATTTTAGAACCCAACTTTTATTACAGGAAGCAGAATACCTTGGAACGTTATTACTTCTAAAACTTTTTTCCATGAAATGAACCTTGAAAACTATGCTCTATCTAATAGGTCTCTGGACAATTATATATAATCATCTTTCCTCTTAGAAAGAACTACTTTTTAATCCAGTTCTCCTTATCCACATGACAAGTCCATCATAACTTTGACACATCATATACCCTGAGCCAGTAGTCTAATGTATCATAAATTAATGCCAGCACCAATACAACATTTTGATCACCATATCTGTTACAGAAAAATCTAAATGTGTTAAAACCATCTGATAACTCTGCCCTCAAGTTTTCCAGGCCATTTAATTATTAAATTTCCCTTGTGAAAGGGATCTGTATTGTATGCAATTCAGACTTCGGTGGATGGCAAGGGTTTTTTTCCTGAGGTCACCAGTGCTTTTAACCACTGCCTAAAGAGCATCCTGTGCTGATTAACATGCCTCGGATTAACTAGATTTCGCATGTGGCAATCATACTCCATTCAGCAGGGCCCATCTCTGGTGAATCGTGGACATTAATGACAGTTGCAAGAGCTCAAATATTATATAATCACTAATTACATTCTGTGCAATTAGTGGAGGCTCATCAGTGTGAATCACTAATGGCTGATCACCCTGTTCTCTCTGGGAAGAAATAGACGGTCTGCATAATTTTCTGATTGTATTAGCATAGACACAAACGTTATTAACGAACTTTGGCGACCATGAAGAGGCTCGATGCCTGTGATGGACAAAGGCAAGAGGCTCCGCTTGATGGGCACAGACACTTCATTTTGAACATGAGCACTGTGTTTGTGGTTTTCTGGTATGACTCACTCACTCCTCACCTTCTGAATGGAAACTGCACGCAACATCTTGGCCACTCAGCCAATAAATAACTTGCACACAAGTCCAGTTTAAAAAAAAAATAACTGTGGATTTGTATTTTTCTTAAATCGGTTTTCAGAGAGCCAAGCTTTAAGAATTGTGGGACATTTAAATATATAGCTGGTGACTAAATAGGAGAAACACCTCTGAAATGGTAGAGAGATTATCTGAATTTTATTTAACCCTCTGTATGTTGGGCCACTATATTAGTTTGCCAGTGCTGCCGTAATAAAATATCACAGTTTGGATGGCCTAAACAATAGAAGTTTATTTCTCACAATCCACAGGCTGAAAGTCAGAGGCAAGTTTGGCTTCTCCTGAGGCCTCCTCTCTCCTTGGCTTGCAGGTGGCTGTCTTCTTGCTGCGTCTCCACATGGCTTTTTCTCTGTGCGAAGGCATCCCTGATGTCTCTCTGTGTGTGTGGGTTTCCTTTTCTTATCAGGATATAGTCAGATTGAATTAGGGCTCACCCATATGACTCACTTTATCTTAATTACCTATTTATTTATTTATTTCTGAGACAGGATTTTGCTCTGTCGCCCAGGCTGGAGTGCAATGGCGCAATCTCGGCTCACTGCAATCTCTGCCTCCCAGGTTCAAGCGGTTCTCCTGCCTCAGCCTCCTGAGAAGCTGGGATTACAGGCACATGCCACCATGCCCAGCTGATTTTTATATTTTTAGTAGAGACAGGGTTTTGCCTTGTTGGCCTGGCAGGTCTCGAACTCCTGGCTTCAAGCGATCCGCCCGCCTTGGTCTCACAAAGTGCTGGGACTACAGGTCTGAGCCACTGCGCCTGGCCTTAATTACCTCTTTAAAGGAGCTATTTCCAAATACAGTCACACTCCGAGGTACTGGGACTTGGGCTTTGACCTATGAATTTTGGGAGAACACAAATCAGCCTACAACAGCAGAATGTTTACAAACTACAAATATTCTAACCCAAGACGTTCTTGCTGGAAGACTGACAACGGGCTTGACTACATGAACATCTTAAGGGTGTCCTTTGGTGGGGACCTACACTGTCCAAAATGGTAGCCAACAGCTATGTGTGGCTACCATGTTCAATAGCCAATGTGACTGTTGAACACTGACATGTGGTGAGAAACCGAATTTTAACTAATTTAAACTTAAAAACTAAAGAAGGGTAAAACTATTTTTCTGCTGAAGACAGCTTTATTGGGTTGGTAGAAACACATTTAATTGCAATCATTACAAATTTAGTGTCTGGATAGAGATGTGATAAAAATGTAAAATACACACTGGAATTCAAAGACTTAGAATGAAAAAAGTGAAATATTTAATAATTTGTATATTGATTATATGTTGAAATGAAAATACTTTTAATGTGTTGAGCTAAATTAAATATATTAATAAACTCAATTTCACCAGTTTCTTTTCTTTTTTTAATAATGTGGCTACTGGATAATTTTAAATGACAGGTCTGGTTTGCACTATATTCCTCTTGAACAACATTGGGTTAGAGCTTTAGCTCATTGCTCACCAAAAGTGGGTCAGCAAATACCCTAAAATATGCATTCCTTTTGCCAAAAAGATTAAAGTTCCAGGTTCTTTTGTGTCCTCTGTACAAAGATTAAGATAACTGAAACCAACCATTTATTCTTGGATACTAATATATTATTAAATCTCCCATTACTTGCCATATTTGTAAGTTTTCTCAATAATATTTTCAACATTAAAATCTTGTTAAAGATACCTATATATAAGAATCAGAAATAATTTTCCATGTAATGAAATGATTCTTTCTTATAAATCAATCCTTCTATGCTGGTGCCCTGGTTTCTTTTTTTTTTTTTTTTTTTCCCAAAATGCCCTGGCTTAATTTGTCTTCCCATCCTACTTGCCATTTGTTTTTCTGTCCTCCTGCCTCAGTTGCTAGGAAATTCCTAAGCAAAGCATCTGACGTCTGATGAGGTCCGGCGGCTCACACCTGTAATCCTAGCACTTTGGGAGGCCAAGTAGGGAGGATCACTTGAAGCCAGGAATTCAAGACCAGCCTGGGCAACAAAGCAAGACCCTGTTTCTAAGAAAAATTAAAAAAAATTAATAATTAGCCAAGCACGGTGTCTACTCAAGAGGCTGAGGCAGGAGGATAACTTGAGCCCATGAGTTAGAGGCCGCAGTAAGCTGTGATTGTACCACTGCGCTCCAGCCTGGGCGATAGAACCAGACCCTGTTTCCAAATAAATAAATAAAAGCATCTAATATCCTTTCTTTCTTCTATTTAACACAGGCTGAAAACTCACTCTAATTTCTTCATCTGCAGCATAGAAGAGCAAAGAAAGCCCATGGAGTCTATAGTTATGGTACAACTTTTAGATAGGCCTGACACGGTCAGTGGTGGGACAGTGGGGGTTTTGAAGGGCTGTAGGAATTGAATTCTAAGGTTTTGTAAAAGACTTTGAGGGTGATTTTTGTAAATCACTCTACTTAACATTACAGCATTAAAAAGTAAAGAATTAAAAGTTAAACATTCAAACAAGGTAAAAGATTCAAGATCAGAATAATTGGTTGGTTTTCTCTAACCCTTTCTTAAGCAGCTTAATCCCCAAATGTCATAAAGAACAACTAACAAACAGCAGACGGAACTTCTGGACACCTGACCCCATGACACAGTTCATTATTACCCTCCTGTCAGTCCCCCTTAGCCTCTGATAGGGAATATCTAAAATTCCCTAAATGACCAGAGAATCAGTCTAGTGTCACGTCATCACTCTAAAATATAGGACAAGGGGAACGATCAAAGAGACAGTTTTTGCCTTATCACTTTGTTCTTTCTGGCATCAGTCAGCCTTTAGAATAACGAAATCAATGCAAACATTTGTTGGGAGATGCCTACTTTGAAGATCATTTGCTACCTAACTGTCTTGGTCATTTACATGGAATCCAGGGAGGATTTCAAAGATTCTCTCTCCCTTGTTACTCAGATAAAAGGAAGACTCAGGTGTTGAGTTTGGTTTTGTGTGTGTGTGTGTGTGT
This sequence comes from Homo sapiens, assembly GCF_000001405.40. Classification (NCBI taxonomy): domain Eukaryota; kingdom Metazoa; phylum Chordata; class Mammalia; order Primates; family Hominidae; genus Homo; species Homo sapiens. The sequence goes on from NC_000020.11 coordinate 21,078,219, forward strand.
GTGTGTGTGTTTTAATATTTGATAAGGCTTCTATTTCACACTCACAAAGATTCCCATGTGGGTTTTATTTCTTTTTGTCCTTTAATTGAAGTTATGCAGATTGAATCAAACATGACAAATGCATTCAGACCCAAAAAAGGAAAAAATATTTACAGCCAGAAAAGTAACATGTAAGAGTGTGGTTTCCTATAGATAAAGCAAATGTTTTTCAGTGTGTGCAGTAGAAGTAATACATTGCAGAGTGCCTTACATTAGAAAATACAAGAGAAAAAAAGGTTGGTAAACATAGCCAGCAGACAGATATGAAAGATTTACTTACCAAAACTTGGGAGGGGAAGATGAAGAAAGGGTGTACACGAATAAAGTCCTCATCTGATATAACAAGTTCCGTAGAAAATGTGGAAAGAAACAAAATCAAGAACTAGTGGGAGGCCATGTTAATTAGAGTTATGGAGGCAACTACTGGAAAACAGAGAATCAAAGAAAGTTTAAAGTTGTTGAAGGGATTTTGCTTTTCATTGGATGACCTTTGGCACTCTTTGGTTTTCTTTAATACATACACAAGTATTATTTTCAGAATATCTTTCCATTTGAGAAATAACAATCTGAACTCTGCATTTACATCTCTCATTTACTTCTCACCCACTGTCATCTGCCTCACATTCCCCAACCCATTACCCTCCCCTTGCCTAAAACACCCATCCTCTTTCTTTTCCTCTTTCCATCCCACCATGCTTCCCTTGCAAACCACCAGAAGACTTTCATAACGTCACTCAATCTGCTGTCTCGAATGACCTCTTAATTAGCAAATCCAAGGGACACTATTCAAGTGTGTTCCTCAAGGCCCTATCCTCTCTCCTTTTCTCTTTTCATTCTATTCACTCTCCATGAGCAATATCATCCTTACCCATGTATGTAACCTTACATCTATGTTGATGGCTACTAAACCAGTCTGTCTTCTCCATAGTATTAGTTATCTACCAACAGCCTGGTGAACATTACAGATGATAGGATTGGCCCTTCAAACTCAATCTGTCCAAATCTCAAGTCTCCATCTTTTCTTCTCCAATCTGCTCTCACTCTACATTTGCTGTTTTGGTAAATAGGTCCTACCCTGTTACCTAAGCCAAAGACTAGAGAGTTATCCTAGATTTATGCATCTCACTCATGAAACACTGGAGACAAACTCATTAAAACATATAGGACTCACAGATAGGAAACCTGTAAAAAAGAAGACATTCAAGAAGTACCATGCATTTAAGAAAAATAAAAACCATAAAACAGAAGAGGCAAATTCAAGAAGCAAAAGAACAAACACCTGAAGAAAAGAAATGTTTGTCTTCATTCACAAATGATATGATCGTATACGTTAAAAATCAAAAAAGTCTACAAAAATTTACTAGAACTAATGAATAAATAGAATAAAGCAGTTGGATACAAGGTGAATATGTAAAATTAATTTTATTCTGTATATCAGCAACAAACAGGTGGAAAATAATTTGTAAATGCCATTTATAATAGTATCAAAAACATTAAATGCCTGGGAATGAATGTAACAAAATATGTGCAAGACATTTACACTACTATAAAGTACTACTAAAAAATCTAAAGATCTAAATAAATGGAGAGATATACTATTTTCATGGAGTGGCAAACTCAATATTGTAGATAGCAATTCACCCCCAAACTGAGCTATTAAATCACCATGATTCTAATCAAAACCCTAGCAAGCCTTATTTTAGAAATCAACAAGTTGATGTGGAAATGCAAAGGCACTAGATTAGCAAAGACAATCATGAGAAAAAAAACAAAGCAGGAGGACTTATACTACTAGCAGAGTTTAAGACTTATTACAAAGCTGCATGAATTAAAACAGCACATCTATGCCAAGAAAAAACAAAACAAAGCAGTGTATCTGTGCAAAGACATATAGATAGATCAAAGTAATAGACTAGAGGCAAAAAATAGACCCATAAAGTCAATTAATTTTTTTTTTTGAGACAGAGTTTTGCTCTTGTTGCCCAGGCTGGAGTATAATGGTGCAATCTCGGCTCACTGCAACCTCCGCCTCCTGGGTTCAAGCGATTCTCATGCCTCAGCCTCCTGAGTAGCTGGGATTACAGGCATGTGCCACCATGCCCGGCTAATTTTTGTATTTTCGTTTTTTTTTTTTTTGGAGAGACTTGGTTTCTCCATGTTGATCAGGCTGGTCTCGAACTCCTGACCTCAGGTGATCCACCTGACTCGGTCTCCCAAAGTGCTGGGATTACAGGTGTGAGCCACCACACCCAGCCTTCAATTGATTTTCAATGAAGATGCTCAACAACTCAAAGGGAAAAGAAAAACATTTTCAATAAATAGTATGGAGAAATTTGAATTTATATCTTAAAAATGAAACTTGACCTCCTACCTCACACCATTCACACAAAAAAAATTAAGATAAATCATAAACCTAAATGTGAAAGTTAACATATAAAGTTCCTAAAAATATATAGGAGACTATCTTCATGATCTTAGAGTAGAGAAATATTTTTTAAGGCACAAAACTTTAAAGACCATTAGAGAAAACATCTAATAAATTAGACTTCATGAAAATGTAAAATTTTACTCATAAAAAAAAAAAAACACCATTAGCCAGGTGCAGTGGTGCACACCAGTAGTTTCAACTACTCAGGAGACTGAGGTGGGAGGATCTCTAGAGCCCAGGAGTTTGAGGCCAGACTGGAAAACAGTGAGACTCTGCCTGGAGAGAAAAAAAAAACAAAACACTATTAATATAGTGAAAAGGCAAGCCACTCACTGGGAAAAAATACTCTCAACCTGTGTTTCTAACAAAAGATTCACATACGTAATTTACAAAAACTCCTGTAAATCAAGAAGAGAAAGTCAAACAACCCAATTCTTAAAATGGACAAAAGACTTGAACAGGTACTTGCAAAATAATATATCCAAATGGATAATAAATATATGAATAGGTGTTCAATACAATTACTCATCAGGGAAATGTAACTAAAGACCACAATAACATCACTTGAGATGCTGAAAATTCTGATACATACCACAATATGAATGAATCTTGAGGACATTATGCTAAGTGAAATAAACCATTCACACAAAAGACAAATACTGTATGATTACTCTTATATGAGGTACCCACAGTAGTCAAATTCATAGAGACAGGAAGTACAATGGTGGTTGCCAGGACCCGGGGGGAGAGGGAAATGGGCAGTTATTTTTTGTGGATGCAGGGTTTCAATTTTGCAAGATAAAATGAGTGCTGGAGAGGGATGGTGGTGATGGTTGTAACCGTATTGAGAGATGATGGAACGTTAAGGTATTTGGGTCATGAGGAATCCACCTTCATGAAGGGATAAATGTAGCGTCTCAGGAGTGAATGAGTTTTCACTCTCATGGGACTGGATTGGTGGCAGCAAGAGCAAGTTGTTAAAAGTGAGGTTGTCGGGCATGGTGGCTCATGCCTGTAATCCCAGCAGTTTGGGAGACCAAGGCAGGAGAATCGCTTGAGCCCAGGAGTTCGAGACCAGCCTGGGCAACATTGTGAGAGGTAGTTCCTATAAAATAAAATAAAATTAGCCAGGCATGGTGGTGCATGCCTTTGGTCCCAGCTATTCAGGACGGGGAAGCAGGAGGATCACTTGAGCCCAGGAGTTTGAGGCTGCAGTGAGCCATGATCACATCACTGAACTACAGCCTGGGTGACAGAGCAAAACTCCACTCAAAAAACAATAAGAAGAAAATAAAAATAAGTGTGGTTGCCTCTGATGTTTTGTCCTCTTTGCATGCACACACTTCTGTTTCCACTTCTCCACCACGTTATGATGCGGCACATGGCTCTCAGCAGACACTGACCAGATGTGGCCACCCAATATTGGATTTCCCAACCCCAGAATCATGAGCTAAATAAATATTTTTCATTTATAAATTACCCAGTCTTAGATTTTCTGTTATAGCAACACAAAAATGGACTAAGACAGCCCACTTTACAGCAAAAATGATGCAGCAGTAGTTTCATGCCCAGGGGGTCTACGAGTCCTGCTGCATTCAACACCAAGAGGAAGCTGCCAGCCTGATCAATGAGTTATATCACCTGCTCAAGGCAAAGCCAATGTGCGGGCTGAGAGATAAACATCTTACCAGGATGAGGCTGTTTTCCAGAATATGGCACACAGCCTAAGTCAATGACCCTTATATGGTACTGTGTCCCCACTAGATGAAATAAATAGATTTTGGGACCAAGGGCTGAATATAGAAGTAGCCTCACATATCATCACTTCCAGTGATTTGTTTAGAAATACGTGCTTCTCATGTCTTCAAACCTAGTTTCCGTGGGTGTAGACATTCTGCTACCCAGAAGGGGAACACTTCCACCAGAGGATGTAAGTATATCATTAAACTTTATAGCTGTGAATGCCAACTGTGGGCTCCTCATGTCAAGAGACCAGCAAGCAAGGACTGGAGTCACCATTTTGGAAAGCATCAATTAACCCTGATCATCATGAACAGACAGGGCTGCTGGTAAGCAGTGAGGGCCGGGAGGAATGTGTGCTGCATCCACTGAGTGCCTCTAGGCGTTCCCTTGCCCAGTTGTAATGGTAAATGGACAAGCATAGCAGCCACAGTCACAGAAGGGCATGGAGACCAGAGGCTCAGACTCCTCAGGGACAAAGATCTGGGTCACCCCAACAAGGAAGTTTCCTAGACCAGGACAGGTACTGGCTGAGTCTGAGGGAAATCTAGAATGAAGAATGGGGGAAGGAAAAGATGAGTATCAGCTTCAGTCCTAAGTTAGCTACATTACTAGGAGCTATAGTTCATCCCACTAACTTTCCTCTTGTAAGTTTCCCCAGGAAAAAACATTGAGAAACATGGAAGGCTGAATTTACATGCAGCAAGCAGAACTGAGAGGCACAAACCCCATTCTATAGAGGACGCTAGGACACTACCCAGATTCCTGCTTCAGGACGGGTGCATGCACTGCATGGGTGGACTGCATTTTGCCTCCTTAGGACTTACTTTTGGGTCCCTCTCCAGAAACAGCTCTTAGCTGATGGCAGCTGCCTGGCCCAAGCTTCAGCCCCTCTTTGAGGACAATGTACATCCAATGATCACTCACTGCAAGGGTACAACGTGAAAGGCTGCTGGACTACAAATCTAAGCATATTCCTTTGAGACAGTATCAATGCACTGAGATATACAGAAGCTCATTCATTTAGCAAATATTAAGCATAGACTACGGGTCTAAACTATTTCAGGAGCTTGATATATATCAGTGAACTAAACACAAGAATTCCTGCCCTTCTGGAGTTTACATTCTAGTGGGAAGAGATATAGTAAACAATATACATAATAAAGTAAATTATGGCCGGCGCAGTGGTTCACGCCTGTAATCCCAGCACTTTGGGAGGCCAAGGCAGGTGGATTACTTGAGGTCAGAAGTTCGAGACCAGCCTGGCCAACATGGTGAAACCTTGTCTCTACTAAAAATACAAAAATTAGCCGGCTGTGGTGGGCGGGCACCTGTAATTCCAGCTACTCAGGAGGCTGAGGCATGAGAGTCACTCAAACCTAGGAGGCAGAGGTTGCAGTGAGCCAAGACCACACCCACTTGTACTCCAGCCTGGGTGACAGTGAGACTCCATCTCAAAAAAAAAAAGAAAAGAAAGAAAGTAAATTATATGGTATGCTATGAAAAGAAAAAGAGCACAGATAAGAAAGATGAGGGGCACTGAGGAATGGTGGATGGCTGCAACTTTAAAATGGGTTGTCCAGGTAGATCTCTTTGAGAAGATGACTTGAAGGAGGAAGCATGCAATTATGTGGGAGGAAAGAATACCAGCAGAGGGAACCAGTAATGCAGGGGTGGTAAAACGGGCTCAGACCTGGCATGTTTGAGGGACAGCAAGGAGACCAGTGTAGCTGGAGGGAGGGAGTGACAGGAAGTACAGAAGGAGAGAAGGTCAAGAGGGAAGGGTGGTGGGGCAGAGAGGAGGGGCAGACTACACGTGGCCTTGAAGGCCATTGTGTAAAGATCTTGACTTTTACTCTGAAGAATATGGGCAGCTATTGAAAGATTTTGATCAGACTAATATGATCACTTCTATGTTGAGAGGACTATTCTCCCTGCCAGGAGACTCCGGCAATAATTCAAGTAAGAGATGATGTGGCTCAAGTCAGGGGGTGGCAGTGGAGGTGATGAGAAGATCCTAGATACATTTTAAAGGTGAAGGCAACCTGATTCCCTGATGTATTGACAAGGGTGTGATAAAAATACAGGACTCATGGATCACTCCAAGGTATAACCATTTATGTAGCATCTAGCTAGTGTAAGTGGATGGGTTTGGGAGAGCAGTGGGAGTGAGGGAAGGAGTCCAGAAGTTTAGGACATGTTAAGTTTGCGATGTCTAATAGACTCTGTAGCAGACTGCTGGTGCTCTGCTGCCAAACTAGAGATGCCTAGGAGTTTATGTTTTCCCAGAGCAGTGCCTGAAGAATGACTGATAAATGCAGGAATATAATAGCCCAGCTCCCATTTTTTTTGCACTGGGGCAAACTACCAACCTTGTGGTGTGAACAGCCCTGTGGATAAGGTTAAAGCCACGCTCCACGGAACTTTGCCTGAGATCACACTTTGCTTTGTTTCCTCACCTTCTCTGTCCTGTCCTGCTTCACACACCCCCATGCTAGTCTCCTAAGAGTAGCTCCTAATGGATCACATGTACACAAACCCTCGTCTAAGGTCAGCTGCTGAGGAACCAGATCCAAAATGATGTCCAAGCAGACATGTCAAGCTCATGACAGCTGTTTCAGCTAGAAAAATACACTTGGATGTCAACCAGATGTAGATGGAATTTAAAGCTACGAGACAGGTTAAGGTCACCAAGAGAGTGAGTTGGTGTTATTCTTTCATCATAGAGATTTCAAGATAGAGGAAAGAGTGAAAAACTTTCATCTTAAAAGTAATTCAGGGGAGAGTAAAGTTGGCTTATTCTTTTTTAAATATTATGAAACTGTAATTACAATTTCATCATACAAAAAGTCAGAAGTTAATACTTGAAGCTGGGCCATGGTTGTCCAGGGAATCATTATACCATTCTTATTATTTATGTTCATGATTGAAAATTCCACAATAAAAATTATATAAGTAAAATGTAAATACACTCACCTTTAAAAAATAAATAATTGCATAGTAAAAAACTAGAAACAATGCAAATGTCCATCAATAAATTTATCGACATGATGGAATACTATACAGCAATGATTATGACAAACCATAACTACATGAGATAATACAAGTGAATCTTATATTGTTGCACCAAAAAACTCAGACGCAAAAGAGTACATGTTGTATGATTTAATATATGCAAAGTTCAAAAACAGGAAAAATTAACCCACACTGCTAGATAGGAGTGTGGTTATCTTTGGGAGGCTATTGACTGAAGGGGACATTTGGGGGGCTTCTGTGATGCTGCTGATGTTTTTTTCTTCATCTGGTGCTGGTTACATGAGTGAGTTCACTTTGTAGGATTCATCAATTGTACACTTATTGTATGTGTACTTTGCAATATTTACTTTATCATTATGAAAACTCTGAAGAGTCTGTGATTTTAGCCTGCCACAATCTCATGGATACTGGTAGAAGACACAAGATCCTAGGTCAGAGACAAAGGACTTTATTATTCACAGGAATCATAAGCTTCTGTTTGTATCAGCTCCCTTTAACCCTCAAGACCCACAGGGGTGACGTGGAGATTAGCCCTGGTGGAAGCTGCACACGCAGTGCATTTGCATCAGACAATCTTAGCCTAGGAAACATCAGTCTCGTAAAGGGACTCTAAGCAAACGCTGCTTAAACTTTGTCTCAGAAGGAGACATTATTTTTATTATACTGCACAGCAAACAAATCTGCCCCTCCTCAGACAGAGACCCATCTCTAACTTCCAAGGCTATTCACTATATGAACATATTTGAAAAGATAGTCTAGAACAAAACCTGTTAGTGCCTTTGTTCACAAGACTTGCAGAAACATGAGAGATCTATAGAGAACTGCCTCTCAACAATATTGCAATCAAAATGTACATTTACAAAGTCATTTAGGTAAATCATTACAGACAAGGCCAAAAGGAACTTCGTTTGATATTCCACTTCTCCAAGTCCCAGAGGTGATCATGGCTTGTTTGGTGCATACCTTTCCAGACTATTAGCTATACAATCACAAGTATCTATATCTATATACGTATAGATATGTATCTATATATATAGAGAGAGATACATATCTATATAGATACATATCTATATATGGATACCTATATATGTACTATATATATAGTACATATATAGTGTATATATAGTATACACTAGTATATATATGTATATATAGTATACTATATATAGTATACTATATATAGTATACTATATATGTATAGTATACTATATATAGTATACTACATATACATATGTAGTATACTATATATACATATATACTATATATAGTATACTATACTATACATGTACTATATATATACATATACTATACTATACATGTACTATATATACATATACTATATATATGTATAGTATACATATATAGTGTATACTATATATGTATAGTATACACTATATATGTATATAGTATACACTATATAGTATATATGTACTATATATAGTACATATATAGTATATATACACTATATATGTACTATATATAGTATATATGTACTATAGTATATATATACACTCTATATGTACTATAGTACATATATAGTACATATATAGTATATATGTACTCTATATAGTATATAGAGTACATATATAGTATACATATATATACACACCCACACCCACACACTATATATGTAGAGAGAGAGACAGAAACAGAGATAGAGACAGAGAGACAGACATAGAGATAGAGACAGAAAGAAGTTATTTGGGGGCAGTATGGATTATGAATTAAAAATTTGACATCATTCTCTTCATGTCATTTTGCAACTTGTTTTCGCTTAACAGGATCTTGGCATTTTTCTTTTCCTTCTTTCCTTGCCACTATATGCCAACAGATCTCCCTTCTTCTAATCTGCTGCCTAGAGAGCCATGGCATGGATGTGCCATGGTTTAATTAAACATTCCCCTTTTGAATGGGTTCAGTTTTTTCTTTCTCTTATTGCAAACAGTGCTTCAGAGACCATTGTCAGACAGGTCTCTATAAATTTGTGCAAATATCTACTTAGAGTGGCTTGAGGAAGGACAAAGAAGAAGGACTGCTGTCAAATTTACCCTCCAAAAACATCATCCCAGTTACATCTCAATGGTAGCTTATGAAAGTGCCATTTCCCCATGACCTTGCCAAAATGAAACATTGTTGTTCACTTTAATTTTTGTCATTTGGAAAGGAAAGAAAAATTACATCTTGTTGGCATTTTAGTTTGCATTCCCCCAGTCTCTAGTAAAGCTGAACATATTTTCATGCCTTAATTCTTAAATTACCATTTCTTAACATTTATGTGCCCAGAACTATAATGGGCACTTTACGTGAACTATTTCATTTTATCTTCACAATTCATTCCTGATATAATAGTGAGGAACGAGCAAATATTTTTTCCCAGGTGACAGATGAGTAAACTGAGGCTTAGAAGCTAGGGAACTAGCGTGGATTCACACATCAAGTGTTTATGGCAGCAAACTCCTCCTGCCAATTAATTACACAGTACCTGTTCTCTTCTTCTTTAGTAAAATAATCCAAACTTTAAGGGGAGCAGCAACGTGTCCAGCTTCAAATTCATACCTCCCAGCCTTCCCTGTAGGTAGAAATGGTCATGTGATTACATTGTTACCAATGCATTACAGCTGCAAGTTGAGGGTGGAGCTGTTTCCCAAAAGGCTCCTTGAAAGTAGGAGTAGTTCTTTTGCCTTTCCCTTCCTCCTCCTTCCTCCTTCAGATGAGATGACTGAAACTGCCGCAGTCACTATAGGACCGTGAATAAAGGTGGCGTAGAAAGATAAAAAGAACCCGGGACATTGATAGCATCATGGGGCCTGTTCTCCTCCACCCTAGTCTACCTACGTCTAGAATTCTGGTTACGTGAGCAAACCCACTCTGCATTTCTGTTATTACTGATACAGTGATGGAGCCAGGATTTGAACCAAAGCTATGCTGAGTCATTCCTTCTCATCCAGGTAACACTCTCCACACAAACGCTATACTATTACTACAGAAGTCACCATCTGTGGCCAATAAAGACTGGAGAAATCTTGCTCCAGCTATTCTTTCTCAGGACAATTGGAGTTGCAAGTCTTGGAAGTAGGAATAATTTCAACCTCATAACAGCAATAGAAAAGGTAGTGCTTGTGAAAGATAAAAGTAGAAATAGCCTAACACAGCATAACTTTCTTTATTGATAGTATCTACACAGGGAAATGTGGATTTATAGAAAAGAACAACATGTCAAATGATTACAAACAGAAAGTTCTGATTCTGGCCTCACTGTTGTATTTGCTATTGACCTTAGAAAAATAACAGTTTCTATCTGTTTCCCTTTTCTTACAATGTTAATAAAATAGATCTTTGAGCCATGGGCTTGTGATGAGAGTCCAATGATGAAATATACATAAAAGCTTTTCCAAAAAAAAAATCAACATGTTCGGTGCTCTGAACCTGGAAGGAATCACTATACGAATACTGCATTCCTAGTGTATGTGTAACCCATGCACAGAGAACCCTGTGGTTATTATTATCAGATTGTAGCGACCCCAATTTTCTTCCTCTTTTTTAGCCATTAAGTAATAGGAGACCCCATGAGACACAGGAATAATGTCAGAATGGAGCAACATTGTCACAGTGAGGAGTAGGTGTGCCCGTGTATGTGTGTGCATGTGTGTAAGATTTAACCTTTTTCTCATTGAGTTTCATATATTTCATGCAAAGGATTGCTGAATATTCATTGATGTATCTAGTATCCACAAGTATGCTATTAGAAATGTATTATTTATCTATATTTTTGAAAGGTTGAAATAATTCAGTGTTGATCCTTTGCAAGATAGGTTTGCTACCTTTAAACTGAAGTGACAATAACACCCTTCGGTTTCTCTCAAGTTGTGCTGATATCCTTGATGTCTCTAACAAACCAGAGACTGCCTGTGAGAATCCTGTATGTCACCATTAAATTGAAAAAGGCTTGAAATATCAAAACCTCACTTCTGGTAGGGAAGGGAAACGAGAAAAAAGCAAACCGATGGTTATTCATGAATCACCCCGGGCCTGCCATGATAAATAACAGTGGCCTCTTTCTTCTCTTCGCTGGGCTCGTAATTCTCTCCCTGAAGGTGTTTTACCTGCACAGGAAGAATTGGGCTGGAGGGATGTCTAGTAAAAATGATTTTTAAAGCCTCTTAAAACGCAAAAGCCTATGTTTGGGTTATGAGTCATTCTTTTTGCATACAGCAAACAATGTCCAATTAATCTCAGCCGACTGGGGAGATGGGACTAAAACAATTTGCAATGTTTAGTCTGTGGTTTTGTGACAACCTAGTGATGTTAAGAGAAAATTAAATACTCGATAAAATAGCTTATTTGAAAAGATTACAAGCGAAGGCGTCTAGATTTGGGCTTCTCCTGCAACATTAAACATGAGGATTCACTGTCCAAATATGGGTTCCGCATATAAGGTAGGAAATATTTATGCCATTTCCACATTAAAAGGGTAGCATATTATTTGTAATGAAATACAGCAATACAAAAATAATCAGTCAAAGTGCAGCTTCAGTGTGTTTTTATGTAGACGTCTGAATGTCTTTCCATTGTTTCAGCAGAGAGCTGCTGTTTTCTCCTGCGCTGACAGGCAATGCTATGTGATATGTTGGCAAACAATTTTACTGTTTTCCTCTCTCTTCTTATGAACGATATTTATAGACTCCGAATTGCATTTGGTTCCGCTTTCCGACACAGTTATCTTCTTGGGCGTGGATTAAATGAAGATCTGGGTGTTGAAAGACATTTACATAAGTGCTGTTTGTGAACAGGAAGGCCAGTTCTTCTATTATCGCCAGAACATTTAAATCTTAATGACTGGCATTGTTGTCTAAAAGACGGTGTTTTTCCTGCTGAGAAACTGCATTAGATTCAAGAAACGAAGCTCATTTCCATTCTCTCAGCAGTCTTCTCTAGAAATGACATGCAGTGCTTGAAACTGTTTATTTCCAAATTCAGGCCTCCCTCGCATCAGTCATCAGCTTCAATTACCAGTTTTCCGGAGCCGAGCCATCAGGCAGTCTGACACCGGGGTCCGGCCTAATTCCCACCTTCTCCAGAGTCAAGAGCATAATGTGCGGATGAAAAGGTGCAAAATAGCTTGGACTTCATTAGCATGCAGGGCCTGGCTGTTCATTTGCCGGCTGCGGATGGAAGTTCTGACACTCGGAGCTTGCTGCAAAATGAGAAAAGTCCTCTTCAGGGGAGATGAGGTCCTTGGTGGTGAGGAAAGGTCATCAAAAAGACAGCCGCTGCCCTTGCTCCCTGCTCTCCATGACTGCTTATTGATTCCAGGAACACCTCATTACACGCCGGATCAACATATTATTGCCATGTTCTGGGACTGAATTGTTTACAAGTGTCTTTATCGCCAGCAAAGGCCTGCCCGGAGATGCATGACTACACTCATTTGGCTGTGACCCGCCAATTATGTGTTATCCGATATGTTGCTGGGTATCTTGATCTTTGCCCGGGTCTTCTCCTGGCATCAACACAGTCCCATTTACTACTTCTTTCTAACCACTCTTTGGGAAAGTAGCCATTAGCCTGTCAGTGTGTAAATGTGCGTGTGTGTGTGTGCGTGTGTGTGTGTGTGTGTGTGTGTTACCTCTGCTACAGGAAATCTGAGCATCGATGCTCCATTGCTTGCTATTCATGAGGTGCATAATCATTTGGGGGAAAGAAATTCTCACTCACACTCACACACACACACCTTTTTTTATGGCATCCAGGGTAACCCACACAATTTGCAATCAGTATGCACAACAGAGAGCATAATGCAGCTTGTTAGCAGCTCCCTCTGCTTACATATAGGCCCGACGAGAGAGCCGTCATATTTTATTTGGGCATAGCTACTGCAAACCACTGCACAGGACCATTTTAATCTTTCATTACAGACACTTCTATGGCTCCATAAAAGAAAGAGTGGACTAGCAACTTGATTAAAAACTTAGTAAAGAGATTGTGCAAACCCTCCCATCCCTGAAAAGTGGAGCCACAGCCTTAGTTTCTTACTGACGCCACTCTGCAATGCAAATGTGACTTCCATTTCCCTCCAATGGTGACTACTGACATAAATTTAATGATGCTGAGAATTGACAACTTCTATTAATTTTTGTGAATATTGCTTGGAGAAGGTTTAACGACTCCACCAAACATTAGGACCGTCTCAACCAAATACTAAAAAGGGGTCCATTTCATTTACATTTCCTGTTGCCATCAAGAATGGCTCTTTAATGAGTTTTCCGCAGCAGGATGTAGAGACACAGATGCCAAGAAACTTGCCTTTATTTTCTTGGAAGCATATATCCTTGGCAATGGGCACATATTAATATGATGAGTGAACTGAAACTCAAGAATCTAACTGCCTTCAGAAAAGTGACATCTGTATGCACATTCATTTCCAGCAATTTCCCAGATTTCTTTGGTATTTGTCTTTCTTTAATTTTTTCCAGGTATTTTTTTTCTCTTTCCAATTTTGAGAGAGGAGTTTTGTAAAGATACTGAGTTCTTTTGGTTCTTTCCAAAATCCCTTAGTTTTGGCTTTCTGACAAATCACTATTAATAACTGGAAAAGGCTGATTAAGACCCCCTCGTCAGGGTGCTTCAACTCAATTAAAGAGTCCATCAGGAGATGTTTACTCCACCCAGTGTTCAAGGACTCTGCTAATTCTGTACTATTCTGTACTATTATCAACCAATAAATACCCTTTGGAAGAGAAAGAGGTGATTGGAAGGATTACTCTTGGTTTATTTCGGGGGGTACTATTGCACGAGAAGCTTGATCAAGGGATAAAGATGGAACAAAAAGGAGTGTTTACCAACATTCGTATCTGACGATCAAGTCTCAGTGTGGTTGGAACTCAGAGAAGGACAAAAAGGGTAACTTTCAATAACTAGGAGTCATCCAAAAGGAAAGGGGCTTCTTTACAAATTTACAAGAAATTGTAATGATGCAGCAGTGGGAATGCCCAGGCGGTAGGCACTTTGAGGTTGAATGCCCTAGGTAGAAGGGAGAGCCACATCCAGGAGCTTCTGCCAATTGTTATAACCAGATCATCTGTTATTTCAATGATTAAAGATAATTCCTCTCTGTTATGGCTTAAATGGCTCATCTTCTTTATGAATCCCTCAAATTGGCACCAAAAGATTCTTTTCAATTAACAGAATGGCCAGTCTTCCTAGATCCTCTGGATTTCTTCCCGATCTTTAGGAGTTGCAGGCTTCTATGTATATTTTCTGATGCTGAATAGAAAATGCATACACACAGTCTACAAGAACAGTGGTGTGATTAGATGATCAGATGGCAACTAACCCCCAAAAAAGAGCTTGTTTTAAAAATCATTTATTAAATACAACTTTGTGCCAGGAAACTTTCTAGAAAGTTAGCATACATTAACTTATGTATTACTCACAACAACCGGGTGACTTAAGCATTGCTAAAGTTGCTAAGTCACCCACCTTTACAGATGGGGAAGCCTTCTTGCACATCTAATAGGGTTTTCCAGTGTGCTCAAGGTCATGTGGCAGAGGCAGAATTAAAACCCGGATGTGACCCATGGCAGAACCCACACTCTATTCTGCCTCCCCTAGAGCCAGCATCCACTACACATTTCCAAGAATCCTGTAAAGCACCCTTTTCTGCATACCAGCCAATGTGAATGCAGAAAGAGTCGCTAGTTGTGATAATAAATATGTCAAAACAATTATCTTTTACCTCTCTGATATCCTTTGCCATGAGGTGGGCTATAGAAGCCTTTGATTGATAGACTAAAATAAGTTTTGATACAAAAAGGCAGTTCTGGCCATTTAATTAAAAAGTGGTGGGGGTTGCAGGGAGAACATATTCGGGGAGCTGTAGAAGTGCCCCCACTGGTCAGTAGGAGCATCTGAGGAAGTCTTGTCAATCTTTGGCTCTTATACTCATCCAACTTGCCTGCAGATCTTCCTTTAGTGGTTCTACTAAAAACACAACAATACTTAATTCACCTCCTGCGGCCATCGTAGCCAGTTCTCCCACAGCATTACTCTGCCACTGGAAACCTAATGACAAACGGTCCAATCACAACACAGGAGACTGGATTCAAAGGCTTGAGGGATATCCATGTACTGACTGGAAACCTGCACAAACATGTTCACAGGTGCTGGAATCTTCCCCTGTCTCATGTGCTCATTTTTCCCTGCTGTCCATGAGAATGTTAGATACTTTCTGGTGCCTAGGATAATGCATCATTCAGAATGTCTCCCGGACTACTGGCCTGGCTTAAATGAAGGGAGATGACTTGTCCACAGGGACACTTCCTCCTCGTTTCTCCTTCCTTCAGCATCAGCAGCCTCTAATCTTCCAGCACATTCATGCTGCCCCAGTCTCTTCTGTAAGAGAAAGAGAAACACTTGCTCTTATCAGTTCATTTGCACTAAGACACCAGAGATTCAAATGTATACCCTATCCTTCCCTTTCCATCTCCAACAGGCAGTACTTGTATCATAAAAGAGGGCAATGCTTGACCCAAAGGAATGGTGTGTCATGATGGGGATGGAGGAGAGGTGTGGTATTTGGGAAGGGGAAGCCTTCCAGGTGATACATTCCAGTGAGAACAAATTTGGCCATTCCTGAAGTAGATGTTTACATCACCTAAGCCTCACTTATGCTGGGAGGATTTCAGAATTATTTAATTTTCAGAATCAGCAGTTGAAGACTGTAGAGAAATCTACTAGAAATGAGTTCTACTGATCTAATCTTAACCCAAGGGCAGATATATGCTGGTCACTCTCTCCACCCAGCCCTTCTGGGTCTTTCTTTCAGCTTTGCACAGACACTCGTGTTGAGACTCCACTATGTACTCAAACTGTACAGAGTGTTCTTGGAGCTCTAACTTGCATTTTCTGCCCTTGAAGAGCCAACAATAAGAGGCAACAAAAAGTGTCACAAGACAGTAAATGATTAAAGACAAAATAACAAGTGTGTATAATAAGAAGTGCCCTAGGAGTTGAGGGGTGAGCATGGAAGACCCCCGTGGACTAGCATGATGGGAAAGACTTTCTACATGAAATAGGATAAGAGTGTGTCTTGGAGATTTGAATAAGTGGAAAGAGGGGTGGGTAAGCATGATAGTATCCGAATATAACCACCCTCAGTTTTTCCCATTCCATGTAGCTCTTCCCATCAATAGGAAGAGTGGCGGCTCACACCGTAGTCCTAATTGGAGGCTGAAGTGAGCTATGATCTCACTACTGCATGCCAGCCTGGGCCACATGGCCAGATCCTGTCTGTTAAAAAAATAAATAGTCTGGGCACAATGGCTTACACCTGTATTCCCAGCACTTTGGGAGGCCAAGGTGGGCCGATCACTTGACGTCAGGAGTTTGAGACCAGCCTGGCCAATGTGGCAAAACCCCATCTGTACTAAAAATACAAAAAATTAGCTGGGCATGGTGGTGCGTGCCTGTAATTCCAGTTACTCAGGAGGCTGAGGCAGGAGCATCGCTTGAACCCAGGAGGTGAGGTTGCAGTGAGCAGAGATCACGCCACTGCACTCCAGCCTGGGTGATGGAGTGAGACTCTGTCTCAAAAATAAATAAATAAGTAAATAAAAAGAGGAGGAGCCTTTTTCCCTTCCCCTTGAATCTGGCTGCACATTGTGGCTTGCTTTGACCAGTAGAATGAGATGGGAGTAACAGTCTGGGACTTCTGGTTGCATAGGCCTTAAAAGGACTAGCAGCTTCCACTGCCTCCCGCTTGGAGCCCAGCTGCCATGCAGAAGAGAAACCCATGCTAGGGTACAGAATGATTAGAGGTCATGTGGAGACAGGCCCTGGGAGGTGAGAGAGTGTCTTGGACTTTCCACATAAATAAGCCCAGCTGACCTTTCTTAGAAAAGTGCCCAACAAGCCCTGCTAGAAATTCTGACCAATGGAATTGTGAAAAAAAATAAACTGTTGTTGTTGTAAGTCACTAAGTTTTGGGGTGATTCATTAAGCAGCAACAGATAAGTGAAACAGTAGGATAAAGAGGAGTACACACGTGATGAGCTGCTTTCCACATGAGAAGGTGGCATAAATAAAATGAGAATGAGCACATATGGTATTAGGGAGCCCTAAATTGGATAAACCAACCTGGCTAGAGCAAGCATTTCAGGTTAGCAACTAGAAGAATATAGATCAATAAATCTGGCCCAAATAGCTTTATTGTGGGAAGGAGATCTTTAAGGCAGTCCATGTGATGCCCTCCATAGGAGATGCTGTCAGTGTTGATAGCTCCTTACCTGTCTACATCAGCGTGTACCAGCTCAATGACCAACCACCAGCACCTGTGTTTCATTGCCTGGGAACTTTTTCTTGGCCCCTGAAGCTCACTCTGCTTATGCAACAGGCCAGAAGTGCTGAGGAAATAATGCCAGCAGAGTAGCCCTCAGCCAGTGACTGATGGAATTGGTCTATACATATTCCAGCTCAAGTATGTGCTACATCGTTTCCCAGAGCTCACAGTAGAATTAAATTCCAGGTGCCCACAATGGTAACCTGCTTTATAATACACCTTGATGGTTGCCTTCCCTTCTCTGTCTCTCAACTTCATTCCCTTACTGGTGTTTCCAGAGATCACCTTTCGGTAATACATTGCTTGCTTTTGGAGAAACCCAAACTAAGATGCTTTCATTTTGCAGTTAAGAAAAATAAAGCCAGGACGGGGATTACTTTGAACGGGTGCTATAACAAAATGAACCAAAATTTGCAGTTCTTCAAACAAAACAGAAATTTATTATCGCCATATAAGCAGTCCAGGATGGGAGGGCAGATTCTGCTCCTGGAAGTCATCTCAGGACCCAGCCATTGGGGAACCGTTGCCTTCCTCAGTACATGACTCTCATTAGTGTAATTCCCAGCCAGCAAGAAGGAACAGGGAGGTGCAAGTATGAGATGACAATTACGCACATCACTTCTACTTGCATGCCACTGGCGAATGTTTAGTCACATGGTCCTCGTGTCGCTGCAAGGGAGGCTGGGAAATGTAGTTCAGCTGGTCAGCCGTGTGCCCAGTGAGAATAGAATAAATGATGACGAGTGGCAGACAGGAGTCTCCGACCCTGGAAGATTAGTTTGTTGCCAAAGTGCCTATAGCTAGTTAGTGGACAAGTGGAACTATAAGCCTTTCTGCACACTATTTTTTTCCTTACTCCCCTCACTTGGATTCCAGCCAGACTGCAACAGGGCTCAAATGTCATGCTGAAGAGTCTGGTATTCTGCAAGGTTCATCTCCCCTCATCACAGAAGCAGCAAAGCAGAATAAGCCGTTGGAGGCCCTCTCAGGCTCAGCCTACATGAGGTTGCTAGATTGGACTTTGTGGCCAAAGCAAATAGCATAAGGCCCTATGCTTTCAAACAGAGCCAGCCAGCCTCACTGCTAGCCCATGTAGCCCCGTGGTACAGATTTTTAGATGCACCTGTTACTTTACTGACAAACACCAAAACAATGTCTTAGAAACCATACAAACCACACAAATCAACAATGATGGGAAGGGCACCCCTATGTGACACTCAACCTGTCGGATTGGAATCCTAGCCAGGAGAGGGAGAGGAAAGAACCACGGGGCTAGCTGAAATCTATGGATATCAGAGATATTTTGCAGTCATCTCTGAAGAACCTGAACTTGCTTCTGTAGCTTCCAATTATCCACAGGCCGACAAAGCTGTTTCTTTTGGAACTCTGTATCACAGATGGAAATGCTAGAAGGTTAAGCCCACCCAGCACAGCTCATTTATACATTAAAATAGAAGAAAATGAAAGGTGACAGGTTTATCTAAGCGGATCCTATTCATAACTTTTACATGCTAACCTGAATTTTTCAAATTCACTTTTTGACTGGATTTGGGGTTAAGTTGGCCAATGTACAAATGGTCATTAAAAAAAGGGGGCAATGAAAGCAAATGAATTGTTTATTGGAAAAATTTGTTAAATGGCTCTGCACTGTTCTTTTATGTCAATTTAAAAAAAAAATCCTTTATGCTCCATAGAGATTGTACTAAATTTTAAAATCGTTATTCTGCCTTAACCATTCTTTAACTTTTCCCAAGATATAAGGTGTATATTTTTTTACATGTAGGTTGAAAATTACCAAGGTTTATTTCATTTAAGTTATTGGACACAACTCATTATTATATTTCTAATATTTTTGTGCAAGTGAACAAGAGTAGCAGTTACCTCTGATTTGAACCCTATACAGTAAAGTGGTACTTTGGATTTTTCCCCCCAACAATTTCCTGTTATGCTCAACAAACCTCTCTCCAAATGCAAACCTCAGTCTCAGTTAGTAGACTGTGTTGAAAATATGTGTCTAATCACCAAAAAAGCCAAGCATTTATCAGGATAAGCCTTCCAAACTCATCAACTTTAATGGTATCCAGACGGCTTTTCTGGAGAGGGCTCATTAGTTTAAAAAAAAATTCTCAACATTTCCATGTTCTGTAGCTTTACTGACATAGTCAAAAATATAATACAAGCTCCCTGCCTTCTTGTTTAGTAGCCATTTCCTGCCCATATACTGCCTTGAAAAATAGTCAAACAAATGTAAAGAAGATAAATATCAAGCATAAATGAACTAGCGCCAAAGGGGATAGGTTCTGTATATAAAAATGAGCAACACCAGTGGCTGCAGATTAAGAAACTGAATATGTTGGTGTTTAAAATTAGCATGGTTCCCCAAAGGATTGAAAATGTTCCATTTAAGAAAAGAAATGTTTTCAAATCACTCTGCTGACTAGAGGAGTCTGAATCAAAGTCAGAAATTAATAATAGGATGCAGACAGAGACCCCCAATCATAAATAGCAGAGATCATTTTTATATGTATAAAAGCCTGCATGGCCCAGCAGTGTCTATAGCTCTATGGGGAAAAAAACTAATGAAATGCAAGAAGAAAATGTTGAAAATAGAAATGAATGTGCCCGGTAGAAATGCTATTGTCATACTCTTGTGACACAATGACTTCTTTTCTGGAAAAGTAATTCTTCAATTGAGCCCAGGCAAGCATTGTATTCATTGTAAAGTTGTATATTTAAACCTGTAGTCTGAAGGGCTTGCCTGTATTTAAAGCTCAATGCTACCTGGGCTCATTAGAGTACCAGGACAAAGCTCTAGCATGTTACTGCTTTGACACTCCTCAGAACTTCTAGGTAGTTTTCAGTGGCTTCAAGTACTTAGATTGTCAGCAGTATAGGAAATAGAAAGTAGAATATTGAATGGGTGAGGTGTATACATCAAACATGTGGGAATGTATAGACAGAGAGATAAAGATCCTCCTCGAACATCCTATTATATTGCAGAGGGTGCAGAACAATTCCAGGGTAAACACAGGCTTGGAGTAAACAGAGCTGCAATGTGCAGGTTGCACGAATTAGAGCATCCCGAGTCTCATTCAAGATCAAATGGTTCCTTTCTAGGCTTTTTATCAGGAACAGGTTCTGCTCTGGGTAACAGAAAGATAAAAGAACATAATCGCAGCCATGAAATCTTTAGTGTAGAGACAAGAAGAGCAAGGGGTAAGTGTTTAAATTCAGGCCTGTTTTAACAACACAGCAGCCTCATTCTACAAGTGCCTCCTTTCCAGTTTGGGCCAACTCAGTGCTTTGGCTAAATCTGTGAAAGGATGTGTGCCCTCTCCATGGTTTTGGATAAACCTGTGCTTTCTGGGAAGTTGCTTTCAGGATGCGAGTGCACTGGCTGAAGGTGAAGATAGGAAGGACAGTGGTCAGGAGGAGGATAGCCCCGAGCCAGGCAGGACAATATCCAGCCAAAATAATTTACCCTGCTTTCTGGTAAACGCAATTTATTTTTATGTATTTATATTTGAAATAAACAACACCTGCGCACGTGGGGAGAAAAGTGAAAGATTCAAGAAACAGCACAGTGGAAAGTTGGTCTCCCTGTAGCCCACCTACCTTGGTTCCTTTCAAGTGGCAACTGTGAGCCTTCCTTGCAGATATTTCCATGCGCGAATTGTCACTCAATTTCAATCCATGATCTTTAAAAACACAGCTCCCTATCCCCATCCAGCCCCTCCCAGCACCCAGGTCTTCTCTTCCCCTTCAGGTCATTCTTCACCCAGCCCCACTCCCCAACATATTTCTTCATCTTGGGGTACCTGACAGACGACCTGCTGACACCCTGATGACCCAGGCGCCCTTCTTTTTTTATATATATAAGGGTTAGAGTTATTACTTAATGATAATTACTTATTTTACACGTTGTCGTCTGCTGATGTTTAAAAGATAAGAAGACATTTGTCAGGGCGGGTGCTTGAGGCTCTCAGAGGACTCCGGGAGACACTGCCAAAACGTTTCCAAACTGAATAGTCATTGGGCTGCCAGATAATTCAGAAACTATCTGTATGAGCTGTTTATCAAATTATTAACCGCACAGATGTTGTTTGGCTGAAGAGCAGCTGAATCCCCTCTCTGGCAGCCGCGGAGACAAAGGTCTCCAGGAATAATTGGAGATGTGCATGGAATATTAAATTAATTTACTGCTCTTAATTCTTATGCAAATTCTGACCTCCGATGGCGCCTATCAATTACCCCGCCCGCAGTGAAAGCGAAAGCGACAGTTTCTTCTCTTCGCTTTTTTTTCTTTTTTAAGAACTCGAAAAAGGAAATATTTGCAATAAGCAGGCGGTAGTAGCACTTCGTAGCTGGAATTATTTAATTGAATCTTCAAGTTTTTAGGGATGCCCGTAGAGGATAAAACCCCAGTGCTCAGCGGAGAGGGTGGGAGGGGTACAGGGGGCGGAGGAATCTGTTGGTTTGACTGTACACCTGCGGGCGGCGGCAAAATACAGCCACGAGCCGGGACCAGTAATGTCAAATAAAACATTGGCTTGTAGACGGACGCGGGCCTTGGGAATCGCGCGAGCCCAGCGTTAGCCCGGGGTTTCACCGAAGCCGGCGATTCGAAGGGAGTGGCGTTTCCGCAAACTGCATCGCTAGGGGCCCGGCGTGGAAGCGCCTCTGCGCAACTTTCCTCCACCGCTGCCTACAAGGGAGGCTCTGGCTTCCGTTTACTTATTTTTTAGGAGTTTTAACCTTTGGTTCCTGCTTTTACAACCGCTAACCCCAAAAACATTTTTTTTTTCTTTTTGTTCTTTGTAAAACCAAACCACTATGCTGTGCGTTCATGTTCAACTCTGTTGAAATCCCGGGTGGGCCGAAATAAGATTTAATTGTCTCCTGCGTGGAGAAGTGACACCCACTTTTTCCCCTGAATTGAGCAAACACCAGGGCTTTGTCTGAGCTTGTGGCTTAAACGCCGGGCGGTTTCTGCACCCAGTTGGTGGGTTGTAAGACAGGAGGTTTCCAAGTCTTTCATCATGTTTCTAACAAGGAAAACCAAATCGGGCCCATAATGTCATCAGCCCCGGCCCGACCTCGCCGGGACCTCGGCAGCCCGATGATGTCGCTAGCGGCCCCGGCGCAGCCACGACGCGCCGCCTTTCAGCTCCTCGCAGTCCCCACAAAAGCCAGACAACAATATCAATTAATCATGCAGCGGGCAAACAAGGAGATTTATCCCGCGACAAACAGCCCCACCGAGAGCCGCTGAATGGGCGTGATTAGCATGTGAAAAGGCGAGCAAAACTCCGCGGTTCAACAGCTAAAGAGCAATTTGATGGGGCTGGGATGGGGAAATTACTTGATTAGCGTCCATCGGAGGAGAACACGGTTACAGCCCCTCGGCCGGGAATCCGACAGGGGAACAAAACGCGCTGGTAAACGCGGCGACGTACAGGGAGCGCGAGCGAGGGAGGGAGCGCCGGCGAGGGAGGGAGCGCGGGGGCCGACATCGAGAGGCAATCGGGGTGGGGGCAGAAATAGGGGCTGACCCGCTAGCCCCCGCCAAACCGCGACCACCCTCACCTAGGGCTCCCGGGCGGACTCAAGACTTCACCCAGCGCTGGAGGTCGACCTTAATTTAGAGCGCTGCCCCGGCTCTGGCCCGGAAAGAGAGTGACAGAGGCGCGTGCGGGGGAAAGGCCCACCCACGCTGTCCCTGGAGTCCCCTCCAGTGTCCCCAGGGACGCAGTCCGCGGCCGCCAGCTCCAGGGGCTCGGGCCCCAGGTTGGAGTAGCCACGCTAGCGGCTAGGCCGTTCCACCGGGTAGCTCCGCCCTTCCTTTTGCTCAGGCAGCTAACTTTGGAGCCGGGCAAGACGTGTTTTCCCGCTCCTTCGAATTTAACCGCCCAGTGCCTGCCTCCTGGAAAAGCTGTCACGATTGGGCTTGGGCTTGGGCTTGGCCTTGGTCAAGAAAGGTTTCCTCGGCTGCGCCACCGTGGGGATGGAGGTGGGAGTTGGAACACAGCCCCCTAGCTGAGTGCAGGGGCCAGAGGCTGGCGGGGGCACGCGGGGGTGGTTGGGGGCGGAGTGCGGCGAGGGGTGAGGGCGCGACCGCCTTGGGGCAGGGGCGGCGATGGAGTAGCTCCGGGCTCTCCACGGACTCGATTGGACAGCCCCAGGCCGGCTTTGGATCCTTGGAGGCGGATACGCAAGGCCAGACCTGGTGGCGTGGCCAGTTGGGCATCGCGGTATCTTCCCCAGGCCTGGAGGGCAGTGCTGAAGGCCCGCGGCCGAGGTTTTGCTTTAAGTATACTTGGGCCTCGCAACTCAGCTGTTTGCGAACAGAGACCTGGCGAATCGCCGAGGAGCGGCGCGGCTCCGCGTCCCCACTTCAAGGCCAAGTGGAGAGTGAGGACACGCTGAGGCCCCCTGCTACCTATCATGCCATCTTAAGCGGGCACCGACTCCTTACCCAGAAAAGATCCTGGAGCTAAAGCCTGCGCCTACACCAGAGAGGGGAATTTAAGTTTCCCACTCTCGACGTGTCTGGAACCTTCCCTCTAGCCGCATACCCACAACCCCCTGCTCCCTGGCTCCTCCCAGTGTCAAGGAAGGAGAAAGACTCCCACCCTGTCCCCAAAGTCTCAGACTAACTCGCTCCAGGTCACAGGACCCACTAAGAGGGCCTTTCCAGCTCATGCCCGGAACAGGGGTGCAGCGGCGACCCTCTGGGATCTGGAGAGAGAGAATTTAACACGGCCTTCCTGAAGTACATTCACGCAAATGTGAGAAAGACTTCAACGCACAGAATCGCCAAAGCCCTTGCCGTCTTAAATAAATCCTGCCCCTTGGCACAGAAGAACGGAGAACCAAGGAGTTAATTCCTATTTTATAAGAAAAAAAAAAAAAAAAAGGAGGGGGAGAGAGGAAGGGAGTGGATGGCCCCCACTGAGCGGAACAATTGTCACTCAGTTGAACAGTGTCAATTAACAAACCGCAGCTCTGGCAGACTTCAAAAGGCTTGATTCTTTTTGAAATGTCTGTGGTGATGGGTGTGCAGCGAACCCCAGCTCGCCGGTGGCCGCTCACCCCGCTCGCCTCTCTCTCCCTCTGGACTCGGTGCTGAAGCCCCAGTGCAGCTCGCTCCTCCTTCTGTCAGCAGCTGGACCCGGAAGCCCTGACTCCCGGCTTGGCGCCTGTGCTGAGAGCGGAGAAGGACGTCGCGACCGGCAGGCCTGGAGGGCGCATTGGTGTGCAGAGTGTAGCGGCTGGTCTGGCCCTGGGAACCCCAGACCCGCGAAGCTGGAGGGCGCACTCCCCGGCCTCAGAGCCCCAAACCGGAGGCGCTGTCCAAACGCGCCAACGCTGCAAGCAATGTGGCAGGGCACACCGAAATGCGTGTCTCGCACACCTGCCCATCTTTCCCTGCTCAACACGAAAGCGCCTTGTGGCTCTAAGCGCTTCCTTGGGGTGGCTGGGGCTGTGCATTTTAATTCCAAAGTCAAGAGGTTGAACCATCTCAAAGTTGGCGGGTGGAGGGGGCGGTGGCAGGGAACTAGATGGCTGGATGCCTTTGCCTGCGGGGTGGCAGGGCTGTCCCTACCAATAGCCACGGCTCGGGGCTGGCTTTGTAGTTATTTTTCCAAGTTCTGCCCGGTGCCCATCATATTGCCCTGAAAAGCAAAAGAGGCCGATGCAATTTATTCCAATGGGCGGTTTTTAAGAAGCTGGCAATTTGAACCGGCTGGGTGTTATTTAGTGCAATATGAAATCAAATGATCCTATTTCTCAAATAACAGTGTCTGTGAGGAGAAGTGAATCCTCTGAAAGGGTAATTGTCTGCTGATGGTGTTTCCCATTATACCCGATCTTGGCCTAAATGGTGTTCGGCAGCGGGGCGGAGAGCGAGGGGTGAAATCAATGTGCGCCAACTCGCGCTCTGGAGACAGGAAAAGGTAGCACCGCTGGCGTCCTGGCACGTCGAGCGAACAATGCCACCCCACGCGTCACTGATCGACTCATCTTGCAGGTGTCCGAAATCATTAGACTTGAGTGATCTTGTGGACGGGGGTATAAGACTAACTGTTTTTCCTTTCGCAACTTTGGGAATTGTTAGTCTCCTGGCATCAGTCACGCAGCAGACTGACGATAATCTGGGAAATACAACCCAGTTTGGAGTCCCTTATCCCACCCCCTCCCCACCTCCATGTCATTACTGAGACGCTCAGTCCTTTCTTCCAAGGACTCACTTCTGTCTAGGACCTTCCCAGTCCAGCTTCTGGAAAACAAATGTAATTCCTGGGAAATATAATGCGTCCACCAGGCGCACACTATTAATGCTGTAATTAGGTGTGGTACCTTTGGGAGAAACAGGTTAGTCCTGGGCTTTTAAATTGTTCTCCTTGGGCCCAGCCACTATTTTTGGTGGCACCAGATATAAGGGGGTCAGTTTGTGTCTGAGAGCAGCACAGATGAGGAGCAAATTTAAGGAATGATTTTCATAACAAGGACAAAAGCGGCATGCGGGAACCAGAGCGTTGGCCTTTGGTCAGGTCAGTACCCCGAGGTGGAGCGTCAGCAGTAATATCAGAGGCTGCTTCTCCTTAAAATGACTCCGGCTGCAGAGGCGGCCGCAAGCAACAGCCTTGTCCATAAATCCTCTTTAGTTACCACTAACTCACCTTGAGGGGAGTGGCCTCCTCTCAGGGCCTTTGGGCCAGGACAGAGAGGTGCGGCCCCTGGAGAAAGATGCAACCAGGTCTGCAGCCGCTGGGGGCCCAGGACGCGGGGCAGCTTCGGAGCACTTCTCCTCTGCCCCCCACCCTCCAACCCCTGACTTACTGTTTTTTTTCCTAAGAAGGGTTTTGTGTGTTCCAAATATCCTGGAATTGCAGTCACAACCTACATCCTCTGCTAATTTGGGGCATTTCAGGCTGAGCCTCCTAGAACCAATTTGTGGCTTGTTTCTGCTCTAGCTAGGCAGGTTTTGTTTACATATTCTCTCTGGGTGTTTTGAGAGGACACACACAGACAGACACACAGACACACAGGCGCGTACACACACACTCATATATTTTTTCTATACTGTGACCTCTGTTTACAAGCCCATTTGGTTGTTCATGATTTTCCCCTTCCTTGGTGTTACCTCCAAATATCTGGAGAAGCTGGGAGAGAAATGGTCATGGCTGCATATCCAAGGAGCCCAACCTAGGAAGCTTCCATCTTTGTCTAGGAGGAAGGTTCGGCCACTGCACCTGGAGCCCGAAGCACCGGACACCAGGCGCGCCGTTCTGGCGCTCTGCAGGGCCTCTCTGGGTGAAGGAAAGCGGGCAGCCTGGGTTCAGCCCACCGGGTCCCCTTTCGAATGCCATTTCCCAGCTGAAAATCCAGCCAGCACAGCCTGGACGCCGAGCCCTCTGGAGCCCTGGTCAGGACGCTTTAATTTTCACCCTCCCGCTCTGGGTCTGAACAACCCCCCCGTCCCCCGCCCCCCACCCCAAGGTGTTGTTTCCTAGGGTCTTCTGGGGACATCCCTACCTGTCGAGGGCCTGCCCTCCTCGGGCTAAAAGTTCAGCCCTTCGACAGAGCCATGGAATAAGAGGCGACTCTCCCTGTGTCCCGCAAGTGGTTTCTCGAGGTACCCCTCTGAGGCTGCAGCCCCCGGAGCAGACCTGGCTCTGCATAGCAGCAAAAGCAACCGCCTACCTGGGCCGGGGCAGGACTGTGCCGCGGCGGCAGGGACAGTGTGAGCGCCGCCGGCCCCCTCACCCGGCGAGGGCCCTGCGCTCACACTTCTTCCAGGGGAAGGAGTGGCCACGCCTGAGCCCCCCTAAACGACCTCTTCAGGAGAAAAGAGTGCCGGCCAGGAGTCCCTCCAGTAACCTCAGTTTAGATCGGGTTTTCGCGCCTCCCCTAGGAATCCGGCTGGAAACCCCGGAGACTCTGCGCCTAGAGTTTTGCGGGCGTCTCTCTGCCTCCCCGCAGCTTCCGGCTCTCGCAGGCTTCATCCACTCCCTCTTCCCCCGGACCTGCCTGAACCCCGCCGAGCACTAGGCAAGGCCGGGCTCTGCGGGCTGGGGAAAAGAAGGGGCTTGGGGTGGCCCAACCCGACCGCCACCTCGGCCCGGCCTGCGGGGAAACCCCACAAAGTCAAGGCGCGGGGCGGGGTCGGGGGGATGGGATCCAGAGAGAGACTCAGAGGGGCGCCCCTTCCCCCCAGGGGTCTCCGAATCCTAGGGACTCTCTAAGCCCCCGTGGCAGAGAAAAGAGGAATTTTTAAAAACAAATCTTCCCTTGCCTGAGGCCATTTTCCAGCCTTCCACGCGCCTTTGCCGGGGAAAGAGTCGATGACTCGCCCTGCTCATCGGCTCAGACCAGAGCTACCCTGAGCCCACACCTCTCCTCCTCTCTGCAAGACATCCCTTCCGCCACCCCCAGTCCCGCCGTCCTCCCCTCTCCAGACCCACTGACCTTGGGAAGGCGCAGACCCACCGCTCGCCAAGCCTCGCCCCGCACTGTGCACGGGAAGAGGGGGCTCCGCGCGCAGCCCAGTCCGGTTAGCTGGTCGGCGTCGGCGGGGCTGCCGAGGTGGCGCAGAGCTCCCCTCCCCCACGCCTTATAATTTAATCACACGCGATATTAAATTATCAAGCTGCTCATTAATCATCACGCGAGTTATTGGGACTGAACACGCCGCCGCGTGTTTTGACAGCCCAGAACCATTCGCGGGGGTCGGGGTGTGTCTGGGTTTGGGGGCTGGGGGATGTCTAGCCACTCTAGAGAAACACTGCGAGCCCCACGCGGGCTGGTGGAGCCTCTTGCCTGGAAAAAGATGTGGAAACGCGCAGGCTGGGCGTCAGAGTTTGGTTGAGGGTCTGTCAAAAGCCCAAACGTAACCCTCCCAGGCCACTTTCCTTAATATTTGGATTTTGATCACGATGATTAAGACAGCCGGTGATGTGTAATCAACAGCATCTTAATTTGCAGTTTTTCAGGAGGGTGAATTTGACCTGACTCTGAGCATCTTCATTGCCCAGTGTGGACGGTGTGAAGTTAATGCGGTTGAAATACAGAGGGAATCAGATCACCGATGTCATTTCAAAGAATAACTTTTCCCTGATTCAAAGGGTCTCTCTTGCCTTTCACATACTACAAATGTGGAGAGAGAGACATAAAGAGTTTTAAAAATTAAATTCTTAATTTGGGGTATTCATTTTTAAAATGATTTACGCGTTTCGCCCTGGAGTGGTTAGAACCTGGTTTTATTTTCTAGGGTTTTATTTTTCCTTTTCTCTATTTCAATTAAAGGAATCTCTTTAAATGAATAAACCAATTAAATGAAACTTCTTATGATTTCATTCCATACAATAGAAGAAACAAATGATCATTAAAAGTTGTCTTAGTGTTACAAAGGAGAGTAATTAATTCTCAGCATTCACACCAGCAAAACGATAAACAAGAGGGAAAACATCCCCCAACTCTGGAAGAGGTGGTGTAGATGTGAATCTGCAAACCAACTTAAAAATATATATACCTAGTTTGAAATTAGTCTTTGGAAGAAATGTAATTCCCAAATTAAGTCTTTTGCCACCTTAGCATAAACCAAGGCTAGTTTTTAGCGGAAGACCAGTTCCTCTGGGCAAGAGCTGTGAATTTCAATAAGTTGGCAAGCCAAGTTTTCTACACAAATCAGAGATTAAATCAAGTTGTTTTCCCTTTTTAAAATATAAAGTATAAACAAATACCAAACTGGGGCATGTTCCAAATCCTCTGCAGCTAAATTGCATTTAACTTTTCCACCAGAAAATGTGATCAATTTAGTAAGCCAATAAGTACATAAATACTACCCCCGCTTATGTTTTATCGCAGAATATCATTGATAATATTAAATGTGTCCAAGACCGCTCATGAGTTATTTTCTCTTCTGTTAATCTGTTGTCTGCATTTTTCTACTCTGTCCACTAACACACAAAGAGATGGGTATCAAAACTCAACACACACACATACTGCTAGGTGAAATTCATACATCCTAAAGAAGCTAGTGCAGAGGGGGAAATGCCATAATATGGATGTGATATTTTTTCATAAGCCAACGGTGAAAAATATATTGACTATCTTTATCCAGGCAGTTCATGCCTACGTATGCTCTGCAGTGACAAGGACATTTGTTGTCAGGGACTGAGAGATGGCTTTCAATGCCAGGAGCTTTTTCTGGTAAAAGTGGGCCATTGGCTAAAAAATTGTATCTGAAGACTTTGTTTTAAAACTGGAGATTTTGAACATAACCTGAATTATCCAGACAACATGGTTTGGTGAACTTGGCAATCGTGTACTTCAAGATTACATGAGAAGCTTTTGAAAAAAATTAAAACATAAGGTTTTATTGAGTAGAGTCACCAAAAATGGGAAAAAATAATTCCTTTCACTCATTTGCCTATTTTCTTCATTGTACTGTTTTTGCATGATCACCCATTTGATGCTCACTGAAATGCTAAAAGTGTGAATTCGAGATGAGAATTTATCTCCACTCCTGAGGCTCAAGTTATGGAACTTGTTCACCACTAGAGCAAAAGCAAGAACCCACATTTCCTGACTCCTAGTCCAGTCCTCTCTCCAAATAATAGCTAACACAAACATTTAATTTGTTCTTTTTCATAGGCCCTCCCTATCACTAAATAAGATTGAACACTTTAATTCTCTGAAGCTTTGTCAGAATGTAGCAAATTTGGAAAGCACTCTTGACTAGGGGTCAGTTCAGCCCTTAGTTATAGCTCTGTGACCTTGAACAAGTCACTCTCTTATTTTAGTTGGGTTCCCCTAGAAGTCAGCCCTGAGCCAAAGATGAGTGCAAATATATTTTTCAGGAGGTGATCTCAGGAAGCAACACAGTAGGGGAAGTAGGGAAAAGAAACAGGGAAGGGGAGGGAGCAATACAGAGTGAATTACCAAGCAAGTTACCATTTTATTGCAACTGGAACTTAATACTACTAGAGAAACCCTGGGAGGCAGTGTAGACGCCTGCTTGAGGGACAAGGGAATTGTACCATCCTATTATTGGTTGAGGACTTCTGGGGTGGGCATTATTTGCCCACACTGTAGAGTTGCCTTACAGGAGGTGAAGAAGACATTGGCCAAAGAAAGACCCTAGGTAAAGGGTCATAGATGCTGGCAGTTGGAGGGTGGGCCGATGTGCATGGAAATGGTGAGTCCCATTGTGTTTTCCAAAAACAGCTGTGTCTGTATCTCCCAGCCCACGTGTTCTTTTGCAATTGACTGTGCCACTCTCCCATCAAGAAGTGGGACTTAGTTTTCCACCCTTTGAATCTGGATGGGCCCTGTGACTGTTTTGACCAATAGAACAGTGAAAATGACATTGTACTAATTCCAGTGTGGGTGTTAACTGGCCAAGCAGCTTCCATTTCTTGTTTATTGGAATGCTGGCTCTTGGGACACTCCCTCTTAGAACCCAGCCACCATGCTGGAGACAGATCAGGTAAGCGTGCCGTTCAACAGCCCTAGCTAAGCTCCCAGCTGACTGCCAGCATTAGCCACCAATGTGGAGTGAGCAATGACCATGAGAATGAGTCATCTTGGATGTCCAGCCCAGTGGAGGCTTCAGAAGACTGCAGCTCTCACATCTGACTTAAAAACACATAAGAGATCCTGTGATGGTTAGTTTATGTATCAACTTGGCTAGGCTATGGTACCCAGTAACTTGCTGTGAAGGTATTTTATATATGTAGGTAACAACTAAAATCAGTTGACTTTAAGTGTTAGAAATTATCCTCAGTAATGTGAATGGGCCTCATCTGATCAGTCGAAGGCCTTAAGAGCAAAAACGGAAGTTTCCTGGAGAAGAAATTCTGCCTCAAGACTGCCGCATCAACTCCTGCCTGCATCTCCAGCCTGCCAGCCTGTGCTACAGATTTCAGATTTGCCAATCCCTACAATTACATGATCCAATTCCTTTAAGTATATATATATGGTATATCTATATACAGGGTATATGTATACACACACACACACACACACACACATATACATATATATATATACCTATGTCTATAATTGGTTCTTTTTCTCTGGAGAACTCTGGCTGAAAAGGATCCAAGCCAAGAACCACCCAGGTGAGCCCAGTAAACCCACAGAACCATAAAAGTAATAAAAAGCCATTGTTTATCACACAGCAATAGATAATGAGAATAATCAGAACAGGAAGTGACATTGTCCACTCTGCTTCTCTGTACCTCAGTTTCATCATCTCTGTAGTGAATATCTTGTCCTAGATTGACATTTTAGCTCTTTCGAACTTTCTTGCTCTCAAATTCCCAAGACTCATCAATGAGATGGACTATTCTGCTGTCATTAAATTGACAATGCATATTTTAACACCAAGCTGAAAATCAAATGAATAAAGATTTAAATACGATAAGATGGACAGATTACTAAATTATAAAAATTGTGGCACTGAAGAGGTTATAAAGTTAATTAAATAGTCGGTAGGTTAAGGAAAAAGTGGTTTTATTCTTCTTTATTAAGTTGCTTAAATAACCCTGAAATATTTCTGTGGTTTTATGATGAGAGTTTTTATTGGCGCTTTTGTGAAATAATGGCAATGACCTTGGCTATGGGCTTTCTACAGAACAAGAGGTAACACTTCTCATCAATGATGTCACCAAAATATTCTAGAAATCAGGTTGAATATCATAATAGAGAAAAAAACATGAGGTCCAATTATTTTCCTACTCTTGGAATGCCCAGGTGCATTTTCTGAGACTTGAGGGGTCATGGGAATCTTTGTATTTCTTTTCCTTGCCCATAGCCGATAACTCTTTTCTTTCTGTTTTTTTTTTATTGCCCAAAGATAATGATGTCACAATTTCAACATGTTTATTAGAAATTTATTTCTATAGAGAAATTCAGCTCTGAAATATTCAAGGAAACTTAAAACAGGGAAAAGAATGTTGGAGAAGGAATCCCATGGAGTGTTAGAGTGTGAAGTGGTAGAAAATTCCAACTTATTGCTATCTTCGTTGCTGTACACACCTTGCAATATCCAGTTGGCCTGAGGCTCTCACTTCATTTCATATTGTCACTTCTAGACCACAATTTCATTCCCTCTATTTTTTTTTGTTTGTTCTGTTTTTAAGAGACAGGGTCTCACTATGTTGGCCAGGCTGAAGTGCAGGGGCTGTTCACAGGCACTATCATAGCACACTGCAGCACTGAACTCCTGGGCTCTGCAATTCTCCCAGGTAGCTGAGACTATAGGCACAGGCCACTGCACCTGGCCCCTCTACCTTCTATTTAAAATTCATCCCACTGACTTCAGGTTCTGCTTGGGGATAAAAGAGAGCTGGAAAGAGCATTGCTCTCATCTTACAGCAACAAAGGCCAGAAAGCCAGTAAGTATGTCTGTTGTTGAAGGCACCAGAGTACTAATATCACAAGGTAACCAACTGGCCCAAGACTTAGGCTCAGGGTGAGACTTCCTGTGCATGCCCGAAGCCCTCCATCTGACAGCTTCTGAGTGTATCCACCGAGTTCTTCAGTGCAAATCTGGAGCATGGAGAGGAAGTTGAACAGTTCCCCTTTAAGCAAGGTAGTATATTCTAGTAGTCCTATAATAGGGCTTGAAATCAGTCTTAGTCCTCCAACATTCTTTCCACAATTCTTCTTTATAGAGTTGTTTTGGCTGTTAGAAACAGCTTGTCAATTTCTTTAAAAAAAAAAAACCTGCTGGGATTTTGATAGGGAATTTGTAGAATTTATCAATCAATTTGGAGAGAATTGACGTCATAACAATATTGAGTGTCCTCACTCATATTTCTCTCCATTGATTTAGATCTTCTTTCATTTCTCTTAGCAATATTTGCAGTTTTCAGTGTGCAGTTCTGTCACATTTTTTGTCAGATTTGTCCCTAAATATTTCATGGTTTTCGATGCTATTGTAAATGGTATTTAAAATTTTTCAGTTTCCTATTGTTTGTTGCTGGTATATAGAAATACAATTGAGTTTTATATATTGATCTTTTATCCTACAACCTTGCTAAACTCACTTATTAGTTCTCTGCAAGGCAGTAGAAACCAGAATGACACAGCCTGGTTTCCCTCCTCCCCATTATCCTAAGAGGACATTTGTCATGCAGATGACCATAGGTTGCCCTCTACTTCTCTGTCTTCTGCCAGGCTTTGAACAGGAGAAGCAACCTCTCCAAGCCTCAGGATAATAATGCTCACCTTGCCGTGCTATAGTTAGGAGTAATAAGAACCTACATGTTGAAAGCCCAGCCAAGGCCTGAATCATAGCACTCAGTATATGTCAGTGTCCTTTGATTAATATTCTAAGTTCTCCATGGAAACTTCTTTTGTGCTCCCAAGTGCTAAATACCCTTTAGGTCCAAGTGTTCAAAGCATCCTCACTTGTTGGCCTATCATGATATGCTCCATTAAGGAACTAAAAACTATGTTTTTAGTTAATGCACATGCTGTTTCTAAATAGCTGATGCTGTTAGAGTTCATTTCTCCTTTCTTACCCTGCAGGTTACATAGTGTCTGTACAGTCCAGGACATCCTCCACCTCTCTGTTTGAGGGTGTTCTCTGGTGCTGGGACTTCTTGGGAGATTGCAAGCAAGACTGGAAATACTAGAGTTGTCTTAGTTCAAGTTGCTGTAACAAAATATGTTAGACTGGGTAACTTATAAACAACAGGAAAGTAGAGTGCTCGCAATTCTGGAGGCTGGGAAGTTCAAGATTGACGTACCAGCAGACTGGGTGTCTGGCAAGGACTCAC
Source organism: Homo sapiens (assembly GCF_000001405.40). NCBI lineage: Eukaryota > Metazoa > Chordata > Mammalia > Primates > Hominidae > Homo > Homo sapiens. The sequence goes on from NC_000020.11 coordinate 21,112,594, forward strand.
TACTTCACTGATGGCATCTTCTTGCTACATCCTCACATGGTGGAAAGGCAAAAGGGGCAAACAGCCTCCCTCAGGCCTCTTTTACAAGAGCACTAATCCCATTCATGAGGGCTCTGCCTCCCAAAAGCACCACTTCTTAATATCAAAACACTGGGGACCAGGTGTGGTAGCTCACATCTGTAATCGCAGCACTTTGGGAGGCTGAGGCGGGTGGATCACTTGAGGTCAGGAGTTCAAGACTAGCCTGGCCAACATGGTGAAACTCCGTCTCTACTAAAAATAGAGAAATTAGCTGGGTGTGGTGGTGCATGCCTGTAATCCCAGCTATTCGAGAGGCTGAGGCAGGAGATTCACTTGAACCCGGGAGGCAGAGGTTGCAGTGAGCTGAGATCACATCACTGCACTCCAGCCTGGGCAACAGAGCAAGACTCCGTCTCAAAAAAAAAAAAAAAACAAAAAACAAAAAACACTGGGTATTCAATTTCAACATATGAATTTTGGAGTATTGCAAACATTCAGACCATAGCAGGAGTTAATCTAAGGAGCAACCCTCCATCAATGAGTGGTGGGAGTGGATAGATTCAAAAGCCTACTTTCTCATCCCTCAGTCAAGATGATTCTGTTCTATCCTTCCATAGTCCCTTAGAGGTCCCCAGCTGAATTGAGTCACAGCTGTCCTCAGTGGTAACCTGCTCATTAAGGCCTCTTAAATCTGCTTCCTTCCTTTCTCTGTCTAATGGTCCCTGTCTCTCAACCACTTTCTGGGATAACCTCCAAAATAAACTAGTTGTGCCCTCCAACCTTGTCGTGGGATCTGCTTTGGGGAATCAAAAATAAGATAGGTCATTTGACAAATGATCAAGGTAGTTAGTAGCAGAACTAGAATTAGAACCCAGGTCTTCTGGTTCTAGACTATGTTCTTTAGTTTTACCAGATGTGGGAGTAATGCACTTGAAACAATGATAACACAGCATCCAGCAGTGTGTAATTGGACACTAATAGCCCAGCACTGGCTCCTCATGCCATGCTTGTATCCTAAGGCTGGTATTAGGAATTACTCTTCTGAGTGGGTTCAAGTAGCAACATAATCAGCAAATGAAGTGGCGACTGAGGTGCGGGTCACTGAAGCCAAGAAGGGATAATTTTTTAAAGATAATGAAATAGTAGTGATATGGGATATTTTAAAATCTCATGGGGGGAAGGGAGCCTACAGTAGTGGTGCACAGCTCTAAGTATGACTTAATGATGCAAGTTTTTAAAAGCCCAGAGGTACTGGTCAGCAGCATTTACTAGACCACGTGTTTCCATAAGCAAGGCACATGTACACATTTGACAAATGACTTATTAGTAGTGCTATAGTGTGGCGCTGCTGTGATGTACTAGAAAGATGCCTACCCCATGACATTTTATGTCAATTTTAAAAGTTAAATACAAGTTACTATATTAAATGCCATCACTGTCAATATCATAGTATATGAAATGAAAACAGTCTCATCAAAACAGGACTAGATAAATTGCATCATGTAAGATCCACAAAACAAAACTCTACATAACTGTTTAAAAGGATGAGGCAGATCTATAGCTTTCCATATCCTGATACAGTAGGATCGCCAAGATATGTTCAGCAAAAACACAAGATGCAGAACGGTGTGTAAAGAGTGCTGCTATTTACATATTTTAAATGCTATAGGAGCTGGGTTCAGAAATGTAGAGGTGCTCAGATAGACAAAGATGTGCTTAGAATAACTCAGGAAGGCCAAGTAAGATACTGGTAACTCATTGCCTCCGGAAAAGGAAACTGGAAGGCTTGTGGCAGGAAGGAGAGGGACATTTTTTGCTGTCTTTTTCACAGTTGAATTTCCTATGATGTATTGTTTCAAAAATATTATAATAATGAAAAAATATTTGAGAGCTGTCCTGGAAGCCAGCCACCAGAGAAAGAAACAAGACCACTGACTGACACGGGATAATGTGGAAAGAAAGGCCCAGCCAACATCTATACCAAGGCTGCAGTACAAGAGTGAAGCCATCCTGGACATTGCAGCCTCAGCAAAGTTCCTGGTTGAATGTGCTTAATATGTGAACCGTTCTCTTTACCATCTTTTTTCTCCTCCCGTGGAGCCGCCACCATGAAAGTCGAGCTGTGCAGTTTCAGCGGATACAAGATCTACTCCGGACACAGGAGGCGCTACGCCAGGACCGAAGGGAAGGTTTTCCGGTTTCTTAATTCAAAATGCGAGTAGGCATTCCTTTCCAAGAGTAATCTTCGGCAGATAAGCTGGACTGTCCTCTACAGAACGAAGCACAAAAAGGGACAGTCAGAAGAAATTCAGAAGAAAAGAACCCGTCGAGCAGTCAAATTCCAGAGGGCCATTACTGGTGCATCTCTTGCTGATATAATGGCCAAGAGGGATCAGAAACCTGAAGTTAGAAAGGCTCAAAGAGAACAAGCTATCAGGGCTGCTAAGGAAGCAAAAAAAGGCTAAGCAAGCATCTAAAAAGACTGCAATGGCTGCTGCTAAGGCACCTACAAAGGCAGCACCTAAGCAAAAGACTGTGAAGGTTGTGAAAGTTTCAGCTCCCCAAGTTGGTGGAAAACGCTAAGCTGGCAGATTCTATTTTTAAATAGATTGGATTTAAAAAAAAATGTGAACCAGGCCATCCAAATGAGCTCAGTCGGCCCACAGATTCATGTGATATAATAAGTCATTTTGGTTTAAAGACACTAACACCTACATGCACCCATGAAGAAAGAAAGGAAAGAAAAATAGGAGAGAAAAAGAGAAGAAAAAATTGAATACAAAATCGTGACTTTTCCAAAGTAGAATTCTAACGTTAAGTATGAGACATATTTTGGGTGACCCTTGTTGCTGCTAAGTGGTAGCAGGTAGTTAACTGTGTACACACCACCATCCCTGAGTGGTGGTCTCCTATGATAGGGACCCAATGATACAGTAGAAAACCCACAGATCTTGGAGAAAGGCTGGACTAGATTTAAATAGTCAGCAAGTTCCTTAACCCCCCGAGCCTCAATGAAACAGGGATAATAACACACATTTTGCAGAGCTCTTGTGAGGCTTGAAGAAGTAGACTCCCACACATGATTCTATGGCTGAAAGAGAGTGGGTATACAATAATCATCGACTTTTTGAACCACCACCATCCCACCCCAACTGTATCAGTTACCTAATGCTGCCTACCAAATCATACCCAAGCTTAATGACTTAAAAGAATATGATAATTTGTTATCTCATGGTTTCTAGGGTCAGAATTCAAGAGCAGCTTGGCTGTTCAGTTCTCTCTTGAGATCCCTTGTGATGATGCAGTCAGATTTTGCCTAGAGCTGTAGTCCTCTGAAAATTAGACAGAGCTGGAGGGTTTAACTCCAGCTAAGTCTAATTGCCGACTTATCAGCACTCACATGGCTGGTACAACATCACACAGGTTGGCCCTGATACAGTGCAGGAGGGGACTACACAAGGGCATGAATTCCAGGGGAAGGAATATTGGAGGACTATTATGGGCTGAGTCGTATCCCCTCAAAATTCATGTTGAAGTCCTAACTCCCAGTACCTCGGAATGTGACTATGTTTGGAGATAGGCTCTCTACAGTGGTAATTAAGATTGTATTAGCCATTCTTACATTGCTACAAAGAAATACCTATGGCTGGGTAATTTTAAGGAAAAGAGGTTTAACTGGCTTATGGTTCTGTAGGCTGTACAGGAAGCATGAGCATATGCTCAACTTCTCGGGAGGCCTCAGGAAACTTACAATCACATGGGAGGCAAAGAGGGAGCAGGATGGCATGTGGCCAGAATGGGAACAAGAGAGAGGGTAGGGAGGTGCCATATACTTTTAAACAACCACATTTTGTGAGAACTCATTCCTGTTGTGAAGACAGCACCCAGCCCCAAGCCATAAGGGATCTGCCCCTGTGATCCAATCATCTCCCAGCAGACTCCACCTCCAATATTGGGGATTACATCTTAACATGAGATTTGGGGGGTGAGGGCACAGATCCAAATCATGTCAAAGGCTAAATGAGGTCATCGGGGTGAGCCCTAACCCAATATGACCTGTGTTCTTATAAGAGGAGATTGGGACACAGACACAGAGGGACATCATGTAGACACAGGGAGAAGACGACCATCTATAAGCAAAAGAGAGAGGCCTCAGAAGAAATCAACCCTGCTGACACCTTGATTGCAGACTTCTACCTTCCAGAACTGTGAGAAAATTTATTTCTGTGGTTTACACCTTTCAATTTGTGGTACTTTATTATGGTAGCCCTACAAACTAATACAGGGGCCATGATGGAAGCTGGCTTCTATATTGACCACCTTATTGCATTAAAAATAATGGCTTCTTCAGATACAAAGCCACTTATTGTACAATTCTATTTATATGAAATTTCCTGGATAGATAAACCCACATAGAAAGTAGGTTAGTGGTAGCCAGGGACTGGGGGTACAGAGGAATGGGGAATGACTGCTAAGAGGTATAGGGTTTCTTTTTGGGGCAATGAAATGTTCTAGAATTAATAGTGTTGATGGTTGTACAACTTTGTGAATATGCTAAAAATCACTAAATTTTACTCTTTCAAAGGATGGATTTCATCAAATGTGAACTATATCTCAATTTTTAAAAACATCTTGTTGGCTTCTTATTGCTACACCCGACCATCATCCAGTATCTTTGGGGTGGTCTTCTGGCCTGGGTTCTGGTCCCAGAACTCAGCTGAGGAATGCTGAAGAAATATATGGCAGCCTTTATTCCTGAAGATGGCCTATAATCAAGTTGCGGTCATAGAACATGGCATTAAAATACTTGCAAAAAGATTCCAGTTTAAATTCATTCCCAAAAAGTCCACCACTGGGAAGAAGCAATGCCCGCATAACACCTCCACAGGCCCACCCCAGCTTCCACTCCTGCAGCAGTGGCCCACCTTGGATATGACACAGCCTCTTGTGCCTCAGTTTCACTGCTCCAACAAACACCTGCCATTGTGAGAAGTAGCAGAACATAGTGGTTGAGAATTAGGTCTCTGGTACTACATTTTATGGGTTATAACTCCACCCCTCCTCTGACGAGCCATGTGGCTTTGGTGGAGTGGCTTAACCTCAACATGCTCCAAATTCCTCATCTGGAAAACGGGGCCAATACATGTGAAGAGCCAGGCACAAAGTGAAGCTCCATCATATTAGCTATCGGATACTATTTACTGACACACATGCATGTGACCACACACGTACAATCTCTAACAAAATGAACCCATTTCCATTCCTCTTTGGTTACATTTAGAAGTCCTAGGAAATTCAGAATGCTTCCTTGTCCTCAGGGAGAGTTGGAACCATTTGTTTATTGAGTGTTTTCTACGGGCCAGGCCTGTGCTAAGGACGTCTTAAATATTTATTTCATTTACTCCTTGCAATTACTTGATAAATAAAAATGTTATTGCCCTCATTTTAGAAATGAGGAAAATGAGACATTCAAAATGTTGAGATGTGCTCAGAGCCACACAGTCACTAAGAGGCGGAGCTGGGACTGGAACTCAAGTCTACTGATTCTGAAGCACATGATCTTTAGACAACATGGTGCTGCCTGCGTGTCATTGACTTCTACCCCTGAGGCTGATGGGCTGAGATCTCCTCAACTGCCAGGGTTGACACAAAAGGAGTAAAACGGAATCCCAGGTTGAGGTTCCCAACTTAATGTCACCTACTGAGTCATCAGTGATGAATTCAGGTGACCAGAACCTGACCCTGCGTGGGCAGGTGACTGCAGAACCAGTAGAATTGATGAAAAGGACAGAGAGGAAGCTCAGGAAATGCCTCTGAGAGACAGAGATAAGTCATAAAATGCAGAATTTGGGCCATTACCTCTGACGACTTGCTTCACCTCCCAAAGGGATATTTTTCTTGTCTTCCTAAGAAGCAATGCTAGCTTGTGTTGGTTGAGGGATAATTCTACCAGGCATGATTCCAAGTGCATCACACAGATCACCACATTTAAGGCTCTCAATGACCCTGAGAGGAAGGCACTCTTACGATCACCATTTCACAGATGAGGAATTGGAGGCACATCAAGGGTAAGTAATCTGCCCAGGGTCACACAGGTTGTAAGAGAAGTGATAGTATACTATGCAGAGGAGGCACCTGAGCCCAAATTCCCAACTCTTGTATCTGACTGCTTCTTGAGGACACAATGGCAAATGTTTGATGATTAAGTGAAGGGAGGTTATTTTGTGTAGCAGTCATCATTGAGGTGTGCCCCAGCAATGAATGAAGCCAACATTTTTACAAAGACTGTGAATAATTGCAGGCAATGAGAAGTGGAACATTCTACATGAGGTGCCCTGTCACCTTGTAAACATAAATACATAGTCATCAAATAAATGGTACTTATTATGCAAACCCTTTGGTTTTAACCTGCCTGCGAATTGTAAGAACAGTCCTAGAGCGTCCCTTTGTTTCCAACCCTTGTAGTTAGGAGTACTTGTTGAACCCTGATGAGAAGTGCATCCAAGTGGCAAACAATTAAGAAATTCACCAAATGATTTTTGAGGAGAATCTTGGCATTCAAAGATTGTTCACATGTGACATCAGCACAGCCTGTCACTCATGCACCCAGGGCTGCAGGGCTGCAGAGCTGCTCCTGCCTGGTACACCACGCCACAGGCCAGTCCTGCAGGGAGAAAAGAGTGCAAAGATTTGGTGTTTCAAGTCTCTCTCCTCTGAGGATTCCTCTTTGTCTACAAAGGGATAATCCTGGAGACCTCATGGAAGCCCAATTCAAGGACTTCAGTGGAAATCATAGGCATATAAGAGCTGTGAGACAGAGTGAGCCCATCTCGTTTAAGTAGTGAGTCTCTAGCTAGAGGCAGTTAACTACTCTATTATTCCATTTTTTGGCTGTTATTTAGCTTTTCTAGAACTCAAGTATTTTAGAGACTCACTTTTTTTTTTTTTTTTTTTTTTTTTTTTTAGACAGGGTCTTACTCTGTCACTCAGGCTGGAGTGCAGTGGCGTCATCTCAGCATGAAACTTCACCTCCTGGGTTCAAGCGATTCTCTTGCCTCAGCCTCCTGAGTAGCTGGGCTTACAGGCATGTGCCACCACGCCCAGTTCATTTTTTGTATTTTTCGTACAGACAGCGTTTCACCATGTTGTCCAGGCTGGTCTTAAATCCTGAGCTCAGGTAATCCTCCAGCCTCCACCTCCCAAAGTGCTAGGATTACAGGGGTGAGCCACCGCGCCCAGCCAGGACCCACATATTAATGGTTGGTTTATATGATATGAAATAAAATGAGGAAATCTATGTTTTTATTTTATTTATTGGAATCTGCACCCAATTCTTATTATTTTAAATTAGCTATTACAAATGTCTTTGTTAGCCAGGCATGGTGGCATGTGCCTGTTGTCCCAGCTACTTGGGAGACTGAGGCAGGAGGATCACTTGAGCCCAGGAATTCAAGGCTGCAGTGAGCCATGATCATGCCACTGCACTCCAGCCTGGTGACAGACTGAGACTTTGTCTTAAAATCAAATTAATTTAATTTAAAAAACAAATGCCTTTGAGCAAAGTGCTGTTAGTAACCTCATGTCTTCCTGTATTCATCAGGGTTCTTCAGAGAAACAGAACCAGTAGGACACACACACACGCACACACACACACGTGTGTGTATATATATGTGTGTATGTATATATATATATATATTTATATATATATATATTTATATATATATATTTATATATATATATTTATATATATATATATTTATATATATATATTTATATATATATATTTATATATATATATATTTATATATATATATATTTATATATATATATTTATATATATATATATTTATATATATATATTTATATATATATATATTTATATGGAGAGAGAGAGATTTATTTTTAGGAAGTGGTTCATGAGATTGTGAGGGACTTCATTCTTTTCTCCTAAGGCCTTCAACTGACTGGATGAGGCCCATCCACATTTTGGAGAGCAGTCTACTTTCCTCAAAGCCTACTGCTTCAAATATTAACAACATCTAAAAAAAAAGTCTTCACAGTCATGTCTAGACTGGTGTTTGATAAAGCAACTGACCACCATGGCCTAGCCAAGTTGACACATAAAATAAATTCACAATCACACCTCTCCTCTTGATGACCATCACCTCTATATTAGTCCATTTCACACTGTTATAAAGATACTACCTGAGACTGGGTAATTTATAAACAAAAGATGTTTAATTGCTGCATGGCTGGGGAAGCCTCAGGAAACTTGCAATCATAGCGGAAGGGGAAGCAAGGCATGTCTTACATGGCAGCAGGCGAGAGAGAGAGACAGAGAGAGAGAGACAGAGAGAGAGCAAGCTCTCAGTGGAAACTGGCAGACACTTACCAAACAACCAGGTCTCATAAGAACTTCCTCACTACCACAAGAACAGCAATTACCTCCCACCAGGTCCTTTCCTCGACACAGGGGTATTACAATTCAAGATTTGGGTGGGGACACAGAACAAAACCATATCAACCTCCCAGCAAGGATGGCATCTTACCTTCTATTCTTATCTTTCCACTTCCCAGTGATTTATGTCCTCCCTCTCCCTGTTCCATGTTTATCCATCTTTCTACTTCATCTTTAGATCTGCATGGTTCAACAAAGTGGCTACTAGCTACATGTAGCCTCTTAAATTTTAATTTTAATTATTAAAATAAAATTAAATTTGGCTGGGCCCAGTGGCTCACACCTGTAATCCCAGGACTTTGGGAGGCTGAGGAGGGTGGATCACCTAAGGTCAGGAGTTCGAGACCAGCCTGGTCAACATGGCAAAACCCTGTCTCTACTAAAAATACAAAAATTAGCCAGGTGTGGTAGTGTGTGCCTGTAATCCCAGTTGTTAGAGGGTGCTGAGGCAGGAGAATTGCTTGAACCCAGGAGGCAGAGGTTGCAGTGAGCTGAGATTGCACAACTGCACTCCAGCCTTGGCAACAGAGTGAGACTCCATCTCAAAATAAATAAATAAATAAAAATTAAATTAAAAATTCAATTTCTCAGTTGCACTAGCCATATTCAATTGCCCAATAGCCATGGCTAATGGCTACCAGATTGGATATGTCTGCATAATGACTGCAAAATGAAATCTTGTCCTACTTTCATATCTATCATGGATTGAAATGTGTCCCCTGCACAATACATATGTTGACGTTCTAACTCTCAGTACCTCAAAATGCAGTCTTCTTTGGAAACAGGGTCAATGCAGATGTAATTAGTTAAGATGAGATCATACTGGGGAAGGGTGGGCGTCTAATCCAATATGATTGGTGCCTTCATAAAAAGGCAGAATTTGGAGACACATACACAGGTAGAACACCATGTGAACATGAAAGCAGAGGTCAAGATGATGTGTCTAGAAGCCAAGGAACACCAAAGATAGCCTGCAAACCACCAGCAGCCAGGAGAGAGGCATGCGGCAGATTCTTCCCCACAGCCCTCAGAAAGAACGAGCCATGCAGATATCTTGATCTTCAATTTCTAGCCTCCAGACCTGAAACACAATAAATCATGTTGTTTAAGACACCTAGTTTGTGGAGCTTTCTTACAGCAGCCCTAGCAAATTAATATAATATCCAAGCAGTTATTGACTAAATATACATGATTTAATTAAAAGCAGCATAGTGTGTACATTTTAAAATATAAAATGCTACTGCAGGCCAGACACAGTGGCTCACGCCTGTAATTCCAGCACTTTGGGAGGCCAAGGCAGGTGGATCACCTGAGGTTGGGAGTTCGAGACCAGCCTGACCAACATGGAGAAACCCTGTCTCTACTAAAAATACAAAATTAGCCAGGCGTGGTGGCATATGCCTGTAATCCCAGCTACTCAGGAGGCTGAGGCAGTAGAATCGCTTGAACCAGGGAGGCAGTGGTTGCGGTGAGCTGAGATCATGCTATTGCACTCCAGCCTGGGCAACAAGAGTGAAATTCCGTCTCAAAAAAAAAAAAAATTTCTGCTGCATTGAGAGGCCGAGATGAATCAGAACAGGACTTGTTGGGTTTCCCACTCAATTAGTGTTAGATCATGTCCCCTTTGTCCAATCACGCTTCTACACGACTGTCGATCATGCCTATCCAATAAAGTCCCCATAAAAGACCCAAGGGGACAGGGTTCAGGAAGCTTCTGAGCTGGCTGAACATGTGGAGGAGGTTCCTGGAGGGTGGTGTGCCCGTGGAGGGCATGGAACCTCTACACCCCTTCCCCCAGACCTCACCTTATGAATCTTTTCATCTGTATCTTTTGTGATATTCTTATAATAAACTGGTAAATGTAATGTATATATACATATATATGGAAATATGTTGAAATTAGAATTTCCCAATATTAGAATATATGTACAATTCTAATTTCAATATATTTTCCAGAATCAATTTTGTTTTTGAGCTACAAAAACAACAATTTCATTTGGTTCACCCAAAGATTCATGTGACTTCTGGGCCGAGACACTGGCTTCCCTTGCTGTTTGCTTAATGGGACCACTAGGGATCCATATTTTGAACTAGACTCGTTAATATTACATAGATTTCCAGCTAGGTGACTTTGGCCAAGCCCCTTATCTGCCCTGAACCCTTTTTCCCCTGTAAAACAAGGGGGTGGGGCTAGACTCCCTCTAAGTTCTAGCTAAGACATTCTAGGACTTAGAGGAAGCCTTGATCTAGGCAGACTTGATGACCCTTGGTCCAGTGAGCTAAAAGCAGGGCTGCTTACAGAAATCAGCTCAGCTAAATAAAGAGTTTGAAGAAAAATATTAAAATAGAGGGCTCTGGCAAATTAAATATTCAAAGTGAAGAACTCAGAATTTATTGAAAGCCTGTCACCATTTAAAATGCATAATTTTAGCATAAATACTCTAGAAATATTCCTTTTGTTTGCTATGTGTTATTGTTAATAAAGGAGATCCTACATCTAGATTTGTCATACGTCATTAATGAATCAACCATAGGATGTAAATTATAATTATTTTGAATTATCTATTTACTGTTTAATTACATTTAATTTTAGATTCTCCTAAAATGGCCTAATAAAAATTTTGGGTGCTAAATGACTGCCTCATCTGCTTACTCTGTGCTACTTGCTAAAATTAGTTATATTAATTGTTTGGGGATTCTTTTTCTTAAAAAAAAAAACTAACCCTGGGGGCATGGTCCTAAATAAAATATCCTAAAAATTTAATGCTTTTCTTTTCTTTGCCAGGGTTGTAGTAAAATGTTAGTTACACTAAACTCATTAAAATAAACCTTTGCACATTACCACTGAATCAATTGGATATAATCTGAATAAAAACTAAATAAAAGTCACATCAGTGCTACCCTTGGACCAGGGCAAGAAGGCCTCTGCCCTGGCTTCTGTGTATTAGAGGTTCTGTTCTAGCCCTTCTCTGCCCATGCTGCTCCACGCAAGGCAAGGAGGTCCCAGGGCCAGATGACAGGCCCACCTGGGGTGCTCACACACATACACACACATGCTCTTCTAGAACACGTTCTAAGTACCCAACACCCTTACCTTCCCTGCTCAAAGGGGCCCAAGCTGCTTTCTAAGGCTTTAAAAGGCCTCTTGGCTGGGTCTTTCCTGCAAGGGTGACCATCACTGGCATGCTCACTGCCCGGCCAAGAGGAGGCTGAGGTGGGGATGTAGGCAGAGTTGGGACTTGCTGGCTGGAGAAGAGGAGGAGAAGAGGCAGGGCACACACATCCCTGCTAGTGTATGAGACCCCCTCACAAAGCAAGACTGAGCCTGGGGTGGGAAATGGAGTTGGGGGGAGCTGGAGAAGCAGGCAAACTAAATTCCACCCTGGTTGTCCAGGTTCTTAAGAAGGCATATTGGTCAAAGTGGAGAGGAGAACACGTATTTTACCTAAGTTTGTTATCTTGAATTATAATTCAATATTTAGGCGGATGGTATGAGGGCCTCCATTCACACTCTTGCCCTGGAACTGGCAAATGTGAATGGAAGGCTGAGTAAAATCATAGTTTTGTGTTGTTGGCCTTTGAGTGTTCCATCTCTCTTACAATTTTAGTTTGTCACACCTTGCACCTTGTATGTGTAAGTAAAATTAATGGCATAGGAAAGAAACCAAAAGAAGTGAACAATAAGAGACTAAAGAAACTCTACAGGCCGGGCATGGTGGCTCATGCAAGTAATCCTAACACTTTGGGAGGCCAAGGTGGGTGGATCACCTGAGGTTGGGAGTTCAAGACCAGCCTGGCCAACATGGTGAAACCCCGTCTCTCCTTAAAATATAAAAAATACCAAAAAAAACAAAAATTATCTGGGTGTGGTAGCGCACACCTGTAATCCCAGTTATTCAGGAGGCTGAGGCACGAGAATCTTTTGAACCCGGGAGGCAGAGCTTGCAGTGAGCCGAGATCACGCCACTGCACTCCAGCCTGGGCAACAGAGTGAGACTCTGTCTCAAAAAAAAAAAAAAAAAAAAGGAAAGGAAGGCAGAGAAGCAGGCTAAGGCTTAATTTTTCTGCCCAGTGGGTTTTGAAATATGGTTGGCTTCCTTCAGGAAGCTTTTTCCCGACGTTGGTGATGATAATAAAACCTGATGCTTTCTATGTGCTGGGCCCACTTATAAACACTAACACATATTAACAATCGAATCCTAAACTAATCCTGTGTTAACAGCCTCCCACTTTACATATGAGGAAACCTGGGGTGACTTGCACACGGCTTGGCAGCTGGGACGTGGATAGGGAATGTACACCCAGGCAGTCTGGCTCCCGGGCTCCTGCTAGAGGATCCTACAGGACATTAGGAGCATTGTCCCTTAGAGCTGTCTGCACAAACGTCTGCTTCCCAAGCAACTAGTTATCAACTTTTCCCTCTCGCCAACGATACTGGCACCTGGAACAATCCTTAGATTCAGCACGGATTTTCGAGTAAGGGGTTGGTCCACTGTCGGGGCTGAGCACGGCTGTTTAGCATTTGAGGGTTTGTCTTTTTTTACTTGGTGTTTTGTGTCGCTTTTGAGTGCTGATATAATAGAACAAGCTTAGTACAGTGCCTGGCACTCAACAAATCCTGGCAAGAAAGGAGATCGAGGAAAAGAAGCAAGCGAGAGACGAAAGAAAGGGAGGGAATGCGCCTTGTAACATTAACGTAGCTTGTGCGAATCCTGGAAGGTGAGGGGAAAGGAGACACCGCGTCAAGGGAGAGAGGAGAGGGCACCGAGCGCCCGCCCCTCCGACGTGGTCCGCCCCGGCCTCACGACGCCCCGCCTCTGCCACGCCTCTTCCCCGCCCCATGCAGGTCTTCGTCCCGCCCCCCACAAAGCCGGCTTCCGCCCCGTCCCTCAGCGGCGCCCCGCCCCCACGGCGTCTTGCCCCGCCTCCTGCAGGCGGCCCGGCGCGGTGTTTACCCGCGGTGCATGGTGGGGCGGTCTCCTTCGGCAACCCCGGCCGAACGGCCACCCAGAGGCTGTGCTGAGCTGGCGCAGCGGCAGCAGCATGAGCCGGACCCTCGCATCGGCCGTGCCCCTGTCGAGTCCCGACTACTACGAGAGGCTGGGCCAACTCCAGCACGGGCTGCGGGACAGGTAAGGGCACTGGGGCGGGGGTGGGGAGTCGGCCCGCGCCGGGGGTCTTCCGCGTGCCCTGCCCCATTTTCCTTCCCGCTCCCCCGTCCGAGGTTCCCCGGGGCCCAGGCCCGCGCGCAACGCCCCCCAGGCTCCCAGTGGGGCCTGGAGGACAGTGTTTACTAGAGCCACCCCCTGTATTGGGGGTGGGAGCGGAGAGAGGTGAGAGACCGCCCCCGCCCCGTCAATAGCAGCTAAAGCCTGGTCTACGGTTTGAGGATGCGGCCGCGTCACAGAATTTGCCCAGAAGTGAAGGTGGGAGTTCTTCTGCCTGTCACTCTCCATCAAGCCTTGTGAGTTTCTCTTGTCCCCTTTTACACGCCCCCTCCCCACTCTCTTCAAATTGCCATCCCGCCGTGACAGCTGCACTGCATCAATGATGACAAGTCCTGGAACGCAGACGGTTGTGTGTGTGTGTGTCAAACATGTGCCCCCGTTTAAACTCAGGAGACTTTTAGGGGTAGCGAGGGCTGGCTAGATTTCCAGCGAAGGGATGAAATTTCCAGCTAGAGAAGTCCAGCTTCCAGAGGGTTCATGATGCCTTTGATTAAGATATGAAAGATGGGAACCACTGAAAACAGCTAGATCTAAGAGTGCATATAGAGAGAAAATTATACCGCAATGTACTATGAATAACCACGTAAAAGATAAATTGCTGGACCTCTTATTTAGCTGCTAAGTTAATTGGAGTTGTAACTCTCATTAGTTGACAAGAAAGGAAATACATTTTTGGATCTCTTGATAAACAAAACATTTAATGAGTGTTAAAAGTTACAAAATCATTCTAGTGAACAGGAGAGCTGTGTGCGTGACAGTGCTAAAATGATAACAATAATTACATGGAAAATAAAGGCAGAAGTGAGCGATTTTGAAAAGGAATTACATTTATCTTACGCTAGATTTAATTCTTGTCAGATATTTATAGAGCATCTACAACAGGCTTCCTTAATTGTCGTTAGCATTTTTTTTACCTTGTACTCCTTTTCTACGTCCTATTTTCTTTCTGACATGTCACCGCTCACCCATATCAGTGACCTCTTAATTTCTGACTTTAAAAAGAAATCTCTTCCTGTAGAGCCTTCCCTGTTTCAACCCATTCCCTAACTTTTGTGACTCTTGGCATTCTTACAGCACTCATAAATGGCATTCTTTTTGAACTATTAATTGTAAGTTATTTTTGTTTCCTGTGCTAGGAACACCTGGCTGTTTATAGTCCTTATGGCACAATAACTGTATAATAATTATGTACTTTATGATTAACACTTATTTAATTATTAAACAAGGTGAGGCTGTTGAAAATATATAAGGAATGTGAATCAAATTTTATAGCCTGTTCACGGTTCTGCATTTCGAGATTTGTTTTATTTTTAAGTCAGTACAAATCTGTTGCTGTGTGTGTTCATTTTTCATTTTAAGAATTTATAACTAACTCAAATTAATGCACACTGGACACAGTTATAGAGGCAAATAATTCTAGATACAGAAAAGGCTGCAGTAGAAATATCAAAACCTGGATTCTAGTCCACGAACAATTGTGTGACCTTGAGCAGGTTGTTCCACCTCTCTGAACCTTGGTTCTTTACCAGGAATGAGGGGGCTTGACTAATATGCAAAGTAAGGCCACAGATTTTTTTCTTTCTCTCTTTGCTAGAATAATGGGCCTTAAAGTAAAAAAAGAAAAAAAAGCTGAAAGCTGTAGTTTTGCAAAGCAATGTGTAAAGAATATTATTGTCTGTATCCAATTTGAGTGTTTGGATGTACCTTTTTGTTTGTTTGTTTATTTGTTTGAAACATAGTCTCACTCTGTCACCCAGGCTGGAGTGCAATGGCATGATCTCAGCTCACTGCAACCCCCACCTCCCAGGTTCAAGCGATTGTCCTGCCTCAGCCTCCCTAGTAGCTGGGATTACAGGCGCCCACCACCAACCCCAGCTAATTTTTGTATTTTTAGTGGAGATGGGGTTTCACCATGTTGGCCAGGCTGATCTCGAACCCCTGACCTCAGGTGATCTGCCTGCCTCTGCCTTCCAAAGTGTTGGGATTACAGGTGTGAGCCACTGCACCCGGCCTTGGTTGTACCTTTTTAAACAAAGAAACACAAAGCATCCCACTGATCACAGATACCACTGTCTCCTAAAATTCCTGAGTCATTTCATAGGGAGCAACCCTGGGTAGTCACAGCTGCTTTATCAATCCAGAAACTTCTGGGAAGTGGGAGACAAAAAAAAACTCCCTCTTTCTCAGCCCTTTTAGAGGTGGTCATTGCAATGTTAGCTGGTCAAATAACCAGCATATTTCCAGCCCAAGTCATGTTAGCTGTAGTTACACGTAGATGTAATTTTATCGTCTGAATGTTTTCCTATGTGTGTACAGTGTTTTTTCTGCATTGTGGTGAAAGTCAATAATTGAATCTAAAAGAGTCTAATGGAGTGACTTGTTACAGTGTGTATAGCACCCACAAGCATGGTAGAAACTTATAAGTGGAATTGGCTCTTACGGTTATACAAAAACATCCTTTTAAAAGGGCCCATTAGCCAGCCGCGGTTTTTTCAGTGCCTATATTGATTCAGAGTAAGATATCATAATAGTCTAGAAACTGACACTGAGATATTAGTAGAGTAAGCTGAAGATGGTATAGAATTGTGGTATCGAGACAAAAACAGAATAACAAGTGGCTTAAAAGTAGAAAACTCAGCAAGATAAGGACCACTTAGCTGTGTAAAACTGAAAGGTCCAAGTGAGGGGTGACTGAAAACATGAACTATGGGTAAGCATCCCAGGGATGGGTATTTCAAAGATTCTGAATAGAGATTTAATATGTAAGAATTGCAAGCCATGGAAAGGCTTTTCATTGAGGCAAATATCTGGTTTTTAGTATTAAATTTTAAAAAGACATGGAGGGCTCAGCATTCTGAGGTGCTGCAGTGTGGATGAGGGGCTAGAAAATAGGCCTGTGAAGAAGAGTTAACAAGATTACCACCGTTTTGCCTGGGAGAGAAAGCCAAGAGGAGTTTGATTATCAGGGTATGAAGTGTTATGATAGAGAAGTGTGAGCAGCAGATGTCTGCATCTGCTGAAGATGTTTTACAAATAAATTTTACATTCATTACTAAGAAGAACTTGCTGCTTGGGAGGTGGTGGATTTCCAAAGTGACTGTGGTCCTTTTTCACTAGAAGTCATAGGTGAATTTTAGAAATTATTTTAAAGTGGCTGGGCGTGGTGGCTCACACCTATAATCCCGGCACTTTGAGAGGCAGAGGCGGGTGGATCACCTGAGGTGAGGAGTTTGAGACCAGCCTGGCCAACATGGCAAAACCCCGTCTCTACTAAAAATACAAAAATTAATTGGGTGTGGTGGCGCATGCCTGTAATCCTAGCTACTTGGGAAACTGAAACAGAATCCCTTAAACCCAGGAGGGAGAGGTTGCAGTGAGCTGAGATTGTGCCATTGTACTCCAGCTTGGGCAACAGAGTGAGACTCCATCTCAAAAAAAAAAAATGTGTGTATATATATATATATTTTTTAAAGTAAATTCTAGCTTACAAAAAAGTTGCGAATATAGGACAAAGACCTCCAGTGTTCCTGTCACCCAGATCCCTCAACTATTAACATTTTATTAGATTTTTGACACTGAGATATCAGTTGGGTATCTATTTAAATCTGTCTATCTAAAACCATTAGCCTTTTCTGATCTGTTTGAGAAGTGCATATATGATGCCTCATCACTCCTAAAATCTTCAATGTGTGTTTCCAAAAGCCAAGGATGTTCTTGTACATGATCACACCATACAGCCCTCCTAGTGGTGAAACCAGTCCGCAGACTGCATCAGATTTCACCAGCTATCTTAACGATGCTCCCTTTTTTTTCCCCCTGGTCCAGTGGCTCACCTGCAAACCGCGGTTGCATTTGGCTGGCATGTCTCTTCAGTCTCCCTACATCTGGAACGATTCCTCAGTCTTTCCCTGTCTTTCATGTTCCTGACAAGTTCATAGAGTACAGCTTTCATTCTAGAGGGTGACCCTCAAGCTGAGTCTATCTGATGGTGTCTCATTACCAGACTGCAGTCGTGCTTTCTTAGGAATACAACAGAAATGAAGCACTACCTCAGGGCATGGGGTCATAGATGTATTCAGAGGTCTTCCTTTCTTTGTAATTTAATGACAAGTTGCTCACACTATCCAGTCATTCATTCTGCATGAACCAAGTACCCAATTGATCATGAAACTCTAGGGGGGGAATGGTAACTAATAAAAATTTCTAATGTGGAAGCAATTATGCTATGTTTCCTTCACTTCTATTCTAAGTTCACTCTTACTAGTGAGAAGGTAAAGATTTGTGATGCTATTAGTTAAAAATGTGTGTTTTTGTAATTTTTTTCCTTTTAATCTTTTTTTTTTCTTTTTAACATAGGCATACTGCAACCCATGGGTTGTGTTCCCCAAGTGAAGATTCTGTGTCTGGATTTTGGACCCCATATTCCCATTAAATGAATTTTGGTTAAATAGTAGTTTCCATTTAACATTATGCAAAGGAAAGAAAGTTATGTAACCTGTAATGTAGCTAACAGTGACTTTTGGGATGATCTTTTTTTTAAAGGAAAAGAACTATTCTGAAGATATATAGAAACTGATAATTAAGAGCTCACAAATGGAGCATGGGGCCAGCCCCTTTCCCTCAGGAAGCCAACCTGAGATCACCTCTGTTGGAGTCCTTATCTTTATTTCACAGCCTTTTGTTTAGGATTCTTTGCTTGGATAGAATATTATGTGGTTTCTTTTTTGGCCTTTACTTAATGTTAACTTAGATGAGCAATTTAGCTTCAATTAGGTGGGATTGAAACAAATAGTGGTGCTCAGATGGAACCCTCTGTGGCTAATCCTCCCAGGCACTCTTCTTGGGACTGAATGGCTTCATCAGTTTTATCCCCCAGCCCCCTGGTTTTGGCTGCCTCTGCTTCCTCTGCTGCCCAGTTCCCCCTCGTCCTTGCCCAGGCTGGTTGTGGGGTAAGACAGGTTTTCTCCTTAGCTTACTGCTAGCACTCACCTGAACAGCACAGGTTCAGTCTTTACTGGTAGTAGCTCCAGGAAAACAGCAACCTGTGACAAATAATGACACCATTACAGAGTTATAAAAAGAAATCCCTCCAAATTTGAAATGATGGTCTTAGAAGGCCTGGTCTTCATCAGATGTAAGTGAGGCCAGGTTTACTTTTCAGAGGTCTTTCTCTATCTCATCCACTTGGCTGTGCCCAGGCTTGTCTGGTTGAAAACAGAGCAAGCCACCAGTCTTCAATCTGTACACAAGATCTGATGGGACCCCATCACCGAAATGCCAGCGACTCAGAGAAGTCTGGCCACGTTACATTTTATATACTTATCTTGTTTATTATTGTCTGTCCTTCTCCCTAGAATGTCAACTCTTTGAGGGCAGGAGTCTTGGCTGGCTAGTTCGCCATATTAGTCTCCAGGCCTAGAACAGTGCCTGGGTCATCATAGGCACTCAGGAAATACTTGCTAAATGAAGGCACCTGCTTCTCAGACTTTTCCTATTGCATTTCCCCATTTACTTTGTGGATTTTATTCTTTTGTCTCCTATTGGTGTTCGTTTTGTTTTTTAGATTTCCCTGGCGACTGCTGCATACTTTTGTGCCTTTTGTTTTAGATGCGTCTGGCATTTTCTGCTTCTTAGACCAGAGAAGCATTTTCACAAAGGTGTGATTTGGTATTTGGGCTTTTTTTGACCTCTAATCAACACCTTGCAACAAAGCCATTATTTCAAAGAAGAGCATGGTCTAAATCCAACTCCCTGTTACTTATCATGTAATTACTTATAAAATGTTTTTTATTATAGTGAAAAGAAGAGATTGGACCTGGAAAAGAAACTTTATGAATATAATCAGTCTGATACATGCAGGTAAGAGACGACAGTGGGAACAGTTTTCAAGCCAGGTTCCATATATTAATCAAAAATGTAACCCTAATGTTATGTCATAAATATTGTAGTTAGAGTACTGGGTTTTTGGTTTTGTTTTGTTTAGTTTTTTTGAGATGGAGTCTTGCTCTTTCGCTCAGGCTGGAGTGCAGTGGTGTGATCTTGGCTCATTGTAACCTCTGCCTCCCAGGTTCAAGCAATTCTCCTGCCTTAGCCTCACAAGTAGCTGGGATACCTGAGATTACAGGTATGTGCCACCATGCTGGCTAATTTTTCTATTTTTAGTAGAGACTGGGTTTCACCATGCTGGCCAGGCTGGTCTCGAACTCCTGACCTCAAGTGATCCCCACGCTTCTGTCTCCCAAAATGCTGGGATTACAGCAGTGAGCCACTGTGCCCAGCCTAGTTGGAGTACTCTTACCATTCTCTTATTTTTAGTGTGTAATAATTTGAAATAAACAGTGCAGTTTAATATAATTACTATCAAATTTGGTTAAAATCGGTATGAGATCAAAATATGTTATTTTCATTATTTCATATTTGTTTTATTTCAAGAATCTGTTTTGCTTAAAAATCTTAAAATAAGACATAGCCTTATCTTTTTGGTTGCAATTTAAACACATTGAGCTTGTGTGATGATTAAGACATAATTACTGTAGTTGATCTTTCAAGGTACTACTGTAGGCAGGATTACCTGGTATCTCATTTGTTCATGGATATATGAGAATGACTATTAAAATTATAAGCAGTGAATAATATATTGTACGCATTATCCTTTTTAGGTTTCTTCCTCCACTATTAAGAGCAGATCTTAAATATTTTAATTTCTATTTTATAAAAACTGAACTTTATCCTTAAGCCAAAAGTATGGCATTACCTCTTATATTATTCATATGAAGAACTTCTGGCTTTGATAGCATTAAGTTTGTAATTTATCCATGTCACACTATGAGTGAGAAATGAAAAGATCTCATCCAGAAGAGAGAGAGGCCAAGAATCCTTTAAAGTCAAATTACCTATTAGGTCAGTTCTTTCCCTTGTCTTCAAAATTATTCTTTGGTTTTAAGATTTAGTGTACTTCCAAAGCTTCCAGTTGAGGTAGACAGCCGTATGACTCTAGTAACTCTGAAAGAGACAAGAAATCAGTTGTTTTGTGTGTGGAAGAAATAGCCAGCATTGTGGATGCTGTGGCCTCAAGAGTGGGCCCAAGTCTGAGGGGATCCTTGGCAGCTGCCATTTTTCTAGCCCATGGCTAAAGGGCAGAAGATTGTGTGTAGACGTTTCATGCAGTCTGTTCTTGGGAAGGCTCCTGGCCTTCTGGTGGTGGGAGGGGCAAGTGTGAGAAAAGGATGGGCACTTTTACCAAGCCGTCAGTTCACTGAGCTGCTGCTTCTCTCCCAGCCTCTTACTGTTTCCTGGAAGACAGAGGATATGATTTGCTAAAAATAGGCTTGCTTAGATTGCCTGTAGAAGAAAATCCAAACAAGGCTGCCTCCACCTAGTACCTGCCAGAAGGCAGAGTCTGAGACGAGGGTCTGTGTATAAGTGGTAATTTATTTGACAAGGTGGTCACCTAAAATTGGAGAGCAGGGCTGGGCTGACCGAAATAAGAGCTGTTCACTGCAGTGAGCACCTGGGGCTCAGTCCCTCCAGACCTTCAGAGGAGCCTTCAGAGGAGCAGTGTAGACTACCCTTCTGCTCCGCACAGTGTCTAATCCTGCGAAAGGAGATGGGGCTGTATTCCTACCGGTTTCTGACCCCCACTGGTAAGGGCAGCCCCAGGTGGAGTTAACTCCTTTACACATCTAGGCTTTTCCATGCTGCAAACTCAGAACGGCAGCCCTGAAATGCCAAGTGCAGCTGAGGCAGAGGCAGAGGCAGACGCTCTCAGGTTATACCACATGCAGCAGGCTGTGGCGGCTGTGGCGACTGTGGCGACTGTGGATGGTAGAAAAAAGGTCGGGCCAGGAGGCGTGAGGTGGGCACAAAGGGTGTCTCATCCAGCAGCCCACCAGACACGCCATTATCTGCACCCTTTTTAATTTACATTATCACCATCTCTCTCCAGCCTCTCCCTAAGATTCGACACTGACTGAAACGTCAGGCTCTTAAGCATGACGGGATGTTTTGTAATGTGGTATAAACTTCTAGGCTCTGTGGTTAGGTGCTTCACTTCCATCTGAGCCTCACCAGCTCTGAGCCGGTGACCTTGGGGCAATTACTCCAACATTCGGTGCCTCCATTTCTTCTTCTGTCAAATGGGAACAATGACAGCTGTGAGAACTCACTAAGATTCATACAAACCCTTAAAGCAGTGTCTGACCTAGAGCCAATTATTATTTATTACAATTTTATCAACATTCTTTTTCCTATTTTTTGCCGTCGAGCTTTCTGACATGCTGTTCCCCCACCTGGAATGTTTTCCCCTCATCTTTTCATTTTTGGCTTCATCAATTTTGATTAACTCTCATTCATCTTTCAGGTTTTTTTTTTTTTTTTTTTTCCCCAAGACAGGGTCTTGCTCTGTTGCCTAGGCTGGAGTGCAGTGGTGTGATCTCGGCTCACTGCAGCCTCTGCCTCCCGGGTTCAAGCAATTCTCCTGCCTCAGCCTCCTGAGTAGCTGGGATTACGGACACATACCACCACACCCGGCTAATTTTTGTATTTTTAGTAGAGGCGGTGTTTCACCATTCTGGCCAGGCTGGTCTGGAACTCCGGACCTCAGGTGATCCACCCACCTCGGCCTCCCAAAATGCTGGGATTACAGCCATGAACCCCCATGCCCGACCCATCTTTCAGGTCTTAGCTGAAAGTTATTTCCACTGGGAAGGCCTCCCTGGCCTTTTCAGCTAGGTCAGGTTGCCCGGTGTGTAGAAGTCCTTTTTAGTTTCCCTCATAGCATTCATCACGTATTTACTTATTTCATTGTTTTCTTTGTTGACCTTAGCTGAAAGACTTTGATCTTTAGAGTGCTGAATATATGGATAATTGCATGGGTAGATGAGTTACTCACTCATGTGGTCAGCTTTGAAGGTTAATGTGGTAGCTGGAATGGAACTAGAATTTGGATGGAGAAGGCATAGTACAATTGTACCCACTCCGGGTAGACACCACCAGCAGCAGCTTTACTGAGTGCCTGAGTGTGAACGACAGTATGTTAGGTTCTACCTCTGTTACAGTTACTTGCGTCAAAAATGCAGAGACATGGGCAGCAATAAGACCAGCCTTCAGTTTTTATTCAGAAAGAAAAATGAAGACAGCCAACCATGGTCAAAGCGCAGAATTATTAACACGATAAAGACTTTCTTGAAAATTGTTGGCCTAGGATTGGAAGTTTAAGATCTGTTGTTAAACAACTTTGGACATCTCCAGCATCTTTGCAAATCTTTGTTTTGAGGGTGAATATTTTTGTCATTTTAAATTTTATTTTTGTTTGATGAAAGAATGTTGAATAATTTATTGAGCCAACAATTGAAATGCTGTATAACAGGGAAGAAGAGTTAGGATTAACAGCGTTGGTGCCATGAGAAAAGTCGACTACACAACTTGAACTATCCAGTATGTTTTTTTATGTACAGAAAAATTGGAATGCAGAATATGTTTTTGCTATTATACTTTGGATAAGAGTCTGAAAGTTTTTTTCACAGTTGGAGTAATTATAGTCCATATATTATAAAATATTTTAATAGTGAATTATATTGTAGCAATTTCTAACAAGTATGTTTATATTATCTAAATGAGAGCTTTTGGTATTTTACATTTTTAAATTTCTTTTTAATTTCTTAATTTTATGGGTTGTGATTTGTAGTTTGATTTAATTCCATATGAGCAGTTATTTTTGAAATTGTCATATGTAAGAATGTTAGTGAGCCATTCGTCGAACATGTCCACATAGACACTACTCTTGAAATCACATTTAATTTTGAGAAATAAATCCATAGAAATCTTTACTGTGTGAATGTTAGAATGTGGTCTTATATATATTTCTCAGGGGAGTTATGCTTAGAGGAAACCGATATGATACCTCAGTGGTGCTGCATTAACTTTCTCTCTCCAAAAATGTGTATATACATTTTGTTGTTTGGGTTTCGGTGGTTTGGGTAAAATACCTTAGAATACATTGTCTCATTAACAATTTTGATGAAGAAAATTCCCTTTCTTAGATTCGTCCAAGTCTAGTCCATTGTTTTAAAACTGCTTTTAATTTTCTAGAGTTAAGCTGAAATATGTAAAACTAAAGAATTATCTGAAGGAAATATGTGAATCTGAAAAGAAGGCTCATACTCGAAACCAAGAATATTTAAAGCGATTTGAGCGTGTCCAAGCTCATGTTGTACACTTCACCACAAATACAGAGAAGCTTCAAAAACTGAAGGTGACTTCCTGTTTTTTACTGTGTTTTATTTTATTTGTTGTTGTGTGTTTTTTTTTTTTTCTTCAAGATGAGACCTCACTGTGTTACCCAGGCTAGACTTGAACACCTGGGCTCAAGCAGTCCTCCTGTCTTAGCCTCCTGAGTAGCTGGGATTACAGGTGCACACCCCATGTAGCTGTGTACCTCCCGAGTAGCTGGGATTACAGATGCACACCCCAGGTTTATGTTTTGTTTTTAATCTTTTTTTTGCTAAAATGAGAAATAATGAGTACTAAGTTTCAGATCAGTGGTAGTCACTAATGTTTTGTTGTTCATAATTAGGATTAAGTATCAGCTTTTTCTGTGAATTACCATGTGGCTGAATTTTATCAGGGAACTTGAAACTGCATTTTCCAAGATTCTTCTTTAGTTAAGGAATCAATGGGATATCTCTAACACAGGCAAGATCACTAGCCAGTACCTGGCACGGTGTAACACATGGTATTTGTTGGCTGAATGACTGAATTTGAGCAGCATTGGGGTTCTCTCTAGAAACTGATTCTGTCTTGAAAGGGTTCTTTTTCTGTGGTCTGGGCCCCTCTTCTCTGGCAAACAGTGCATTGGGAGAGTAGTAAGGGTAGAACTGTCCCCGAGGAGTTTGCCTTTATGCTCCTGGTCTGTGTGACCCAGAGTGACTGCCCTTGCAGCTCTCTCTGGTTCTGGCACCTTTTTCCCCTTGAAGTGCAGGTGCTTGGCTGCCTGCTGCTGCTTGGCTTCCTGCTGCTCCACAAATTATGCCAAGTGTGGAGGGCCAGGAGCTAGGCCTTTATCCTCACCATTTGCACTGGTCAGGTGTTGTCCAATGTAACCCATCTTAACACTGGTCACAGGAGGAGTTGGATTCAGTATTCTGCCTGCTAGCCTGCTACTGAGCCCCCCTACCTTTTTTTTTTTTTTTGCCCTGCAGTTTTTCTTCAGCCTTTTATTGTAAAATTTTCAAATACACAGAAGAGTTAGCATAATTATTATGATGAACACTCATAATTCTCCACTTAGATGCAGTAGTTGTAAATATCTTGTTATATTTGCTTTGTATGTGTATTTTTTTTTTTCTCTGAGCCATTGAAAGTCTGCTGCAGGCATCATGACACTTCTTTCCTAAGCACTTGAGCGTGGATCTCCTAAATGCAGGGACAGTCTCCTACATAATCATACCATTATCACGTCTAAGAAGATTAAAAATGATTCCACAATTTGCTTTTTGAGACAGGGCCTTACCATGTCATCCAGGCTGAAGTGCAATGGCGTGATCATGGCTTATGGTAGCCTCAACCTTCTGGGCTCAAGCGAGCCTCCCTCCTCAGCCTCAAGCTGGGACTATAGGCATGCACCACCATGCCTGGCTAATTTTTTATTTTTTTGTAGAGATGAGGTCTCACTATGTTGCCCAGGCTGGTCTCGAACTCCCAGTCTCAAGAAATTATCCTAACTTGGCCTCCCAGAGTGCTGGAATTATGGGTTTGAGCCACTGCACCCAGACATAATATTTAATTTTCAGCTCGTATTCAGATTTCCCCACTTCTCCCAAAAAGTAACTTATTTTTCCAGACTAGGAGCCAACTAGGGCTCATGTATTGTTTTCTATGTTATTGATTATTGTGCCTTTTTTGTCTCTTTTAATCTAATTTAGTCTCCTACCATTCCTCCTTTTTTTTCCCCATGTCATTGGCTATTTTGAAAAAGGCAGTCCATCTGCTTGTAGAGTGATCCGCATTCTGAATCTAAGGCATCATTTAACTTGCACAGCATCCCCTGTATTTCCTGTGAACTGGAAATGTGGTCTAAACAAGCACTGTCCAGTAGAATTTTCTGCAGTGATGACAATGTTCTGTATCTATGCTGATGCTATCTAATACAGCTACTGCTCATATATGGCTGTTGAGCACTTAAAATGTGGCTTGTGACACTGAAGACTGTATTTTTAATTTTGTCAATTTTAATTAATTTTAATTTAAATAGTTACACCTGAGGTTATACTTCCAACTGCATCCCATCAGGAGGCCCATGATGTCAGGTGGCCCCTGGGTGAGGCTGACTTTGACCCCTTGGTTAAGATGATGATCTCTAGATGTCTCTATTGTAAGGTACATTTTTTTCCCCTTTTGCATATTAGTAACTCATCTATAGAGTGATGGGTTGGCATCATGGGAATATTGTGTTCCTTAGTATCCTTTTACCTAATGGTTTTAGAACCTATAGATCTGAGCCTTGCCTGAACCAGTTATTTCTAGTGGAGGTTATGAAAAGTGGTGATTTTCTGTTTTATTGTATCTTCTGTTAGCTGACTTTCCTCTATAACGAAGAATGTTTTCCCCCTTTTCTTTCTTTCAACCTCTTTTTTTTTTTTTTTTTTTTTTTTAAAGCCTACAACAGCACCTGGTATTCCCAGGAAGTCTCCCATCCAAGTATGAAACCGGCCCAACCCTGCTTAGCCTTCAAGATCAGATGAGAGCAAGCGTGTTCAGGGTGGTATGGCCGTAGGACCTTTTTTTTTTTTTTTTAATGTTATGATGGACTTGTGAATTTCTATTTACTAGTATGTTATCAATTACAGTAATTATTCTTTTTGTTGTTTTATCGTCTTATATTTGGCCAATTGGAGTCTCTCCAGATTGGCTCCTGTGTCCTTTTGACATAACCCCGTTAATTCTGAGCCTTCTTTGATCTGGGGCATAACAAGATATTCCAGGTTTACCTCACATTTTTTCTCCCTCAGATATGGAATTAACCTCCTATCCAAGGAGCTGTGGTTCTTTTTAATGGAGAGGGGTATTTAGAAACCAAGATATATGGTTAAATGTGTTCAAGCAATAGCAAGTTTTAGCTTCCCAATTTTTTCTTTTAGTATTCATGAAAAATGTTTAAAGTTCAAAAAAAGTTGTCATTATCAATGTTGTAAACCACTTTTCAAAGATTTCATGGAGAAAATGAAAGTGATGGGCAAAGGAGGGAATTTTGTCTTCCCAATAAAATAAAGGAAATAATAGAACATTTCTGCTTATCTTCATATTGAGGCTTCATTTAATAGTTGATTTCTTATTATAACCAAATTTGAGAGGAAGGAATTTGAAGGGAAGAATCATCTTTTGTAATTTTTTATATTGAGAGCATTCATTATATAAAATAGGATATGTTATTAAAAAAACCTTGTATGAGCTGCTTAAGACTATCAACATGGGGGACCATTTTAACATGACAAACTAGATAGGAATATGAAAAGCTTTATTAATAAACATGGTTCAAAAATTATGTAGGTGTTCCTTATTTGAATTTTGGATAAGGAATGCCTTTAAAAAAATTCTTCTAGTAGCGTAAAAGACCAAATCATGGCACTACACTCAGGAAGGATGTGAGTTCCATGGAGAACTGGACTTTGGCCATCACCCTAGGTCCAAAGCCAATGAATGTTTGTTGTGTGCCTACGAACCCAGACAGCAATGTCAGCGACCCCTCCAGTGATCCCATCTTCTTCAGCAGGCTGTGCAGTGAGCTGAGGTTCAACATAGGGGATGTTTGTCTCTGGTGTTTTCCCATTTCTTTCTGCTTCTTCCTTTTGGGCCAGAGTCCAGAGGTGGCCCAGGTATGCCAGAACCACTTGTCTCCTCTTAATGCTGCCATCCAGGTATCAGATGTTTACCTCCTTTCTTGACTGACCTCACATAAGTCTTGGGAGAAAGGTGTTCACAGTGCATTGCCCACACACCCCAAAATGCCACAGGTATTGCACCTTGAACAGACTACAGTTAATACAAATGAACTTCAAATTGGTAGAATTCCAGAAAGTGCAACCAAGTGAAGCAGTGTGAGAGAAGTGGGGGTTTTGCCCAAACTGATACCAAGTGACTTTCTCCCACTTTGTAGAGGTGGGCTGGGCCCAGTTCACTATATAATGCTAAAATCTCCTAAAATGAGCTAAATACTGAAAACACTGTCAACTGATTTTATGACTCATAATACTTTATTTGGAGGCCTATAATAATTTTCAGGGCTTTTAAAGGATATTGACGTGTTATGTAGTTTTGAAAATACAGTGTTATATCTATGCTGCTACTTGTCAGTTGGATAAAGGGGCTGAATAAACACAGTTCAAAAATATAAATATTAGGTCTGGGCATGGTGGTTCATGCCTGTAATCCCAGTGCTTTAGGAGGCTGAGGTGGGAGGATCACTTGAGGCCAGGAATTCGAGACCAGCCTGGGCAACATAGTGAGACCCCATCTGTACAAAAAATTTAAAAATAAAATTTAAAAATTAAATTTAAAATTAGCCAGCTGTAGGAGTGTGCACCAGTAGTCTCAGCTGCTCAGGAATCTGAGATGGGGGGGGATCATTTGAGCCCAGGAGGTTGAGGTTATAGTGAGCTATGATGGTGACACTGCAGTCTAGCCCTGGCGACAGAGCAAGACCCTGGCTCTCCAAAAAAAATTAATAATAATAAAGTAAATTAAAAAAACCCAAGAATGTAAATATTAGTATTAATGCTGTGAGGAGTCTGCCCTCCTCTCCCTCATTCTGCCCCCCTACTCCCTGTATTAGCTGCTTTTGTAGAGGGGGCCCCAGTTGGTCCTAACTTAAAGCAGTTTCACTCAGGTCCCCATTATCCTTGTCTCAGGTTGGGTTCTCCCTGAAGCAGACCTGGAGAACAGGGATTTGACGGTAAGTGGTTGATTTGGGAAATAAGGAATATCAGTAGGAAATGGGGGAAGGGAGGCAGGGAGGGCACTGGGTGTATTATTAAGCTAGCTACCATAGTCAGCCTGGCGCCAAATCCTACAGGGAACTTCTGGTAAGTGGTTTGCACATTCGGGATATGTGTCCAGCAGCTCCTAAGCAGCATTGATTGAGGACTGCTGAGCAAGGTTGTAGGTGGTAGGGAATTAACCAAACACTCTCCAGAGCAGCCTTCCCAGGTTCTGAGAAGCCTTAGGCACGGAGCCCCAGATTCCAGAAGTTAGGAGTGCCCAGAAAGGTCCTAGGGATGTGTGTAGAACGTTGCCAGCATCTGCCTTAGCCTACCTCATGGCAATATTGCCAGGCATGGGGTCTACATGTCAGGGCATTCAGGGAGGATCCCCATGGCAGGCACAAGAGTCTTCATCTGGTTAGGTCTCTCCTTGGCCTGAAATGCTGGCCCAGGCTTTTGAGGACAAAGCCCAGGTGCTGGTCTCTGCCTGCACAGAGCAGCCTCACCCTTATTACTCCTCCCAACACACACACACACACACACACACACTCTCTCTCTCTCTCTCTCTCTCTCTGTGTTTGTCTCTCTCACACAAATACACAGACGTGCACATTTTTTCTCCTCATCTCTCCCTAATTTCCCCCCTCCACCTTCTCCTGCCATCCCCATTTCTCCCTCTTATCTCTCCCCTGTCTCCTATTCCTGTCTCCTTGCCTCTTCTTGCCCCCAAATCTGTCTTCTCCAGATCCTCTAACTCTTCCACCCCCATATCTTCCCACTGTCTCTCTACATCTTTATCTCCCGCACACGTACACACACACTCTCTCTCACACATACACACATACACACTCTTACATGCACCCGCGGTGCTTTAAGCATGCTGGACAATTTGCATTTCCTTGAAAGCACCACATTATCTCATACCTCCTTCAATTAGAAGGCCTTTTTCCCCCTGCCCTGCCTTAGGTCTGTGTCATAATTATCTCAGTAAGCACTTCCTTCATGGTATTATAATTGTTTACATGTCTGTTTTCCCACTTCACTGTGAGCTCCTTGTCTTATTATTTCAATGCTCTCAGTATCTGACCCATAATATGGCACATAATAAGCACTCAGTAAGCATTGAGACTTCCCCCTTGACTGAAATTAATTCTTCCATATTTTTTGTCTCATTCTGTTATGGACCATGAACTACTACTATGTGAGAACTAATGTGGTATTGATGATACTCTTTATTATACCTTCCCAGTTAGCATTTCTGTTTAATAGCAGAGGTATTCTGAATATATAATGTCATTATTTAAAGATGTGATTCTCCAGGCCTGGACAACATGATGAGAACCTGTCTCTACAAAAAAATAGAAAAAATTAGCTGGATGTGGTGGCATGTGCTCTAGTCCCAGCTATTTGCGAGGCTGAGGTAGGAGGATAGATTAAGCCTGGGAGGTTGAAGGGCAGTGAGTTGTGATCATGCCACTGCACTCCAGCCTGGGTGACAGAGCAAGCCCTTGTCTCAAATAAATAAATAAATAAATAAATAAAGTAAAATAGATGTGTTTCTCCTTGAAAATTCAGTCATTAGGTTATGTATGCCTATAAGGGGCTAATATTTGAGAACAAGTCTTTTGAACTCTGATTTGGTTTCTGCTGAGGATTGTGACAGACATTGTGAGCAGGGCACAACCTTCATGCCCCTGGAGGGCAAAGTGTGTAGCAAATACCACTTTTTATCAACCAAAGTGTCTTGCCTGTTAATATGCATTAGTTGAACAAATGAACGTTCCCCCATATCTTTGGTAAAAGTTCACGATCTAAGAGGAAGCACAGATATTGGAAAAAAATAGGAGAAGAGAAAACAAAAGACTGTGAAGCTTAGTTGCATCTCTCATACTGACTTGAGGATCAAATCAGCCCATTATGTAACTCTCTGTACCCATTTCCTCAACTCTAATGTGAGGAGACAGGGCCAGCAGATTTTAAACGTCGATTCAGTTCAATTATTCACTTATTCTGTAACTTGAGAATTAGCTGTGCAACCCTGAAAAACAATGAAAAAGGAAATCTGTAGCAAAAAAAGATAGTGGTGGCACTTTCAGGCAAACAGTAAAGTGATGGAGGGGAAATTGACGGAAGTGAGAATGCAGAAAGTATCATAATGGAAAACGTTTGTGAGCATGGAGAGAAATCCCAGAGACCTGAAACTTCTGCCAGAACCTCCATCAATCCTCCATCAATCTGTTAATCGTTGTTAACAGATTTCATTAATTCAGCTGAAATAAATTACATGTGCATACTGAGGAAGTAAATGGAAAGGTTCTGCTAAATTTAGGTGGGCAGCATCAAGCCAGTGCTGTGAAGCAATACAGTGACAGACAGAACAAGTTACCTGATGGATTAACTCAGTGCTCTTGGGTTTATTAAAACAGATTTCTTGGGTTGGGGCAGGGGAGATAAGGGAATTATTTATCCCTAGAGGGGCTCCAGACCAGGAGATGTTACTGGGGCATGAGTAGGCTCTGGAGAGCGCTGTGGAAAACTCCTGCTCTCCAGTGTTCCGGACATGGATAATAACCAGGTGTTGTATGCAAAAATAAAAAAGAAAAAGAGAACAAAGTATTTTTTGATGGAAATCCATGGTCCCAGGGGATATAGACTTACATTCTGTATCATTAATTTATCATTGTATCTCTCTGACTTCATTGTGCGATTTCTGTTTGCATTATTAATTTAGCTAAAGAGTATCTACAGTTGAGTGACTTTTTCAGTTGCATTGAGAGCAGTCTAAATTGGGCTTTTAAAGATACTTCTTTCTGTTCTTTAGGAAGACTTTATGCAGTTATCACTTCCTTTTTCCTTCAGCAAAATGAATTGAATAAAACTCTCATATTTCTATGAGAAAGTGCTCTGTCTTTGGAAGGTATGGCTCTGAAATGATCCTATAATGAGGAAATCAGGTACAATGCTCATTGATCTCAAAGAGCGTAAGAAAACATTTGTAGTCACAAGAAAAAAGAATTTTTATTTAACCTGTAATTATATGTTTATATTGTAATTCATCCCCCATTTCTTTTTGAGATACTATCCCTTGGAATCTGTAAAGGATGCCTGTTTAAAGCTCTTGGGGCTAAAATGTAAACATCTCTAAGTTCAGAGGAATAGATATGGAACAGAGAGATGTAAATTGTATCTTTGTTATTGCTTTATCTATTCCTAGTTTATTATTTTATCATTTGTACTGGCCTGATAAAATTTTCATTTAATTGGGTATCTATTTAGAGAATTACTGCCATCTATCATATAGTACTCTGCTGGAGAAAAAAAAATCCATACCTAACTGTTACTAAAAATGAGACAGCATATATTACCTTTCAAAATATTTTGAGGGAAACAAATCAGTTTGGTTATTATTGCCCATTTGTTTTTCGTATGTCAAAACAAAGCTCAGGCCTATTTTATGTTCAGAGAACTAAGGAAACAGCTTTCTCATTTCATCTCATAGGTGTGTTTCTAATTACAGTGCATACCTGCCTAATTTAGAAAATGTTCTGATACTTATCTTTGATGGACCACAATCCATGACTTTTTTAAGGCTTTAATTACTAGCGTACTGAATCAAAGTGCTTTTTTATGCCTTGCTTTTAAGAAAAAGCCATTTTAAGATTGAATCACTTTCACCAATTATAGTGTGGTGATGATGCAGACATCTTTATGTAGTTATTAGTGCCAGAGCAAATTGGTTTCTGATCATTGATGTCTGCAGTATATTTTTATTCATAGAAAATGGAATTTGTTTTAAGTTGATGATCTAGCAAGTATGCTCAATTGCTGTGACGATCAGAATCATGATATTTTGTAGATATCATATAGATAAGAAATCAGTAGGATTGATTTTTTTTGTTTGTTTGGGGCAAAACTTCTAAAAGGAAACACTGTCTAATGTGCTACTTTCATAATAAAGGAATTGTATTTTTGTGATAAAGTATCAAACTGTATACATATATATACACATATACATGTGTATATATATAAAGATTTTATTTCCTAAGTTGATGAAAGTAAAAATCCATCAAATCTTATTTTATTTAAAAATTGTAGCATTTTGTAAAATTCAACTTTTGATATGTGTCATTTGCAAAATTGTTCATTTTCTAAGATAAGGTGAATTTCTTGGCAACATCAGCTTTTACTTTCTACTTCAATGCTCCCTGTATGTTGTAAAGACCGCAGTATACAGACAGGTGCTAGTTGTAAAAATATTTATCACAAAATCAAACTTTCTTTATATTTAGCTCGAATATGAGACTCAAATTAAGAAGATGCTATGCTCAAAAGATAGCCTGGGACTAAAAGAGGAACTGACAGATGAAGACAGAGAAAAGGTAATAAACTAAATTGGTAACCTTTCTGTTAACAGAGGAATTCTGGAGTGTTTATATCTTGAGATATTGTTTTAAATAAAATCATCTTATTAGGAAGATCCCTTTGATTAAACCTTACGTGATTATTTAAAGATTTTTGCTTACAGAATATTGCTTTAATGTCTAATTTAATTAAGTTTGCTGAAAGGGTGTTACTTTGTGAAGAAAGGATAGACTCTAAAGAAAACCTCAGTGTTGTCAGTAGGTAAAATTGTTTTTCTAAATCATGCCTTGTAGCTGCTCTTTTCTTAGTTTGAGAAGTGTTTTAAATGAAAAGTAAACAAAATATGGCATTTTGATTCTTTTATTTGTGCGAATATACATAATTTTGTACATTTTAACCTTTGCACAGAAAACGTGGAAAGAAAAGATTGCATATCTAAGCAATAGACAAAAAGATCGACAAGGAATACTTAAATAAATTCTGCTATGTATCTGCTATAATGCAGGCTTCTAATCCTCCTGCCTATCTCCATATAAATGATTCTGTTCAAGACCGTAGATGTTTTCTTCACTAAAAGCAGTAAAGCTCTTTTAGATGAAATGTCTAAAAACATCTTGTAATAACTTGGAGCATGCTGGCAAGAGTAGTCACTTGTGACTATGTGTGAAACCCCCTCAGCCAGTCGATATTGTAATAAGCAAAAATGGTAGCATCACTCCATTATTCAGAAAAGCCAACAGCGTGCTTGTTCCTTAGGCTGCAGCATTCATTAAGAAAAGCTTACTGGGCTGAAAGCTGGAAACAGATGATAACGGGATATGATTTTCATATTTAATGCTTTCCTTGGAAGAGTGTGTGTGCTACAGATTGATAGAAGAATCAACTGCTACTTTACTAAAAGACTTTCAGGTTTGCCCTATAGCTACCGATGGAATCATTCAGCCAAGAAATTAACTTTTTCTCCTTTTACCTGCTTTATATATCTGCTAAGCAGGCTGCCTGGCTGCCAGTAAATGTTATTATGCAGTTAACTGTTGGGTATTTAAGACTCTTATCAGAAAAGAAACAGAGGCCACACTATTTTGTTTTTATAGTAGGAGGAAGGTTTTAGTTTTTCTTTCTTCCGTGCATTAGCAGGCATTAATCTGAGTTTATAGGAAGTTTTCGTTTTCCTTCCTCATAGATTAAAAAATTAAAAAAAAAACCCTAGAACTTAGAGCATTCTTTAAACTGTAAGATACAAAACACCAAGCCCCAGCAACCTTGACCTATATAAAAAGGCTTTAATGATAAATGACGTATATGCCATTCGATGTAGGCCAAATGTGGTATGATGTGATAGAATTTTAGAGCATTCAGGCAGTTTTTCTATTTGATATTCGGTCATGAAATAATTGATGTGTTTTAATCTAGAAGCCAGTTAGTTCTTTCTATGCCATTCTTGATAGACATATTCTTAGCACGGCAGTGTCAATGGTACTTCAGGAAAACGGAAGCTTTTTTTTTCTTTATTTACCCACTGATTCTTTACCTTGCATGTAGTTGTGGAGTCTCCTTTTAGGACATATTTAAAATTAGGGCAAGAGACATACAGTTGACAACCCCTTAAAATGTTACATATAATAATTAGAAGTCTTTTCATTTATATGGAAAGGTGTCATTTCCTTAAAAGCTTTGACTATTGGCTGTATAAGAATCGATTAGGTAACACTTTGAGAAATTTATATTTTGCATTTTCTAATTTTCCATTGATGTTCAACCAATTAAAAGGTAAATACATTTCAGCAAAATCATGTTTTAGTTAATCCTTATACTAATTCCTGAACCATTCCTTATCATATGAGTTATAGCTTATTGTTTAGTGGAAATCCAAGCTTCTCTTCTTTGGGCAGTCATATGAATTGGTCTTGGTCATTGACCTCCAGGGCCTTTCCTGAAGCATAGTACAGTCACTGGTTGAATCAATAAATAGTTGTTAAGCATCAGTTCTCTTTGAGAAGCAACAGTAGGCCCCTCTATGAAGGCCACAATTTTCTTACCTTCAGAGTGCTTCTCAGAAAGCAATGTTCTTTCTAAGGCACAGAATAGTGTGTGATAAAGTGCCAGTCACGTGGGACAAACATGAGCAATGAGAAGAAAGAAGATTCTGCTTCCTGTGAATTGAGTAATCCCAGCCCTGGTGGAGGAGGTGGTGTGTGAGCTGGCATAGAAGGATGTGCAGGATGCCAGTCAGTGGTAGAAAATGAGCTTGGAAAGCTACCTTGTGGGATTTGGTACCTGGAACTATGGTCCCAGGCTAAGAACTGAGATTTCCTCCTGGAATTTGTGTGTGTGTGTGTGTGTGTGTGTGTGTGTGTGGCAGCAGATGAAGGAAGGACTTGTGAGCAGAGCAGTCACATCCCATGTGTGCAGCTGCGGGAAGATGAGGCTGGCAGTGCTGTGCAGGATGAGCCTGGGGAGGAGTACGTGGAACTGAGGAAATCAGGCTCCATTCAGACAGGAGGAATTAACAGAATGGAGGACCTGTATTGGGGATGGCCATTGAGGTGGAAAACACTAACAAAGGGGAGAGGATCTATCAAATTGGTGATCATTCTGAATTATAAAAAGGTATTTTTTAAGTGGCTATACAGCTTTCAACCATAGGCAGTAACTTGGATGCCAAGAAAAGTCATCAAGTGGTGTGTGTCCATTTTTTAAATATAAAAACTCTGGCTCAGTTTTGGTGTAGGACATCTATTATTTGCTTGCATCCAGTAGTTGCTCTTTAGAATCATACATTCGCTTAGAAGGATTAATAGTTAGTCTGTTCATCTGCCATGCTTGTTTCCACTATTAATTTACTTAGTCAGCTTACAAAAAATGTGTCTTACCAAAAAGGCACATTTCAAGCCCCACTCAGATCCTCACAAATTTTACTATAGTAATTCTTCACCTCTATTATATATATTGTTATTTTTTATTTTGGGGGCAAACTCTGTTTCCAGACATGTTCTTCTGGTTGAAGAACGGTGACTAGAGAATATACATAAAAACACATAAAAATGTATGTCCTCAAGAAAGATTGAGATGGCGTTTTTGAATGACAGTATACATTTGGGGATAGGGTTGTAAGGTTTCTTTGAACTATTATGCTGTGAAATATATTCTACTAGAAATAGAAGCAAACTGATCATACTCTGTCAGGGATGGATAGGTGTGGAGGACCAGGGAATTTCATCACAGAGCTGAAGGCTTGTTGAGGAGCTTCACTTCCACTGTGGTAACCCTCCCTGCAAGGATCAGGTGGGAGAATGGTTATAAAGGTGTTATTCCCACTTTTAATACTGGTAGTAACAATGGGTAATAATCACTGCACTTTTACTTTGCTAGGTGCTGCGTTAACACTTTATGTGTATCAACTCATTTAATCTTCTCAACAACCCTGGAAGTAGAGGATATTGTTGTCCCCATTTTATAGTAAGGCTCAGAAAATTTAGTTAACTTGCCGAAAACTACACAACCAGGCAGAACCAATATTCAAACCCAGACCACTGGACTTCAGCATCCATGCTGTTAACCACCTTGCAGCAATGCCCTCTAAGGTAGTATGGGTAAAAGATAGTATGGGTAGCTCTTCAAAAGTTGGAGAAATTCCTGGTGAAATAAAAACAACTTTAAATACTGCATTTTTACCTAGACTTGAGGGAGGAAATGGTCTTCCTTGGTGCTGTAGTATTTGAGCTGAATCAGGTGAGCCATGGCAAGCTGAGGACCCGCCCCCTAAACTGCCCATGTTTGCAATAAAAGAAGCGTCCGTTTCGGTTGGCTTTGTTGGGCAGAAGAAATGCCTTACAACTCGACTGAAGAAGAACTTGAAGGGAGAAAGCCTGCACGGCCACAGGAGGCAGCTGTGTGCCTGGTATGCAGGGATGAGCTCTGCAGTGGCTTTAGCCACGGATCTGAGCATGTGTCCGAGGTGCTCCCAGGAGCAGTGCCACTGCAGGAGAGGCACACGTCAGAGAAGACAGCACCCCAGTATGAGATGATGGAAAGGGTTCTTCCATTCCAGATGTGTTCCCAGGATCTGAGCACCATTCATAAGACCAAGGCAGCCACTGTAGGACCTGGCTCATCTCCAAGGAGTAAAGGGACCAGATACCTTGTGTGGGGGAAACTTGATTGAAATAAATATTGCAGCAAGGGAGAAAGGAATCCTAAAACTATACTGAAAGAGCAAGTGACTTAGGTTGGAATCCCCTGGGAAGGACCCTAACACAAGGATTTGAGTGTAAGTAGTTTATATGGGAGGTGGTCCCAGGAAGCACAGATAGAAAAGAGAGGAAGATGGCATGGGGAAGGGAAAGCGGGCTGTAAGAGTGTGTGATTGAGTGGGTTATCACTCATAGCACCTGGTGCTCAGTCCCATTGGGGAACCTTGGATGACTGTGTAGGGCATGCCTCAGGGATATCCCATTCAAGGAGTAGGAAAGGGAGGTTTTTCCCCTCCAGGTCTGTCACTACCAGAGTGCCACGCCTGGCTCCTCTTCTGGTGCTGCACAGCAGCTGAGAGAAACGCTTGGGCCAAGAGGCACAGGTGCTTAGAGGAGGACACTGGGCAGGTACTGGAATGATGAGGGCCCAGGGATATGGGCCCGCCCTCTCACACCTGCTAAGGGAAATAACAGTGGGTGGAGGAGGTAGAGGTTATTCCTTTGAGTTCTCTGTATAAGCCCGATTTCTTATCCTTATTAGCCCACAGTGCCACCTTCACCAGCAGCCTCCTTGAATCACTGCTCAACTATAAACAACACAAAAATCTCCCTAGACGGGGGCTCTGAGCAGTTGCCTTCACGGGGAACGTGGCCCTCGGTTCTGCCATTCTCAAAGTTATGGCTGTACTTGATTTAGACAGAGCCATGACAAGTCAAAAAGTAGCCTCTCTGTGTTCAGCTGGACCTTTTTATATTAACTGATTTCTTATTTATATGTGTTTGTATTCAGAAAACAATTAGAAATTAACCCGAATTACACAAATTGTATTTCAAGCCCTGGCCCTAAAACTACATCTGCAGATCTGCAGACCTTTTTTTCAAGAGAGGGTAGAACATGCTCTTCTCTCCCAGCTCACTTGACAGTAAGCTTCCACATGGCAGGGCCCAGCCCCTTCTTGCCTGCCACACCACCCCACAGCACCCTGCACCTGGTGAGTGATGATAACCTGCTGACCTGAAAGGAGGAAGAGGGGTGGGCTGCTCTCTGAGTGAAGGGTACTCCCCATTTCATGTGGTGTTCGAGGGCAGATGACATTTGGACTCTCCACTCCTGCTTTTGGGGGTGCCTTCCAAGGAGCTGGTGGGGAGTGTGGCTCTGATGGACAGCTCCCCCATGGGTCTTTCAGGCACTATTCTAAGGATTTTATATAATATAGGCGTATAGAAATACACATTGGTTACAGCAACCTTACAAAATAAGAACTATTTTAATACCCATTTTACAGATTAAGAAATGGGAGCTCAAATAAGTAACTTAATTTCTTAGTCACACAGCTAGTAAGTGGCATACTGGTCTGGAGTCTTAATAAATACATCAGTCTGCTTTTCAGTTACTGGAAGAAAGGATTTACTTAGGAAAATGGTGGGAGAGGGCCTTTTTTAAAGGTATTAGCTACTCTCTCATAGTCAAGAAGGAAAGACAGTATTTTTATAACTTACCCATTGTGGGGACATTTGGCTAGCCAGCTGTCTTCCTTTGCTCTTCTCTGTGGCAGTATTCTGTGGCAAGTGTATTATGTGACAGAGGCTCTAACAAGTGAGAAAATCGTATTCACAGATAGAGGTGCCTATCGTGTAGTGGAATGAGGGGGAAGAGAAAAAAAGTGGATGAGAAGGGGAAAAGAAACGTAAGTCAATTTAACAAGAAAAAGATAAATTTTTGTGGGGAAACACTGTTTCTTTTCTCCTTTTGATAGTAGAAAAGGATTTATAGAAGCTCCATAGGAGAACGAGTATTGAGTTCTTGTTCTTTAGAAGACTTTCCAAATTCATATAGTCCATGAAATACTGTATTATTAGAAAAAGATATACTTCATGCAGTCTTAAAAAAAAAGTTAGTGCCTAGAACTTTCTTGGAAAAGAATCTGGTAGTAACAGTCACGATGAATACACACATATGCTTTGTGCCAGCAGTCCCACTTTTGGTAATCTGTGCCCTAGAAAGAAAATCTTTTGTTCAAAACGGCAAAAATATAGTCTGCGTGTTGCAACATTATTTGTAGCAGCAAAAACACAGAAGCAGCCTGAATGAGCAGCTGCAGAGGAGAGGCTGAGCTAGGGAGAGAGAGCACCCTCATGATCAAGTATTCTGCATATGGCGCCCAGAATCCAGTGCATTCCTCATGATCTGGGCAGCGTCCAAGGAATATTATTAAGAGAGCAAAGCAGGTTGCGGAGAGTTGCTTACAACATGCTCTCACTTTGTACAAGTGGCCAAACCTTACCAGCAAGGAATTAGTTGTCCTGGGTTTGAAGGAAGGTGTGAATAGGCATCCTAACTGGTTTGCTTCAGTTACTTCATGGAGGGGAGAGGGAGGCAATGAGCTGGGGAAAATAAGTAACTTGTTCTTTACATCCCTTTGCCTTATGTCTCATTTCTATAATTTAATAATTTTTATACGATTTTAAAAATTAAACCTATGAAGAAGGGATGAGCAGGTGGTTAGTTCATTTTAGGAAGAAGGAGCCTGCTTGTGGTTGAGACTGTTCTTTTAATTGTGGGGGAGTGTGAGTTGCTTACGTCCTTACTCAAATCCCTCAGAATTATAGAAAATTGGAGGTGCCTTTCTATCCCTCTGATGTAGTTCTGCATATTTCTTTTGTGAATGGAGATCTCTAAGAGAGTTTTATCCTGAGTTACCCTATTTGGGGATGGTGGAGCATATACAGGGGATATTGAATTGTATTATAAAAAGAAAGGGCTGTTACCTTGACAGTTTTAGGTATTTGTTAAGCCTCTTAGGAAGTGTTACTTGAAAACCATAACTTAACTTTGTATTACTTTGACCAAGACAATTGCTTAGGCCTACGGATGTGAAACAGTGGTTTTGGGGTGTTCTGTTTATTTTGTGAAAGTTACCTGCTGTCACTATTTTGGAATGCCGAATTTCTCTTGAAGCTCATACCTGCTTTTCTCTTACTCTTCCATTTACCCCACATAGACTAGGTTTTATTTATCATATACAAGTTCTATTCAGGGTCTATCTTAGTGAGATCAGATTTTGAGTTATTTGAAGTTAGAAATTAGGCACAGGCTTCAGATTCACTATTAGGGATTTTTATGTTTGTTTTTAAAAGCTGTGGTTCAGTAATGCAATTTGAGTTTGACTGACTCAGTTTTGAATATTGTAGCATAAGAGGTTTGCATTGGAGTCCTGGTATCTGAGTTTAAATCCTGGCTCTGTGAACATGGACAAGTTGCTCAACCTGGCTAAGTCTCATAAGAGTAGGGCTAATAATAATGATTGTTTTCATAATATAAATCTCTTAGCTCCTCCTTGTCACCTCGTACATGCTTGATAAATGTTCCCTGCTCTTGATGCCACCGTCACCACCATCATTACCATTGTTGTTCTCCACTAGGGTAGCCTTACTTTGATCCTGGATTCTTGCCACTTATTTAAGATAGTGAAGAGGTTGGTGTGGGGGTAGGGAGACTACCTATGAATTGAAGAAATAGGAGGTAATAGCACTTGATGGTGACAATTCGTAAAGATTGATTTTGTGCAAGATAATTTACAGAATACACCATTAAAGCCTAATTTAACAGATATATCTTAAATTTAGATAGTTCCAATAACTGTTGAATTTCATGGCCAGAGATATCTCTCGATGGTCTAAGTTGTGAGATTTTGGTGATGACTACATTTGTCATGGTGGCAACATGTAAGAAGAAGACTTAAAAATCACAATGGCATACTGTATTAGTTTGCTAGGGCTGCCATAACAAAATACCACAAACTGGGTGGCTTAAACAACAGAAATGTGTTTTTTGAAGTTCTGGAGGCTGGAAGTCCAAGATCAAGGTGCCAACAGGGTCGCTTTCTGGTGAGGCCTTTCTCCTTGAGTCATAGAAGGGGCCTTCTCACTGTGTCCTCATG
The DNA here is from genome assembly GCF_000001405.40 of Homo sapiens. Taxonomy (NCBI): domain Eukaryota; kingdom Metazoa; phylum Chordata; class Mammalia; order Primates; family Hominidae; genus Homo; species Homo sapiens. Next base: position 21,153,772 of record NC_000020.11, read on the forward strand.
TGCCTTTTCTCTCTGTGCATGAACTGAGAGATCATTGGTATCTCTTCCTCTTATAAGGACACCAATTCTATTGGATTAAGGTCCCACCATTATGACATAATTTAACCTTCATTACCTCCTTTAAGGCCCTATCCTTTAAGCCACAGTGGGGATTGGGACTTCAACATATGAATTGGACACAATTCAGTGTGTGATACGTGTATCATGTAAAATATGTATAATAATTTTATAATAAACATATAACTTCAGGATTGTTGGATGTAAATTATTGTTAATGGATTTTTAAAAATCTTCTCAATGTGACTTAAGAACTTGCTTACATAGAAATTAAAAACAATAATTGTACCATGTGAGAAGCTGAAAATTTGGTCTAACAGCTTCATTTCTGTTCTGCATTTAACTTGCTGCTTCTCATTCCCTTGTCTGTGAAGATAATAAGAAGAAGAAAAATAAAGATTTCCTTAGCATTTTGCAAAACATGAAGTGTAACTTTTTTTTCAAAGTATACTAGTGGTTGAGGTCTGCCTTTAAATGCTGTAGTTCATAATGATTAAGACATCATTACAGTTCTAAACTTGTTGATCTCTTCTTATGCTCACTCCTCTTCTTTCCCCCAGTAAAGATGAATTCCTGATTTTTAAAAGTTATCTTCTGTTCACTAATAAATATTTTCAGTCATGTTCATGTGCTTTGCTATTGCTTCCCACAACTCCTAACATTTTTCAAGACTGCAGATGAATAACTGTGACAAGAAGAGAAGAAAACTGAACTAAAATCTTGGATTATAGATTTATCTCTAGCACTCAACTACAGAAAGTAATAGGAAGGTGTGGAAAAGTTGGTCATTATGTCAGATCCTTAAATACTGATACATGCTGCTGCTTTTGGCAATAACATCTGTCTCTCAAAAACTTTTGAATTCCTAATATTATTCCTGTGTCAACAATAATGTGAAACATGGCATTCTGTTTTCAGCTTCCCTGGCTCAGAAACTGCTTTGAGAAGACACATAATAGTGTTCAGAATTTAAGATTAAAGAGTACTCTGTTTCCTGTTGCTAAGCTAATAAAATGACAGACTTTTAAAAAAGAAGAGACACCTGTCTTAGAGCCTGATCTCAGCAAATGGGAAACCTGCCAGCCTACAGAAACTCAGCTTACATTTCACTGGAGCCAGTATTTTACGTTGCAAGTGTGGAGCTAGTTCAAATGCAGCATTGTCTTATAGTGAGCAGCAGTTAATTTTTGCAAGTTTCTCATTTTTTGTTATAAAAGTTTATATAATTGCCGGTGGGAATGTAAAATGGTGCAAACACTTTGGAAAACAGTTTGGCAGTTCCTGAAAAAGTTAAACATATAGTTACCGTACGAGGCAACAGTTTCATTCATAGCATAGCATTCAAGCATAGCAGCTTGCTGTGTACAAGATTGGACACCAAAAGTGGACAAAAGTTTATAGCAGCATTATTCATAGTAGCCAAAAAGTGGACACAATTTACATGTTCTCATCTGATGAATGGATAAACAAACTACAGTATATCCTTAAAATAGAATATTATTCAGCCATGAAAAGGAATAAAATACTGATAAATGCCACAAAATGGATAAACCTTGAAAACATTGTGCTAAGTGAAAGAAACCAATCAAAAAAGACAACATATTATACGATTCCACTTACATATTCATAAAATGTGCAGAATAAGCGGATTTTTACAAACAGAAAGTAGATTAATGGCTGCCTAGGGCTGGGGACTGACTGGGGAGGATGGGGAGTTACGCTAAAAGGTATGGGGTTTCTTGTTGGAGTGATGAAAAAAATGTTCCAAAATTGATTGTGGTGATGGTCGCACAACTCTGCGAATATACTAAAAACCCACTGAATTGTATGCTTTTAAAAGGATAAGTTTTATGGTATGTGAATTATATCTCAGTAAAATGGTTTTCAAAAGTTTAAATTTACCGTATCTAAGTATTTTTGTTATGACATAGTCTTTATTTGCCTCATTTTTATGACTTCATGACCTTTCCCTATTTTATAGTCATATAAGTTGCTTCCAACTTTTTATGATTTGAAATAATGCTCTACGTGAACTTGTTTGTCCACATAGCTGCTTTTTCTATTAGCTTTATTTCCTTATTATGATGGATTTCCATATAGAATTACTGAATCAAAGCAACAAGCATGGTTAGGACTTTTGATGCCAGATTCTTTCCTACGAGGATTCTGCCCATGTATTCAGCCACCAGCGGTGTGACAGCTTCTATTTCACCTAACCTTCCTCAGTACTGGGGGGTTATAATTTTTAAAAATCATCTTTATTTTACAATAATTTTAGATTTGCAGAAAAGTTGCAGAGATAGTACAAAGTGTTCCCTTGGATCCCTCACCTAGTTTCCACCATTGTTACCATCTTACATTACCATGCCACACTTGGCAAATCTAGGAAACCAACACAGATACATTACTGTTAACTGAACTCTAGACTTGATTCAGATATTGCCAGTTTTTCCATTAATGTCTTCTTTTTTTGCTGTTCCAGGACCCAATCCAGGATTGTTATAATTTTAATTTTTAAAAATTCAATATAATGTTTATAGAATGGTATTACATTGTTATCAGTCTTAGACGTAGGGTTATAATGGAGCTGAAAAAATTCCTGTTGCCTAATGACTTAACATTGTAGTGTAATGCATTCCTGACATGTTTGTGGTGATGCTGGTGTCAACAAACCTAGTGTGCTGCCAGTTGTATGAAAGTATAGCAGAAACAATTATGTATAGTATATAATACTTGGTGATAATAATAATAAATGACTTTGTTACTGGCTTATTATTGGCCCAATTGACAAAATTGGATTATGGGTTGTGGAATAGAAAACAAGATAATATCAATGTTAAATTTTCTGATTCTGATCATGAACTGTGCTCAAGAAAGAGCGTGTCTCTGTGCTTTTGGAAATGCTCACTGAAGTGCTTAGTGGTAGATAGGCAGGGTGTCCCAACTTACCCTCAAATGGTTCAGAAAAAAATCATAGCTTATATTTAGGTATACACACATACAGAGACAAACACATATATGTAGAGGGAGAGAAAATGATAAATGGGATAAAATGTAAACATTTGGTAAATCTGGCTAAACACTGTTAAGGGAGTGTTTTGTATTATTTTTGCAATGTTTCTGTAAGTGTAAAATTATATCAAAGTAAAGCCACGCATGCTGATGCACACCTGCAGTCCCAGCTACTTGGGAGACTGAGGCAGGAGGGTCACTTGAGTCCAGGAGTTCGAGTCCACCCTGGGCAACATAGACCACATCTCTATAAATAAAAAAAAAATTGTTTAAATTATGTCAAAATAAAAAGTTACTGGTTCCTATAAATAATACTGGCAACAACTAGAAATAGTGCGGGAAGACAACCTTCCTATTGAGTTGAAGCAGATCCTCAAGTACACGTTGCCTTTTTTGGGCCCTTGGATGAATGATGCATCGTCCACAGACTTTTATTTTTACACATAATTAAGGGCCACTTTTTTATAATTGTTAATTTGTTACAGGCCACTAACATGCCATGTACTTATTAATTAGTATATTACTAGAGTTTGTTGAGGACCCAGAGTTCAGTATTCCAAGAAGTCTGGCAATGCTTGGCAAAATTGCAAAACAGTTAATAACTACTTGCTGTCACAGAGAGTGGTAAATACTCCTCTTTTTGGGAAATAAACCTCTGCTAACAGTGTTGTCTCTTGAATTGGCCTTATTTTCACTTTCTGTAGTTCTGAAGCATTTACTATAAGTACATCATGGTTCCCTGCTACTTTTCCTGACTATGCAGATTACCAATCTGTTGTTTCTCTCCAGTTCTTGGCTCTGGATTCGTTGTTCAGTTTTGCCTATCTTAGGGGGTTGGAGACATTTGAGAATTACTAGTTGAGAGCAGTAACTCAGGGGCACTTCCTTTGGCCCTCCTCAGGTGTCTTTCTCATATCTGAAATGTGCCTTCTTTTGTGCTTTGGCTTGGCCTTTAGCGGATCAAAAGAGGAAGGTGCTTAGGCCTGCCATGTCCTCCCTGTGCTGGGTTAGTCGTTGCTCTGGTGTTGGTGCATTAACACTTCATAAACTGGTCTTGAAAATGAAAAATTAAAGGCTTCTCAGACTCCTAAGTCTGATCACTGATTTGCTTCATGTCTCCACCAAGTAACTGCTATTGCACAGCCACTCTGAGGCCTCAGCCCTTTTAGCCCTGCTAAAGTCTCCATAGTAGCCCATCCCTTAGAGCCATCTATTTACACAACTAGTTTTTTTATAACAGGAAAAATGAAAGTAGTTGTTAGATTACAGTAGTGGTAATAGGTAATTTTTCCTGTTTTAAAATTTGTCTTTGTTATTATATCAGTGTAATATATATCAGCTTTTTTATTACAAAAGGAATAGAAGACACAGTATATTATGAATACTATTCATATTGGTGAGTCAGAATGTTGATTAATATCATTTTGCTGTTTAAACCATATGGTATAATGGAAAATTCTTTAAAATGACATAATGGCCTCTTTGGATGGTGAAATGACAGTATTCTGTAAGGCAGGCTTGACCCAGCAATTTCAGTTCTAGAAAAGTATCCTACTGATAAACTTGCCTGTGTGCAGAGAGACATACACTCAGGGATAATCACTGCAGCATGATTTGGAGTGGAAGATGGTGGGAAACAAACCAATGTCCTTCAATAGCAGACTGTTTACATAAATTATGGTACATCTATAGAATAGGATAATATGCAGCTGTTAAAATTGGATATAATAAAAACTATAATTATATAATGCAAAGTATGTCACCCTTTACGCACATACCTACTAGTGTATCCAGGTCCTTTCTGCAAGAAACTTAGAGTTGCTTTCTCTGGGGAGAACAGCTAGAGGACTAAAGGATCATGGAGGTGGAACTTCCTTTTTCCTCTATACTTTTCTATCCTCCTGGATCTTCCTGCTTCTCCTCCCTCTGTGGGGAGAGATGGGAGAGATGTACTTTTCCTAATTTTTTTTTGAGACAGGGCCTCACTCTGTAGCCCAGGCTGGAGTGCAGTGGTGCGATCATAGCTCACTGCAGCTTTGACTTCCTGGGCCCAAGCAGTTCTCCTGCCTCAGTCTCTAAGTAGCTGGGACCACAGGTGTGTGCCACCATGCCCAGCTAGTAAAATACATATATATACACATATATTTATTTATTTATTTATTATTACTATTATTATTATTTTTTTTTATGGAGTTTTGCTCTTGTCACCCAGGCTGGAGTGCAGTGGCAAGATCTCGGCTCACTGCAACCTCTGCCTCCTGGGTTCAAGCGATTCTCCTGCCTCAGCCCCCTGAGTAGCTGGGATTACAGGTGCCCAAATATTTTTTAATTAAAAAAATTTTTTTTAATTTTTAATTTTGTAGAGATGGAGTCTCACTATGTTGCCAAGGCTGGTCTCAAGTTCCTGGGCTCAAGCAATCCTCCCATCTCAGCCTCAGGGCCGGGAACTCTTCCTAATCTCAGATTAGCTGCATAACTTAATTTCTTTTCTAAGGATTTTTTATTCATTTGTTCATTTTCTTTTTTTGTGATAGCTTTATAGTTTTTATTATATTCAGAGTTGCGCAGCCATAATCACAATCAATGTTAGCATACTTTCATTCCTGAAAAAGAAACCCCATACCTGTTGGGAATCACTGTTTACCTCCCCCCGATTCCTTCTACTCCCCACCACCCACCCCAGCCCTTCGGTCCCCAGCCTGGGGCAAACAGTTAACTACTTCCTGTCTCTAAAAATTTGCCTATTCTGAACATTTTCTATAAATGAGATCTTACAGTATATGGTCTTTTATGACTGGCTTCTCATTTAGCATGATATTTTCAAAGTTCATCCATGATGTAACAGGTATCAGTAATTCATCTCTTTTCATGGCTGAAAATTATTCTCTTGTATGAATGTATTACATTTTATCTAGTCATCTAATGTTGGCCATTGGAGTTATCTCCACTTTTGGCTATCATAAATAATGTTGCTATGCACATCCTTTTACAAGATTTTGTGTAGTCATATGTTTACACTCTCCGTACTTCTGCCTAGATATGGAATTGCTGGTTAGATGGTAACTCTGTTTAACTTTTTCAGGAGCTGCCAAACTCTTCTAAAGTGGGTGCACCGTTTTATATTCCCATCAGCAGTGTATGATTCTAATTTCTCCACATCCTGGACTACACTCGTTATTGCCTGTTGTAGTGAATTCTTATAATTTTATGTTGCCTCAGCATCCATTTTAAATCTAAGTTGAACCTTCTCATACCAGAAGCAGGACTCAGTCACCCCTGACACAGTTGGCAGTTCCACCCTCCTTCGCAGTTCCTCAGTGTGGTCGGTCCAGATAACCTGCCTTACACAGCTGCTCTCTGGTGACCACTTCCCTATGGGACAGCTGGATGCAGCCTGCTTGACAGGCCCTTCTGACCTTCGCATCCCCCATGGACCATATGCCACAGTGACCACCTCTCAGTCACTGGGTAACCTCCCAGAACTCATGCCTCCTTGCTTTAAACTCACCAGTTAAAACTCCCCAGGCTGCCTGTGGGAAACCTGTTTGGATAACACCTGCGACTCAGTAAAGACATTGGCTCATGTGTCCTTCCCCTCAACCCCTGCTTCTACCATGTAAGGACACGGGTCCCTTTTCTCTCTCTCTCTGCCTGCGCTCCCTGATGTTTGTGTGTGTGGCCTCCAGGTGTGCCATGTACTCCCCAGAACCTGTAAGTGATAATGTCTTTATTTCCATCTCATATTTCTCCTAATTATTGGAGGGGTACTCTCCATCTTAAAAATCCTAAATTAAGACACCTGTCATTCTTAGTATAGCCATTGATATGGGCTGAATATTTGTGTCCCCCCCAAAGTTCATATATTGAAATTCTAATCCCCAAGGTGATGGTTTTTGAGGGTGAGGACTTTGGGAAGTGATTAAATCAAGGGGGCAGAGCCTTCATGGGTGGGATTAGTTTCTTTATAAAAGAGGCCCGTGGAAATTTGCCTGCCCCTTCCACCCTGCGAGCACACAGCAGAAAGATGCTGTCTGAGAGAAAGCAGTTCCTTACCAGACCCAGAGTCTGCTGGCGCCTGCCTTGATCTTGGACTTCCCAGCCTCCAGAACTATCAGAAACAAATTTCTGTTATTTATGCACTGTTTATGGTATTGTTATAGCAGCCTGAACAGACCAAGACAGCCATCATAGTGGGTAAAGTGATATCTTATTGTGCTTTTGAATTATGTTTCTCTAATGAATAATGATATTAAGCATCATTTTATGTGTTTATTGGCCATTCATATATCTTCTTTGGAGAAATGTCTATCCAAATCCTTTTCCCACTTTTAAGGGCTGTTTGTCTTTTTATTATGTAGTTATATGACTTCTTTATGTATTTTGGGTACTAGACCCTTATCAGATACATAATTTACAATATTTTCTCCCATTATGTGGGTTATATTTTCACTTTCCTGATGACGTCTTTTCAAAGCATGTATTTCTTTTTTCAAAAACATATTCTATACTTTCTTTTTTTTGAGATGGAGTCTCCAGGCTGGAGTGCAGTGGCATGATCTCGGCTGACTGCAGCCTCTGCTGCCCGGGTTCAAGTGATTCTCCTGCCTCAGCTTCCTGAATAGCTAGGATCACAGGCACCTGCCACCGTGCCCGGCTAATTTTTGTATTTTTAGCAGAGACGGGGTTTCACCATGTCAGCCAGGCTGGTCTCGAACTCCTGACCTCAGATGATCTGCCCACCTTGGCCTCCCAAAGTGCTGGGATTACAGGCATGAGCCACCACACCCGGCTTACTTTCTTTACTATATTTGTTTTGTGAACTATCATTGTTATTAAAATTAAATCCTATGGACTTTACTGCTTTTTGCTCATTCATTATGTAGGAAGCCATGAGTTTAATAATACATGGTAGGTGCTGATTTCAATAATCATGCTTTGTTTGACCTCCTTTCATTTCTGGAAAAAAAAAAAAACCCCACCTAATTGTTTATACACAGTATGTTTAACTCACATCTCTTTTGGTGTTGCAGGTTGCAGTGCACGAGGGGATTAACTCAGGAACAGCCATGTCAAGAGGATTGTATCAACCAGCAACAATCTTTATGGGCCGCCAAATGTCAGCCATCTTAAGCATGAGAGATTTCAGTACAGAGCACAAATCTCCCCAGCCCACAAAGAACTTTTCAATTCCTGACCCACATTCACACCGACAGACAGCCCAGAGCAGTAATGTGACAGACAGCTGTGTAGTACAAACTAGTAATGACACACAGTGCTTAAATAAGTCTGACAACATAGATGGAAAGGCATCTCTTCAGATTGGTGAGAAAATGCCAGTCACAGCCAGTGTATTGTCTGAGGAGGAACAAACTCATTGCTTGGAGATAGGAAGTAACACACGTCATGGCAAGAGTAATTTATCTGAAGGCAAAAAGTCTGCTGAACTCAATTCCCCGTTACGGGAAAGATTAAGTCCAGAGAACAGAACCACTGATTTAAAGTGTGACAGTTCCAGCGGATCAGAGGGAGAAATACTGACACGGGAACATATTGAAGTTGAGGAAAAAAGAGCCAGCCCGCCAGTCTCTCCGATACCAGTTTCAGAATACTGTGAATCTGAAAATAAGTGGTCTCAAGAGAAGCATTCTCCTTGGGAAGGTGTTTCAGGTGGGATGAGAGGCTGAGTTTGGTTGCTGATTTTTCTGGGTGGTAGTGATCTTATGTAAGGACAAAATATACTAATTATCTCTCTTTCATAAAATAGTATCTTTGCCAACAAATTCCATTCTAATGAACTCTTAAATATGTACATGGGAGTGAATTTGCTGATTTTTAAACCCACTGTGATTTTTTTAAACATTTGAAAACGTGTTTAAGCTTTTAAGTTCCGTAATGAATTGTGTGTGGGTTGCTTCTCCATGTTTTTAACTGATGAGTAATTCTGCTGTGTGTTACCTTGCTTCCTCCTGAAGTCAGTGATTGGTAATCAGTTCATGTCGCCACTTGCAGATCATCTTGCTCACAGGGAACCAAAGTCACAAAAGCCCTTCAGAAAAATGCAGGAAGAGGAGGAGGAAAGTTGGAGCACCAGCAGTGACCTTACCATTTCAATAAGTGAAGATGATCTGATTTTAGAGAGCCCAGAACCACAGCCAAATCCAGGTGGCAAGATGGAGGGAGAAGATGGAATAGAGGCCTTAAAATTAATCCATGCTGAGCAAGAAAGAGTTGCCCTATCCACTGAAAAAAATTGTATTTTGCAAACCCTAAGCTCTCCTGATTCAGAAAAGGAATCCTCCACTAACGCACCAACAAGAGAGTAAGCCATTCAATTTTTTTTTTCTACTGTTCTGTTTTTAATTGTAGACATTTCTAGAGACCATTCCACTGGGAATGTATTATCGAGCACTCAGCCATGAATGTGTAAATTCCTTAAGTCTCATAAGTAATCTTGTAGGCAAGACCTAATTTTCTTTCTGTCCTTCTTTCTTCTTTCTTTCCTTCCTCCCTTCCTTCTTTCTTTGACAAAAAAACTTTAAAAGTTTGAATATCATTGAATCATGGTGATTGCAGCTTATAATTATATACACATAATCCCTGGTTAACTTATAAGTCATTCCCCAACCCCCTACTCTCCAGGCTTTCAGAAAATAAATCTGTTTTGAAGTTTTGGTACCACAGAAGGTGACAGTTAAACTTACTAGGAATGCAGCATTAGAGTCTGAGAACTTTATGTCTAATTAATTTGCTTAATCCTTATATTCCTTGCCATATTATCATTTTTGTCATCTGATTAAATATGAGTTAATAAGTTCTTCTAATTGTATATGTAAGCCAGATTTCCTTTTTTGAATCTAAATAGGAAACATTAGAATCTCTAATGTTAAATGGGAACATCAGCATTATACATTTGAGAACTTATATTATCCGACTGATAAAAATTTGTATATGTTTTTGTGCTACTGATTGGAGACGCTAGAAGAAAACTTTGTAGAAAGTTCTTGTGTATCTACTATGTAGAAAACTTGTTAACTGTTGAAAAGTGATTTTGTGCTGAAAAATGGCATTAATAACATCAAATCTCTTTTAGGGGTAGAAGGAACCTAAGTAAACAACCTAAGGTAGATCTCACCTTTTACAAATGAGGAAACGAAGGCCGGGGCAGAGTGGTGTCACGTAGGTCTACTGGATCTGCTGGGGCAGAACACCCCACAGCCTGTCTGCCTGAATGTCACACCACTGCCCCACCCCCAGAATTTTCTGTTACACCGTAATGCTGGTCACCCTTTCATTTCCACAAAGCTGGCAGCAGTGAAAAGCCAAGTGGGCCTTTTTGTACGGCATATGTTCTCTTTAGAACACCATTGTACCTTTTAATATATTGCCTCTTACCATTCATTGTCTACTTATGGTGAAAAGTTTATGAATAGGCTTTAATTGATAGATTGTATCCAAACTGATGTTCAGGAAATATTTATTAAGAGCATATCCAAGTACAGAGTTCTTGCACTATGGATGGAAGAACCGACATGGTTCCTGTCATTGGGAAATTTGATTTATTGGAGAGGCAAGCCAAATGGATTTTTCTAGTAATAATACTTCTCTCATCAAAGAGGCACAGGTAATACATATTACATCATCAGAAACTTTATTACTGGAGGTAGAATGTTATCTATCTCTAGTTTTGTGTTTGTGGGCTTATTTTTATGGCATGGTGGACAAGTTAGTACTTTGGTAGGCTAACAAGGGGACTAATACACTTACCCAGGACTCAGTCTTTTTCTGAGGTGAAAAAAATTGAGTATGTGTATGAATTCCTACTAAACATTTCTCTAAGAGTCAAGAATGTTCATCCTGTCTCCATTCGAATGACTTTTTTTTTTTTAATGATCTTGGAGGCATAAAGTCAAGCTCCTTGGAGTTTTGGCATATAGTTTTCCAGTATTTATTGGAAAATATGGGCATGTGGGGAATTTTGAGTATTTCTCTTAATAAAATGCCCCCAGAATGAAAATGTCAGTCAGCAGTGGTTGTTTCTGTGTCTGTATTATCAAATTTGAGCCTACTGATTTTCTGGGTAAAAATATTCTCCAGGAATAGGTTGAAGGTGGTTTTAAATGATGCTAGTTAACTTGCTGACATCACCACTGCATTTGAGGCCCCACATTTTCTTAATTTATTGTTTAACTGGCGCTCTTCTCCTTTGCTCTGAGGGTTATTGGTCTGAGACCATAGCATAGCATCATATTTATAGAGCTAGCACTATAACCTAAACAGTTCAATATTTCAATTGACTTTAGGGTCTGTTGGGGGCCTGGAGAAAAATCACTTGAATGAATTTAATTAGCAAAGATGCATAAATGGGACAAAGGAGGACACATAGGAGCATATGATCCAGAATGTAAAATCTGCGCAACATCCTGAAGTCTGTATAGGCTTTGAAGGAGAAAGAGGAGGGAAAGAGCAAATAGGGTCTGGAGGAAAATGCAAGAAGGAATGCGGAGCAGAGAACACAGAGGACATGGGAGGGGCAGAGCAAAGGACCCCATGGGTGAGGAGGGCCTTTTGGAGTTAAGGTTCAAAATGTCACCTAGGGTGAGGTTGAGAAAGGCCTGGAATATCAGGTTAATGAATTTAGAGTTCACTCTATGCTTTGTAGAGCTGTTGAAGGTTATTTTAGGAGAAGGACAGTGTGATGAGGCTTGATTTAGGAGGATTAACCTGACAGCATTAGTTCATTAGGATTAATCATCCATGTGGTAGGCAGAAGTGTAGATGGCCCTGAGATTCCCGCTCCCTGTTGTCCATTCCCTTGCCTTGAGAGTGGGCAGGACTGGGAGTCTGATGGATTTTACTCCTGTGATGAAGCTGTCATGTGACAAAGATGAAGGATTTTGCAGATATAATGAAGGTCCCAAATCAGTTGCCCTTCAGCTAGTCAAATGAAAATTATCCAAGGTGGACCTGACCTAATCAGATGAGACTTTAAAAGAGACTGGCCCTTACTGAAGCCAGTGGCACAACCTCAGCTCGCTGCAACCTTTGCCTCCTGGGTTCAAGCTATTCTGCCTCAGCCTTACAAATAGCTGGGACTACAGGTGCCCGCCATCAGGCCTGGCTAATTTTGTTTTTGTTTTTGTTTTGAGATGGAGTTTTGCTCTTGTTGCCCAGGCTGGAGTGCAATGGCGCAACCTCGGCTCACTGCAACCTCCACCTCCTGGGTTCAAGCAATTCTCCTGCCTCAGCCTCCTGAGTAGCTGGGATTACAGGCATGTGCCGCCATGCTTGGCTAATTTTTGTATTTTGTATTTTTTTTTTTTTTTTGTCCATGAGGCATTTTATTTGTAAATATATGTATTACATCCCTAGAAAAAGAATTCCAGGATTTTCCCTCCTGTGTGTTTTCGTCTTGCTTCTTCATGGTCCATGATGCCAGCTGAGGTTGTCAGTACAATGAAACCAACTGGCAGGATGGAAGCAGATTATTCTGCCATTTTTCCAGGTCTTTGAGTTGCACGTCAAATCTGGAGCTGATCACTCCACACTTGTTTAGCCTGCCTGTGAGGTTCACAACAATTTCCCAGCTCTGTGGTCATCAATGATTTCAAATTCGCCAGTGTAACCATGCTTCATCATCACAATGAGAAACCGGACGATGACTTTGGAGCACGGCCTAATAAGCACCTGGCGTTTGCCTCTCTTTTCGGCATTGTTGATGGTCTTGAGAGCATCTGCCAGGACATTCATGCGCACCATTGTGGCGGTGCGGAAAGAGCTTTTGTATTTTTTTTTTTTTTTGGAGAGACTTGGTTTCTCCATGTTGGTCAGGCTGGTCTTGTACTCCCTACCTCAGGTGATCTGCCTGCCTCAGCTTCCCAAAGTGTTGGGATTACAAGCGTGAGCCACCGCACCTGGCCAATTTTTGTATTTTTAGTAGAGACCCGGTTTCACTATGTTGGCCAGGCTGGTCTTGAACTGCTGACCTCAAGTGATTTGCCCACCTTGTCCTCCCAAAGTGCTGGGATTAGAGGCGTGAGCCACCACGCCCAGCCTGAAGCCAGAGAGATTTAAAGCAGCTAAGATACTCTCTTGTTTCCTGAAGAAGCAAACTGTCATCTTGTGGGAAAGACCACATGACAGGAAATGGCATGCAGCCTCTAGGGGCTAAGGGCCTCAGTCCTACAGCCACAAGGAAATTGATTCTGCCAATAACCAGTGAGTGTGGAAGAAGTCCCTGAGCCTTAGATGAGACTGCATCTCCAGCAGACACCTTAATTTCAGCCTGGTGAGACCTTGAGCAGATGACCCCACTAACCCAGATCCAGACTTCTGTCTCATGGGAACTATGAAATCATAAATTTGTGGCAATTTGTGATACAGCAATAAGAAAATTCATACAACTCAGTTGAAGAATTGGAAGCAAGGATTGCATGGATAGAAGTGTCTACCCATAATGACTGGGAACAGGCTGAATTGGACATGTTCAGGGTTCCTTGTGGGAACACATGGTAACAAAGTAGCTGAGTGAGTGATTCAGCAGCCAAGGTAACCTGTGCTTCCCCTCCCCTTATACCTTCACCATCTGAGCAAGTGCATTTTCACACTCAGGTAAGCAGTAGTGGAACATTATAGACTGCTAGGGACTCTAAAAGTGGTTGTGGCTATCTACATTAACCAACAAGCAGTTTCTCATGCTAGTGGGTTTTTTGTTTGTTTCGCTTTTTTTTTTTTTTTTTTTGAGATGGAGTTTCACTCTTGTCGCCCAGGCTGGAGTACAATGGCACGATCTCGGCTCACTGCAACCTCCACCTCCCGGGTGCAAGCTAGTCTCATGCCTCAGTCTCCCAAGTAGCTGGGATTACAGGCATGTGCCAGCACATCCAACTAATTTTGTATTTTTAATAGAGATGGGGTTTTACCATGTTGGCCAGGCTGTTCTCAAACTCCTAACCTCAGGAGATTTGCCTGCCTTCAAAGTGCTGGGATTACAGACGTGAGCCACTGCGCCTGGCCTACTTTGTTTTATATATCAATGCATAATGATATGTATCCACCTTTAAAGTACCATTAAAAAATAGTTTCTTTTTTTTATTATTATACTTTAAGTTTTAGGGTACATGTGCACAACATGCAGGTTAGTTACATATGTATACATGTGCCATGTTGTTGTGCTTCACCCAGTAACTCGTCATTTAACATTAGGTATATCTCCAAATGCTATCCCTCCCCACTCCCCTACCCCACAACAGGCCCCGGTGTGTGATGCTCCCCTTCCTGTGTCCATGTGTTCTCATTGTTCAATTCCCACCTATGAGTGAGAACATGCGGTGTTTGGTTTTTTGTCCTTGCGATAATTTGCTGAGAATGATGGTTTGCAGTTTCATCCATGTCCCTACAAAGGACATGAACTCATCATTTTTTATGGCTGCATAGTATTCCATGGTGTATATGTGCCACATTTTCTTAATCCAGTCTGTCATTGTTGGACATTTGGGTTGGTTCCAAGTTACATTTGGATTGGTTCCAACTTACAAGAGATGTGAAGGACCTCTTCAAGGAGAACTACAAACCACTGCTCAGTGAAATAAAAGAGGATACAAACAAATGGAAGAACATTCCATGCTCATGGGTAGGAAGAATCAATATCGTGAAAATGGCCATACTGCCCAGGGTAATTTATAGATTCAATGCCATCCCCATCAAGCTACCAATGACTTTCTTCACAGAATTGGAAAAAACTACTTTAAAGTTCATATAGAACCAAAAGAGAGCCCGCATCGCCAAGTCAATCCTAAGCCAAAAGAACAAAGCTGGAGGCATCACGCTACCTGACTTCAAACTATACTACAAGGCTACAGTAACCAAAACAGCATGGTACTGGTACCAAAACAGAGATATAGACCAATGGAACAGAAAAGAGCCCTCAGAAATGATGCTGCATATCTACAACCATCTGATCTTTGACAAACCTGACAAAAACAAGCAATGGGGAAAGGATCCCCTATTTAATAAATGGTGCTGGGAAAACTGGCTAGTCATAGGTAGAAAGCTGAAACTGGATGCCTTCCTTACACCTTATACAAAAATTAATTCAAGATGGATTAAAGACTTAAACATTAGACCTAAAACCATAAAAACCCTAGAAGAAAACCTAGGCAATACCATTCAGGCCATAGGCATGGGCAAGGACTTCATGTCTAAAACACCAAAAGCAATGGCAACAAAAGCCAAAATTGACAAATGGGATCTAATTAAACTAAAGAGCTTCTGCACAGCAAAAGAAACAACCATCAGAGTGAACAGGCAACCTACAGCATGGGAGAAAATTTTTGCAACCTACTCATCTGACAAAGGGCTAATATCCAGAATCTACAATGAACTCCAACAAATTTACAAGAAAAAAAAACCCCATCAAAAAGTGGGCAAAGGATATGAACAGACACTTCTCAAAAGAAGACATTTATGCAGCCAAAAGACACATGAAAAAATGTTCATCATCACTGGCCATCAGAGAAATGCAAATCAAAACCACAATGAGATACCATCTCACACCAGTTAGAATGGCGATCATTAAAAAGTCAGGAAACAACAGGTGCTGGAGAGGATGTGGAGAAATAGGAACACTTTTACACTATTGATGGGAGTGTAAACTAGTTCAACCATTGTGGAAGTCAGTGTGGCGATTCCTCAGGGATCTAGAACTAGAAATACCATTTGACCCAGCTATCCCATTACTGGGTATATACCCAAAGGATTATAAATCATGCTGCTATAAAGACACATGCAGACGTATGTTTGTTGCGGCACTATTCATAACAGCAAAGACTTGGAACCAACCCAAAAAAATAGTTTCTCTACTTGAAAATGACCTGTGCTCCATCTACTCACCCCTCTTCCTTTAACCCCACCTGAACCCCTTGCAAGTACTGATCTTTTTAGTGTCTTGTCTTTTCCAGAATGTCAAGTAGTGGGAATTACATAACAAGTAGTATTATCAGGTTGGCTTTTTTCACTTAGTAATGTATATTTAAGGTTATTCCATGTCTTTTTATGGCTTCATAGCTTATTTATTTTTAGCACTGAATAATACTCCATTGTCTGGAGGTACCAGAGTTTATCCATTCACCTACTGAAGAACATCTTGGTGGCTTCTGGGTTTTGCCAATTGTGAATAAAGCTGCCATAAATATCTCTGTGCAGGTTTTTGTGTGGACATGTTTTCAACTTATTTGGGTAAATACCAAGGAGTGTCATTGATGGATCATGTGTAAGTCTGTTTTTGGTATGGGGTTATTTAGTTTTTAAATTTTAAATTTTTGTAGATACATAGTAGGTATATGTATCTATTTATAGGGTACATGAAATATTTTAATACAAGCATGCAATGTATAATAATCACTTCATGGTAAATGGGATATCCATCTCCTCAAGCATTTATCCTTTGTGTTATAAACAATCCAGTTATACTCTTTTGGTTATTTTTAAATGTACAATTAAATTATTATTTACTATAGTCATCCTTTTGTGCTATCAAATACCAAATACTAGATCTTTTTTTTTTTTTTTGAGACGGAGTCTCTCTCTGTCGCCCAGGCTGGAGTGCAGTGGCACGATCTCAGCTCACTGCAAGCTCCCCTTCCTGGGTTCACGCCATTCTCCTGCCTCAGCCTCCCGAGTAGCTGGGACTACAGGCACACGCCACCATGCCTGGCTAATTTTTTGTATTTTTAGTAGAGATGGGGTTTCACCGTGTTAGCCAGGATAATCTCGATCTCCTGACCTCGTGATCTGCCCGCCTCAGCCTCCCAAAGTGCTGGGATTACAGGCGTGAGCCACCACGCCCGGCCATCAAATACTAGATCTTATTCGTTCTTTCTAACTTATCTTTTTGTATCCGTTAACCATCCCCACTTCTCTCCGCCCCCGAACTCCACTACACTTCCCAGCCTCTGGTAACTATCTTTCTACTCTCTGTCTCCATGAGTTCAATTGTTTTAATTTTTAGCTCCCCCAAATAAATGAGAACATGCAAAGTTTGTCTTTCTGTGCCTGGCTTAAATCACTTAACGTAATGACCTCCAGTTCCATCTATGTTGTTGTAAATGACAGGATCTCATTCTTTTCTATGGCTAAATAGGTAAGTCTATGGTTACCTTTGTAAGAAACTGCTGAACCATCGTCTTCCAAAGTGGCTGTGCCATTTTGCATTATCACTAGCAATGAATGAGAGTTCTTGTTCTACATCTTGTCAGCATTTGGTATTGTCATTTTAAAATTTTAGCCATTCTAAAAGGTGTTTAGTGGTATGCAATTGTTTTAATTTGCAGTTCTCTAATGACATATGATGTTGAACATCTTTTCATATGCTTATCTGCCACCTGTGTATCTTCTTTGATGAGATGTCTGTTCAGATCTGTCACCCATTTTTATTTCAGTTAGTTTTCTTATTGTTGAGTTTTAATAGCTCTTTCTACATTTTGGATATCAGTCCTTTATCAGGGGGATAGTGTGTCTTGCAGATATTTTCGCCCAATCTATGGTTTGTCTTTTCCTTTGAACAGTGTCTTTTACAGAGCAGAAGTTTTAAATTTTATTTTTTAAATGTATTTTGTTTGTTTGTTTGTGACAGGGTCACACTCTGTTGCCCAGGCTGGAATGCAGTGGTGTGATCATGGCCCACTGCAGCCTCGACCTCCCCAAGCTCAGGTGATCCTGCCACCTCACCCTCTTGAGTAGCTGGGATTACAGGCGCGTGCCACCACACCCAGCTAATTTTGTATTTTTAGTAGAGATAGGGTTTCACCATGTTGGCCAGGCCAGTCTCAGAGTCCTGTCCTTAGGTGATCCACCCACCTTGGCCTCCCAAAGTGCTGGGATTACAGGCATGAGCCACCATGCCCGACCTTTTGCTATATGACTTTCGAGGTTGAGTTATACATAAAAGGCCTTGCAGTGTCTACCCTATTAGCTGGAACTCTCACTATGGGAACCACAAGCCACCATATTGAAAGTCTGATCATTCTAGGCAGCTGTGCTGAAGAAATTATGTGTAGGTGCCCCAGTCCATAGTCCTTGCTGAGCCTTATCCTTCCAGTCGTCCCCACCAAGGTGCTGGACATATAGGTGAAGCCTTCTTGGACTCTCCAGACAAATCCATCCAGAGGCTAAATATCACTAAATGCCCTCTCTTGATAATATGTGAAACAGAAGAATCACCCAGCCACTCCTTGCCTGCTTTCCTAATCCACAAAAGCATGAGATGTAATGACTTGGTGGTTGTTTTAAGCTACTAAGTTTTGAGGTAGTTTTTTATTAGTCTATAGATAACGAGAAAAGGGGTACATTCATTTAACATTAAATATGGAACACCTGCTCTGTGCCGGGTATTGTTCTTGCTTTATGGTACTTATGATCATGCATGTGGAGAAGAGGAAGGAAATATAAACCAGTAAACAATCTGTGTGAAAAGTATTATGACAAAGGGCCAGGCACGGTGACTAACGTGTAATCCTAGCACTTTAGGAGGCTGAGGCGAATGGATTGTTTGCGCTTAGGAGTTCGAGACCAGCCTGGGCAACGTGGTGAAACCTCGTCTCTACAAAAGATGCAAAAAAATTAGCCAGGTGTGGTGGCGCACGCTTGAGCTATTTGGGGAGGGTGAGGCAGGAGGATCACTTAAACCCAGGAGGTTGAGACTGCAGTGGGCTGAGATTGTGCCACTGCACTCCAGCCTGGGTGACAAAGAGAGACTCTGTCTCAAAAAAAAAAAGTATTATGATGAAGAATAAGCAGGTTAAGTAGATAGAGAAGGCATGGGTGCAGTTTAATACAAGATATAAGATAGTGGGGAAAGGTCTCTATGGTAAGATGGTAGTTGAGTAGGACCTGAAGTGGGAGAGTTGGTAAGCCACATTCAGCTGTGCCCATGCCTTCTCTATCCACTTAACCTCATCTGTTCTTTGTCATCTTTTAGACTGGTTTATGTGTTTGTCTCTTAGTTTATACTTCTTCTCTCCTCTGGGAGAGAGATGGGAGAGGGATGGGATATGTCTTGAGAAAGAGCATGCTAGGCAAAGGGAACCACAGTACAGAGGCCATGCAGTGGGGGCATACTGAGTGTTTCCTGGAACAGCAAAGTGGCTGGTGCACCTGAATCCGAACAGGTGTTGGGGAGACGGGAGAAGCTGGAGTGAGAGAGTATCAGTGTGCCACGTTGTGAAGGGTCAGTAGGCTGAAGGAAGGACTTTGGGTTGAACTTCAATTGAAATGAAGAATCACTCTGGCCACTTATGGAAAATCAAGTTGGGGAAAGAGTGGCAGCAGGGAGTGCTGTTTGGATAATATAGCAGAGATCCTGCAGAGAGGTGCTGTTGCTTTGGACTGTGGTGGCAGCAGTAGGGTGGTAAGAAGTGGTCAGATTCTGGATATATTTTTATATAAAAGAACCAGCTGGAGGGCTGGGTGTGGTGGCTCATGCCTGTAATCCCAACACTTTGGGAGGCCAAGATGGGTTGATCACTTGAGGTCAGGAGTTCAAGACCAGCCTGGCCAACATGGTGAAACCCCATCTCTACTAAAAATATAAAAATTAGCTGGGTGTGGTGGCGGGTGCCTGTAATCCCAGCTACTTGGGAGGCTGAGCCAGGAGAATTGCTTGAACCTGGGAAGTGGAGGTTGCAGTGAGCCAAGATTGTGCCA
Organism: Homo sapiens; assembly: GCF_000001405.40. Classification (NCBI taxonomy): domain Eukaryota; kingdom Metazoa; phylum Chordata; class Mammalia; order Primates; family Hominidae; genus Homo; species Homo sapiens. The sequence continues at coordinate 21,173,539 of NC_000020.11, forward strand.
CTGGACTCCAGCCTGGGCAACAGAGGGAGATGCCGTCTCAAAAAAAAAAAAAAAAAAAGAAAGAACCAGCTGGATTCTTTATGGATTGGGTGTGGGTTATAAGAGAAAGGGAGTAGAAGGATGACTCAAGGGTTTGGGGACAGAGTGAGTTATTTATTGAGATAAGGAACATGTAGGAGGCACAGACTTGAAGGAAAGAAAATCAAGACAGAAGTTTTGGGTATGTTAGATTTGAGATGCCTTTTTGACGTTCACAGGGAGATGCTGAGTAGGCAGATGGATTTCATGAACTTGGAATTCAGAGAGAGGTCAGGGCTAGATAAATACATTTGTAAATCATCAGGGTATAAATACATTTTAAAGCCATGGGCCTAAGAAGAACACTAGAGAGTGAATGTAAATAGGAAAGTGGCCCAGGGCATGACTCCACATTCAGGGTCAGGAAGATCAGAAGGAACCAGCAAAGGAGTCTCAGAAGACGCTGCAGGGAAGAACGAGGAGAACCAGGAGGGTGTTGTGCTGCAGGTGCCAAGTAGAATGTTTCACATGAGGTTTAGAAAGCTTAAATAACCTGCTCAGGTCACAGAGGTGCAGCTAGGGTCTAAACTAACAGTCTGATGCCAGAATGCATGCTCTTAATTTCTGTTTTCCACCACCCAAATCACAACCAAAATGGTTGTTAGTACTGACTCCGTGCCAGGCACTGTTTTAACACCTTTATTTATAATCATTTAATCCTATTATCATCATCATTTTACAGATGAGAAAACTGAGGCACAGGGAGTTATGTAACATATTGAAAGTCATAAAACAGCTGTGTGTGCTCCAAACTGGCCCTCTGTGACCAGAGTTAACTGGTACCCTATGCTGTCTCCCAGTGAATCTTTACTACCTGGATAGTTGGAGTATCATCAAAGATAATATTTTATAAGGTTAAATAGGAAGCTCAAAAAGCAAATTAAATTCTTTAATTAGAAAAAGAAAAAAGAAAAGAAAACTAAGCAGTGGCAATTTGACCTCTTACTCCGTCCATATTGATTTTTGTGCTTTCCAACCTCAAATAGGCCAATGAAGTGCTATGTGCCTTTATTCAGGCTTGAACAAAGTACTTGCAAAGTTGCTTTGTTCTGTCTCCTCCTGGAGTGTGACTGAAAACAGAATGTAATGCTGCCTTTTAAACTAAGTCACATGAAAGCCTTGGTTTCTCAAGGTCATAAAAATGTGATCACACAGATTGAATCCCATCCAGTGATTTTAATTTAGCTCCTCTTCAAAGTTAAGTGTAGGAAATAAGTTATTGCATCTGAGAAAAATTTGTTGCTGAAAGTCATGTGCCTGGAATAATAGGTTTGAACTATGTTCATTTAGAATTTACCCTGAATTCACTTTATAAGGAGCTGGAAGCATATTTAGAAATTCAGCATTCCTTCAGATGTGATGATGCCTTCAGATGTCTGTTCTCAGCTGTCTGTTTTCATCAGCACAGTTGCCTGTTTCTCTTGAACATGACCTTTGGCACCTCAATACTGGTGGCCCCTGAGCCTTTTCTTGCCACCACACAGATTCTGTCCTTTGTTCCCAAAGTAAGGCTATGCATTATACTTCTGGAAAAATAACCCAGTGGCAGTAGATGTGGCCGTCAGGGTATTCCCTTTGTTTTCTACCTGTCACTTCATTCTAATCTTGCCTTTGCTTTTCCTGTTAGCTCACCTAGTTTCTGAAAAATCTAAGACTTTCATTATCCTTATTTTGGTCTAAATTTGTAAAAATCCAAACCTACTAAGAAGGGAATAGTCCTGAGACCTGATCCTCAGCAAAGTAGGCAATAATCGTAGTCACAGCCATTGTCACTTGGTGTATAGGAGATATTAAAAGAAGTCTCCATTGGCCAACAGGAATGAACCCAGGTCTCCATCCTTTGCCAGCCATCTCACCATATGGGATTCTAGCCTCAGTCAGAAGAACATGAGTGACATGGAGCAAAGGCAGGAGTTAGATAGGAACTGAGAAGCACTTGGTGAAGGTCACAGCCCAGGTCACCAGAAGACTGAAACCTAATCCAAGTACCATAAAAGGCTTCCCCTCCCCCATACCTTGCCACCACATCAATAGGGATCCTGTATAGTAGCAGGAAACAATTATACAACTGAATGAACCACATGTCTCAGACCTTAGTTAAGTCTCTAGGAGGCCAGGCATGGTGGCTCACTCATGCCTATAATCCCCAACACTTTGGGAGGCTGAGGCAGGCATATCACTTGTGGTCAGGAGTTTGAGACCAGCCTGACCAATATGGTGAAAGCTGGTCTCTACCAAAAAATACAAAAATTAGCCAGTCATGGTGGCACACGCCTGTATTCCCAGCTACTCAGGAGGCTGAGTTGGGAGAATCACTTAAATGCAGGAGGTGGAGGTTGCTGTGAGCTGAGATGGTGCCACTGCACTCCAGCCTGAGCAACGGAGTGAGACCCTGTCTGAAAAAAAATGGAGGCTGGGCACGGTGGCTCACGCCTATAATCTCAGCACTTTGGGAGGCCAAGACAAGTGGATCACCTGAGGTCAGGAGTTCAAGACCAGCCTGGCCAACAGTGCAAAACCCTGTCTCTACTAAAAATACAAAAATTAGCTGGGTGTGGTGGCGGGTGCCTGTAATTCCAGCTACTTGAGAGGCTGAGGCACAAGAATTGCCTGAACCTGGGAGGCAGAGGTTGCAGTGAGCCAAGATCGCACCACTGCACCCTATCCTCAGTGAGAGAGTGAGACTCTGTCTCAAATCAGTCAATCAATCAATCAATCAATCCGGAAAGCTGAAGACAAGGGAAGGAGACAAAAACAAGGACACCCAAGGAAAGTTTAGCCTCTGATACCTACATTTGCAGCTGCAACAGACAATAAACACAGCCTAACTTCTAACCAGATGAACATAAAACCTCAGCTTGAAGGCCTGTGTACCTGTTCACCCTAAAGGACTATTTACCTAGTACATCATGCCTGGCTTTCAACAAAAAACATTACAAGGCACAAAAAAGGCAAAAAAAAAAAAAAAATACAGTTTGAATAGACAGAGCAAGCATCAGAGCCAGACTCAGATATGGCAGATGTTGGATTTTTCAGACTAGGAATTTAAAATAACTGATTAATATGCTAGGGCTCTAGGGCTCTAGAGCTCTAAAGGAAAAAGAGGACAACGTGCAAGAAAGGATAGGTAATGTAAACAGAAAGATGGAAATTATAATAAAGAATAAAAAAGTAATGCTAGAATTAAACTCTGTAACAGAAATAAAGAATGCCTTTGGTGGGCTTATCAGTAGATTGGACTTGGTAGAGAAATTATGTCTAGCTTATTTCACTTAGCATGTTGTCTTCAGAATTCATCCATGTCAAGATGTGTGTCAAAATTTCCTTCCTTTTTAAGGCAGAATAATATTTCATTGTACGTGTATTTTCTTTGTCCATTCATCCATTGATGAACATTTTGGTGGTTTCTAGATCTTCGCTATTGCGAATAGTGCTGTGATGAACACTGGAGTGCTAATACTTCTTTGAGATCCTTATTTCAATTATTTTGGATAAATACCCAAAAGTGAGATTATTGGATCAAATGGTAATTCTAGTTTTAATTTTTTGAGGAATCTCTGTACTGTTTTCTATTTTACACTCCCACCAACAGTGTACTAGAGTTCCAGTTTCTCTACATCTTTGCCAGTGCTTGTTATCTTTTGTTCTTTTTGTGAATAGTCGTATGAACTGAAATTTTTCTATGGTTTTGATTTGCATTTCCCTGATGATTAGTGATGAGCATCTTTTCATATACCTCTTGGCCATTTATATGTTTTATGGAGACGTTGAAGAAATGTTTATTCAGGTCTTTAGCCCGTATTTTAATCAGGTTATTAGTTTTTTTGCTGTTGAACTGTTGGAGTTCCTTACATGTTTGGGAAATTAACCCCTTATATGTGTTTTGCAAATATTTTCTCTCATTCAGTAGATTGCCTTTTTGCTCTGTTAGTTGTTTCCTTTGCTATGCAGAAACTTTTTAGTTTGATGTAGTCCCACTTGTCTATTTTTGCTTTTGTTGCCTGTGCTTTTGGTGTCGTATCCATGAAATCTTTGCCAAGGCCAATGTTATGAAGCTTTTCCCCTATGTTTTCTTCTAGGAGTTTTAAAACTTCAGGTCTTATATTTAAATCCTTAATTCATTTTGAGTTGATTTTTCTGTGTGGTATGAGAGTCCAGTTTCATTCTTTTGCATATGGATTTCCAGTTTCTCCCAATACCGTATGTTAAAAGACTGTCCTTTCCTCATCATATATTCTTGATACCCTTGTCAAAGATCAGTTGACTGCATATGCATGGATTGATTTATGGGCTCTCTATTCTGAATGTTCCATTGGTCTATATGTCTGTCTTTATGCCAATACCATACTGTTTTGATTATGGTAGCTTTGTAATATATTTTGAAATCAGGACGTGTGATGCCTCCAGCTTTTTCTTCTTTCTCAAGATTGTCTTGGCTGTTCAGGGTCTTTTGTGATTCCACATGAATTTTAGTCTTGTTTTTTTATTTCTGAAAAAAAATGCCATTGAAATTTTGATAGCAATTTCATAGAATCTGGAGATTGCTTTGGTAGTATGGACACTTTAACAATATTAAATCTTATAATCCATGAACATGGAATTCTTTCCATTTGCTTGTATCTTCTTTAATTTCTGTCATCAATGTTTTGTAGTTTTTAGCATGGAAGTCTTGTACCTCCTTAATTAAGTTTATTTCTAAGTATTTTATTCTTATTGGTGCTATTGTAAATGGAAATATTTTTCTAATTTCATATTCAGACAGTTTGTTGTTAGTGTATAGAAACACAACTGATTTTTGTATGTTGATTTTGTATCCTACAACTTTACTGAATTCATTTATTAATTCTAACAGTATGCATCTGTGTGTGTATGTGATCTTTAGAGTTTTCTATATATCATGTCATCTGCAACAGGGACAATTTTACTTGGATTTGAATAGCTTTTATTTCTTTTCCTTGCCTAATTATTCTGGCTAGGGCTTTCAGTACTGTATTAAACAGAAGTGGCAAGAGTGGGCATCCTTGTCTTGTTCGTGATCTCAAAGGAAAAGCTTTCAGCTTTCACCATTGAGTATGATATTAGCTGTGAACTTTATATATGTGACCTTTATTAAGCTGAGGTAATTTCATCCTATGTCTAGTTTATTGAGAGGTTTTTATTGGGAAGGGGTGTTGAATTTTGTCAAACAGTTATTCTGTGTCTATTAAGATGGTCATGTGATTTTTATCTTTCATTCTGTTACTGTGGTGTATCACATTGATTTTTATATGTTGATTCATTCTTGCATCCCAGGGATAAACATCTCACTTAGTTATGATTTATGATTCTTTTAATGTACTGCTGAATTTGGTTTGTTAGTATTTTGTTGACAATATTTGTGTCTATATTCATTAGGCATATTGGTCTGTAGTTTTCTTTTTTGTGGTATCTTTGCCTGGGTTTGGCATCAGGGTAATGCGGGCCTAATAAAATAAGTTTGGAAGTATTCCCTTTTTTTCAGTTTTTTTGGAAGAGTTTGAGAAGTATTGGCATTAATTCTTTAAATGTCTGGTAGAATTCACCAGTGAAGCTATCTGGTCCTGGGGTTTTTTTGTTTTTTTTTTTTTTTTGATGGGAGGTTTTTGATTACTGATTCAGTCTCCTTACTAGTTTTAGGTCTGTTCAGACTATTTCTTTATTAATTAGTCTTGGTATGTGTATGTTTTTAGGAATTTATTTATTTCTTCCAGGTTATCCAGTTTGTTGGTTTGTAATAGTTTATATAGTTTCTTGTGATCTTTTTTAATCTCTGTGATATCAATTGCAGTGTTTCCTCTTTCATTTCTGATTTTATGTATTTGGGTTTTCTCTCTTTTTTCTTAAGTAGTCTAGCTAACGGTTTGTCAATTTTGTTTATTTTTTCAAAAAAGTCTTAGTTTTATTGATTTTTTTTCCTATTTTTTGTATTCTCTTTTTCATTTATCTCTGATCATTATTATTTCCTTCTATCTACTAACTTTGTGCTTGGTTTGTTCTGTTTTTCTACTTAAGGTGTGAAGTTAGGTTGTTGATTTAAGCTTTTCTTCTTTTTAAATGTAAGTTTTTACTGCTATAAACTTCTCTCTTATACTGGTCTTGCTGCATCTTCTAAGTTTCGGTATGTTGTATTTTTGTTTTCATTTGTCTCAGATGTTTTCTAATGTCCCTGTTGATTTATTTTGTGATCCATTAGTTGTTAGTGTGTTGTTTAATTTCCACATGTTTGTGAATTTTACAATTTTGCTTCTGCTATTGATTTCTGATTTCATTCCATTTCATCAGAGAAAATACTTGGTATGATTCAGTCTTTTTAAATTTGTAAGACTTGTTTTGTAAGCTAACACGTGATCTGTTCTAGAGAATGTTTTGCCAGCACTTGAGAAGAATGCTATTGCGTTTGGGTGGAGTGTTCTGTATATGTTTGTTAGGTCCATTTGACCAGTACTGTTATTCAAGTTTGTTGTTTCTTTGTTGATTTTGTCTGGTTGTTCTATTTATTATTGAAAATGGAATACTGAAGTCTCCCACCAGTATTATATTGCTATGTATTTCTCCTCATTTTCAAACTCAAAAATCTGTGAGTTTTTGGTTTGCTCTTTGCTCCTTTTTTTTTTTTTTTAATAAGGAAATTCAGGCAGTTTTTTAAAAAGATGATGACGATGACAACTCTTTTCCTAGAATTTTTTTCACCATTTTATATTTAAGTAAATTATGACATTTTGGGGCAGTCTCCCAAGTAAGTGTTAAGGTGCCCTACCCCCACTCTCTTGGAGCCAAATAAGTGGTAGGGGGTGGGGCGAGGGACGGGTGCAAGGGGAGGAAAAGTCAGGAAGGCTACTGAGAGCATAGAGCCGACTTCAGCCTCTGTTGGGAAGGGAACCAGCAGTCAAGCCAAATCCTACTACGGGTGTAGCAAAACTCAACTTCTTTCAATACGAATTTGAGATCTAAGAGTAGTTTATTCTGGTGGAGCAGGCTTACCCATGGTTTCAGAAGTTAGAGAGGAGACTCTGAGAGTCAAGCCCTGGTTGTTCAAGACCCAAATAAGGCAGGAGAAAGCAGGACATAGGCAGGTTTCCAAGAAAATGAGCCCAATAGCATTCAAGCCTCAGTGACAGGCCAGGTATAGGTACTCCAGTCAGTAGTCCCAGCTGAGCCCAGTAGTTCTAGCCCAAGCTCCAGATGTGAGTTTAGGAATCACCAAATAATTCCAGTCCCTTTATTCCAAGTCACCCTCAGATGTTCAAGCTGAGGCCCCAGACATCATGGAGCACAGACAAGCCCTACCCATGTCCAGATTACTGAACCACAGAAGCCATGAGGATTATAAAAAGTTGTTGGTTGTTGTTTTATACCACTAAATTTGGGTAGTATTTTATTATACAGCAGTAGGTAACCGGAATAACCATGATGACTGGTTTGGCTAGTTGAAGGAGATTCATCATTCCAGATTTTGAGGGCTGCAGTATGAACAGAGGCCTGGAGATAAGCAAGCATGGCCCGTATCTGGGAACTATTGTTTCTCCAACTGAAGGAGTGGCTCACATGCCAGCAAACAGCACCACTGTAGGCCCAGGGGATGCAGTCAGGGTCTGCAAAGTGTCTTTTCCTCACCTCTCCAGTCCGCACACAAGAGCAGCCACCTGGTCTTGCCTCATGCTGGCCCAGCCACACCAATGGCAAGGGTTCTATTGTTAACTCAGATTTTTTAAAAGGACAAAGAGGAGACATGTTAGGGGCAGGATGCACATTTGTCATTTTAAAATATCTCCTTAAATTCTTTTCAATGAAACACAAATTTGAATTACTGAAAAGCCATCTATCCAAGTTTTTTTTTTTTTTTAGACAGGGTCTCACTCTGTCACCCATACCAGAGTGCAGTGGCGTGATCTTGGCTCACTGCAACCTCCACCTCCCAGGTTCAAGCGTTTCTCATGCCTCAGCTTCCCTTGTAGCTGGGATCACAGGCATGCGCCACCATGCCTGGCTAATTTTTGTATTTTTAGTAGGGATGTGGTTTTACCATGTTGCCCAGGCTGGTCTTGAACTTCTGACCTCAAGTGAGCCACCCTCCTCGGCCTCCCAAAGTGCTGGGATTACAGATGTGAGCCACTGCACCTGGCTTCTGAGTTCTTTTTTAAAACTTAGTTTTCTGGCATTGTTGAACATTCAGCTATTATCTTGATATATCAGGATGCTGTTGGTTGCCAATAACAGGAACACTGTCTGAAACACAGATGCTTAAACAAGAAGTGCATTTGTTCTGTCTCATTTCTGGAAGTCCAGAGGTAGAGCAGGCCATGGAGTTGGTTGGTACTGCCCATCACTTTTGTTGTCAAAGACCCAGATCCTTTCCATTTCCCTGCTCTGACATCCTCAGTGTTGACCTCTTCCTACAGCCAGGAGCAAAGTGGCAGCAGCAGTGCTATTATGGACTAAATGTTTGTGTCCCTCTAAAATTCATATGTTAAAGCTGTAACCCTCAGTGTGATATTTGGAGAAGGGACCTTTGGGAGGTACTTTGGGTTAGATGAGGTCAGGAAGGTAGGGCTGTCATGATAGAATTAAATGCACTTATAAGAAGAGACACAAGAGAGCTCTGTCTCGCCCCCACCGTCTGAGGACACAGTGAGGAGTCAGAAGGTGGATAAATACCAAGGACCCCATCTAGACACCACAGCCTTATATAGCTTCCAAAGACAGAAAGAGACTCTCTTCTTGAGTCTCTGTTAGAAGCAAGGAAAGTATTCAATAGACTTCCCCTTGCATCTTGTTGACTAAAATTTGTTCACAGACCCATTCCTAAGCTAATTACTGGCAAGGGTTATTATAATTGTTCTAGACTAAGGAAGCCTTTTCTATGGAAGACCAAATAGTAAGGCCAGGCGCAGTGGCTCAGCCCTGTAATCCTAGCACTTTGGGAAGCCAAGGTGGGCGGATTGCCTGAGTTCAGGAGTTCAAGACCAACCTAGGCAACATGGCGAAACCCTATCTCTACTAAAAATACCAATAATTAGCTGGGCGTGTTGGTGTGCATCTGTAATCTCAGCTACTCGGGAGGCTGAGGCATGAGAATCACTTGAACCCGGGAGGCAGAGGTTGCAGTGAGCCGAGATTGTGCCACTGCACTCCAGCCTGGGCAACGGAATGAGACTGTCCCCCCACCAAAAAAAAAAAAAAAAAAAGACCAAATAGTAAATATTTTAGACTTCTTTTCTCCTCTCCCCTCCCTCTCTCTGCTCTTTATCTCTTTAAATATGTGCTCAAGAGCTATACAACAGCAGGCTGTGGCTGGATTTGGTCACTCCTGGCTTAGATTAATCACAGTCTACTCTGGAATGAGGCAAGGGGTTATTGCCCCATGAGTTATACAAGGGAGAGGTTGATTACTAAACAAAATTGGGGTCCCATGAAAAGGAAGAAGGGAGATGGACACTGAGTAGGCAACTGCACGATTGCTAAATTTGGTCCAAAGAAAGGTTAGTAGATGCAGAGAACAGCCAAAGGGACTGAATCTGGAGACAACTCTACCCCAGCAAGGTGTTTGTCCTGTGACTGGTGGGTTAAAATGGGAATGCAACAGGCAAGTTGTTTGTGATGAATAGGTATTGCTTTCATAATCAGAAAAAAAATTAAGACCATCTTTCAGAAATGTTCTAAAATTCGATTGTGTGATGGTTGCACAACTCTGAGTATACTAATAAAAACCATTGACGTGTACATTTTAAGTTAGTGAATTTTATGACATGTGAGTCATATCTCAGTAGAGCAGTTAAAAAAAGAATCTCTTGAATTCCAAAGCTTAAAAACCATGGACCGCAGCTCTGTGGTGCTTGCTGTTTAGAGGCAAGGGCGCCTTTGGCTGTGTGGCTAGCTTCACGGCTTTCACGGATGGCCTTGGAAATCTTCCCATAATGGGAATGCTTTTAATGACCATTTCTTTTTACATATGTGCTAAATATTTTTCAGGCCATGCAAAATATTTTACATTTTATAATCAAAGAATTAGCATGCTTACAATAAAAATAAAACTGATACAGAAACAGTAAATTACAGGATTTTTTTTTGTCCCTTTTAACCCTTTTTAAAGTGTATTTTCTCTTTTTATGCAGTAGGACTCATTCACTGCATATGTCAATGCAGCCCAGTGGTAGACAGTCTTCAGGCTGGCTTTGCCCAAGCCTCAGATGGTACCAGTGGGCTCTGACTTCTCTGTTTCCCTCTGATCTACTCCGTCTGGATCAACTCAGTTCTTAGGCCCTGCAGCTGGAGAATTTTTCCCTGGCATGCTGAATCAGAGGCTGTCATTGGCTCTGACCACATCATATGCCCATCCCCTACACAATCACTGAAGCAAGGGCAGAGTCCATTGGCTTTTACCTGGATCTCATGCTTCACTCAAGCTGTATGGGTTAGGATAGGGGAGTAGTGGTTCGTCAGAATAAAACTGGGTTCTGTTAATGGTTGCCAGGTGGCAGACCCAACACTTTCCTTCTCTGCATCCCTGACATCTTTTTTTTTTTTTTTTTTGAGTCAGAGTCTCGCTGTTGTTGCCCAGGCTAGAGTGCAATGGTGCGATCTCAGATCACTGCAACCTCTGCCTCCTGGGTACAAGTGATTCTCCTGCCTCAGCCTCCCAAGTAGAGCTGGGATTACAGGTGCCCACCACCACACCCAGCTAATTTTTTGTATTTTTAGTAGAGACGGGGTTTCACTGTGTTAGCCAGGCTGGTCTCGAACTCCTGACCTCAGGCGATCCACCTGCTCGGCCTCCCAAAGGGCTGGGATTACAGGCGTGAGCCACCACGCCCGGTCCCCTGACTTCATTACTGCCTGTTGTTGCCCATTTCATTCTTCCTTCTTTAGTTCTATGTGGCATACTTTCCCTTTAATTATCTTTAACTTATAGTTCTCACCTTTGAAGAATAGCAGTTGAGCTTCTAGTGACAGACTTTTGGAAAAACCAAGTTTGTTTTAAGGTGGGATTTGACAAAGAACCTTCAAGCTTGATAACTGAGTGGGAAAGCTTCCCTTCAGTGAGGGAAAAGTGTCTGCAGGTAGGCCAGGTGAATGAGACACCCTAAAACTTGAAAGTTAAGCAGGAAATAAGACTTTAATGTTTCCTGGGGCCTCGTGTCGTGGCATGCCTTTTATCCCAGCACTTTGGGAGGCCGAGGTGGGAGGATTACTTGAGGCCAGGAGATTGAGACCAGCCTGAGCAACATAGCAAGACCTTGGCTCTATAAAAATAAAAATAAGTTAGTCAGGCATGATGGTACACACCTGTAATCCTAGCTACTCAGGAAACTGAGGTGGGAGGCTTGCTTGAGCCCAGGAGTTGGGAAATACAGTGAGCTATGATTGCATCACTGCATTCCAGCCCAGGCAACAGAGCAAGACCCTGTCTCAAGGAAAGGAAAAAAATAATTGTGTGTGTGTGTGTCTGTGTGTACGTGTGTGTATGCACGTGCACGTGCTTTCTGTACTTTTATACTGAATCTATTTTGAATTTGGGTTGGAAGCTTTAGAATATTACCTTAACCTACAAGAGAGATGTGAGGAATAGTTCTGAGTCCCCTATCTTTTATGGCTTTCAACTATTTTTCTCACTTTTTTTCTGACGGTTTTCCTTTGTCAGTGTAAATTCATTTTGATTTGCTTGTTATTTTGATGGACTGGAAATGTGTTTTTAAATCTGAAAACAGTACTAGTTTCAAATTTGTTTTCTTTACTGTAGTGATTCTCAGATATATTTTAGTAAAATTATTCTACCTTTTTTTTTTTTTTTTTTTTGAGACGGATTCTCACTCTGTCACCCAGGCTGGAATGCAGTGGCATGATCGCGGCTCACTGTAACCTCTGCCTCCTGGGTTCAAGCGATTCTCCTGCCTCAGCCTCCCGAGTAGCTGGGATTACAGGCAGCCACCACCACACCCGGCTAATTTTTGTACTTTTAGTAGAGACAGGGTTTTACCATTGTTGCCCAACAGGGTCTCGAACTCCTGGCCTCAAGTGATCCACCCACCTTAGCCTCCCAAAGTGCTGGGATTACAAGCGTGAGCCACCACGCCCAACCCTACTTTTTTTTTTTTTTTTAAACAGAGTCTTGCTCTGTTGCCCAGGCTGGAGTGCAGTGACGCCATCCTGGCTCACCACAGCCTCAACCTCCCAGGTTCAAGCAGTTCTCCTGCCTCAGCCTCCCGAGTAACTGGGACTACAGACGTGTGCCACCATGCCCTGCTGGAATTATTCTACATTCTAAGTTCATAGGAAAATTAATCTTTGAATTTTGAGAACCGTCTCAAAATTGGTTTACTAAAACTTGGGCACCTGCTATATAGTTTGCCTACTAGAAGATAATAAAATGAATGAGAGTACCAAATGAAAAATAATGGAAAGTATGGAAGTTGCTGATCTCGACAGATTCTTAAATCATGGACGTATGTGTTAATGGTTTGATTTTTATATTGTGTACATATATTTATTGTTTACTAGTAAAAAATGTTCTAATTTATGTGATAAATGGAATATATCAATACTTCATGGCAAAAATTTTTGTGAATTTCAGGTGTTCTGCCACCTTAAACGTTGAAAAGCACTGCTTTCCAGGATAGCCAAATCCCTAAAAGAATTTCTGGTCATGAGACTGATTATCCTTACTGATCAGCTGTGTCACACATCACATGGACATATGATGTCCATGTGATGGACTGGACTGGGCATGGTTGTTTTAGGAGCATGACTGGCATCTGTAATCATGAGTACACTTGGAATCCGTTTCTTCCGTTTCGAAAAGTCCACTTACCCGGAATTGGGACTTGTCTGACATCCCCTAAACTCTGACACTGACAAAAGAGGTCATTGCATCTGGTTCCCAGCTACTTCCATACTTTCCATTATTTTTCATTCGGTACTCTCATTCATTTTATTATCTTCTAGTAGGCAAACTAGATAGCAGATGCCAAAGCTTTAGTAAACCAATTTTGGGAAGGTTCTCAAAATTATAAAGAGTAATTTTCCTAAGAACTTAGAAAAGACCACTTTACTCAAATGTAGAATAATTCTACTAAAATATATCTGAGAATCACTACAGTAAAGAAAACAAACTCAAATCTAACAGGCTGTCCTAGGAGAGCCAGTTAGCTTTTGTTGTTTTCTTGCTTACATCCCGCCTTCCCTTCTTCCACACTTAATCCATTTATCCATTCATAATACTTGTTCTTGTCCACTTTCATTTTTCTTATTTCTTCTTTTTGTCTTTGGCTTCCTCTTAGCAGCTTCTTAGACAAACAAGCACTTGAATAATAAATTGATTCAGCATCTTCAGTTTAATACAGGGCAGGTTGAGCATCCCAAATCCCCAAATCCAAAGTCCGAAATGCTCCAAAATCTGAAACTTTTTGAGTGCCAACATGATGAATGTTTATTGGAGCATTTCAGATTTGGGATACTTATATTCCAAAATCAAAAAATAAAAATTAAAAAAAAACACAATTCAAAATCTGAAAAAATTCAAAATCCAAATTCCCAACCATTTCAGATAAAGGATACTCAACCTATATTGATCCTCTAAGGGTTCAACAGCAAACCAGCCCAATCCTTTCAGCCATCCTATATTTGGTGTCTACCATGCTCAGGGAGCAGGAGGCATGATATTCATAAGCCAGGCATTTCACTGTTATCATGGAAGTAGACCCCGAGCAAAGTCAGAACCCAGGATGGGACCTGCCCTACTCATCTGAGTGCCCCCTCAGTGGAGGATAACTCTGTACTAGACCCATTCCCATTCATCAGACTAAATTGGCCTCTGTGGAGACTCACTTATCCTAGAGAAGTGACATGGCAGCTTATTTCAGGGTCTCAGCATTGCCTGAGCCGAAATTCAGTAAGCCTATCCACCGTGCCATCATGCCTTCTTGTTTCCCTTCTCCCTGAATCCGCTCACCTAGTGTAACCCTCACCAGCCCAGTCTGAGCCTCCTCGTCTCCTCTCTTAAACACACGTGTATATATGGATAGAAACAGACAGACAGACATGGAACAACACAGCAGAGTCTGATGTTTTGTTTTATGGTCCTGCGTCAGCCGTTAATCCTCACAAAGATAATTCTACCTTGACAACACCAGATACCTTTTCATCATCATCATTTAACCTCTAGAGTTTAATGATAGAACTGATTATAATGTCTAGTAAATTCTTTATGATATGTTTGTAGTATTTTAAAACTTTTTGAAAATACAGAGCCTAATTGTATTAAATTTGGGGAAGGCATAAAGTTGTATGATAATAAGACATTTACCCTCGTTGGGCCTCAGAAAATGACACCCCAAAGGGAAGGCCCCAGAAGTAAGTTTCTCTCTGATCTTCTCCCACTCTCCTGTACCTCAGCCTCATTTTCTCAGAGGTAAGCTTTAGAAACTAGAATTCCTTTTCCTCAAAGTGAATCATAAAAACCTGAACCCATTTTCCCCAAAGCCAGCCATAAAACCTAAAAATATTACTCGAATTTCCCTCCTGTATTTCTGTGGCAGAGTTGGCCGTAAAGAAATTCTCTAACCTACCCTGTTTGATTGTGAGTCGTAAGACTCCCCATTTCAGAAAGGGTCCTGCCCCATACCAGGGAGGAAGGAACACTGCACAGAGACGCCAAGAAGAATGAACAGACAGGCCTGGCAGAGTTTCCCCACTCAGTCTGTTAGCATTCAATCATACTTACCTTCTTGGCCAAGCACAGTTCTACATGGTTGTCTGTTCTTCACTGAACTTCAGCATAAAAATGGAAAGTTTTCCCAATATCCTTAGGTCTTCAATCTGAAGGCTGCCATGTCACAGAAAACAATGATCAAATAAAATTTGTTTTGTTTTCTTCTGTTAACCTGTTTGTTATAAGGGTGTTGACTGTGACCCTTATGATGAGGAGGAAAGGGATCACCCCTTCTGACCCTACACCCTCCACATTTTTTTTTTTTAGTAGATATTTAAAGCGGTCACTTTAGGTAGCTGGCTCCATAATAAGCCCTGGAGATCTGTTTTGCATTTTATTTTATTTATTTATTTATTTATTTATTTATTTATTTATTTTTGAGACGGAGTCTTGCCCTGTCACCCAGGCTGGAGTGCAGTGGCACGATCTGGGCTCACTGCAAGCTCTGCCTCCTGGGTTCACGCCATTCTCCTGCCTCAGCCTCCCAAGTAGCTGAGACTACAGGCGCCTGCCACCACGCCCAGCTAATTTTTGTGTGTGTGTGTTTTTTTGGTAGAGACGGGGTTTCACCGTGTCAGCCAGGATGGTCTCGATCTCCTGACCTCATGATCCACCTGCCTCGGCCTCCCAAAGTGCTGGGATTACAGGTGTGAGCCACCCCGCCCAGCCTGTTTTGTATTTTATTTTAAGAGACGGAGTCTTGCTATGTTGCCCAGGCTGGTCTCAAACTCCTAGGTTCAAGCAGTCCTCCCACATTGGCTTCCCAAAGTGCTGGGATTAGAGGTATGAGCCACCATCCTGCATGCTGTTTATGCATCTCAGTTGGAGAACTCAGCCAGCACCCTAATGACTTCACCCTTCTATGGCTGCTGATTTGGAAGAAACCCAGGGAAGCAAGAGTAAATTTTCCCAATCTTTACCTGTCCAGTCAGGAGGATTTTTTCAACCTGAAAAAAACAGAACCCCTATTCGGTTAAAGGGGTTAAGTTTGGGATCCATAGAATTACCAAAGAGAGAATGCTATTCATTTCATAAAGGATGTCTGCCACCATTACAAATGATCCTTGGCTATTAAAAATGGGTGATTGGTTCAGGCGGTTTAAGGGTGGAGGAACAAATGCGTGATGGGTTCTCTCTTTAAGGGTGGATGGAAATACCTATTAAAAATTCTCCCAAGCCTTCCAGCTCTTCATTAAGAAACTTTTTTAAAAAGTCATATGGGAGAGGGTTCGTTCTGAAAATTAAAATGGAACAGAATGATGAGGTCTATTCAGAGGCCAAAGTGGGGAAAAGGCAAGGGTTTTGCTTGTGCAGCCTGTGCTACAATGAAGAGGACCTTAGTACAGACGGATGGTGCCCTACCAAATGTAGCCCATAATTCAAGCTGTCAGCTTCATCACACTGTTTCCAGGTAAAGAGAAGGAGCCCTTGTTTCCTGGGTAAAGAGAAGGAGCGTTGTTTGCTGACCCCTGGTCCACAGCCTGCCGTGGTCGCCTCGCTGTGCTGGCCTTTGTGTTGCTGTCCCCTCCTTCCCTCCTTTTTGGCATTGTGCTCCCTTCAAGTGGCCCCCTGGAAGGGACCACCCAGGGGGCTGCACAATGGAGATTGAGGTAGCCACAAAAACACAGGTTTTGTAAGACAGCCCTTTAAAAGAAAAATACTGTTTAACTATGTATGTGTTTGTCCTTTCTACAACTGTTTTGTGTGGCAAACAAAACCCTGTATACAAACTTCACTGTGGCCTCACATACAGCTGTTCCAGCCATCGGGTGTCAG
The DNA here is from genome assembly GCF_000001405.40 of Homo sapiens. Classification (NCBI taxonomy): domain Eukaryota; kingdom Metazoa; phylum Chordata; class Mammalia; order Primates; family Hominidae; genus Homo; species Homo sapiens. The sequence continues at coordinate 21,190,115 of NC_000020.11, forward strand.
GCTTGAGATAGTCGCTTCCAGTTTATTTTCCCAGGACACTAATTCTTGATGTAGTTTCTAGTTACATGCTTAGATTTATGGCCAAGAAATGTGATATCAAAACAAGCAAATTGCGCTGGCTTTATTAAACTATTTTATCAGTAGTCCTCACAGTTGACGGCTGGGCATTGCTCCTGGGTGAAATTTGCCTGTAATGCTGCTTAACAAAAGCTAGCAGCCCGGAATTCAGTTCTCAATAGCCATTTACACCTCTGTAAAAGGATTAGCGCTAGCCAATTGTTACACTGTTTAAATCTTAATTTGCATCACTATGGGGGTAGAGCTTCTACAGACCTCTCTGGTTCCCAGTTGAATTTGTGTACCTGTGGATGGGAGAGTCACTAGAGATTTCTCTTATTGATGAAGGTGCTAAATTGCCTCGGGATAACCGGTATGCCACAAATATTGAATTAGCCTCTCAGGTTCCAACTGACAGACAATAGTCTGCTTTGGTTCATTAGTTATATTTTATAGCAGTTGTGGTCCTTGAGTATTTGGTACTTGGATGCATTCTTCTACATCTGTTTCAAGTAAAAATTTTCATGGGTCTTAGGAGGATTTTAAATGTTGTTATTTGTAAGTAGCAAATTTCCTTGGGAATTATATGCAAAACAAAAAACAGAACGTGATAGTTTTAAAAGTAATCTTTTTCTATCCAGACCATATGTTTTTAAAGATCAAAGCCTTTTTATGTTTAGAATTGCCCTGTCAATAGACAATAGATGAAATTGTCTTTTCATAATGTAAAGCTGGAACTACACATCAGTTTCAGATGCTCAGCCTAGGCCTGAGTGAATTCTAATTGTAAGATGGAGGAGGAGGGAGGTGGACAGGGAGGGAAACTAGCAGGTCAGGAGCATGGCAGGAAGAGAGGGTATTAAACTACATTAAATGGATGAAAATTGAGGGAGTTTGGAATGCTTGGTTGGAATGAAAACAAAGCTTGGGACATTTTAATGACCACCTTATCACCACTTCCACCATTTTTCCCTCATAAAGCATTTGTTCATTTATTCAACAAATAGTTACTAGGTATCCATCTCATGCATAGTGTTAGCCACTGAATTTAGTGATTATTGCACGTGGAGTAAAAAGAATTGTCTTGGTTGCTGAGAGTAGTCAGGATGGTAAATATAATTTAAACAGACTTTGCAGCCTGCAAGTTTTCCATGTAATAGACATGCCAGGCAGAAGGAAAGCAGACACAACTGCTTATAAATAAATATTGCCCTTTTAAGAAACATTAAAGAAATTGAATGCACTGGGTGGAAGGGCTTTTGGGGAACTCCCCAGGAAAGGTTGTTTTGAGTCTATGGCGAAAGCCAGGCCAGCCATTCCTGGGGAGGTGAGCCACAGCAAAGGCTTTGGTATTCCAAGAAAGCAACCACAACTAAATTATTTTTTGTTTTTTAACTTTGGAAAATTTTGAGGCAGTGACTGGATGCTCATTGATCCTCACAGAGGCTAAAGAAATCGTCATGGTTTAAAAATTAAAATAACTGAAATAAGGAAGCCTGTTCATTTTGCTTTAATGTATCTTTGTACACATGCTAAAAGAGAACAGGGGGGGAAGCATCCAGAAAGGAACTTACACCTTAGTTGATTTGTACCTGAGAAGAATTTTTAGTATATGAGGTTAACCAACAAGTTTGTTTTGTTTTTTGGAGAGGAGGTAGGGCTTGTTTAAAAGAAAGAAAAAAAAAAAAAGCAGCCCCAAACTCTACCAGTGTAACAGTAAAAGGAGTTTAGTGAGAGAAGGCAGTAAAGCAGCCCGGAGCTCCCTTATCGAGAATGTTTTAGTTTCTTCTACTCACAAACCCTCTTTGTTGGGAACTGTCCAACCCCAGCTTCTGCCGGCGGGGAGGGGTACACTGGGATTGGAAGAAGGGAAACCAGGGCTCCAAGGAGCAGGATCAGGACGGAAGGTAGGGCCAACCCCATGAAAAGACAGAAGTTGAGTTTCCTAGCCAGTTTTTCTGTGTCACTGGAAAACAATTGGAATTTGAAACAAAGGTTGGCTGCCTTGCCTCTTCCCACCTTTCTGAATACAAGGTATTTCTGAATTACATGTTCATCACTTAGGGACCACCTCTCCAAATGATACCATTTTGTTGTTCATTTCTGGATTTTTTTTTTTTTTTTTTTTTTGCGGGGGAGGGTGTTATTTTGTTTGATTATTAGCGACTGGGTTATACTATGTTGCCCAGGCTAGACTCCAACTCCTGGGCTCTAGCGATCCTCCTGCCTCACCCTTCTGAGTAGCTGGGACTGCAGGCTGGAGCCACCGTGCCTGGCTTGCTTCTTTTGAAATACAATTTCCTTCCCTAAAATTTTATTCTGGATGTGATCAACTACAGTGCTCTGTGACCTTCAGTCTCACTAAAAATATAGTGACAACATTTTATAAAACTTCTAAAAAGTAATATGTAAATTATGTAAGTGTAAGTTTCCCTGAAAAATGAACTGACAAAAGGCAGATTAATAGGAGAAAAGACTTGCAAAATTTGTTTTGATATGCACAGCACAGGGAAATTGCAGAAGAATGATTATCCAGTAACCCATTGGGGTATGGATACTTTTTTACCCTTCTTCATAGGGGAGGGGAGATGGGGAAAGCTGGCAATTTGGGGCATAGTAAATGATTTTTAGGGGAAAATGAATGGACTTGAAGAACATACAGTGGCCTGGGACAAAGTCTGTGTGGCCTGCAGAGTAGACAGTGGTTTGTGAGGAAATCTGTCCAGATGTGTTGACAGCCTTAGTCCTTCTTTCTGCAGTGTAAGTTGAGTTAATAAAAATTCAGAGAAGGGACCATAGGTGATTGTTTTCTTCTTCCAGCAGGTCCAGACTTTAGGCAGATAAAGGAACTTCAGAGAACAATTGCATCCTGTGCTTTGAGAGACAGGAGGGAGGTGGGGGAGGGAAGGTCAGAGAGACCTTGCATCTCTGCTTCAGCCCAGCATTTCAAAATGCTGTATTTTGGGATATCAGCTTCTGAGCCCCAATGTTGGCAAATTTGTTACTATTTATGATCAGAGATCACACCATTTTGAGATTGCTATTCCTTGGAGAAAATAAAATCTGCAAATCAAGCCTATTGTGCCGCAACTGAAACACAAAAATTTAACTCACCAAAAAGATAACACTGGCAGGAATATGTAAAAGTTATCTGATAGGGTTAAGGAAAAGTTTATTTTCTGTAGCCCTCATACAGGGTCATTTTTGCCAAGAAGTAATTCTCAGTTTGCAATTCTGAGCCCAGCACTTTTTCTCTCTTACTCACTTTAAAAATCCCTGTACCTTGGGATCTAGATCTAGAAATACCATTTGACCCAGCCATCCCATTACTGGGTATATACCCAAAGGATTGTAAGTCATGCTGCTATAAAGACACATGGACACCTATGTTTATAGCGGCACTATTCACAATAGCAAAGACTTAGAACCAACCTAAATGTCCAACAATGATAGACTGGATTATGAAAATGTGGCACATATACACCATGGAATACTATGCAGACATAAAAAATGATGAGTTCATGTCCTTTGTAGGGACATGGATGAAACTGGAAACCATCATTCTCAGCAAACTATCGCAAGGACAAAAAACCAAACACCGCATGTTCTCACTCATAGGTGGGAATTGAACAATGAGAACACATGGACCCAGGAAGGGGAACATCACACACTGGGGACTGTTGTGGGGTGGGGGGAGGGGGGAGGGATAGCATTAGGAGATATACCTAATGCTAAATGACGAGTTAATGGGTGCAGCACACCAGCATGGCACGTGTACACATATGTAACAAACCTGCACGTTGTGCACATGTACCCTAAAACTTAAAGTATAATAATAATAAAATTAGACAAACAAAAAAAATCCCTGTACCTTAATTTCAGTGTTCCCAATAGCCTGGAGTGGAGTTGTCTCCTAAATCCTGTGTGACTGAAAATGAAGCTAGAAAGCAATTATTTTTAATTTGGCCAAATTTTTTACATTTATTATGTGCTTTAACTGTCGTTGGATAAGATAAGCTATGCATCTTTAAAGTGCCATTTGTGTCCACAAGTTACTTGTCATTCAGCAGGTTCCTCCACCTGCCAGACCTCACAGAGAACAAGGTGATGGTAGGGCTAGCATGTTGGTGCCAGAGACTGGACACAGGTTCCTCAGGCCAGTGCCCTTCTAGCTGGAATGATTTTGGCAGGAACGCACATAGAAAAAGGAATTGAGGTCTTGAGTTCTAAAATAGTTACAGTGTTTCTATAACACATAGTCTTTAATATTTAATTCCATACAGCGTTTGAATTCTTTAGTTGAGTTCTTTTGAGCAAAAGAACTGATGAATATTTTATAAACTAAAGTCTGCTATCTGGGAAGAGCACTGTTAGAAATCCTCAGCATAAACCAGCTCATCTTTTAGTCCGAGAAAGTTCTGAGTTAGAGTAGATCATAAGCTCTGTGCATAGTGCTTGTGGCCAGCTGATTGATCACCCAGTACCAAGGGGGAAACCCTGGACTGGTGTAACAACAACCATTATAAAAATACTGTCAGCCAGGTGTGGTGGCTCATGTCTGTAATCGCAGAACTTTGGGAGGCCAAGGTGGGAGGATTGCTTGAGCTCAAGAGTTTGAGACCAGCCTGGGCAACAAAGCAAGACCCCATCTCATTTTTATTAAAAAAAAAAAAATACTGTAAAGATAAGTGTGTCATATGAATTTCTTTCATCTGGGTTTAAGTTTCAGCTTGTCATTTGACATGTAGTATCATTAAGTTGTATGCTCAGCATTGTGCCGAATGCTATGAGAAATAAAAGTAAAAAATTTAGAAGTGCAGTTGCTATTCTCACCAGGCTTTTGCTCTTGTTGAGAAGACTCGGCAGAGGTGACTTAACTATGGAATAGCACAAGGTAAGAGGTAAGATGGTGTCTCTTTTGTGCTAAAGAATTCAGGGGTAAGAAAGATCCCTATGAGTAAGGTAGTCAGGGAAGCTTCTAGAGGGTGATGAGATGAGCTAGTCTAAGTAAGCCTGACACTTATATTGATAAGATCGGCAAAGAAGAAAGGTTATCTGGGATTTGTCCTGGCAGGACAATCAAGCATTACTGAGCACTGGCATGCATGCCATGGTGGTAGTGAGGGGATGTCGGAGGAGTGCAGATGCAGGTAATAAGTAGGTGCATTCTATGGAAGAATTTAAAAACAATAACGAGACCACTAAAAGTCAGTCTGCCTTCTGTTGTCACCATTCCTAAGGATGGCAAAGATAAAATACACCTTACCATGGAGGGAACCTGCTCCCACTGCAGCATCCACCAGCACCATGGAGTGTCAGCCAGTTTCCAGTACTGCACAGTACTAACCTTTTAGAAGATATCCAAAAACATTAAGCCATGGTCCTTGCTCCAGGTTTGCATCCTGGTTTGGGAAGTGGGACTAAAGGGAATCTAAGCTTGGAGATCATAAGCTGGTGGCCTGCAGGCCTACCTTGGGCTGCAGATAGGTTCTCTTTGTCCTGTCAGTGGGTAGGCAACCTTTTGAATTAGTCACCACATTTTAAAAATTGGGAGCTGTTAAATAAAAACAAAACTTGCAATTATAAACTTCCAGCTTCTCTTAAAAACTGAGAAGATCTAGGTTCACTGGGACACACACTCCTCAGGGGGAGCTTTTGATGGAGGCACTGGCCCCAGCTCTCCACAGCCCCACCCCACCAGCAGCCAGCATGGTCTCCGTTACCTTCCCTGTAGTCAGCTGAGTGCTCCCCAGGTGAGCGATGAAGGACTGTTTCTTCCTCCCTTGCCTCACCCACTTACCTGCTCTTCCTCTGCCACCTACAGCACAAAGTCAGTCTCCTGACTGGTCTCTGGGCCTCAGGTCTCTCTCCTCACCAACTCCATCCTTGCAAGGCTGCCAGGCTAACCCTCTGAAAAACACTGCTTTCGAGAAACCAGCAATGGCTCAGAAATCCACAAGCTTATTGCTGTATTCTTTCCAGAGTTTCATATTGAATTTAATTTTCCATTGCTATCCTACTATGACCAACAGCAACCCCTACCCAGCCAAACTTGTCTCCCTTGCTGGTCCCCACACCACTCTTACCCTGTCATTTCCCATCACCTTTGCCTGTGTCTCTCCTTAGTTTCAAATGTCATCTCCCCTTCTCTCTAAAACCTGCCTGGCTCACGTTCCTCCTCCTTAGTGAAGCCCCTGAGACTCCAGTGATCTCTCTGTGTCTTTACCGCTTCATAATTCCTGATTGTCTGATGGCCTGCCCTATACCTCTCACCGTTGATTACAGGCTCTCTTTTACTACTCTGAAATTGGCTCACCATTGGTGGGACCTCTTAAGGGCAGCTGTTATTCTGGAAATTGAGTGATGACAAGATAAAGGCTTCCAGGAAGAATTAGGATCCAGATTTTGCCTAGGCAATAAGAGGTATTCATAGGTACTATAAGTCAGATAGGCCTGAAGTCTGGAAGCTTTGGGGCAGCAGAACCCAGGAGTGAAGGACCCAACTCGGGGTCTGACCTACAAGAACTGAGAATCCAGGCTTAGAGTTTAGACAGAAGCCTGGGAATTGGCAAGGAGCTGGAGCACCAACAGTGTGGATAAGGGTCAGGAATAGCACTTGAATCTTGTGTGCCTGTTATTATTCCTTCCCAGCATAAAGGTACACTTCAGAGTAGGGCTAAGCCTGAGTCTGCAGTTGTCACTCACCCTCCAATAGATGGACCACATCTCCTTCATCCTTATCACATCAGGCACATAGCCATCAACTAGGTCCAGTAACTTCACCAACTGTAGTGCTATTTACAAATTAGTACCTTGCAAATTAACATATTGCTTTATAAGTTGCTTTGTAACTAATCTTCATTTTCTTTTTGGGGTGTGTGTTGAATATTCCCAACTACAAATGTGAACAGCTCCTTTAAAGTAGAAACACTGTTTTGTCTTCTCCTATAGCTTTTTAGAATCATGCATCCCTCAAAATAGTCATTTTTTAAAAGATGGTAACTAATCTATTTGAAGGCTACTGTGATACAACGACAGACCTAACCTAAAACAGTGACCAAATTTTTAGACTCTTATCACTTACTCAGTAGACTGGATATAGATAATAAAAGATAAATCCCTCTTTCCATGCCTTCCTATTCTGATTAAGAATAAAGAAAATTTGACTGCAATAGGATCTGAATGGAAAACTAATAGTCATTTTTCTACATTCAGAAATAGAGGATGTAACCTATACTTCAGCCAGAAGTTTTCAATTTCTTAGCAGTGACAATTTAAGTAAATTTCATACGAGTTGTGGGGATCTAACTTTGTTATGATTGACAATATAAAATTAGCCTTTTCTGCTGTTAAGATTATCTAGCATACCTGTCATTCAGGTGGAATGTGGAACGAGATTGCCCAGCTGTGGATTTGAACATCATTAAAGTCAACAAAGGGTTAAAAGTTACTTCCTCTGATGGATTTAAAATTGCCGCATACACGCAAACAAGTTTTTCAAACTGCCCCATTTTATGTCTTTGTTGAGAGACAGTATAGTTGCTGCATTTTAATGTCCAGATTATATTACAGATATATTTCAGTAAACCATGAAGAACCATCATAGATTCTAGAAGCTGGTGATCTGTGCTTAAATAAGCATCTCCTGCAGCATCTTTTTTATTTTATAGGCTCTGTAATCACAATGGCATTCTGAAAGAAGACCTTGAAGCTCACAGAGCAGCTGTCCTTCACCAGCTCCCAGGACTCCTACCTGGGGGTGGCAGCTATGAAAAGCAAGTCAGGGCTTACTGGCTTGACATTGCTGTCGTGGTGGGATGGCCATTCTTGTTTCCGAATGCTCCAAAATCAAAAAGATCACAAAGTTGCAATCCTCTTATTAATTTTTTATTTTATTTTATTTTATTTTGAGACAGAGTCTTGCTCTGTTGCCCAGGCTGGAGTGCAGTGGCGTGATCTCAGCTCACTGCAAGCTCCGCCTCCTGGGTTCAGGCCATTCTTCTGCCTCAGCCTCTCGAGTAGCTGGGGCTACAGGCGCCTGCCACCATGCCCAGCTAATTTTTTGTATTTTTAGTAGAGACGGGGTTTCACTGTGTTAGCCAGGATGGTCTCGATCTCCTGACCTCGTGATCCGCCTGCCTCGGCCTCCCAAAGTGCTGGAATTACAGGCATGAGCCAGCGTGCCAGGCCGCAATCCTCTTATTAAAATACATCTGCACTGTTTACTAGCAGAGAATAGATTATTACTCAGGAGTGGTCAGTAGATGCATGTCTGTGAAAGCCCCTCTGAAGGGACCTTGTTTGGCTGGCTGAGTGAGTGAGTGAGTGGCTTTGGGTCTGCTTAGCCTACAACATAGTGCTGTTCTCCTCACCTGTCATGTGCCACTTAGGCTGTTTTATGTTAAAGATATAAATAGGGAGGATATTTACAGGATTCTGCTTAAATCTAGTACACATTGATTCTATCAAAGGGTGGATGGAAATCAGGATAATAGTCTTTAAAGGGACCCTGTCACAAGAAAACTTCACCGGATTAAGTGGCTTTGTTTTACATTACCTTCTGCGTCTGTACTAGTAATCTTGAAGCTATGGGAAATGCTGGAAATGACCTTCCTGGTCAGTAGCTTTTCAACCTAAGGCAGTAAAGGGCAATGCCAGAAAACCCTCTTTCAGTTTTTATCCTGCAGAATAAAAACCACGGTCTTAAAATAATCCTTTACAACGTAGTGGAAGAAGCTGGTTTGGGAGGAGTCCTTCTGCGCTCTCTAGGTCATTTGGTGATTGTGTGTTAGAAGGCTCTTTAATCTCCCGTTTCTTTCTCACTGCCTTTTATATCTGTTTGTATACTATTTGGCATAAACCACAGTTGTGGTGTATAGCATGGGAAGGATATATGCATTTATAATTCTCTGCGCAAACTGAGTTGTTAAACTAAATGATTCATTTTGTGACTCTCTTAATCTAGGCTGCCCAACTGTGATTATGGGTGATAAGCCATGATGTCTGCACCTACTAGACTAACGATTGTTAGAGTTTCTCAGCATTCATAATAGAGCATTGATTTCCATTATGAAAGGTTGTGTTTTACATGACTATTGATCTACAGTTATGTGTAAATCAGTCTTCCATAAGAAATGATCCTTCTTTATGACCACCACAAATTTTAAAATTAATATCTGGAGTCTTCAAAACTGTTTCTTTACCACAGTCATTTTTTAGAGCCAGATAAAGAAGTCAAGAATGTTCTCTGCTGTCAGCATTATGTTCTGCTACAGCTAGAATTGCTGTATACATTGTGACTGGGTATGCTGTTTAACACACACTGATTATCACTGGTTCACTCTCTAGCCTTGAAAAAAGTGCCAAGTGTTTGTGACCTTTGAGAGACAGCAGTCAGGTCTTTAAACACAGATTCTTCCTAATGGATTTTAGTCACCAGGCTGCCCCGCTGCCCTCCTTGCTCTAGCTTCCTCTTGTGCCCCTTAGCACCCAGAAGTCCCTGCTGGGAACTCCAAATCTAAGTGAAATAGACCTATCTGCTTTGTGATCATCACCTGGCCAGTTTGATCAACCATTGCAGAAACACTGGTTTGGAGAGAATGATTTATTCTTGTTCTTTAATGGTTAATAACTCTGGTGTCATAGAATTATTTTTTTCTTTTTTTAAGACAGAATCTTGCTCTGTCGCCCAGGCTGGAGTGCTGTGGAGTGATCTTGGCTCACTGCAACCTCTGCCTCCTGAGCTCAAGAGATTCTTGTGCCTCAGCCTCCTGAGTAGCTGGGACTACAGGTGTGCACTTCCACAACCTGCTAATTTTTTGTATTTTTGGCAGAAGATGGGGTTTTACCGTGTTGGCCAGGCTAGTCTTGAACTCCTGGCCTCAAGTGATCTGCCCACCTCTGCCTCCCAAAGTGCTGGGATTACAGGCATGAGCCATCACACTGGCCTAGTGTCATAGAATTCTAATCCAGGCAGGAAAGGCTTTGACTGGTTACAAAATCCTTAAAGGATTGTTTGGTGTAGCAGCAGCTCACATCTGTCTCTTTAATCTTGATCTGTAAAATGAGACACCTGCCCCCATAGCATACTCTAGAGCAGCAGTCCCTAACCTTTTTGGCACCAGGGACCAGTTTTGTTTAAGACAGTTTTTCCATGGAGCGGGTTTAGGGAGGTGTGGGCAGGGGCATGGTTTCAGGATGATTCAAGTACATTACATTTATTGTGCACTTTATTTCTATTATTATTACATTTTAATGTATAATAAAATAATTATACAATTCACCATAATGGAAAATTAGTGGGAGCCTTGAGCTTGTTTTCCTGCAACTAGATGGTCCCGTTTGGGAGTGATGGGAGACAATGACAGATCATCAGGCGTTAGATTCTCATAAGGAACATGCAACCTAGCTCCCTTGCATGCACAGTTCACAATAGGGTTCATGCTCCTATAAGAATCTAATGCTCCCCCTGATCTGACAGGAGGCGGAGCTCAGGTGGAGCTAATGCTCCGCCCTCCTGCCACTCACCTCCTGCTTTGTGGCCCAGTTCCTAGCAGACCACGTATCAGTACCAGTCCTTGGCCCAGGCATTGGGACCCCTGCTCTAGAAGATAATGTGAAGATTTCTGAATTCCTGCTCACAAAATAAAGCATCTTAAGAGAAAAAAAGAACAAACCACGCTTGTCATCATTATTGATTTATGTTATATCAAGGATTAAGACCTTCATATGGGCCAGGTGGCTAACGCCTGTAATACCAGCACTTTGGGAGGCTGAGGCAGGTGGATTGCTTGAGCTCAGGAGTTCGAGACCAGCCTGGGCAACATGGCGAAACCCCATCTCTACAAAAAAATACAAAAAAATTAGCAAAGTGTGGTGGCGCACACCTATAGTGTCAGTTAGGAGGCTGAGGCAGGAGGACTGCTTGAGTTCAGGATGTTAAGGCTGCAGTGAGCTGTGATTGTGCCACTGCACTCCAGCCTGGGTGACACAGCAAGATGCTGTCTCAAAAAAAAATAACAAAAAGTCATATGCAAAGTTTACTATTATCATGTGGAAGACCAAGCTATTGTTTTTGACAACTATGAATTATAAAAATATGATTCATGTGATTTAGAGAAATTGATTTAAAAATTGCTCATTATTGTCTTCTGGAAAACATTTTAATATAAAAATGATTAATAAGTATTTTATGAGAAACATAATGAGACTATCCATTTATTTTTTTCCAGGTGCAACTAATTCTCTATATTAGTGGCTACTTTCAGATACGTTTCCCAATTGTGTTCTTATGCTCATACTGAAAAATTGAGTCGGCTTTGTATTGTTTGGATTATAGTATATGAAAATCTCTATTTTAGTCTGCCTGTGTTCAGAATTAAATTCAGGGTATTTATTACTCTGCATTTAAAGTTAGGAAATACGGATACATTTGTTTAAATTTCACCTTTCTGATTGAAAGCCCTTTCAAGTACATGAAATTAATTATAGACAATTCAAACTATATTCCTTTATTACATTTTTAATTAAAGAATTACCTGACATTAAACTTTGTTTTTTTATGTGTCATCAATGTTATAAATTTTCCAACGTAAATTAGACAAAACAGAAAAATCTCCTTTAAATCCTTTGTACCACTTTGCACATTTTCTGATGTGGTATGTTTTTGTAGAGCCATGGGCGAAGCTCCATTTAGGGAAGCCATGGCTGTTGCACTTCTTGCCTGATCTATCCCAAAAGAAATCTGCAAGTCAGCTTCCTTTTGTGCTTTAAGGGTTGCCTTAGTTGTTCAGAAGTCACAAACCCTAGGTGCTGTACCTCCTTCAACAGCTCATTTTCCGTTTGACTTGGGCAAGTCAATTAATCAATTTTATCCTTTTGTGGGAAATAAATATAATAATTATAGGAAACCTTAGCTAGTTTTTCATGCTAGGACCCAAAGGATAGATGCAATTGGGTGGTGTATTAGTAACAAGAGTCTTGCCTTCATTTTGCTTCTGCAGAAAATCTTGTGTATTAGCCACCAGAGGGACTGTTCTTTGATAATTTCACTCACTTAGCTATTTAACTAATTTAATTCATCCAAATTAAACTTGCTTTCAAGCCAAAAGCATAGTTGACTTACTTATTATAAGAAATGTACCTGCTGAATGGGCTAGAATTTGCTGATGACTGGTCAGTGCATTTTCCCAGCAGGGCAGTCTGTTAAGAAACCAAATATAGATGCAAAGGTCAAAACAAAGGAATTGGGTAGTTTAATGACATCATTGCGGTACGGTGGCAACCAAGAAAGGCAAGTTGCTGAAAGGTCTTTCTATCAAACTAGTCAGAGGCCTTAGAATCAAAGGATTCCAATGACTCATCTCACTTTATTCAAGTCCTGGAAAAAAATAGGGTTAGGTCAGGCACAAGTAATAACAATTAAGATTTATTGAGGAAGGTTCTGAACTGTACCTAGACTTACTTTCTTTTCCAGAGATTTTATTATGAAATTTTTCAAACATACAGAAAAGTAAAAGGAATCATAGGGTGGACATCCATATACACACCGCCCAGATTGTACTCCTGACATTTTATTGCCCTCTCATATTTGTTTATCCATCCTTCCATCAATCCTTTATTTTTATACTTTTCTAAGTAAGTTGCAGACACTAATATACATTTAACTTTTTACTTTGACATTTTTAAACATTCGAAGTCTCATATACCCACTACTCAGATCCACCAACTGCTCACATTTCATCAGTCTTGTTTTATCTCTCTCCCTAACGCTTTTTTTCTTGAGTAGTTTAAAACAGACAACATATCATTTCACTCACAAATACTTATACATCTAACATATAAGGATTTAAAATACTATCATTTAACATAATCAACAAAATTCTTCAGTTTATCTAATACCTAGTCCTTGTCAGTTTGCCTTGCTTATCTGAAAAATTGTTTTTCTGCGTTTGTTTTGTTTGAATCAGAGTTCAAATAAGGTCCACATATTACAATTGGCTATGTCTCTGAAACCTCTTTTAATTTTGTGACATTCCCTCCCTCCTTTTTTTATGCTATTGATTTGTTGGAGGAATTGGGTCACTTACCCTGGAGAATTTACATGCTCTATTTGGTTGGTATGTTTAACCAGTTCCTCTTTACTCTTTATTACCTGTAAACTGGTGGTTAGATCCAAATATGTGATTAAGTTCCAGGCCAGTTATTTTAGCAAGAAAATGTCATGGGTGGTGCTGATATTTAAAACCGGGCAGCACATAATGTTTTGTTACCCCATGGTTAGTGATACTAAGACCGATCTGTGGGTTCAAATGTCGAAAGGTTGATGACTTCAGGACAGAAGTTTACTATTATGTAATTTTCACAAAATTATGACCATTTCCTAGATACATCATTAATTTGGACTTACAAAATGGTGACTTTTCTAATTTGATCATTTCTTCTGCATTTATTGGAAGAACTTTTCCTTGTCAGCTACTTGGTGACTCTGAAATGTATTTTTTGACCACAAAAGCAGGATAAATGCTTTATTCTATTTCTTTATTTACCAATTTGCAGAATAATGAATTGTTGCCCTACCAGCCTCCAAAGGTTTTAAAATTTATTTCTATTTTGTCTTTACTGTGGTTTAAAAAAAAACATAAAATTAGCCATCTTAACCATTTTGAACTGTGCAGTTCAGTAGTGTTAAATATCTTTACTTTGTTGTACAACAGATCTCTGGAACATTTTCATCTTACAAAATGGAAAATCTATACCCATTAAACAACTCTCCATTTTCCCTTCCCCCCAGGCCCCAGCACCCACCATTCAACTTCTATCTTTATGAATTTGACTGTTTTAGGTACCTCATTTAAGTGGGATCATACAGTATTTGTCCTTTTCTGACTGGCTTATTTCACTTAGCAGCACAATCCCCTTAAGAGTCATCTATGTTTTTTTTTTTTTTTTTTTTTTTTTTTTGAGACGGAGTCTCTCTCTGTCGCCCAGGCTGGAGTGCAGTGGCGGGATCTCGGCTCACTGCAAGCTCCGCCTCCCAGGTTCACGCCATTCTCCTGCCTCAGCCTCCCAAGTAGCTGGGACTACAGGCGCCCGCCACTACGCCCGGCTAATTTTTTGTATTTTTAGTAGAGACGGGGTTTCACCGTTTTAGCCGGGATGGTCTCGATCTCCTGACCTCGTGATCCGCCCGCCTCGGCCTCCCAAAGTGCAAGATTCATCTATGTTGTAGTATGTGACAGGATTTCCTTCCTTTTAAGGCTGAATCCAAAGGTTTATATTTTTATTTTTTAAATTTTATTAATTTATTTATTTTTAGATGAACTCAAGGATTTTCATGTATTCCCTGTGTTTCAGTCCATTGCAGTCAGTATCCTTTAGGTGCTTAAATTGTCCCATCTTTGACAGTGGGAGCTTCCTAAGATATCCCCTCCCCACCTTCAGTTCTTTTGATACAACTTTGAGAGCTTCCTTACTTTCTGGTACAACAAGATGTTTCAGGTTCATCTTGTGCGTTTCCTGCCCCAGACCTGAATAGGGCATTTCTTTAATGAACTTTGGTTCCTTTTAGTACATAAATACCACAGCCTGAGCAGCAATATAGGCTTATTTTTTAACTCTTTCCTAATATCTTAATTTTTAAAAAACTGTAAGTAGACCATGGTAAGAGTGTAACAAAACAACAACAACAAAACATCTGCTGTTGAGATGAAAATGTGATCTTTTTCTCTTCACTACATGTGGGAGACTGACCATCTATGCAGTGATTCAAAACCATTGTTGTGCTTTAGAATCACTCTGTGAGCCTTAAAAATCCCACTGACCAGACCAGGCGTGGTGGCTCACCCCTGTAATCTCAGCACTTCAGGAGGCCGAGGCAGGTGGATTATTTAAGCCCCAGAGTTTACGACCAGCCTGGGCAACATGATGAAAGCCAGTCTCATGATCCAATGAGACTAAATAAATAAATAGATTAAAATTTTAAAGTAAAATGTTTAAAAAGTCCACTGGCCAAGCCATACCCCAGACCATTTTTCCTGGACTCTGTAGAGGTGGCCCCAGGCACCCAGATTGTGCAGAGCTCCCCAGGTTGTTCTGTGTGCAGCAAAAGTTGAGAATGCTCATTTAGCAATGAAATAACCAAAGTTTTTAAAAGTTTAAAAAAAAGGATACTTGGACTCAAAACTCCCTTAGACCAGAATATGTTGAGTTCCAGACTTCTGGATAAACCATCTTCTACTAACGTAATTGAGGCCTTTAAAAATGTGGGAATCTTATAATATTACAAATCTATAGTGAGTGTCCTGTTTCTGTTTTATAGACCTGGACAAACACCAGACTCAGACGTACCGAGGGCACAGGTGGGTCAGCATGTTGCCACCTTGAAAGAACATGATAATTCTGTCAAAGAAGAGGTAGGTAGCTAAACTGTCTGAAGTTTTCCCAATCACAAATGTGGACCACAGGGTAAGGTTAGTAATTTTTATTTAAAAAAAAAAAAAAAAAGTTTTGGCCAGGCGCCGTGGCTCACGCCTGTAATCCCAGCACTTTTGGATGCTGAGGCAGGTGGATCACGCGGTCAAGAGATCGAGACCATTCTGGCCAACATGATGAAACCCCGTCTCTATTAAAAGTACAAAAATTAGCTGGATGTGGTGGTGCGCACCTGTAGTCCCAGCTACTTGGGAGGCCGAGGCAGGAGAATTGCTTGAACCCAGGATGCAGAGGTTGCAGTGAGCCGAGATCACGCCACTGCACTCCAGCCTGGTGACACCATCTCAAAAAAAAAAAAAGTCTCAAGATGTGCAGATTATTCATTTGAGGAAATGTTATGTATTTGAAAAAAATAACGATAAGAAAAGTAGTAAGTGAGGTTTTGTGGTTGGTTGGTTTTTAACTTTCTGACCTTGGGCCTTTTGCATAATGTTTTATGTAGGAATTTATTTTCCAAGAAATTTCAAAGCATCTTATAACACTCTAGTTTTCCGTCTCCACTCCGTACTTTAGAAATACTTTATAGTCATTCATGTCAATTCAGCAAATGCCTATCGGTCCATTACTGTACACAGATATCAGCCCAGATCCGTTGGAGGGAAAGAGACAAATAAAATGTGACCCCCTCCTTCTGGGGTGTGACATCATGGGATGCATGTAATAAGAAAATGTCAAAAATGTGGGCTTTCAGGAAAGAGAGCCAAGCCAAGACTCCTGGAGAAGCAAGGAAGGCGGAGGTCATGATGGAGGGAGTACAGTGGCATGAGAGGTGATCTTTAAAAGATAGGCTTTTGATGGTACGAGTTGGGGGTGGGGGCAGAGGTGACAAGAAATGGCTGCTATGAGCCAAAGAGCACACTGGGAAACCCAACACATGTTCAGGCAACAGAGCCATCCTGAGGCTGAAGCATGGGCTCAAGTCTGGGGATGGTGAGAAGGAGCACAAGAAGTAGTTGCTGGCCATAGTGTGCAGCATCCGATGCCAGGCCAGGGAGAATGTGTTTAGTTTTGTACCTTTTGAAAAGCCACTGGAGCTTTTTGAACAGAGCTGTGATAGGATTTCTGCAGTGCCTTAGGGAATTTCATGTTTGGTTTGGGACTGAGACATTGAAGGAGGGAGCCCTGCCCTGGTTCAGGCAAGAGGAGGGAGGGGCCTGATTTGGGAGCTGGTGCCAAGAGAGAATTCGAAGATGCTAAACAGAAAATGGAAATGGATGGAGCAAGTTCCCAAGGAAATCATGAGGGGAGGAACCGGAAGCCCAACTTTAGAGCATGTCCATTGGCATATTCCTTCCTCATTCCCTAGAAAAGCCACATTCAGGGAAACAGCCTTTCTTCTCCTAGGTTGAACATCTTGGGAATGTGTCTTGTTTCAAAGCATGTTTTTTCATCTTTATATATAATACAGGATTTTCTGGCTTTGATTCTTTTTAAGGTGTTTCTAAAATTATTGTTACCATGCTCATAGTTCAAGGATTGTATATCTGCACCTTCTGGAATCAAGCCTTGCCTGTGTCTTGAAGTCACATGCCCAAGTGGCTGTGCCATCTAGAGACTCTGGCTTTGCCCCTCCAGCCTTCCAGAGCACCTTTAGTCCTCCTCAGACCCCTCTTTCCTTGCTGCTCTAATTAAGAGAGTAGCAGGACTTTTTTTTTATAACATTTCAAACATACATATATTCAGTGATAGGACGGACCCACTAATCCCATGCCCACAACCCAAATTCACATATGTTGTTACCATTGCACCATATTTGTTTCAGACCCCCTCCTCCTCATCTTCCTCCTTTCCCCCATCTTCGTACCCCCCTCCCTTCCCTCTCCTTCTTTCCTCCCCCCACTTCACCCACCTTCTCTCTCTTCTGCTCTTTCTCTCTTTTCCCTCTTCTCCTCAAACTTCCTTCCCTCCCCCCTTTCCCTTAGAGGGAAGAAATAAATTATTACAAACATAGATACAGCCCCCCGTATGCCTTTCACAGATTTCATGCCCCTTTTCAAAGATAACCTAGATCTATTCCTTCTTTGCTGATGAATGTAGATCTTTTTTGTTTGTTTTTTCGAGACGGAGTCTTGTTCTGTTGCTCAGGCTGGAGTGCAGTGGTGCAATCTCGGCTCGCTGCCACCAGGGCTCACTGCCTCCTGGGTTCAAGCAATTCTCCTGCCTCAGCCTCCCAAGTAGCTGGGACTACAGGCATGTGCCACCATGCCCGGCTGATTTTTTTGTATTTTTAGTAGAGACAGGGTTTCACCGTGTTGGCCAGGCTGATCTCAAACTCCTGACCTCGGGTGATCCGCGCCCCCATCAGCCTCCCAAAGTTCTGGGATTGCAGATATGAGCCACCACGCCCAGCCGATGAACGTAGATCTTAAGAAAGATACTGTTTGGGTTTTATTGTCCCTTTGAGTTAGCACTGTCTTGTAACAACATTATTTCCCATGCTTGTTCACTGCAAGTACATCACATTCAGGCATTTTAAGGGTGAAATAAGTGTTGATCGACTGTCCTTTGCTATCTAATATTTTTTTAAATGATATTGTTTATATTAGAAAACATGGTCCAAGTCCCAAACAACCAATCTACTCAATTTTTCCAATAATGGGAGGGGGTGCTGTCCAGCTAATATCTAATGAATCAAATTATATTCTGTTTCCCCTAATAGATCTTTGTTCCTTTTTAAATCATTCTGATCTCATTTTAGTGACAATCATAAAAAGTACCAATAGATTAATGACAAAATCTATCCTTAAAAATGGAAATAGGCTGGACGCGGTGGCTTACGCCTGTAATCCCAGCACTTTGGGAGGCCGAGGTGGGCGGATCACAAGGTCAGGAGATCGAGACCATCTTGGCTAACACGGTGAAACCCCGTCTCTACTAAAAATACAAAAAATTAGCCGGGTGTGCTGGCGGGCGCCTGTAGTCCCAGCTACTTAGGAGGCTGAGGCAGGAGAATGGCCTGAACCCAGGAGGCGGAGCTTGCGGTGACCGAGATTGCGCCACTGCACTCCAGCCTGGGGGACAGAGCGAGACTCCATCTCAAAAAAAAAAAAAATGGAATAAACAGGTAATTTCTCATCCAGTTAGGTTGTGACTGAAGAAATGCACAGCCCCAAAGAATATTACCAAAATGATGCAGGCGGGGCAAGCCTTGTGAACTGAAGGACAAAATGCTTTTGTGAGTCCTAGAACTGTTTTGGTTTGCATGTCATACTTTTCCGATTAGTGAAATCAAGTGTCTTTGAGTTGTTTCTGTGTATTGAAACCATCTACACATTTGGTAAATACTACGGGTTAAATCTTTCTCTTTAGATAAAATCTTCAAAGTAAGTGATTTTCAAAATTTAAAAAAGCTCTACTAGAAACTACTTGGTTAAGAGTCTAATGAAGCTCAGAAATATTTACTTTGATCTCTTGGGTAAATGGCTAATTAAAAAGCCGCATGTAAATGATGTTTCCCTGTGAGTCCCTGTGCTGTCAGCCCGAGTCAATCCCTTCTCTTGAGTAAATACATCATCAAAGCCGCAGAAACTCAGATTATGTTCCCTGGAGACCAGATAAGGTCTGCAGTGCCCACATAACCTATTAGGCAATTACATAATTGAGCTGCCTGCTTTTAAATTGGAAAAATTTGTAATTACTTTTTGTGGAAAAAAAATGAGTTGGGTGCTTCATTAAAATACAAGATGCCTTAATATTACTTTTCTCCCAAGTGATACCTGTTTCTGCCCTGGAGAACTTTATCACAGCAGAGCAATATGCTGGTGACACTCATAGAGTAGATCGGGGTCCTGCCCCCACCATACACACAGACCAGTTTTATTCACCAGGAAGATGCTTTCCCCAAATGCTGGACTGTTTTCTTGTTCTTATCTCCTGAATACTCATTTGCTGGGTCATATGAATATCTTCTCATTTAAAAAAAAAATTGCTACACAGGTAAAATCCCTTCATTCCCTTTAACGTAGAACTTAAGTGTTGATGCTTGCATTTCTCTTTAAACACCAAGAAATTACTTCCAGTGTCCAAGAGGAATACTCTTGAACCTTGAGGAAGAGTCAGTTAAATCTGCATATTAGGGGAAAATATCATCTGCTGTCCACATCCATTATTTTTAATTCTCTTGCTTTTCTGTGTCTGTGTTAGTAGCACTGGTTTGCATATAGAAGGGAATTTAATTTTATCAGATGCATTTACATTCATTTTCTCTCTGTATTGGTACCACTGATAGCAGAAATTGGATTTCTTTAGAGCGAGCATATGTTTTCTTTTAAAAACAAGCATTAAAAATCTTGAAATAGTAAGATAAAAAGAAAACTGGCCATTTTCCTACTATTCTACTATTTATATATAACCCTGTTAACATTATGGTGTATGTTTTTTTAAATATTTAATATATTGATATGAGAGGCCGAGGTTGGTGGATCACCTGAGGTCAGTAGTTCAAGACCAGTCTGGCCAATGTGGTAAAACCCTGTCTTTACTAAAAATAGAAAAATTAGCCAGGTGTAATGGCATGCACCTGTAATCCCAGCTACTTGGGAGGCTGAGGCACAAGAATTGCTTGAACCTGGGAGGCAGAGGTTGCAGTGAGCTTCGATCGCGCCACTGCACTCCAGCCTGGGTGACAGAGCGAGACTCCGTCTTTAATAATAATAATAATGACTAATATATTGAAAAACATAGGTTGCATTATTTGTATACATAAATACATAACCTTGTTTTTTTTTTACCCCCATTTGCTGCAAAGTGAACTCTTTCATACCATTACATGTTCTATTTACATCATTTCAAATGGCTTTACAGAGGTCCCCTGTCCACTGTCACTTCAGTCATTTACCTGTTGTTCAACATTTGTTTCTAATTTTTCCTCTAGTAAAAAAGTTTCAAAGAATATCTGTGCAATTCAGATTTTACAAATATCTGTAATATTTTCTTAGAACGAATTCCTAGATATAGAATTAGTAGGTCAAAAGGTGGGTATATCTTTCAGGCTTTTGCTATGCATGGCCAGATCTCACTCTGGAAGGGTCATCAGAGTTACCAGTAATGGATGAAAATAACATTTCTCTGAGTTCTTTATGAAACTAGATACTATCAGCTTTTTTTTTTTTAGGGGCAGCAATTTGAGAGATGAAAATGACATCCAATTTTTTTTGTTAATTTGACCTTTTTATTACAATTGAGGTCAAACTTTTCTCTACCTATTTATTAGCTATTTGTATTTCTTTTTTCATAATTTGCCAGCTCATGTTCTTTGCTCATTTTTGTATTAGGTTAGTAATATTATTTCTTATTGACTTGCAAAAACTTTTTAAATATAAATTTGGACATTTTGTTGCAATCTTTTTAGCAGTTTAATTTTTGTCTTTTAATTTTCTTAATGGTGTTTTGGATACAATGTCTTTTCTATTAATGTCTTACATCTGTCTGTTTATACATTTGAATATCACAACCGTAAGTTTTTGGATATAATTTAAGAGTCAGCTTAGATGATTCTTGGGGTTCTAGATAGAGCAAGATTAATATTTAAACTGAACATGGAGGAAAATTCTAGTAGAACTGGGCTAATAAAGGAATAGTACTGTAGGTGTAACTCATAGAACGATTTATCTGCCATAATGTCTGAAATATGGAGGTGTCAACATCAGTCATTCCACAAATAGTTTGTGCCCTGGCATTTAATTTCCAAGTCCTTTCTCCTGGCTCCTGGGGAGGCTGAAAAGTGAGGGGGTGGTTTGTTCGTACTGACTTAGCCTTCAGACTGCTGAGACCAATGGAACAATCTCTAGTTTTCTCTTCTGGCCTCCGAAAAGAGAGCCTTTATTAATAACAGGTAAGTTGAAACCCAAGCATAGTTCAATCATAAGCACTATCAGAAAGCCTGTGGTAAAATTGTTGTCTAATGGCATTTTTTTCAGAGAATTAGCTCCAATTTGCAGAACCCATTTAGTCCCAGCATGAGATGTAATAAAGCAACCTGTTAACTGTTCTCTGAGCTTCTCTCTGTGTTAGTGTCATCAGTCTCAGACTGCAAACTCCTTCAGATTGGAGGTTTCCTTAGAAATACACTTTTCTGGAACATCTGCAAACAGTACATCTTGAGAATGTGTTACAGACGTTTTCCTGACTGCAGAAGTTGTTTTTGCAAGGCACAGTGGCTCACGCCTATAATCCCGGCACTTTGGGAGGCCCAGGAACGCAGATCACGTGAGGACAGGAGTTCGAGACCAGCCTGGCCAACATGGTGAAACCCCGTCTCTACTAAAAATACAAAAATTAGCCTGGTTTGGTGACACACGCCTGTAATCCCAGCTACTTGGGAGGCTGAGGCATGAGAATCACTTGAACCTGGGAGGTGGAGGTTACAATGAGCCAAGATCCCGCCACTGCACTCCAGCTTGGGCAAGAGAGAGAGACTCTGTCTCAAAAAGAAGTTGTTTTTGACTAGAAATCTGTGACCTGTTCTTGTCTATCCTTGTCTGAGACTAACTTTTGTCTTCGTCCCTGCTTATCATCTTTGAGAAATTATCTGTGGAATTATCTTAAAAGATGTGTTCTTTTATAAACATTTCTATCAAAAAAGTAACAGAAATCCTGGAGATAAGTATTGAGTAGTGAAGATAAATGGGATAAAATACAGATAGTCCCTGACTTCCAACTTACAATGGTTCAACTTACAATTTTTTGATTTTACAGTGGTGTGAAAGTGTTAGGCATTCAGTGGAAACCATACTACAAGTAGTACAGTATCCAATAAATTACATGTGAAAATCAACATTTTATTATAAAATAGGCTTAGTGTTAAATGATTTTACTCATTTGTAAGCTAATGTAAGTGTTCTGAGCAGTTTAAGGTAGGCAAAGCTTAACTATGATGTTCAGTAGGTTAGGTGTGTTAAATACATTTCTGACTTACAATTTTTTCAATTTGTGGGTTTATTGGATGTAACTCCCTTCATAAATTGAAGGAGCGTCTGTGTACAAAGTAAATTGAACTAGCAGTGCAGTATGCCCACCACATTATTTACCTCACCGTGGAAAAGAGGGCTCAGTGCAGAACTGTTGGCAATGGCAGTATTCTTGTCAAGCCTACAAGGACTCATTAGAAAGGTGTTTGTAGTAGATTCCAGAAGCAGGTGCAGTGCAGTGGTCTGTGTAGGCAGTTGGGATGGGGGCAGTGATGGGAACCAGCCTTGGCCTGGCCTTCAAGGGCAGGACCCTACCCCTAGACTGCAGAAATGGGAATACTGAGCAAGTCATCCCAACAGAGTTATCACAGTGGAGTGAAATCTAGGGACTAGTTTCTAGAAATAGAGGAAAAGCCCCTGGTCACTAGAACTGCACCACAGAAAGGTCCTGGCTGCAAGGCTAACTTGACACCAAGTTCTTTGGCCAAGGGGACTAGAACTCCTTAAATCCCCCAATCAGCTACTCCAGCTCCTCAGGTAGGCCATGGGTCCAGGTCAGCCAGTACTAGGGAGGGAAGAAGGCAAGAACTCTGCAGGGAAGTCAGGACTAAAGGCAGTTGCCTTGAAGCGTCTGAAATGCCAAACATGCAAGACCAGACCTTCCATCCAGACCTTCTGTCCGGGCCTTCTTACCGGGCCTTCCGTCCGGGCCTTCCGACCGGACCTTCCATGCTCTGACTCTCCCTGTCGGAGTGTCTTCACCTTGTTTCATGTTAATCACAAGGAAGGTTGTTTTTTCCACCTTGTTCACTGGATAGTTACATTGTTAACACTTCACTCTTGGCTAATGATGACCTGTGAACATTTGTCCACTTCTGCTCTTTATATTAATTTTAAACTGTCATGTGCATTTTCCCACAATTGGGTTGAACACTACCCAGTATTTACTGTCATTGTCAGCTACCTGTGGGTCACCACCACCACCGAGGTTTCCTCTCCAGCTACCTAAGGAAATCGCCACCTGTCAATAGGAAATGAGAGAAACATACACTCTGGCAGCGGGATAATGTGACCAATGGTTATCTACTAAAAGTTTAACTCTTATTACCAGCATATTTGTATTTCTTAGGGGAAAGTACTGACCTGAAAATCAAAAGACTTGGCTACTAACCCCAGTCCTGTGAATTGCCCCTTTTTCTCCACCTCTAAGGTTGGCTCTGATAAAAACCTGTGTCCTCCTCCTTGCTCAGGACACATGAGGCATTTAAGTAAGACAATGCCTTTGAAAAAAGATAGGCAGTGTGGTGGGTGAGTTTCCCCAGATCCCCAGACGACTTACAGGCAAAGTGCAGACCATCTTAGTACTTGATTGAAGATTGGGATTTAGAATAAGGGCAGTTATCTTTCTTCTCAGTGCATCCTCTTCAGCCACAAATTTTTCTGCAATCTTCCTGTTTAGGGGAAATTCATGGGTCATTTTTAGGAGGGTGGGGATATGGCAAGGTCACATCTTTCCGGATCTTTTTCTCAGTTGAAAGTAATTCTGTCTGACATGCCTAGAAAATAGGATTCATGTAATCAAAGAATAAATTTTTCCTTCAGAAAGGAGGTCTGAGGCTCTACCTTTTGTATATATCGAAGGGAGGATAAACCTGCCCAGATTAACAGAGGTGGTCACGTTTCATATACATACTTAACAAGCAGAAGAATATTTCTGCATTACATAAGATTCAGCCCTCAAAAAGTGTATTATTGTGAGGGTAACTTGTAAAGAATTAGATTATAGTAGAAAATAACCAGGTGTTTTTTTTCTTGACATTTTAATTTCATTTAAATGTGGGAAACAGATTAAATCCTAAGTAAAGCTTAACTTAAAATTATATTTGAAGGCTATCTTTGAGACCAAGAGGAATGTGGCTACAGTTTGTTTTTATTTCTTTGTGCTTTTTTTGAAACACTGTAGGCAACAGCATTATTGAGAAAAGCCCTTACAGAAGAGTGTGGCCGTAGGTCAGCTATTCACAGTAGTGAATCATCTTGCAGCTTGCCATCTATTCTGAATGACAATAGTGGAATAAAGGAAGCCAAACCTGCTGTATGGCTCAACAGTGTTCCTACAAGGGAACAAGGTAACTATTGTTAAAGTGTGTGTCCACAGCAAAAAGGCATTCAGGGTCATCATCATCTTTCTCAAGGTACACCTATAGAATATCACTGACTAGTGAATACCTCTGATTTTAATATGCATAATATAGTATTTGTTTTATACCACCTTCCAATAAATATATATGTTCTCCTTTAGTCTAACAGGAATGGGAAATCTAACTGTAAGTCTGTAGTTCTAGTGAATTTATTTCTAATAAAATAAGTATGAAGAAGTTACGAAATCTTAACAAAACTAATCGCTTGGCAGTAGATAATTTTGATCCCTCAAAGATGAAGATGATTCCATAAAGTACTGTGAAGTTTTTGATATCACCTAATAGAATTTTCTCATAATTGTAAACATTACTTTTAATTATAATAGAACCTTATCAGTGTCTAAACAGTTGATTAAGAATCAATGAATTTATGCTCCCCAAATTTAATAACCCATTTTGAGCACCCAGAAACTGTGATTATTTAAGCATTACTGCTAAGACATGCCATTTAACTGCTTTAATGGTTTTCCAAGACAGCTATGAATTCCTCAGGAATTGCTCGAGTTGATGTACATGTGCAGGATGTGAGACTCACTTATTTTATGTCCCACCTAAATTTGATAGATGTCAGGCCCAGTTATTTTGCGTGAAAGCAGCATAGTGGTACCTTAATTCAATTTTATTTTTAAATTTTTGTCTATGAGATACCTTAATTTTAGAATAGGTTTCCTTTTAGGAACAGTATTGTTTCAGACAAGAAATACATTAACCAAAAAAAAAAAAAGTGAACATAAAGGGAAGGACAAACACCCAAAGGATCTATTCCTTAACTTTGAAATACTTTTTTTTTATTATGCATTCAATTTTTAGAAGTTTCAAGTGGCTGTGGAGACAAGAGCAAGAAAGAAAATGTGGCTGCAGATATCCCAATCACAGGTAAAGCTATGGTTGCCTAAGAGTTTCAGACACAAGATTTAGCATTATTATATAAGCGGAACATTTTGGGTCAGTGGTTTGTGGACCCCACTAAGAGCACATGTATTCAGCTACTGCATGCTGGAGCAGGAGATTAATCCTAAGAGCAGAACATATATACTTATGTTAACATAAACTAAGGTGGAAAATCACCGTGTCTATTGAATTCTTCATCACCATGTTATATATTTACACCTGTAACATCCTCCATCATGTGCCCTTTCAGCACCTGCGTCTCTGTAAAAAGGTCCATCTCCCTGGGGAACACCCGGTCATTACACAGCAAACTATAGATGTTTCTGATTTTACTGTTTTCTTTCCTGTAGTAATTGCATATGTATATTAAAATAAGCAGATAATAAAAAAATGTCAGATAGGAAGCTTGCGTTTGCCTCAGTTACAAAGCCTGTCTGATAATTTAAAAATTGTACCAATCGGGCTTCATCAAGACCTATTAAGATTTCTGCACATGTATTAGGCTTGTTTAGGTGGAATCTGAACGATATCATTATTTTTTTCTTTTTAGAATAAGAACAGCAGCAATTAGTATTCTGTACAGAGTTCTACTTGTCATACATCTGAATTTACTAGTACCTTATTTTGTGAAGTGGTGTACTACTTCATTATAAATTCAAAGGTCTGACTTTAAATATTTACACAAGTAAATACACCATTGCACCAAGGTACTGAGGCATGCATCTGCATATGTGGTAGTTTTGTTGTTTATAAGCAGAAAAGAATGGCTTGCTTTTATGGCAGTGCAGTTCCTGGCATGATTAATTTTTTAAACTCATGTTTCTGTGATGAACTCTGGTTTTGAAAAAGCAGTTTATGGTAGAGCAGTTATTGTATATATTATGCATTCAGATAATATTTCACTCTAAAATGCAGAGTTTTTTTATTTTAAACATTTTCACCAATGATATGTTTATTGTGTTTTTAGTCTGCATTTTCTGCAAACTCTGGTATGGCTCCCTGCTATTTTTATTAATAGAAATGTAGATGATCCCAAACTACAGATAACCATGAAGTCATTTGGATACTTTTCTCTTGCATTTACTTTTGGATGCAGAAGTATCTAATGGCCTCTGAATTTATTTCAATTAAAATTACAAAGGATTATTGAGGAGAAACCAGGAAATGACCTTGTTCATTCATTCTTCTCTTTTCAGTATTCTTTACAATCATCCCTTGCTGGGAGTAGTTGACTCTCCCCAAAGTTAATGCAAATGTATTTTCTCATATACTTTCTTTATAAGAAAACGGATAATTAAGTACCAGGGTTTCAAATCCCTTCTCATGCAGAAGTGCAATATGGCTAGAAGCAACTTGGGCTGTTTGCCATTAAGATTTTAAAAGAAATTGTAATTCCAGCAACCTGCCATTGATCCATCAATAGTTGGCAGTTAAAAAAAATGCCTTGTGCCAGAATATTAGACATTAAAAAAAGTACTTTGGAAATTTTTTAAAAACTTAGCAAAGCCATACACATTGTTAAGGTGTTACTGTTCTGTCCTTGCCAGTGTACTATCCCCACCCAGGGACCTCCCATGAAATTCATGTTTGAGAGCTTCACGCACCTTGGCACTACTAATACTGTTGCTTTGTCCATCATTGCAGCTACTTTGATCTCTAAGTTCTTGACCATCATCCCTTTATTAAATGTTTGTGACTTTGGCATAACTATTTGGAGATTTCACTTTTGGTAGAGTAAAGCAAGTATGTAGTTTAATTTAAGACAGAGTCTGTCTGCCTCTTTATAATAGTTCTGTTGGGGTGTCCTGTTTGTGTGGGTGCATGCTGGTTGTGTTTGTGTGGGCTGCATTCCTTCTAGAATATTCCAAAGAAAATATTCCAGAGGCTGTCCCCTGAAGGTTGAGGAAATGTAGCAGTTGGGCTGGGGCTTTGCAACCAGCCATCAGTGTCAGCTCTTTTACTCCTTGCTCTGTTTCTCTACCCTCTCTGAGCCTCTGTATTGGGAAAGCAGACATACTGCCCAATAGGATTGTCTTAAAGTTTAAATGAAATCATTTGTGAAAGTGCCAAGCAGATACTAGACACTCAATTTTATCTGTGAAGTATAATAATATTCATGTGAACATTATTAGTGTTCCTGGTCTTCTGTGTGGGCCCCCACAGTCCCCAGCATTTCCAAACCAGCTATGAGGAGCCTCACAAAGCAAACTCAAAGAAGAACATAAGTAGAGAGAATGAGGATGCAGCATCACAGAAAGTGCCATTGTGAGACGAGCCCCTGGAAGAGTGGACACTTTCAGTCTGTTCTGGTGGACCTGCATACCTTCCTTGAGTTGTGGTGGCCACTTGGGACCAAGACCCACACAAGCACAGTACTGCTGCAATACCTGCAAGACAGTGCTTCCCAATAGTACTGCTATGTTAGTTTCTGCAAGAAATTGCCACTTGAGAACACAATTGAGATTCAAATCCAGGATAGTTACCTTATCAAAAAGGAATCTCAAGAAGAGTTTGATGATACTTTTCCAATTTCCACTTAGTCCCATGAGGACATCCACAGAGAAAAATCCGAAACAGCTGCTGAAGTACTCCTGAAGATCTCATTGGTCAAGGCCCAGACATCTCTGTCTCGGGGTGCCTATGTGCCCTTAGTAACCCTATGTGCTCACAATGGATGATGTTGCAGGGTACCTGATTACCAGGCAGCAGACCTCCCCTGATGTGTGTGCTGCCCCACAAGTATTGATGAGCTAATGCAGCATTTTCCAAAATGTGTTATTTGCAATGCTCCACCCAGAAAATACATCAATTAATACATATTTTGTTGCCCAGCCCTGTGTGATCCTTCTCTCTCTCTGCAGTATGCATAATGCATAGAAGCATAGTGAAGACTTGGAAAAGACTTTCAGCAAAGGAATTGTTTAAAAATGTGAGCCTAGAGTTTCAGATAACTTATCATTTATTTGAAAATGGAATTCTTTCTGTTAATAGCCAACAGAATTAATGTTCTGTGGAACATACTTTGTGAAACATACACACATGTATGTGGAACACTTTTAAAGCAGTGAGTCCAATGTGGGCACCAGTTTCCTCAATATGCTAAAATTATCTTCAGCATTTTTCTGTGATTTCATTTTGTGGGGAGCTCCCTTGTGCGTGAGATTGCTTTATAATGAGATTTTGGGCTACCTTAGTGTAACTACACCCAGATGTTATGACTGACAGCTGCTTGTTACAGCTGTTCCTTGAATTGACAGTAAGGTTACAATAGTAATTTTAGGCGCCCAGAAGTGCTATTCTTCAGTGTGGGATCCTTCTGTGCGTCTTTATTTGCTTTTCAGCCATTTCAGAAGAAGTATAAGAGAAGACGTGGCTGAGGTGAAATCTGGGAAGTCACAAGAGGTTGGGGGTGGGAAGCTGTGAAGTCATACCTTTATCAGAATGAGGGGGTCCTGGGGATGTTTAACCTGAGAAGGGCACAGTAGCTCTTTAAATATTTGAGGAGCTGCCATATACCAGGTAGAATATTTATCGAGCTTAATTATAGAGCGTAGCTCAGTAACAAAACAACTTTCTAGCTCTTCATTTCAGCAAAACCAAGTTCAGTATCTTCCAGGGGTGAGTGCTTGAACCATGGCAGGAACCATGACTTTTTTTTTTTCTTTTGAAACAGGGTCAGGGTCTTGCTCTGTCACCCAGGCTGGAGTGCATTGTTGTGATCACAGCTTTTTGCAGCCTCTATCTCCTGGGCTCAAGTGATCTTCCTTCCTCAGCCTCCCAAGTAGCTGGGACTACAGGCATGCACCACCATGCCTGGCTAATTTTTGTATTTGTTATAGAGATGGGGTTTCACCATGTTGCCCAGGCTGGTCTCCAACTCCCGACCTCAAGCAGTCTGCCCACTTTGGCCTCCCAGAGTTCTGGGATTATAGGCATGAGCCACCTTGCCTGGCCCTGTGGCTCTTTAAAAGAGCATTGTGGAAGGAATTATTGCTTCTGTGACCCCTGACATTCCTTCTAATGCCAAGGGACTGTGCTTCTTCCTCTATGCTAATGGAATCCAGTGTGCCAGCATTCTCATCTCTTCATTTCCCTTTCTCATTTGCTTATCACCACAAAACGGAGGTCTTCTTGGCTGGGGCTCCTCCTTAAAGAGTCTGCTATCACTTTGAAGGCATCTGCTTTGCTAATCGTTATTATGGAGCATGCGAGTTTTCTGTGTTTAGATTTACATAGAAACCCTCCTGGGCACACACTGATGCCCCACCCACAAACACAGAGTCAGTATTCCATAGCCTGTATGATCTGTTGTTGTGAATATAATCTACCCCTTTTATTAGTCTAGTTGTTGTTCACTAAAGAATCCAGGTGGAAATCAAAGATGAATTTTTATATCTATAAATGTATGGTTTTCTGTATATAATAAGTAGTATATAATTAGATGTATTGATACAATATATATTAGTTATATATTATATATCATATATCATTATAGATGATTATATATAAAATCCTTAATTATATTAGTTAATAAAATTAATATTTTTACGTGGGCTGAATCCTGGGATACCAGAAACCACAAAAGATGGTATCCCTGCCCTCACTAAGCCTCCCTCATCTCTAACCTTTACAACAGTCCTATAGGGTAAACATTAGTACTCACCCTACAAGTGGTCAGACAGAAACTTAGAAAGGTATCCTGCTCAAGGCCATGTAGCTGGTGTGTTTGATCTTGAATTGAACTCAGACTTTAGGATTTGGGCTCTTGAACTCCTTCCATTTCACTGCCCTGCCTCTTTTATTTATTTTGTTTTTTTATTATTTATTTATTTATTTTTGAGACAGAGTCTCACTCCATCACCCAGGCTGGAGTGCGGTGGCACGATCTTGGCTCAGTGCAACCTCTGCCTCCCGGGTTCAAGCGATTCTCGTGCCACAGCCTCCTGAGTAGCTGGGATTACAGGCATGTTCCACCAAGCCTGGCTAATTTTGTATTCTTAATAGAGACGGTTTTGCCCCGTTTGCCAGGCTGTACTCGCATCCTGGCCTAAAGATACCCACCCACCTTGGCCTCCCAAAGTGCTGGGATTACAGGCGTGAGCCGCCACGCCCGGCCTACCCTGCCTTTTTTATTTTACCAAAAAGACAACTGCATCAGGATGTCCGGATCAATTAAACATCAGTGTACATCATAACAGAAGATGGGCTTTGCAAGGCTGCTTCTGAGAGCAATGATAAACAAAGCTTGCCTTTCCTTTCTCTTGGGTTAGGCCTGGAGAGGTGGGCAGCATGCAAGGATTTTCAAATGCAGCTCATCCCGAGAGGCAGGCCTTTTATAAAGTGGGGCAAACCTGAGCCCAGCTGGGCTGCTGGGAGGTCGGTTTCCCTGAAACACTTCCTGACCTACTATGTAGGTCAGTTTGCCTGAAACACTCAGGCCATGAGGAAAGTGATGCTTATCTAGATTGGGAGAGAAAGTCTGCCTTTTGAACTACTTACATCCGCAAAGTGAAAATTTCCCACATTGACAATTTTATTTGTATTCACACTAAATTTACCTTTCAGCATTAAGTGAGTTTTAGCTTTAGCAGATGATGCAGCTATGCTAAATGTCATAAAAATACAGCACCTAGCACAGTATCTGGCACAGAGTGGGCACTTAATTTGTCAAATGAATAAAAATGGGGATATTAAGGAATTTTCTTAAATGCTTGATGATTCAGGATAGAATACTATCTCTTTCAGTCATGCACTCCACCAATACTTTTCCCACCCCACGTGCCCATCCTGGCAAAACTAGTCTCCTTAAGCTCCATGTGAAAAGGGCTCTCAGCTTTTATCTCAAGAGGATTAAGCCTCTAAGAATGTCCATTCAGACTCTCATTCTTTTGACACCAATTCTCTTGGTCAAGCTGTGTTGAAAGTGGTTGCCTGACTGTGCCATTCCTCGTGGATATTCTTTGGCAAGCTGAAATATGCAGGGTAATACTAAGACATCCATTTAGAGTCTTTCCAGGAGGTCAGTATAGATTTGGAGGGTGCCACTTGGAGTTCTAGGCAGTGCTTCCCAAAACATGATTGCTTGAGTTTTACATCAATTTGGAAAAGGGCTGGAAAGATATAGTGGCTAGGTTGTCACTGGTGACTGGATTTATCCTGGGAGGAAAGACTGTAGTGATGACTTTGGGCTCCCAAAGCACAGTGGCATAACACCACTAGTACTGAGGTTTTACCGAGAATGTGCTTCACCTGTCCTATCCCAAAGCATTTTCCTGACAAGACTCAGTCAAGACATATTACCTGTTGTGCCTGGAACGGGAAACCCCCAGCTTGTGCAAAACCAGGGGAACCACTGTGTGTTGCTGGATTGTCCATTGAAAGTCCACGTGGCCCTGTCTCTGTGCCAGGGGTCAGCCTGCTGGGGCTTCACCCATGGAGCCTGCTGCCTGCTACTTGCGGTAGCAAAACAGTCCTCATTATATTGCAGGGCAGTGCTGTTTATTTAACATGGTCATTAAAGGATAAAAGGTACTTTTCTGAAGGGTCTTCTGGACTGGATGCTTCTATATTCAGAGAGATGAACTCATAAATGCCAAGAGAAATTCTCCCCAGCGGTTCATGGTAGAATCCCATGTAGAGTTTTAGAACATACCCATGCCCCAGCCACACCCTTGTGCAATTATTTCTGAACCTCTGGGAGTGGCACCCAGGCATAAGTACTTTATAACACATCCAGATAACTTCTTAGGTTTGAGAACTGTGGAGCAGGGGTCTCAGTTCAAAAGAGCCCTTGTAGGTCCTGTTTTGAAGCACCCTCATTTTACACAGGAGACTCAGAGACAAAATCAGGCTTTAAATATTTTAATAAAATGAGGGGTTGGAGTGTATTATTTTCCTAGGGCTGTTGTAACAAAGTATCACAAACTTAAAACAACAGAAATGCATTCTCTCACAGTTCTGAGAGCTAGAAGTCTGAAATCCAGGCGTCAGCAGGGCCCTTGCCTCTGAAGGTGCTAGCCAGTGGCTCCTGGCTTGTGGGAGTATAAGCCCTGTCTCTGCCTCTGTCTTCACTTGGCCTTCTCTTCTGTGTCTCTGTGTCTGCTCTTCTTCTTAGAAGAACATCAGAAATTGGATTTAGGGGCCACTGTAAATGCAGAATGATTTCATCTAGGGAACCTTAACTAATATATCTGTAAAGAACCTATTTCCAAATAAGGTCACGTTCTGAGGTTCTGGGAGGACATGAGTTTGTCGGGTTGAGGGGAACAACATTATTCAACCAACTACAGGGAATGAGGAAGGACTTCTTCATATTTTACATTTTTAGCATCCAGTTCATCTTCTACAGTAATTATTCCTGAACCTACTATAAATAATGGTAAAGATAAGATTGCCATTTCTAATTTCTCTCATTAAATAAATCATTGAGTACAAATGGCTAAAATATACTGTTTTTTAAAAAGCTATTTAAATCAATAAAATACAGCTTTCTGATGAAGATTACTCAAGTTTTGAAAAGTTAAAGGTTTCCTGAGGTTGAGAGTTGAAAATCCACCTCTCACGACTGAACAGTGTTAAATGGCAAGACGCAAAAGTGTTTCAGCTCGTTTTGGGAATGTTGGTTAAAGGTCAGTTTCAAGCCTGGAATTTGTTTTCAGGTTTAATTGTTGAGTTGCCCCATAGAAGTTAAGACTATGATATAAATTTCTATTTTCTGAAGCAGCCCCAGACAACTCATCTGAATTAGGCGGGTCTCTTCTCGTGCATCAGCCGTCTTCCTGAGAGTGCAGAGAGCAACCTTGACAATGGAATTTGCAGGCCCAGGTCTACAGGTGGAGTGGAGTTTATTGCAGAAAGTCTGGATGTGAAAAGTGATTCTGGTTACGGACCCAAACTTGTGTATCTTCCTGCCTTTTTAAAAAAAAATTCCTAAATATATTTGATGACTTTTCTGTATTTTCAGAATTGCAAAAGCAGCCATATCCTATTTTCTCTCTCTCTCTTTTTTTTTTTTTTTTTTTTCAGAGATGGAGTCTTGCTCTCTCACCCAGGCTGGAGTGCAGTGATGTGATCTCGGCTAACTGCAGTCTCCACTTCCCAGGTTCAAGTGATTCTCATGCCTCAGCCTCCTGAGTAGCTAGGATTACAGGCGCCCGCCACCATGCCCAGCTAATTTTTGTATTTTTGTATTTATAGTAGAGACGGGGTTTCACCATGTTGGTCAGGCTGGTCTTGAACTCCTGACCTCAAGTGATCCACCCACCTTAGCCTCCCAGAGTGCTGGGATTACAGGCGTGAGCCACTGCACCCGGCCTTATTTCCTTATTTTTTATTTATTTATTTTTTTGAGATGGAGTTTTATTCTTGTTGCCCAGGCTGGAGTGCAATGGCGCGATCTCGGGTCACCGCAACCTCCGCCTCCCAGGTTCAAGCAGTTCTCCTGCCTCAACCTCCCGTGTAGCTGGGACTACAGGCACGCGCCACCATGCAGTGGTGCAGATAACAGCGTTTCTCCATTTTGGTCAGGCTGGTCTTGAACTCCCGACCTCAGGTGATCTGCCCGCCTCAGCCTCCCTAAGTGCTGGGATTACAGGCTTGAGCCACCCCGCCCGGCCCTTATTTTTATTTAAGCAGATTACTAGGCAAATGATTTCTGGATTCTCAGTGATAATATTTATCTTTTGAAGTAACTTAAGAAATATATCTCACAATTTTTATTTTATTTTGCAAAAATGACCAAGTTTGCAGTGTCAGCAACACACCTAGTACAATTTGAAAAAGCACTTAGGTGTAGAAATATGTGAAAAGTAACAATGCTGAGAAATTCAGTGGACAGAGAATATTTTTCAGATTTCATTTTAACTTCATATAGAAATAGCAGTTATCCTTCCTTACTCAAACATACCCAGTTCTCTGTTGGTTCAAGGTCGGTTTTTTAGCTGTAGTGATAGTATTGTTTGCATCTCCCTTTGTTGTTTTTTTCTGAGCCCAACTCTTCTTTTTTTCATTAAGGATTTCTGCAAAAGCAATGGGCAGATTCCCTGCCTCCAAGACACCCCTTAGAGACTGGTGAACCACGTGTTTGTCTGGCTCTTGTAATGGGGTGTTAAAAGCACTTGTTCATCAGATATTTTCTTTTTATTTGTAGATTTAGAAGTATTTTAGCAGGTGTACATTTGCATATAAAAGAGAAAAAAGATAAGAAGTTGAGGCTTTTTCTTTCTCCTCTCCTTAACATCATCTCTCTCCCACCTCTTTATTCAGCATGTTTTCACTTTCTTTCTGTAGCTGTTTCTATTTTCTATACACAAAACGCATATCAAAAAGAAAAAAAAACAGTCTCAGCAATCCTTCAGCACTTTGCAGAAAGATAGATGATTGGGTTCAGGCAGCTTATGTAACAAAGTAAGGGAAAATACATTTATCTCATGTCATCAGTCAGGAGTGAATAGACAAGGATAGATTTTCACCTTCTGGAGCTGTAGACTGCATGAGATGGCCCCCCTTGCCTTGCCTTACATTTTAAACTACAATATTTTCTACTTTTTAAACTAAATCTTGACGCAGATTTGAGTATATAATCAATGCTTGAACGAAAGATTCAGAACCGAAACCTTGAGCATGCGTGTGTGTTTGTTTCTGTGTGTATCAGAACATTCCAACCGAAAATGATTGTATTCTTTAGAAATGCTTGTTTTATCTAAACATTTTCACTACTCAGTATTTTCTGAGAGTTTAACTTTACTAATGGGGGGAAGTGTTTCCCTGGATTTCTAAGTCAGGCTAGAAAGTGAAACCTTTAAAGCAACCACCCAATCCTCAAATTTTCAGACTTACAGTTTACTTGCAGCTGAGAAAACTAAATTCTTTTCACCTTGGAAATATATCGACTTTGTCCCTACCTTGTTTGTAACAGACTAACTTGAACTTCTAGAGTCATTACTTTTGCTCCTTTATTTGTTCATTCATTTAATAACTATGAATTTGCAGAGCAGCAACAAAGTGGAGCTTTTAACTGATTGGTTCATCACTGTCTTTCTTCCTTCTAAAAAAATCCTGGGCCTGAATTGCCACACACCTCATGTCCATAACTTTACACTCTTGCTTCATGAAACTAGCATCCTGGCCAAGTCTTCTGGGCTGTTTCAGGAGGATGTCTGATTTGTTTGAGAACTCCTAGAAAAAGTACACTCTTGCCTCCAGTCTGAAACCTGGTCTGTTTGATACAGACAGCCCCTTAAAAATCTTCATACAGCTGATGCATCCTCCCTGGGTAACATGTTCCAACAACCCTTTCAACAAGAAAGCTTTTCCTAACATCTAGCTTGTATTCTTTGGCTGCAGTTTTTCCCTAAGTGTTCTTGTACCACTTTCAGTGAACACAAAAAGTTGCTCACTACCATCTAGTTTGGAGGCTACAAATATGTTCTGTTTTGTCTGTGCAGTGTTTTATTTTTAAAAAGAAGAAAGAAAAGGCAGAAGTCTGGCAAGACCAGGACCACTTTCCCACCAGGCAGCAATTGGCTGAAGCCAAGGAGCAGCTGTGCTCTATAGACAAGTCATGTGCCTCCTTGCCTGCTACAGGGCAGGCCCTTCCTGCTGCTCCTGCCTGGCCATAGTCACTTATTGGAGGTACTTGCTTGGTTGGCCCTAGAGGCATCTGGATCCACAATGCCCACCCTGTCCAGTCTGTTTGCAATATCTGAACTTTCCTTCCCTTCTCCAACCTTGTTCTATGCAGACTATGTATTCTTTAATCACTTCTAATTTGTTTTAGCCAACCCTTATTAATTTTGTTTTTCCTGTGTAGATCATCTCTCAGTCTTTCATAAATAGTTTGTGCAACAATTCTGACTAAATAGGGGGGTGATGCATAGGGAGAGCGACTCCATCTCCCATGCATCTGATCCACAGTTGGGCGGCAGCAGTGCTAGGCGCTCTGCCCTCTCCCGCAACTTTGACGTCTGTGGTCCTGCCTCAGTGAGTGTCATTCCTCTGGGTGAATGCACTTCATCTTTGTACCTTTTAAACTTCACTTTGCCTTTAGACCATTGGAGGGAATCACACTGGGATTGGGGGTGAGTGATGTGCCCAGCAGTCCTCAGCCTGATCTCGCCAGCCCTTTAGGACTCAGGTCAGGGCAGCTGCATCCCAAATAAAAACTGCCCAGGTGGGCCTCGGTGACTCTCCTTGGAGAAGGGCCACAGAGGCTTAAGGATGAAACACCAGTGAGGTGATTGGGAAGTGGTGGGCTCTGGTTGCGTGGGGCAGGAGAGTGAGCCATCTCAGGATGGGTGGTTAGCCAAAAGCTCCTGAGCCCACACTCTTCAGGAAGGAAGGGAGGGGGACCAGAATGGAAAGTGTGGAGCATAGAAAGGGCTCATCTTTTCCAGAGTATCAAAATGGTCCCTTGTTGCTAGAAGTGATCTCACTTCACATTGGTAATTTCCTCCCTTGCTAACTTCAAACCAGTAATACTATCAGCCCTTCTCCTGTTTGGGCAGAATGCTTAATCCCCCCCAAATCTGAAATTACCTCAGGACTACTAGCTTGATATTTCTCACAGAAATCCCCTTCTGATTGCCAGTGACACGTTTTCCTGGTTTCTGAGAAGCAGGAGAGCCGTCTCACTGGAGTCAAGTGATTTACCTTCAGACAATGGAGAAATGAATTTGCAGCATGCCGCTCCAGCTTCCAGTGGCCAGGAGGCTTTGTTTATCAAGAAGCTGCTCCTTTTTTTTCAAATTTCCATCTTTGCTATCTTTTCCTTGACGAAATAAGTTTAATTGAATGTAGAAATAACGTGGTCATTAAGATCTGGACTTGTATCTTGAGAGCTGAAAAACTTTTTGGTTGATTTTTATAAAATAAAAACAAAACAGGGCATTTTTACCTCTTTTACACTGACTCCTTACCTTTAGAATTCAGACACTCTGTCTTTGATTTTATTAATATTATCCCTCTTTCACAGTTACCTTACAGTATATTTGAAGTAACATGGATGTTAGGATTAGCCGGAGGTCATCACAACACCATCCCATTGGAGCCATCCTAGGACAATGCGACCAGCCTCATCAGGAAACACTTTCGTCCCAGCGACCCCCACACATACACACATTACACAAAACAGTACTTTCCCCTCTGTATGCACTGTGTCTGATGTTTTCTTTATCAGATTTTTCAAAATACTAGTTTCAGCGACCTAAACTGATTTCACAATCCAGCAATGTTAAAAAAGTGTTGCCTTAGAATTTATTATATTCAGAGCAAAGAATCCCTGATCTGTATATATTTTAATTATATACTATTTAATATTCCAAAGTATAATGTTCATTTTAAATACTCATTTTTATCTTGACTGATTTTCAGTAGGGCAAGGTAAGTTGTATTTTTATTCTTCAGTGTGATGGTAGTTTTAATCCAGTAATAGGGTCTCATGGTTAAGTTCTTAAATGAAGCCAGCAAAAGCAGGAATCCAACCTGTTGCCAGCCCCTAGCATTGACAGTGGGACTCCTTTTGTGTTACATTGAAGATGCAGACATGGATGCTGTTTTGTTATGTCTGTGCTGAAACTCTGATTCTTCATCCTGCATTTCATCTGGGTGCCCTTGAAACTTAGAGTAATGGGGAAGGTTGTGTCACTCAGGTTCTTTACGTATTTTTGTTTACTGTTTTTCCCAACAGTCTTCCCCAATTTCACTTATAGCAGATGCCATTAGAAGCCCTGCATGGCCAAGAGCATCCTATGAACATGAGCAGGTGCAGGCTGCCACTGATCCCTGTGGACACCTGGCTTTGCTCTCTACAAACCCGTTCTCGCTCCTTCCCCATGGCAAGACTTGGTTAGATTTCCTCAGCTTTGGGACTCTGAGCTCATCCAGCTGTCACCACCCTTCCTGACCCTCTCCCCATTCCCCCAGCCCTGTCCCAGAGCCCCTGCACTTGAGTGTGAGAGCCCAAGAGCCAGAGCAAAGAGAGTTTCTAAGTGACCTGACCACCTAGGAAGACTTGCTTTCTCTTCTGGTTCATTCCCGTAGCTGTCTCTACAAGGCCCCGAGGGAAGTGAAACTGTTTTGCTGTGATGGGGAACCTATCCACAGACCCACTCAAAATAATGACTGTGATTTGGCTGCCTCAAATAAACTCATACAGCTTGTCTTTGAGTCTTGAAACCCGGGTTCAACTAAATTGTTTTTTGTTTGTTTTCAGAATGTCTAAAAAGTGACAGTTCAAAAAATAATAATTTGCATGCATTTAAGAAGTGTTAATCTCATAGGAAGAATTTAAAAAGCTTCTTTCTGGCCAGTAAAAAATGTAATATTTCTGTGTTTTTCTTTAATCAACAGAAACAGAAGCCTATCAGTTGCTGAAGAAGGCCACCCTTCAGGATAATACAAATCAAACTGAAAACAGGTTTCAAAAGACAGATGCTTCTGTGTCACACTTGTCAGGTAAGTAAGAGCAGATGGCAGTGTCCAGGGGCCCAGAGTGGCAGGCAGGGCTGTGTTCGGGGAAGGGTGGTTATTCTTTATGAAGGTTTCTGGAGTTTGCTCTGTAACGAGCTGTCACCAGGACAGAATGAGCTAGTACTTTTTTATCCTTAGCAAATGGACATGTGGAAAAGCCCTTTTGTTGTGTCCTAGACATGTGCTGGCCAGCATGGCAATGGCCCTTCCAGGCCCTGGATTCTGCCAAGCATGTCATGATAGTGACTTGTCACCAGTGACCCTGAGAAGACACACCCAAATTCCTTCTCTTCCCCACAGCTACTAGTGTCTTAGTCATTCAGTGGGCAGTGTTGTACTGGGCTGCTTTCCCTCACCAGAATGTTGGGGGATTTTGAGTTCTTTTACTGAAAGGATTATAAATCCCAGGAATGCTAAATTTTATTATTTTATTTTATTTTATTTTATTTCATTTTATTTTATTGTGAGACAGGGTCTTGCTCTGTCTCCCAGGCTGGAGTGCAATGGCATGATGGCTTACTGAAGCCTCAACCTACCAATCTCAAGCAATCTTCCCTCCTCAGCCTCCCAAGTAGCTGGGACTACAGGTGCGCACCACCACACTCGGCTAATTTTTGTATTTTTTTGTAGAGGTAGGGTTTTGCCATGTTGCTCAGGCTGGTCTCAAACTCCTGGACTCAAGCGATCCACCTGCCTTGGTCTCCCAAAGTGTTGGGATTACAGGTGTGAGCCACCATGCCCAGTGAGGAAAGCTAAATTTTAAGCTTAATTATAGTTCCTTCAATTTAAGATTTTGTTTTAATTGTAATTTTTTTATACTTTGTTATTTGTATGTCTATTATTTTCAGTGGTTTTCCTTTCATTACACCAGTTTTTAGAGTATAAGTTACCTCAGTTTCCTTTGTGAGAGTAAATGGATTAATACAGAAGGAAATCCACATTAATGACTTTCTTAGCCACCATGCCATAATTTCATCTAGCAGAATGAACAGTGATTTCTAAATAGCATGTAATTCCCAGTCCATATTCAGATTTCCCAGTTGTCTCAAGGATGTCTTCTTCAACCAGGCACAGTGGCTCATGCCTGTAATCCCAGCATTTTGGGAGGCCAAGGTGAGAGAGCTGCTTGAGGCCAGGAGTGCGAGACCAGCCTGGGCAATATAGCAAGACACTGTTTTTACAAAAAATTTAAAAATTAGCCACACGTGTTAGCATCTTCCTATACTACCAGCTATTTAAGAGGCTAAGGTGGGAGGATCACTTGAGCCCAGAAGTTTGAGGCTGCAGCAAGCTATGATCACACCACTGCACTGGGCAACAGAGCAAGACCCTATCTAAAAAGGAAAACAAAAAATGTCTTTTTCAGACAGATATTTTCAAGGGACATACTTACAGTACATCAGACTTAGCTGTGTTTGGAGAGCTGATTCCTAGATAATATTAGTGGTTAAAGTCAGTTGCGGCAAAATTCAGTTATTTTGGTGGTATTGAGGATTTGGTGACCAATGCACATTAAGTGCCCAGCACAGTGCCTAATAGTGAAAAGCCCCCTGGGAGAGCCGGCCATTGTGGTGTTAGTGGTGATTTGAACTCAGCAAACATAAGACATTGTAGTTTATTGAGTTATAAAACAGGGCCTCTGTCCTGATGGAGGTTGTCGTCACTTGCA
This sequence comes from Homo sapiens, assembly GCF_000001405.40. Lineage (NCBI taxonomy): Eukaryota > Metazoa > Chordata > Mammalia > Primates > Hominidae > Homo > Homo sapiens. Next base: position 21,230,800 of record NC_000020.11, read on the forward strand.
AACTCTTAACTGTTTGCTTTCCATGACCTTCTTCACATTTGAGTCATGGAATTTGAATCCAGAGGGATATTAGAAAGAATGTATTCAACACTCCCATTTTACAAATGAGGCCCCAGGAGAGTAACACCGTGCTCAGAGCCTTTCAGCTGGATAGCTGACACACACACTTTGGCAAGTGACTCCACACGTCTGTTTCTGGTAAGTGTTATTTTCAGTAGTTAATTGGACAAATGCAAAAGATGAGTAAATTTGGCTGGGCACTGTGGCTCACACCTGTAATCCCAGCACTTTGGGAAGCCAAGGGAGGCGGATCACCTGAGGTCAGGAGTTTAAGACCAGCCTGGCCAACATGGTGAAATCCTGTCTACTAAAAATACAAAAATTAGCCAGACATGGTGACAGGCGCCTCAGCTACTCAGGAGGCTGAGGCAGGAGAATGGCTTGAACCCAGGAGGCAGAGGTTGCAGTGAGCTGAGATCACACCACTGCACTCCAGCCTGGGTGACAGGGCCAGACCCTGTCTCAAAAAACAAACAAACAAAAAGATGAGTAAATTTGACATATAAGTTCTAGTCCCTTCGATGTGTATCAGAAATTATGGATTATGGTACTATTAATAACCTTGTACTTAATGCATTTTTATTAATTTATTCATAAGTGAAATGACACTCTAGGTTGTGTAGTCAAGCACCCCTAAATTCATTTCCCTTGCCCCATACTCAAAATTACACTACATGTTTTGCAAGATTCCAAATTTTCTGGCAGTAGAATCATGGAAGTGCTCCTGCCTATGTTTGCTGTCACTGTCATTGTAGTCAGATCCTTTGGCTGTGTTTTGTCTTTTACCCTTACTCTCATTCTGATCCTAAGGACTTATCTGAGCCCCAAAGAAAAGCAGAAAGTGGGCTGGGAGGGTGTAGGGCAGCTTCACAGTGTTGTTAGAAGTAGCAGGGATGGGAGGTGGTGGTGTACTCTGCACTCAAGAAGCCCACCCCACATCTAACTAATGAAGAAGCAGTGCATGTTTCACTTACTTCTGAGTCTTTGGACCTGAAGGAAAGCCACTTAAATAAACCTTGAGGCTTAGTTTTCATGTCTGAAAAGACCTCCTCCTGGTAAGCATGTGGACACCCTCTTTGGGCTGAATGTGGACACATTTTTAAAATAATCACTTTGCTGCAGAGTGTACATGCAAGCAGGCAGGTTACAGGTTAGAAACTCAGCAAATGCTTTTTGCAAAGATGCCCATGCATGCTGTATCTGTGATTTTGACTGCCAGTTAAGAAGCAGACCTGTAGCAGAAACATCCAAGGCTGAGAACTCCCAAGAGGCAAAGATCAGGGATTGCCCTGCAAACTGGGGGCATTGTGGGAATATCCAAGTCTCTGGCTCCAAAGAAAGAGGTGGAGTGTGCATCCTCCTCCTCAACCTTTAGAGGCTGGTAAAGAGTGGCCTTGATGATTTTCAGTGGAGATTCTTTCTCCTCTGTGGGATGGAAAATAGAGGATTTTACAGAGGGGCTTAAGAGTGGATAAGGTGGGTGACTGTTATCCATGGGTCTCAATTATTTCTGAGCCCTGGTTTGCTGCCCGTGTGTTATAACAATGGGAATTATCCAGTGCTTTGTGACACAGTAGAGATCCATATGCCTACATGTGCATCTTAGTCATTTAAAATTGAACTCTTTGGATGATTTCAGTTTTCACTTTTTGTGGCTTGTGTTTCGGTATCACAGGAAAGTGCCTCACTCCCTTTCGGTATTCTACCAGCATTTCATTCTCTGCCTCAGAAGCTCCCTTGCCTTCTGTGGCTTGAACAGCATCTTCCTCTGTTGGCGTTTGTTTCACCAAACTTACTGTGAGGCCACTTTATTCATTTTGTCCCATGGCTGCATGACAGCTAACCCTCACTCTCCATGTTTACGCTTATCACAGGTTTGAATATTGGCAGCGGTGCATTCGAGACAAAGACAGCTAACAAAATTGCTTCGGAAGCTAGTTTTTCATCTAGTGAAGGAAGTCCTTTGTCAAGGTAAAGTTGTGAAAGCCTTTCTGAATAGCAGCAACAAGATGAGAAATGTCACAGCGCAATGAATTAAACTCTGGCTGCGTATTATTTTGTTGTATGACTTGGAGGGTTATGGTTTGGGTTTTTGTTTATCTAAAATAACAGTTGAAACTTTAGTCTACCTTTGAAAATATTTGCACCAGAGCCAAGTATTGTTTTGCAGCTGTTGTTTCCTTGGTTTAAGACTCAATTGACACCTCAGTGAACCACAAATTAGCGTCTACAGCTGCTCGCAGTAGGACTGCTTAGAGACCACACAATGGAGGTTGTCAGAAAAAGGGCAGAGAGAAAACATCAGGCCTTAAAAGAAATAAAGTGGCATGTTTCTTCTTTTTGTGATGGCTAATATATAAACTAGTAATTGCTGGATATTCATTTTTATTTTCCTCTTTTTTTTTAACCAAGTGTTTAGGCTAGGTTATTCTTTCCTTTTCTAATACTTTCTTGCTTATTTTCCATAAAGAACAAAATTTATCTTTTCACATTTGTCAAACTGTAGCACTCGCTTCTTGTAGGTTTTTTGAGCTGTGATAAGAGAGTTGTGTGCTGAATTTGTCATTAACATAAAATACTAATCACAGTAGCTTCAGGTCACTTAGAATTTATAGATGGGAATATAAGCCATCACCTGATGAAATACCCTACTCTTTTGCTTTGAGCTAAATATTGTTTAAAATGGCATAGCAACTTTCCTTTTGGAACAGCATTGCTCAGTAAAAAGGTGTCCTTCAGATGATTATATTACATTTGAATTAACTGCTTGTCTCTGATGAAATTTTAGAACAGGAACTTTACATTTCTAGTATAACATATAATGTTCCATAAGAGAAAATGATTTGAACCAGAAATGCTGAATTTTTTAAATGAAAAAAATCCTATTTTTATTCATATTTTATAAACAATACAATGTTTTTAGAACCTGGAGTATATTAAAATGAGATTGAATTTCTAAAATTATAAGTTTTAGAAACTTGACAAGTTAAGTTTTAGAGAAATAACTCATTTAATTTTCAGAAGTTATTATTTTTAATGCCTGAGTTTTCGTCCATATTTTTGAAGGAAGTGGGAGGTAAATGGGACAGGAAGAGTGTTAAAGTATTATGTTATTATGATTGTATTATAAATTCAAGTTCTAGGTCTCCTAAAAGAAAGTTTAAAAGACAGTAAATTCTACAGATAATTTTCAGGGCCGAATGTTACCATTTGGCTTAATAATATATAGAGGCACTAAAAAACTCACTTCTTCCTAAACAGTCTTTACGTAGGTTCTTTGGGAAATTTTTAAAGACATTGAGAAAGCAATTGGATTTTGTAAAACATTTCTCAGTCTAATAATTTCACATCTTGTCTATATTTTACTAAACTAAAATCAAGCATTTTCCTCCTTCAAATTGAGACAGAGGTATTTTGTTATTAGTATCGTTTCCGTATGAAATTAATTTCCTAATAAATTACAAGTAATCTCATCATCCCCTTTAAGAAAACAAAAAAAAAAACCACACAAAAAGGCCTTGAAGGAACTCTTGGTTCTAGGCACTTGATAATAATCCAGTGATGAAAAGGTCTGGGTCCAGAGTGCGTGGGTTTGGCGTGCTGTTTGTCACGGTTTGGTTCTTGTGCTGGGCTTGGTGTTGTTCATATGCCACCCTGGGCTTTGGAGAGCTCCAGTTTTGCTGTTTGTGCTGGATTCACTGAAATTTCTTAGAGGCTTACATTTAAGGATCCCACTTACTGCAGTCACTCCTTGTGCTTTATTGCTTTTACAAGTGGTCTCGAAACCCGGTACTTGAGAATAAACATAACAGTGCAGTGCTGCTGTAGCACTTTTAAAATTCTTCTTTGCTCTATTTTGTCAGTGAGCTGATGAGCAACCTCAAAAAAAGAAAAAAAAAAAACCCACTGGACCTAAAAAAAAAAAAAAAAAAAAATGGCTTCCTCTGATGTCCTAGAGACAATAATTATGATGTGCTAGTTAAGCCCAAACTACAGCTGAGGGATTTTACTTTAAAGCAGCGGCTTGGGCGCAAAAATGCATTTATAGCTCTTTGTCTGCACCTCATTATGTGTGGGCCTGATTCATTAAGTAATTGGTTTGCAGTTGTTTACATGAGTATTAAGGCCTTCTTTTCAGCCGCCTTTGAGAGATACATTGTGCAAATGTTGCCTGTGATGAATGCAGAATGAGGGCCAGAGGGTCCGTCCTATTGGCTAAACAGTGCACTCCTGTTGAAAAGCCAGAGAAAGGGATTGGGTGCTGCTTTGCATAGCAATGACTTTCTTAATAAGCGTTACAGATTAATACACACAAGCTATAAAAGATGCAAAGAGATACTCTTAGCACATTTATACATGCTCATTTCATTGTGATGGTGGTGGGGTTCGGGTGCTTTCATATTCCGTTTTTCAGAGCAGCAGCTTCAGTGCATGAGCCGTAATAGAATCCGATGTTTATTGTATTATAAATCACGGGCAAGTAGGCAGATTGGCAACAGTTTATTATTAAAGATTCTTTCAGTGTAAATCTTTTTCTACCATTGTATTTGCTTCAGCAAAATCATTTTGTGGTTGAGTGGGGATGAAAAGCATAATGTACGAAGGAGTGAGTCCTAATAGGAAGCCGTTCTCCAAGTAAAGACCACTTGTTCCCTTTTGTTCAGGGGTGCATGCCAGAGCTTCCTCTCCTCTGCAAACATTGTCTCGCTTTACCTTCCCCAGCAAGCGGTTTTCACTCTCCCGGATCCATTTGTTCAATGGAGAGTATATTTTAAAAGCCTGCCCTTAGCTTACTGGTTCCTGCCTTGTAACTTCAGCTTACTGGTTGGACCAGATAATGTTTTACCAAAAGGAAAGGGTGTGTGCTTGCAACATAATTGCCTGGGGGAAAGGTAGCAGAAGTCACCCCGCCACTGTACCCTGGCAGGGCCACCGTGGGTGGCATTCTGTGCCAGCCTTGCAGCCACCAGAGCGGCCAGTGGAGGGCGCCAGCCTGCAGCTGATGCTCTGATGGCGGTGGCATTTTCTGTCTTTGCCTGGTCACTGTGCCATTTTCCCCAGGATAACATAAAGATTATAAGGAACCAATAGTCCAGTGAAATAAAAATGAGTTTTTCCTGAAAGTCCTTTAGGTTCTTATATAAAAGCACTCTTCTCTGTCTTGGGTTTGGCACATCTCCATTCTTAAATTCCACTGAATTAGCAGCTTCCTAAATATGTCACGTTTCTTATCACAAGCCTACATACGTTGTTTTTTCTGCACAAAGCAAATAAGAACAATCGCTTGATTATTTGAAGAGAAAAAGTTAAGTTGACCTCAGGCAGCTGAAAGTGGCATCTTCTGTAGGAACCCCGATTAACCATCAGGGGGCGCTCAGACTTTGTTAAATTACTGGTAGGCCTTTAAAACCTAAAATTAGTGTTTACAGAGATTTGTTGGCATAGTCATTGGGATTTTTTTCTTTCTGGATTATTTTTTGCCTTCTGTTTTTCAGAAACATATGTCTGTTTTGAGGAACGTTCAAGCTGAAATTGCTCCTTTAGAAATTGTAATACTGATTTCCACTAGCAGTCAAAAATTATTACAAATTTTAGAATTTGGAGTCTAAAGACTATGTCTTATAATAAATTAGCTATTTTCAGCCTTCTAATAAGACTCCAGAACTGGAAGGATACTTCCTGCTGCCGGGAGCCATTCCTCCTTATCCTGGACATCATAGACAGTGCTCCTGGCAGGACCCTCTGAGTCTCATTGCCACACTCAATTGGTGAGGCCTCAGAGTCACAATAACTTGGGTATATTTGTTAATGGGCCATGGCTATTTTTTCTTTTTTTAAAAAAATGATATGACAGGCCAGGCGCAGTGGCTCATGCCTGTAATCCCAGCACTTTGGGAGGCCGAGGCAGGCAGATCACTTGAGGTCAGGAGTTCAAGACCAGCCTGGCCAACATGGTGAATATCCCTATCTTTACTAAAAATACAAAAAAAATTAGCCAGGTGTGGTGGTGTGCACCTGTAATCCCAGCTACTTGGGAGGATGAGGCAGGAGAATCGCATAAACCTGGGAGGCAGAACTTGCAGTGAGCTGAAATTGCACCAATGCACTCATCTGGGCAATGGAGCAAGACTCTGTTTAAAAAAAAAAAAAAAAAAATGATGGCTGGGTGCGGTGGCTCACACCTGTAATCCCAGTACTTTGGGAGGCCAAGGTGGGTGGACCGCCTGCAGTCAGGAGTTCGAGACCAGCATGGCCAACATGGCAAAACCCTATCTCTATTAAAAGTACAAAAATTAGCTAGACATGGTGGCAGGCGCCTATAATCCCAGCCACTCGGGAGGCTGAGGCAGGAGAATCGTTTGAACCCAGGAGGCAGAGGTTGCAGTGCATCGAGATCGTGCCACTACACTCCAGCCTGGGTGACAGAACAAAACTCCGTCTCAAAAAAAAAAAAAAAAAAAAATAGATATTGACCATGAAATCGAGTCAATGTGTTACTAACATTAGGTTTTCCCTCTGTTCTTTCCTCCAAATTCCACCCCCTGCTCCCGCCCTGGGCCAGGAATGAGTATCTGACACCCACCTCTGCTGCCACACACCTCTCAGGAGACCCTTGTTGCCTGCACCTCTGTCAAGCACGGGTAGTCTGCACACTGCACACCCTTCCCAGCCAGCTCCCCTTGTCCCCCTGCTGAAGAACAGTTAACAACCAGACCGCATGTCATGCCCGCGTATGACCCACTATTTCATGTCCCTGGATTTTATTGGAATGCTCTTGCCCCACTCTTTTACCTGGTTAAGGCCTTCTAGATTTTTCAAGGCTTAACCTTCTGAACGTTTCCTAAGCGGAGACCTGGCTGCACAGCATGCCCTTCCTGTGGTCCCCCTAGCTATTTCTGTTATCATCTGTAGTCAGGGCTAGAAGCCATTTCCCAGTACCCTCCCTCCCGCAGTGGGGCAGGCTTCGTTTCATTTATTTATTTATTTAGAGACAGGGTCTCGCTCTGTCACCCAGGCTGGAGTACAGTGACACGATCTCCGCTCACTGCAACCTTTGCCTCCCAGGCTCAAGCAACCCTCCCACCTCAGCCTCCCAAGTAGCTGAGACCACAGGCACATGCCACCATGCCTGGCTAATTTTTTGTGGTTTTGGTAGAGATGATGTTTCGCCATGTTGCCCAGGCTGGTCTTGAACTCCTGAGCTCAGGTGATCCACTCTCCTCGGCCTCCCAAAGTGCTGGGATTATAGGCGAGCCACCATGCCCAGCGGCAGGTTTCTTAATCACCAGTGCTGGATAGTCATTGTGCTTCCTGAGTGAGTAAGCATGGATATATAGCTCCACCATTCACTCTAGTTTGTTTTTTTTTTTTTTAAATAAAAGTCAGTTTGTACAAGTTCCCTCACTTCTGTATGGCATCATGTACTTGAGCTGCAGGGAATCATGCATTTCGTACAGTTATCTGCATAAGGGTGTGAGAGAGAGAGAGAGAGAGTGTGTGTGTGTGTGAGAGGGTGTGAGTGTGTGAGAGAGTGTGTGTGTGTGTGAATGTGTGTGTGGACACATACATTTTCAAAGGGAGACTGGTAATGACTGTGAATATGCCCTCTGCTCATGCATCCCCAGTTTCAGGAAGCAGGACCTGGGTGAACACACTTGCAGAGAGCCTCACTGGGGTTCTTTCCTGGCTGCTGTCTTGTCTGCTGATGGAAAGGTGTCTGGCTTCGGGCCCTGACCTTGATGAGAGCTCTTGGCACATGCTGGAGGCCTGGAATGTCATCCCACAGTTCCACTGTCATCAGTTCTCAGCCAACCCCACTGTTGCCTTTTCAGCCAATTTCATGGTGTTTATTCTGGTGTCAGTCTCCTCACCGGAGCGTGGGCACCTCAAGGGCATCGAGCGAGTCTGTCTTGTTTGCTGCTGCAGCCCCAGCACAGAGTCCGATGCCTTGCTCTGCCCCTGCTCTTGGAAGGCCTGGCTGAGGCAGTTTCCCTGTCTCTTCCCATTTCAAGGGCACCCACTCATCAGGTTCCTCGAGGAAGAAACTTCACGCATCTCAGGCCTGCCTTCCCTCCATCTGTCCCCAAACCTCCCATTCCTTGACCCCTGTGCCTAAGTACTCATCACTTCCACTTAGAACCCACGGCTGCACATCAGCAAACTGAGTACATGCTTTTGTTGATCCAAATGTGCTGACAGTGCAGTGGCACTGCTTACTGAAGTCTGCTGTCTGCAGGCTGTCACACAGGATTGTCTGTAAATTTATCAGAACACTTCCAGGAAGGCATTACTGTCCCCATTCTACAGACAAGAAAACTGGTGCTTGGAGAGGTAGGGAACTTGCCCAGGATCATGCAGTGAGCAGAGTCTTTCTGGCCCCAGAGCTGATTCTGTCTCAGCTTCTGAAAGCAGCTCACATAGCCAGGCACATGCTGTGGCAGGGTTCTCCCTGCCCTACTGTTTTACTGCTTCTCAGGAGGCCCTGTGGGGCGGGTGTCTACAACGTGTACATTTGTAGGAGTGTCCCAGGAGGAGCATTTTGTTCCACTTTTGCTCTACTGCTGGCTCGCTCTGTGTGTCTTAGGACACATCTCTTAACCTCTCTGGGCTCAACCACTGCACAGTGAAGGCTCTGGATTGATAATCTGTGAATGCTGTGTTCTAATTAAATAGTGGGTTTCTTGGCCTTGGGTATTCTGTGTCTCATTTTTGTCTTTACTTGTTGGCTCCACAAAGCAAAACCTATTGTCAGTAATTCTTACTAACTTTATATTGATGTTGACTGTGTAGACCAATTCTAGCTACGTTAGCCTTTTGTTCATATAAAATGAACAACTGACACGTAATTGTTACTGTTTTCCATAGTGCACTGTGTCATCCTGACTCCACGTATAGAGTGTTCACTGTGTGCCAGGGCTGCTCTCGGATAAAACCTATTCTGTTGAAGTCCTGGCTGGCCCTAACTTTTTAAGTTTAACAAGGTTGAGAACACAAGTGACTTTGATTAGCATTGTCCTAATCTGGTTTATCAGTAGCAGGGGAATTTATAAGCAGTTACCAAAATGCATCCAAAATAAGATGGCTTAATGGCTAGGCAGAGGGGAGAGATGTGATGAAGTCAGTACAGCAGAATGGTAACAAGTGAGCATCTCCCTAATGGGAATGGGACATTCCTGGTAGAGCTGGGAGAAAAAATGACCAAAGCTACTGGGAAATTCTGCAGAGATAATTGTCCCATTACTTTTTAATTAATTAAAACTAATTAATTAACTATTTTTTTTTTGAGACGGTGTCTCGCTCTGTCACCCAGGCTGGAGTGCAGTGGTGCAATGTCAGCTCACTGTAACCTCTGCCTCCAAGGTTCAAGCGATTCTTCTGCCTCAGCCTCCCAAGTAGCTGGGATTACAGGCACATAGCACCATGCCTGGCTAATTTTTGTATTATTAGTAGAGACAGGGTTTCACCATGTTGGCCAGGCTGATCTCGAACTCCTGACCTCAGGTGATCACCCGCCTCAGCCTCCCAAAGTGCTGGGCTTATGCCACCACACCCAGCCGATTGTCCCATTCAAATGAGACCGGCGGAACATGGTTATATTTTAATTTACTCAGTTAATCATCTGCAGTGTCTTGCCTGAAAATGGCTTATTTTGAAGTAGGACCTCCAGTCCAGTTGTAAACTTCTAGGGAAAAAATACCAAGTCTGCCCTCTGGGGTTCCAAGAGTCGCTCCTGAGCCATGGTGCGGGGGAAAGGCAGGCTCTCTGGCTTGCAGCATGGGCCTCATGTGAGGCAGTTCTTTACAACAATGGTGGCCCTTGGGCCGTGCCCAGGCCACTGCCTCAGTCCATACGGCCCGCAAGCTAAGAGTGGTTTTCACATTTTTAAATGGTTGGAAGAAAATTCAAAGAATAATGTTTCGTGACACCTGAAAGGTATATGAAATTCAAATTTCCGTGTCTATACGTGAAGTTTAATTGGAATACAGCCACATCTTTTAGTTTACAAATTGTCCATGGCTGTTTTTGTGCTACAAACACAGTTGAGTAGTTGCGGCAGACCATATGGCCCACAAAGCCTGAACTATTTACTCCCTGGTTCTTTACAGAAAACCTTTGCCAACGTCTGCCTTACAAGATGGAAACATTACTTCTACACTCTCAGCAAACATTACACAGTTAGATTCTGAGCACATAAGACCACATGGTGACCATATCTCATGGCCTACAACCTTAACTCTTTGATTTCTTTTACTTTCTGAAATGCAGTTTTGTTTTTCTTTCATCTACTCTAGTAGCCAAAGTAGTTGGCTCTATCCAGCACACAATAGAAAGTTCTCAGGCTTCTCCATCAGCCTTGCCTTAGCTTTACATATTAGGTATGACCTAGAGAAAAAAATGTTGGCCCCAAGAATTCTGTATAATAAAAAATCAACTATGAATTGCAGGGTCACATTTACTTTCAGAGATTTTCCCAAAAGGAAAAATAATTGCTCCTTAGATACGAGAGTGGAGAACAAAACACTGGAAAGTACGCTCTGCCCTTCTCCGTGGGTAGGCCACGCACCACGCACATTTAGCTCTGAAACATGTTTCCTGTGAGAAAACCAATCACACAGACAATTAAGAACGATTACACAATTAATTCACATTTCACTAGGATGTTTACTGGCTCCCTGCATTACACAATTAATTCACATTTCACTGGGATGTTTACTGGCTCCCTGTGGCTTAAATGTTCTCAAAGCTACACTGTGTAACCACAGGACAAACAGAAAAAGCAAGTTCAAGTGGCCTCATAGAGACATGGCTTCAGGAAATCATTTTTTCCTAGAGTGCCACATGCGGAAGTGAGGTCCCTGAAATGCTCAGTGGGTCACCTCCGTGGTGGGACTCAGCATTGCTGGCTGATTGCTTTTGATGAGTTAAGTGACGACTAACACACACTCGCATAGATGTTCTCATGTGTCTGTGTTTACAGCCTTGTGCATGACTTTTTCCTTTTTTTTTCTGCTTCAGCTTTTCTGGGTTTTTATTTTTTTTTCTTTGCCAGCAGGGAAGCCAAAGAAACTTGATTCTGAAGTGCAATATTGAATAGAAATATGTAAATCAAGTATTATATAATTGAATATTGATCAAATGCCTTTAAGCAGGGCCCTATGCTTAGTGAAGTTCGCTTGTTCATTCCAAGTGAACATACTCATTAAGCACCTGTTAAGTGCTGTGCACCGCCTTACCCAGGTGAGCTGAAACAGGTGTGGTCACTACCCGCATGGATCTTGCAGTTCAGAGGGGGAGGACTGGCACGTCAGTTGGCTGCACAAGTGGATGTGAAACAGCAACTTGACGAGGACTCAGTGGTAAAGATAGGGAGTCAGAAGTGGGAAGGCTCCAGCAGGACAGCACGACACTCCTGGGGGATCCACCTTGGAGGCACTGCTTGGGATTTAGGTCTTTGTGCAGAAATCAATGGAAAGGCATTGAAGAATTTTAAGCGAGGAAGTGGAGCGACCAGATTTGCATTTCAGAAAGCTCACTCTCATTGCCTAGTGGAAAATGGATAGTAGGGGACAAGATGAGTGTGTGTCACCAGTTAGGAGGTTGTTGCAGAGAGAGAAGCAAGAGCTGATAGTTTTGTTGACCAGTGTACTGGCAGTGCCCAGGGAACTGGTGAGGACTGCAGGAAGTATTGCAGGGGGGTCGAGAGGGGTGGGGGTGGAATTGGCAGGACCGAGGGCCAGACTGGATGTGAAGGAAAGAGGAGTGGAGACTGGAGAGGGGCTTGGGGAGACTAGTGGGTCAGGGGTGCCATTTGCTGAGACGGGAGGAGCTGAGCTCACCTGCCACTGTGTCCTTTCTCCTGTGTCAGGGGCTCCCTGCTGCCCCACCCCGCCACACCTTGTTCCCCAGTCCTGTCCTGTGAAGGCCTCTGCCTTTGGAGGTGCCGGGCTTCCTCTGTGGTCCTGCAGCTCCCCCAATCACCTGCCACAGTGCTCTCCATCCACCCAGCTGGCAGAGATCTCTCCTGCTCCCCCTGTGGCTCTTCTTGTATGGACCGCGGCTGGCAAATTAGCCTCTTTCCACCCCTCCTAGCATTTTTATAATCCACCCTCCCCTGCAGCACCTAGCCCAGTGTCCTCAGGTAGGGGGAGGTGGGGAAATAATAGACATCCCTGCAGTTGCATTTAGTGTGTGTGTGATGTGTGTGTCACTTTCTGTAAAATGGGTTCTTGCAGGCTCACCTCACTGACAGGTCCCCACAATCCTGGCAGCTCCAGGACTGTCAGTCAGCTGCTGGCCTTTCCAGATGCTCGTAGGGGTCTTCCATGCTTCATGGAGAAATGGCTGTGAGCACTACTCAGTCATGGCAATTAAAGAAACAGGCACTAAATTTAAAGGGAACACTGAAAGGTAGCCTAGAAAATGATACCTTAGTGGAGCATGTTTTTCTGAAAAAAAAAAGTAAATTATAGCAAAACGTAGATTTTTAAGCCAAAAGTCAACCACACTTGGCCCAAAGGGAAGGAAAAGATATATTTGCAGGGTTTCCTGTGTCCAGAAGAACAAGGCCCTGGCTGTGAGAAGGGCGGTGGTGGTGCGTGGGGTAGGGCAAAGTGTCGAGCCATGCACCAAGAATGGTTTCTCTCCCAACATCTCCTGTGACCATTCAGGCAATTCTGAAAGAATCTCAGCATCATAAAACATTCGAGTGACACTCCCTGAGGAGACTTTTAAATTCATTAAAATTGCAAAAGCTCCTGAAAAGGCACACAGAGAAATCATATCCCGTGGAGCCAGTTTTCTTGTCATATTGGCCTCAGTCGAGACGGTCCTGGACGCCACGAACACTAGCATTTATGTGACACTTGCAGGGCCCTCTACCAGGTGTTTGTTTTGAACTCCTTTCTTAACTGTTAGTATTGCTGCCACTGGTTTGACTAAGTATTTTAACTTCCTTACCAACATCTTGAATTCCCTACTGCAAGTGTTTCATTTTTAGCTTGCCTGAAAGCACTGAAGTTTGATGCATCACTGTCTTCCAGAAGACTGTTGAGGGAAACCGGTCCCCTGCCTCAGGGGAACATGCGATCATCCTCCCCCAAGAACACGTGGCCCCACACAGGCACAGCTCAGCAGGGCGGGGTGGGCCATGCAGACCTGCCGAGGGGACACACGCAGGACGGGAGCAATGCTGTTGAGTAGCGACCCTCCCGACAAGGCCACGCTGCATCCCGATATTTTCCCTTTACTTTTAAACTCTGGGAAGTAAGTGTAAAGTTCTGGCCTCCAGTGAATCAAAGTGCTTCTTCTCTAATGCGTTCATTATGAAAATATTAGTCTCATTGTCTTTTCTTTTTCAGAACTTAGACTGTTTCTTTATTTTGCAGGCATGAAAACAAAAAGAAACCCGTGATCAATTTAAAATCTAATGGTGAGAGAGATAATCGGACACTAGATTTTCTTTTTCTGTTTTAACCAAAAAACTCTGTGACATGCATTTGTTGTTTGCACCCTCATGTGAGTCCTGAAGCGGGCATGCTCACAGGGACTGCCATTGCAGCTGTCCCTGGGGTGGAACCTGAGGGCTTCTGGAGGCTCAGTTCTTCACAGACAGGACCACACGGGTGCCATGGACCACAGGGGCAGAGCATTGTAATTTGCAAGTATGAATTTGCAGGGGATCCTGGCCTCCATGTCTAATTAATTATCAGCACCCTGTATTTTACCAATGAAATGTTTCTTGCCTCTCTCCTCATCCTCAGAAGCACCCATTGCTCATGACCGGACAGGCTCTTGGAGTAACTCTAACTGGTTTCCTCATACCCAGTTCCTCCCAGCTCCTGGGAACTCCCAGCTCCTCCACCTGGCCACCAGCCTCCAAACCCTGGCTTCCCCCGACCTTCCTGTGTAAGGACGGCCAATGCCTCCCCGTACCTTCAGGGTAGAGTCTGAGCTTTCTCCATTCCTGGGAGGCCCCAGCCCTGCTCTCCAGCTTATTCCTCCCAAGGTCGCCTCTTTGGGTCAAGCCACAGTCAGCTTTTTTCAGCTGTAGCACACCTATGCCTCTGTACCTTTGCCCATGTTGTTCCTTCTGTAGGGAGTTCCTTTTCCTTTTCCTCAGCCCAGTGAGCTCCTATTCATCCTTCAACACCCAACTCACGGGAAAAATCTAGCCCTCCTACCATAACACTGTGGCATATCCCCTGCCCAGCTTGGGCTCTCTCACCTCCTGTCTCCTTAAACCCCTTATACCTTAAATTAAAGGTATAATTTGATTAATAGTTTTACTGACAATAACAAAAATATTCGCTGTTTATTTAGCCCCAGTATGTCCCACTTTGCTAACCCAGTATGGAAACTGATTCAGAGCTGCTGTAGAACCTAGGCCTAGGAATCTGCCTTTTTAGCAAGCACCCCACTGTGAATCACTCTTCTAGAAGGACAGCTACCTACTGTGGGGGAGACAAGTACCCAGTGGGTTGTGATGGAGAGTATGGGCTTGAGTCAGATGACTTGGATGGGACTCCCAGCTTGGCCACTCACTGGCATTGTGATTGTGGCCAATTTCTTAACCCCCTTCAGCGTCCGTTTGTTTGCACAGTGAAATGGAAACATTAATACTTACCTTGCCAGGCTGGTGCGAGGATGAGATGGGGTTGTGTATGAGAAGTCAGCACAGAGCTGGCAGGTGGTGCCATGCAGGTGTCAGCAGAGTTAAGGGATTGTTGATGTAGTAGACGTGGTCCGCTCCACTACACCTTGCCAGACCACCTGCAGGGCACCTCAGCTCCAATTCACAGACGCGCCTACAGCTTCCTGCACCAAGCAGCTGTGTCTCTCTGCCTGAGGGCTTTCTCTGGCTGCAGGAGCGTGCTCAGCCCTCACAAGGCAGCCCAAAGTACCAGGGAGTTGATGCCCTGGGTTGAGAGCAACCCTCAACCAACAGAGGCAAGTTGGTGGATCAGTAACCCCACTCCCTTGCTCTTCACTGGGACAATCTGGGGAGAGTTCTGCAGTCTCTCAGGGGGCCCCAGCAGGCTGAGCCTTGCCTGTCCACTCACTGCCAGGCACCCACTCGTCATCATACCCTTCATTGGCTTCCTGTCTTCCTTGTGTCACTGTCCCCATGGTTCCTGGGATCACCTCTCAAGTAAATGATGTGGACCAAAGTCCTGTCTCAGGGTAACCATCTCTGCTTATTCCTCTGCCACGTCTTTCCCTTCTCCTCTCTGCTCTCATAAAGAAGAATGGGAGATGAAAGTGGAGGGGCAGCTGAGGTGGGGCGGCATCAGGCTGATACAACACCCCAGGGAACCCTGCTTCCATGTAACCCTGACCTTAAATCCCTATCCTATAATAAAGAGTTGGGCACAACAGAAGGGAAAAGGAAGTATTCTGCAAATTGTTTTCCATAACAGTGCAGAGGACACACTTTGCAATGTGTAATTTGTGCAGTATGACATGCATTTGGGTGTGTCTGGTCAGGTACATCATGTGGTGTCCCTGTTATGCATTTTGCAGACTGACACTCTGCTTAACCAGTCCTTCCGTGCTGTGCTGTTTTGTAAGCTCTTAACCAGAATGCAAAAATGTTAAATAACTGTCTGGTTTTATTTTCCAGCCCTCTGGGATGAGTCTGATGACAGTAACTCAGAAATTGAGGCTGCTTTACGCCCCAGAAACCATAACACCGATGATTCTGATGATTTTTATGACTAACGTGCTGTGACATTGGTTTCAAATAAAGTCTTTAAACAAACTAAAATCCTGTGTTAATATGTGATGTCCAAAATAAATATGTTCTTTTAAGTTTTCTCACTGTTTTATGGGAAAACTTAGGACTACATTGCTATTCAAGTGAAATTTTATGACATAAATATGAACTTGCATATTCATTTTTAAGTTCATCATGAAGCAAAGTGATGAATGCAATGCCCATCAAAATTCAAGGTGGTTTCTATGTTAGAAATTAGCCAGCTGATCTTAAATTCATATGGAAATTCAAGAGGCCCAGAATAGCCAAAACAATCTTGCAAAAGAAATACAGTTGGGAGGCCGAGGCGGGTGGATCACTTGAGGTCAGGAGTTCAAGACCAGCCTGGCCAACATGGTGAAACCCCATCTCTACTAAAAATACAAAAATTAGCTGGGCGTGGTAGCATGCACCTATAATCACAGCTGCTCTGGAGGCTGAGGCAGGAGAATTGCCTGAACCTGGGAGGCAGAGGTTGCAATGAGCCGAGATCACGCCACAGCACTCCATCCTGGGTGACAGAGCAAGACTCCTTCTCAAAAAAAAAAAAAAAAAAAAAAAAAATAGAGTTAGATTTCTCACATTTCCTTATTTCAAAACTTACTGAAAAGCTACAGTAATTGAGATACTGTGGTACTAGATAAACAGAAATCAATGGAATATTGACTCTGTTGATTCATATGTATCTAGAATTGAGAATACAAAAACACTGTCACATTTAGTCAATTAATTTTTGACAAGGGTAACAATTTCTGCTACTCAATGGGATAAAGAATAGCCATTTCAACAAATGATGCTGGGACAAATGGATAGCCACATGGCCAAAGAATGATCTTGGATCCCTACCTCACACTGTATACAAAAATTAACCAAAATGGATCAAGAACCTAAATGTAAGAGCTAAAACTACAAAACTGTGTTAGAAGTAAACATAGGTGGCCAGGCATGGTGGCTCATGCCTGTAATCCCAGCACTTTGGGAGGCTGAGGCAGGCAGATTGCCTGAGGTCAGGAGTTTGAGACCAGCCTGGCCAACGTGGTGAAATGCTGTCTCTACTAAAAATACAAAAATTAGCCAGGCATGGTGGCAGGCACCTGTAATTCCAGCTACTTGAGAGGCTGAGGCAGGAGAATTGGTTGAACCTGGGAGACGGAGGTTGTAGTGAGCCAAGATTGCACCATTGCACTCCAACCTGGGCGAACCCAGGAGACGGAGGTTGTGGTGAGTCAAGATTGCACCATTGCACTCCAACCTGGGCGACAAGAACGAGACTTGGTCTCAAAAAAAAGTAAACATAGGTGTAAGTTTCTCTCACCTTGGATTAGGCAACAGTTTCTTAGATATGACCGCAAAGCCTTAGATGTGGTTGCAAAAGATACCACCAGGAAAGTTAAGGCCAGGTGCAGTGGCTCATGCCTGTAATCCCAGCACTTTGGGTGGTCAAGGTGGGTGGATCATTTGAGATCAGGAGTTCGAGACCAGCTTGGCCAACATGGTGAAACCCCATCTGTACTAAAAATATATAAAGCCAGGCGTGGTGGCACGCACCTGTAGTCCCAGCAACTCAGGAGTCTGAGGCAGGAGAATCACTTGAACCCAGGAGGCGGAGGTTGCAGTGAGCCAAGAGAGCACCACTGCACTCCAGCCTGGGTGACAGAGTGAGACTCCCATTTCAAAAAAAAAAAAAAAGAGTGAAAAGACAATCTATAGAATGAGGAAAGTATTTGCAAATTATACATCTAAAAATGGACTTGTATCCAGAAATACATAAATAACTCTTATGACTCAATAATTTAAAAAACCCCGATTTTGAAAATGGGCAAAGGATCTGAATAGATATTTCTCCAAAGAAGATATACAAATGGCCAATAAGATGCATGGCATCATTGGTCTTCAAGGAAATGCAAATCAAAACCACAGTGAGGTACCCCTTCATGCCCTCTAGCATGACTGGAATCAAAAAGTCAGGTAACAGAAGTAGTGAGGAGGTGGAGAAATCGCTGGCAGGGATGTGAAATGGTGCAGCAGCTTTGATAAACACTCTAGTAGTTCCTGAAAAGGTTAAACATAGAGGGATTATGACCTAATGATTCTACTCCAAGAGAAACAAAAACATATCCACACAAAAACTTGTACAGGAATATTTATAGAAGAATTATTCATAAGAGCCAAAGAGTAGAAACAACCCAAATGTCCATCACTTATAAATGGATAAACAGAATATCCATACAGTAGAATATCATTCCTCAATAAAAAGGCATGGAGTACTAATCCATGCTACAACATGGGTGAACCTTGAAAACATTATTCTAAGTGAAAGAAGTCACTCACAAAAGACCACATAATGTCAGATTCATTTCTGTGCAGTGTCTAGGACAGGAAAATCCATAGACAAATGAGTAGTTGTCTAGGCCTGGGGTCGGGAGAGGAGTGACTACTGATATGAGGGATTTTGGCAGGGATAATGAAAATGTCCTAAAATTCATTGTGCTGATGATTGTATAATTCTGTGGATACACTGAAAACCATTGAAGTGTACACTTTAAATAGGTGAATTATATGCTCTGTAAATTACATGTCAATACTGTTTAGAAAAAGGAAATTGGTAATTCATACATCTTGGGGTGTAGTGACTACAGGCAACTCTTGGTGCAACACTTTCTCACTTTTAAATGGTCACTTTAGTCAATGTCAGAAGTTAATTGTGCAACTCAGGAGCCTGGGACTCATGGTGGGTCATGTGACTACTCTGGCTTCCTTTGAGCCCTCAGAATCTCTGAAATTGAAATGATTTTTAAAGCATTGTGTGTATTTTGTTTTTAAATCACCTCCTGCTTGTCACTTACCTACTCAAGAACTTGGGAGATGTCTTTGATTCACTCCTTTATTCTCCCTTCTTTCCACTCAAATTACCAAGGCCTTTCCTATCTCTTCCCTGCCATCATCACCATCCCCATCTGAGCCTTCACACCTGAGTTTCTGCAGCAGGTGTCTTGATATTGCCCTTGGCAACTAAGAAAAATCCTGCCATGGGTTTCCTTTTTCTTTCTTCTTAAAAAGGTATAACTTGGGTATTATTAATTTGCTAATAATAAAATAGCTGCTATTTATTGAGCACCCTATTATAACCCAGACACTTTGCTTGCTCAGCATAGAAACCAACTCAAAGCTGATGTAGAGACTAGGAATCTGCATTTTTAGTGATTCCTGTGGGAATCACTGTTCTAGAAAGACAGCTATCTACTATGAGGAAATAAATCCAACTCTGAAATCCATGTTTTTATCCATTTGATGGGAGGCAAGGAATGTTGGCTGTTTGGTTTTTTGTTGTTGTTGTTTGTTTTGTTTTGTTTTTTGTTTTTCTTCATTATGTTGTTCTGGCTTAGTTGTTCTAATAAAATATTTCATTCTTTGGTTTTTAAAACTTTTAAGCTTTATACTACAGCGTTATTTTTCTATATTCTCTCTTCCCTATCCACAATTATTAAATAATGGGAGTTGACTCTAATGGTAATTCTCCACATAAATAAAGGGGGTACTTTATGGCTCAAAGCACACGATGGAAAGATTTAGAATCACGCTATTTTAGGACTGGAAAAGCTTTTAGAGATCACATGGTCTTTGAATTTTAGAGTCAAAAAGGACATTATTCATCAAAACTTCTCATTTTAGAAAACTTGGTCAAAAGTGATACATAAATATGGCAGCTAAGTGAAGAGCAATATAGATACTAACTTGTCAGTAGACACTAAGAAGACAAAGAGAAGCGTGCCTGGCAAGGATTGAAGTTAAATGGAAAAATGTGGCTTGCATTGGCCAATGCAATGTGAACACAAGTAACCAATGCCACTTTTGGTTAGAAGCTTTAGTGCTATGTGTGATTCTCTCCTCTTTCCTGCATCAGCAGCCATGGCAGCATGGGACAAGTGGAGCCTCCATCAGCCTGGCTGCATCAGTGACTAGGAAGAGCAGACCTCCCCTGCTAATCATGTTTGCACCACTGGAATTGGCAGGTTGTTACCACAGGAAAATTCTGGTCTATCCTGACCAATATACTATTCTTCCATTTACGTATACTCTTTTTTTTTTTTTTTTTTTTTTGAGACAGAGTCTCACTCAGTGGCCCAGGCTGGAGTGCAGTGGCAGGGTCTCAGCTCACTGCAACCTCCACCTCCCAAGTGATTCTCCCGCCTCAGCCTCCCGAGTAGCTGGGATCACAGGCATGCGCCACCATGCCTAATTTATATATTTTTAGTAGAGAGGGTTTCACCATGTTGGCCAAGCTATTCTCGAACTCCTGACCTCAAGTGATCTGCCCGCCTCTGCGTCCCAAAATGCTGGAATTACAGGCATGAGCCACCACGCCCAGCTATTTATGTATATTCTGATTAGGCCACGTGTAATTTAATTTTGGAGTGGTGAGACTTGCAAGGTTTCCTAAATGCTCACTGAATAAACATTACACCTTTGAGATTTTTTTAAAGAAAATTTGATTCTGAATAAAGAACATATTTTTTCCTTTTTCCAGTTAAGAACCTCAAGTATCTGTGGTTAGACTATTTCTAAATGAAGTGGTAACAATTACAGTTGCAGAAGGTGAGGAACAAGTTGCACACCTTGGGGCAGGGATTGGGGGACATTTTTAGAACTGAGCTGTGGTAGTCAATAAACGGGAGTCTGTTGACAGGAAAACCTCCAGAAACCACAGCCTGCGGGGAAGCCCTCTGTGGTTTCTGGAAAGCAGGCACAGCATCTGGAGCATTTCCCTGGGTATTTGTATGTATCTCCACTGGAAAGTAGCAAATGAACTGGGTTCCTCCAACCATCTGACCCAAGAGGTAGAACTGAATTCTCCCTCCTCCCCCCATTTCTAATGTGGGCTGGACTTAGTGACTCACTTCCACAGAATAGAGATGGAAAGGGGGAAATAGTAATGGTACAGTGGAGAAACCTGCCTGACACCACCTTACGTGATGAAGGTTAACACCCATGAGTCATGACTCGTGTGGATATCTGGAACCCTGACATGCTGCCGGGAGACGGGCACTTCTCCTCTATAGTGTTCTTTCTGAAAAATCTTAACCACAGCTTAATCATGAAAAATATCAGATAACCTTGGGACATTTGACAAAACACCCAGCCATTACTCCTCAAAACAGACAGTGTCATGAAAACCAAGGAAAGACTAAGAAACTTTCACAGACCAGAGGAGAAAGAGACATGACAACTAAAATGCATTGTGGGGCCCTGGTGGGATCCTCGAACCAAAAAAAGGACATTCACGGAAAATCTGGTGAAATGTGAGTAAAGTCTGGAGTTTAATATTAATGTACCATGTTGGTTTCTTAGTTTTGACAAATGTGCCACAGCAATGTAAGATGATAATATTAAGGGCAACTGAAACTGGGCTAGGGGTATATAAGAACTCTGCATTATCTTTGCAACAAATCTAAAATTATTCCACATAAACTAACCTCCATCAATAAATGTTATTGACACTTGGGTGATACCCTTTCACACTTTTTCTGTGCACATATGCTTTTTCATTCTCTTAAACGTTTCTATTTTTAATCTCAATGTTACCAGGCTTAAAAGATTGATACCCACTAAGAAAACAAAACAGGCCTTCAACCAGGGCACTAACTTGCTATTTGTCAGCAATGCTGATGGGGTATACAGAGTCCTACATCTTAACATCTTTTACCTACAGATCACATGCTGCACTGATGATAGTCCAGAAGAAAGCCTAGGTTTGCTGCTAGTCTTTAAAACTTTGCTAACCATTTTCTTACTTTGTAGCAATAGAGTAGGCCTAGGACCCCACACTAGTAGCAAGCAAAATTTTCCAGCTACAATTTAACCTTTCTTTTTTCTTTTTAGTTACTTTCTATTTATCTCAAATGGCTCTGGTTTAAAATGTACAGAAGTGGCCAGGCACAGTGGCTCGTGTGTGTAATTCCAGCTACGTAGGATGCTGAGGTGGAAGGATCACTGAGTCCAGGGAGGTCGAGGCTGCAGTGAGCCATGATCATGACACTGCACTCCAGCCTAAGCAACAGAATAAGGCCCTGACAAAATAAAAATAAATAAAATAAAATGGATAGCAGTGATATAAAGTTCCCTTTTAAAATACATTTTAGGGAAAAAGAAAGTTGACCTTCAAAAATAAGCTTAAAAAAAAATAGAACAAGTGCTAGGAGGGCACGGCCAAGTGGAAGGAGGGGAAAGTTGCTCTGTTACCCTCACTAAATACCTCTCTGATGTATTTTGGGGTTTCCAGAGGATCAGGCTTCATGGGGAGGTCACACATGGAGCCCATGGCTAGTCCTGTTTCCCAGGTGAAAGCACTATCACTATCACAGCATAAGTTAATAACCCGATCTTCCCATTTATAAATCAAACTTTTGTGAGTTTGATTAACATGTGGATCCTGTGAACTGGTGAAACCAAGCACCACAACTCACAGAGTTTAGGACTCAGCTCTAGATCTGGGGTAGCCACTCCCCACCAACTCCCTACTGAAGTTCAGATACAGCTTTATTATTTGGTCATTCTGCAGTCCTCCCCCACCCCCCACCGCCAATTAAAGGAGATTTTTGTTTTATTTTGTTTTGTTTTTTAATTATACTTTAGGTTCTGGGGTACATGTGCAGAACGTGCAGTTTTGTTACATAGATATACACGTGCCATGATGGTTTGCTGCACCCATCAACCTGTCATCTACATTAGGTATTTCTCCTAATGCTCTCCCTCCCCTAGTCCCCCACCCCCCAACAGGCCCCGTTGTGTGATGTTCCCCTCCCTGTGTCCATGTGTTCCCATTGTTCAACTGCCACTTTTGAATGAAAACATGAGGTGTTTGGTTTTCTGTTCCTGTGTTAGTTTGCTGAGAATGATGGTTTCCAGCCTCATCCATGTCCCTGCAAAGGACATGACTCATTTTTTTATGGCTGCATAGTATTCCGTGGTGTATATATGCCACATTTTCTTAATCCAGTCTATCATTGATGGACATTTGGGTTGGTTCCAAGTCTTTGCTATTGTGAATAATGCCGCAATAAACATACGTGTGCATGTGTCTTTATAGCAGCATGATTTATAGTCCTTTGGGTATATACCTAGTAATGGGATGGCTGGGTCAAATGGTATTTCTAGTTCTAGATCCCTGAGGAATCGCCACACTCACTTCCACAATCGTTGAACTAGTTTACAGTCCCACCAACAGTGTAAACGTGTTCCTATTTCTCCACATCCTCTCCAGCACCTGTTGTTTCCTGACTTTTTAATGATCGCCATTCTAACTGGTGTGAGATGCTATCTCACTGTGGTCTGGATTTGCATTTCTCTGATGGCCAGTGATGGTGAGCATTTTTTCATGTGTTTTTTGGCTGCATAAATGTCTTCTTTTGAGAAGTGTCTGTTCATATCCTTTGCCCACTTTTTGATGGGGTTGTTTGTTTTTTTCTTGTAAATTTGTTTGAGTTCATTGTAGATTCTGGATATTAGCCCTTTGTCAGATGAGTAGGTTGCGAAAATTTTCTCCCATTTTGTAGGTTGCCTGTTCACTCTGATGGTAGTTTCTTTTGCTGTGCAGAAGCTCTTTAGTTTAATTAGATCCCATTTGTCAATTTTGGCTTTTGTTGCCATTGCTTTTGGTGTTTTAGACATGAAGTCCTTGCCCATGCCTATGTCCTGAATGGTATTGCCTAGGTTTTCTTCTAGGGTTTTTATGGTTTTAGGTCTAACATGTAAGTCTTTAATCCATCTTGAATTAATTTTTGCATAAGGTGTAAGGAAGGGATCCAGTTTCAGCTTTCTACATATGGCTAGCCAGTTTTCCCAGCACCATTTATTAAATAGGGAATCCTTTCTCCATTGCTTATTTTTCTCAGGTTTGTCAAAGATCAGATAGTTGTAGATATGTGGCGTTATTTCTGAGGGCTCTGTTCTGTTCCATTGATCTATATCTCTGTTTTGGTACCAGTACCATGCTGTTTTGGTTACTGTAGCCTTGTAGTATAGTTTGAAGTCAGGTAGTGTGATGCCTCCAGCTTTGTTCTTTTGGCTTAGGATTGACTTGGCGATGTGGGGTCTTTTTTGGTTGCATATGAACTTTAAAGTAGTTTTTTCCAATTCTGTGAAGAAAGTCATTGGTAGCTTGATGGGGATGGCACTGAATCTATAAATTACCTTGGGCAGTATGGCCATTTTCACGATATTGATTCTTCCTACCCATGAGCGTGGAATGTTCTTCCATTTGTTTGTATCCTCTTTTATTTCACTGAGCAGTGGTTTGTAGTTCTCCTTGAAGAGGTCCTTCACGTCCCTTGTAAGTTGGATTCCTAGGTATTTTATTCTCTTTGAAGCAATTGTGAATGGGAGTTCACTCATGATTTGGCTCTATTGTTTGATTATCTCAATAGATGCAGAAAAGGCCTTTGACAAAATTCAACAACCTTCATGCTAAAAACTCTCAATAAATTAGGTATTGATGGGACGTATCTCAAAATAATAAGAGCTATCTATGACAAACCCACAGCCAATATCATACTGAATGGGCAGAAACTGGAAGCATTCCCTTTGAAAACTAGCACAAGACAGGGATGCCCTCTCTCACCACTCCTATTCAACATAGTGTTGGAAGTTCTGGCCAGGGCAATTAGGCAGGAGAAGGAAATAAAGGGTATTCAATTAGGAAAAGAGGAAGTCAAATTGTCCCTGTTTGCAGATGACATGATTATATATCTAGAAAACCCCATTGTCTCCGCCCAAAATCTCCTTAAGCTGATAAGCAACTTCAGCAAAGTCTCAGGATACGAAATCAATGTACAAAAATCACAAGCATTCTTATACACCAATAACAGGGTGGTTTTGTAATGGTAGTTGCCTGTAAGTAATCCCAGCTACTCGGGAGGCTGAGGCAGGAGAATCGCTTGAACCCGGGAGGTGGAGCTTGCAGTGAGCCGAAATTGCGCCACTGCACTCCAGCCTGGGCGACAGAGCAAGACTCCATCTCAAAAAAAAAAAAAAAAAGAATCATAGTTACCTCCTAATTGATCCAAAAGCCAATGCGATTTCAGTCAAAATCCCAACAGGTCTTCCAGGTACTTAACAAGCTGGTCATAAAACTCAGAAGGAATTTAAAAGGCCAAAATGTTGAAGGCAATTTTGAAGAATAAAGAGAAGGGGTCTTGCTATAGCAGAAATCAAGATTTATTATAAAGAGCAGTAATTAGGCCATGTGGTGTTGGCTCAGGGATAGAAACATGGAGCAGAATACAGGCTCTAGAAATATTCCCAGGCATGAGAACTGAGTGTGGGACCGATGTAGTATTAGAAATCAGTGAGGTGATCACCACCTTCCCAATCAGGGCTGGACCAACTGGCAAGCCACATGGCAAAATAGAAAATTAAATTTCGACTTCATCCCTAACACGAAAGAAATTCGTGCTGGAATAAAGAACTAAATATGAAAAAGAAAACTTTAAAACTTTTAAAGAAAAAAATAAGTATCTTTATGACTTTGAAGCAAGGAAGAATTTCTCAGCCAAGACAGAAGAAGCAAAAACTCATAAAAATATTGATGAATATCACAACATTAAAATTTAAAACTTCTGTGGCTGAGCACAGTGGCTTATGCCTATAATCCCAGCACTTCGGGAGGCTGAGGCAGGTAGATGGCTTGAGCCCAGGAGTTTGACACTAGCCTAGGCAACATGGCGAAAACCCGTCTCTACCAAAAATAGAAAAATTAGTCAGGCATGGTGGTGTGCTCCTGCAGTCCCAGCTACTAGGGAGTCTGAGGTGGGAGGATCGATTGAGCCTGGGAGGTCAAGGCTGCAGTGAAGTGAGATCACTGTCTGCCATCCTGGGTGACAAAAAAAAAGAGAGAGAGAGAGAATGAAGGAAAGAAGGAACGAGGGAAGGAAGGAAGGAAGGAAGGGAGGGAGGGAGGGAGGGGAAAAAAGAAAAGAAAAAAGAAAGAAAGAGAGAAAGGAAGGAAAGAAGAAAGAAAGAAGAGAGAAAGAAAGAGAAAGAAAAAAGAAAGAAAAAGAAAGAAAGAAAAAGAAAGTAAGTTTTTAAATGACAAAAATACCAACAAAAAAAGACAAATCATTGGCTGGAAGGTGACATTTCTAGGATATATATCCATCAAAGACCTGTATCTGGAATACATAAAGAAACATATATTGAGGGCCAGGCCGTGACTCACGCCTGTAATCCCAGCACTTTGGGACACTGAGGCTGGCGGATCACAAGGTCAGGAGATCGAGACCACCCTGGCTAACATGGTGAAACCCCGTCTGTACTAAAAATACAAAAAATTAGCTGGGTGTGGTGGCGGGCACCTGTAGTCCCAGCTACTCGGGAGGCTTAGGCAGGAGAATGGCGTGAACCCAGGAGGCGGAGCTTGCAGTGAGCCGAGATTGCACCACTGCACTTCAGCCTGGGTGACAGAGCAAGACTCTGTCTTAAAAAAAAAAAAAAAAGAAATACATATTGAGAAAAATACAACTCAGTAGAAAAACACAAAGGATCAGAATGAGAAGTTAGTAGAAAATGAAATCCGGATGATCAGTAAATGTAAAAGGTTCTTGAACTCACTAGCATAAACTGTGAAAGTGACAGAGGATAAGGTGCCATTCCATACCCAACAGACTGGCAGAGAGTGAGAGGCAGATCACACTGATAATTGGGAAGGACTTCAGGGAAGAGGGACTTTGACACAGTGTGAAAAGCCCGTTTGCAACATCAAGTGAAGTTATAGACGGGCATGTCCTGACTCAGCAACTCCATTTCTAAATGTATACTCTAGAGCCACGCTTCCCAGCACAGTCAACACCAGCCACATAGAACTTGAGCACTTGAAACATGGCCAGTCCAAATTATGAGACACACACTGGATTTGAAGACTTGGTCTGCAAGAAATAATGTAAACTATTTTATTAATTTTTATATTGTTCATATCTTGAAATAGATATATTAGATATATTGGGTTAAATATAGCATCAAAATTAATTTCAACAGTTTCTTTTTTTACCAGTTTCTTTTTGCTTTTTTTTTTTTTTTTTGAGAAAGAGTTTCACTCTTGTTGCTCAGGCTGGGGTGCAATGGCGCCATCTCAGCTCACTGCGACCTACGCCTCCTGGGTTCAAGCGATTCTCCTGCCTCAGCCTCCCAAGTAGCTGGGATTACAGGCATGCGCCACCACACCAGCTAATTTTGTATTTTTAGTAGAAATGGGGTTTCTCCATGTTGGTCAGGCTGGTCTTGAACTCCTGACTTCAGGTGATCCGCCCGTCTCGGCCTCCCAAAGTACTGGGATTATAGACATGAGCCACCACACCTGGCCTCTTTTTGCATTTTCTAATGTAGCTACTAGAAAATTAAAAATTACATATATGATCTGCATTTGTGGTTTTATTATATTTCTATTGGCCGAAGCTGCTATAGAGAATTCTGGCCATTGTACACAAAGACATGTCCAAAATTTAATTGTGGATTGTTTGAAATAGGAAAAATTTGGAAGCATTTGGGCCCACGGACAGGAAAATGATAAGAAACACATCGCTAGAGGATTTATACAGCTAATGAAACATATGTAAAAGTGAAAAGAGAAAAAAATAATGTGTACAATTAAAAACAAAGTAATTCAATGAGTCACTTAAAGATAGAGAGGAAAGGACTCATATAGAATAAAAGTATAAAAACATGGATGGAAGGGATTTGTGAGCGCTTCAA
Organism: Homo sapiens; assembly: GCF_000001405.40. Taxonomy (NCBI): domain Eukaryota; kingdom Metazoa; phylum Chordata; class Mammalia; order Primates; family Hominidae; genus Homo; species Homo sapiens. Next base: position 21,258,353 of record NC_000020.11, read on the forward strand.
GAAAGTGATTAGCTCTGGGGAAGAAAAAAGATTAGGGTGGGTGGTACACAGAGAACTTCAATGCATCAGTAGTGGCTTATTTTTTTAAGCAACTTGGTTGGGCACAGTGGCTCATACCTGTAACCTCAGCACTTTGGGAAGCTGACGCAGGCAGATCCCTCGAGCCCAGGAGTTCAAGAGCAGCCTGACAAACATGCCAAAACCCAGTCTCTACAAAAAAAAAAAAAAAAAAAAAATACAAAAACTAGCCAGGCGTGGTGGCACAGGCCTGTAGTCCCAGCTACTCCAGAGAATGAGGTGCGAGGATCACTTGAGTCTGGGAAGCAGAGGTTGCAGTGAGGCGACATTGCGCCACTACATTCTGGCCTGGGCAATAGAATGAGACCCTGTCTCAACAACAACAAACAACAACAACAACAACAAAAACCCAAATACTCTCTCAACTTCATGTACTTGTGAGTGTAGAAAGACATAAGACAGATATTCTTCAGTTATATCATTGATAACCACTAATTTTTAAACAAATTTCCAATGATTGCTTGCTATAAAAATGTAAAATGGTATATATATTATTCACCCTGTAATTTTGGTTTATTTTCTTTTAGACTTTTTTCCAATGTATATTTTTTGGAACAGTTTTAATATGTTTACTTATCATTTACCCTGACTTTTTGAAACCTAGTGTTGTAAATGTTACTTATGTTTACATAGCAAAAAAAAAATCTATATGGTCTAGGCAAATATGGCAAAGCATCAACATTTATCAAATATTTGTCAAATATGGGTGGTGGCCACATGTTATTTGTTATGTTTTTCTCTGAATTTTTGTGGGTTTAAAATAGTTCATAATTTTAAAAAAGAAACAGGTCATGAAGAGTGCTATACTGATGTGAAGGAATTTGAACTTTATTCTATTGGCCAATATTTGGAAGCCATTGAAGAATTTTAAACAGGGGATGAGATTTCCATGTTGAGAGAGCATTTGTATTCTGACAGTCTCATTTTAGGCCCATCAAGTCCACCAGCTAGTAAAAGTCAAGAACAGAAATCACCATATTTCATTGCTTCTGGCCACTTTGTTTCACATTTTAACAATTCCGGAATTGGAATGCATCTCGTTGGCCACACAACAGTCGTGGCATTGTTGTCATTGCAGAATGGGTGTCAGCTGCTTCGATAGAAGTCCTGGGGACAATAGTGGGGAACTCTGACATGCTGCATCACCAGTGTGCTTCATGGCACCGTGGATGACATCACGTGGGGAAAGTGACATCTGCCACTCAGAATCAAAAAGTGATTTGGAAGAGGCAAGTTTGATACGTGAAGGAGCTTTGGAAAAGCATTAACTCATTTCGTTGGCCTGTGTTTTCTTTTATATACATGCATAAGAGTGAAAAATTTTTTCTTAATTTTTTAAAATTATGGTAAAATACACATAAAATGTACCGTCTTAACCATTACCAAGCGTACAGTTCAGTGGCATTAAGTGTAGTCACACTGTTGTGTAACCATCACCACCATCCAGCTCCAGATCTTTCTCATCTTGTAAAACTAAACCTCTGCATCCATTAAGCAATAACTGCCCATTCCCCTCTTCCTCCAGTCCCTGGCAACCACATTCTAACTTTCCTTTTTTTTTTTTTTTTTTCTCTGAGATAGAGACTCACTCTATCGCCCAGGCTGGAGTGCAATGACACTGTGTCAGCTCACTGCAACCTTCATCTCCTGAGTTCAAGCAATTCTCCTGCCTCAGCCTTGCTAGTAGCTGGGATTACAGGCACTCACCACCACACCTGGCTAATTTTTTTAAAAATATTTTCAGTAGAGACGGGGTTTCACCATGTTGGCCAGGCTGGTCTCGAACTCCTGACCTCAGTGTGATCTGCCCACCTCAGCCTCCCAAAGTGCTGGTATTACAGGCATGAGCCACTGCACCCGGCCCCCTAACTTTCTATCTCTATGAATTTGCCTACTCTAGGTACCTCAGTTAGGTGGAATCATACAATACCTGTTCCTCTGTGCCTGTCTTATTTCACTTAGCATCATGTTCTCAAGGTTCATCTACACTGTAGCATGTGTCAGAATTTCTTTCCTTTGTAAGGCTGAAAAATACTTGAATGTATGTACCACATTTTGCTTATCCATTTATCCATGAATAAACACCTGGGTTTGCTTCTGCCTTTTGGCTCTTGTGAATAATGCTGCTATGAATATGGGTGTACAAATATCTCTTTGAGACCCTGGTTTCAATTCTTTTGGGTATATACCCAGAAGTGGAATTGCAGGATCATATGAATCATATCTATTTTTAATTTTTGAGAAACTGTCAGACTGTTTTTCATTATGGCTCTGCCATTTTACATTCCCCCCAACAGTGCACAGATCCCAATTTCTCCATATCCTCACCAACACTTTTTTCTTTTTTTTAAAAAAATAGTATCCATCTGTATTAGTCTGTTCTCACATTGCTAATAAAGACATACCAGAGAGTGGGTAATTGATAAAGGAAAGAGGTTTAATGGACTCACAGTTCCACATGGCTGAGGAGGCCTCACAATCATGGCAGAAGGAGAATGGGGAATAAAGTCACGTCTTACATGGCAGCAGGCAAGAGAGCTTGTGCAGGGAAACTCCAATTTATAAAACCATCAAATCTCGTGAGACTTATTCACTACCACCAGAACAGTATGGAAGAAACTGCCCCCATGATTCTATTATCTCCACCTGGCCCTGCCCTTGACACCTGGGGATTATTACAATTCCAGGTGAGATTTGGGTGGGGACACAACCAAACCATATTATTATCTTAATGGGCATGAGGTGATATTTCATTGTGGTTTTGATTTACATTTCCTTAATGGTTAATGATACTGAATATTTTTTCATGTGCTTATTGGTCATTTGTATAGCCTCTTTGGAGAAATGTTTATTCAAGTCTTTTGCCCATTTTTTAAATCAAGATGTTTGGTTTTTTGTGGAATGATTTTTTAAATCTATGTTTAAGCCTAAAAGAGTGTTTTCAACAAATATAAAACAAATATTCTAAGAGAAAAGGAAGCATTATATCACAGGTTAAGTGGAAGGTTTTTTTTTTCCTTCTTAGTGGTACATAAAATAACATTAAAACTTACAATTAATAGCATTTTATTTTATTTTATTTTATTTATTTTATTTTATTTTTTTTTATTTTTTGAGATGGAGTCTCACTCTGTCACCCAGGCTGGAGTGCAGTGGCGTGATCTCAGCTCGCTGCAACCTCCACCTCCCAGATTCAAGCAAGTCTCCTGCCTCAGCCTCCCTAGTAGTTGGGACTACAGGCACATGCTACCACGCCTGGCTAATTTTTGTATTTTTAGTAGAGATGAGGTTTCACCATGTTGGCCAGGCCAGTCTTGAGCTCCTGACCTCAAGTGATCTGTCTACCTCAGCCTCCCAAAGCTCTGGGATTACAGGCATGAGCCACCATGCCTGGCCATTAATAGCATTTTAGATTCAATTAAATAATGGTTATAATGAGAGGATGATTTAATGAACTATTGTCAAATGGACTGAGATAATTTTTAAATATTTATATAAATGAAAGAATGTTGAACACATAAGAATGTAAGACTTAAAATATATTTAAATAAGAAATTATTTTGAATCCAAATATGATATCAAATGAATTAGAATAGTTGAAATTTAGGTAGGAATAAACAGTTATAATTTCACTTCAGCAAGTAGAAGTTTGGGATAATGTCAAAAACTGAAGCAAAAAGGAGACAGTGCATCAGTATGCATTTGCTCTAAAGATTTTTTAAAATTCTATCATCCTTCATAGGAAAAGAAGGAGGGGGTTCACTACCTCTTTAGTGAAAGACGACCACATACATTCCCAATTGATTCTTCACTTTTCACCCCAAATAGTCAAATTATATCTAGTCGACCTAGCCTATTTTTTTGTTGTCATTTTTTGTTTTTCTTTTTCTTTCTTTCTTTCTTTCTTTCTTTTTTTTTTTTTTTTTTTTTTTTTGAGACAGAGTCTTACTCTGTTACCCAGGCTGGAGCGCAGTGGCACCATCTCAGCTCACTACTACCTCTGCCTCCTGAGTTCAAGCGATTCTCCTGGCTCAGCCTCCCAAGTAGCTGGGATTACAGGTGTGTGCCACCACACCCAGCTAATTTTTGTATCTTTAGTAGAGACGAGTTTTCACCACGTTGGCCAGGCTGGTCTTCTGACCTCAAGTGATCCACCTGCCTCAGCCTCCCAAAGTGCTGGGATTACAGGCATGAGCCACCTTGCCCAGCCCTAGTCTATTGTTATTGCAGAAAACTGTTAGACTGACCCCCTGTATTTTTCTACTCCTTTGTCACAGATGCCTGAAATTTCTTTCACTGAATAAAAAGGTTCTTGGTTCATGATAAGAGATAACACTTAAAATACAATTGCCTGGTCACCGTCATCACTTATAATGGTCAGAGTCCTTAGTTGCAGACAAAAGGGTCCACTCTAGCTTAGATTAGGCAGAAAGGGATTTATTGAAAAATATTTGACAACACCAGAATCTCCAGGAGAACTAGCCAACTAGGCTGTGTGTTCATATAGTCACTACAATGAAACCAGAAAAAAAGTGCCTAGTTCCTGTTCTAGTGAAAATGCTTCTGCCTCCACTGCCTGCCAACTGTGATGTCACAAACTTGGCCTTGACTGCTTGGGAAGACCTGACTCCTCTGCTGCTGTGCTTGCTGGAAGGCCCAGTTCTTCTACAGAGGGATCGTCCTGTAGTTTGCTTCTACATTCAGGGCTTACAGGGGTGCATATGATTGGGAGGTTCGAGGTCACATGTGTGCATCATAGCTGCATAGGAGTCTAGAAAAGATCATATTACATACTCTCACCTCTATGACATAGGCAGGCAAATCCTATAGGGATTGAAACAGGAATGTGAGTTGAGTTGGCAAACTTAACAATAGCTGCCAAACTCCTGGACTGAAACACAAGCTAAAATATAAACAATGAATCAAGAAGTATAAATAGGCTGGGCACGATGGCTCACGCCTGTAATCCCAACACTCTGGGAGGCTGAGGTGGGAGGTTCACTTGAGCCCCGGAGTTTGAGATCAGCCTGGGCAAAATAGTGAGACCCTGTCTCTACAAAAATAAATTAGATGGGTGTGGTGGTCCCAGCTACTAGGGAGGCTGAGGTAGGAGGATCACTTGGACCTGGGAAGTTAAGGCTGCAACCATGGCACTCCAGTCTTCACAATAGAGCAAGACTCCGTCTCAAATAAAAATAAAAAAGAAGAGGAAGAAGAAAAGGAAGAGGAAGAAGAAGGAGGAGGAGGAGGAGAGGTTGGAGGGGGGAAGGGGAGGAAGAGGAGGAGGAGAAAGGAGGAGAAGGAGGAGAAGAGAAGGAGGAGAAGGAGGAGGAGAAGGAGAAGAAGAAGGCATAAATATAATAGTGAACTTTATATCTTTCTCAACTTCAATAAGACAGGGTCCCAAGAAGAGACTAGGGTTTCTTGGATATCTGAAGTGAAGGAAGCATCAACCTTAGAGGAAGAAAAGGAACCAGACAAAGCAGGGGACTAAGGCTGGAATAGACAAAACCTCCCCATTCATCATTTGTTATAGGAGAGCCTGTTACCTTTAGCAAGATAGGACAAATAGGAGTTGTTATCCATTCTAAATCCAAGCTCTGCTGGGTCTGCATTATGAAGTTTTCCCCCAGTTCTTAAGGGAGAAAGTTTACTTATACATTGACTTCATTCCCAAAGGATTCATTGAATGAATCACACAAGGACTACAGTATATAAACTTGTTATTAGGTTAATGTAAAAGTAATTGTGGTTTTTGGCAATAAAAATGGCAAAAACCACAATTACTTTTGCTCCAACCTAATACATTAGACACTTATAGCTCAAGAGATGTTTTTTCCCTAAAGATCTCTGATAATTTACAATATTTGGGCTCCATGAAGCCAAGTATCAAAGACATTTGTAGACGTCACCACACACCCCACCACCTTCAAGACCTGTGGCATGACTTGGCCTCCAGAGAGATAGCTGACAACTTTAAGGCAACTTCAAAGAGGCACAATTTACATGTAATAAAATGCTCCATGTTAAGTGTACAGTTTTGATACATGCATACACCCATGTGATCACCACCACACTTAAGAACAGTCAGCATAGGCTTTTAAAAAGAGGAGCCTAGGGCAACCCACTTGGGTCCCCTTCCATGCTGTGGAAGCTTTGTTCTTTCGCCCTTCGCGGTAAATCTTGTTGCTTCTCACTCTTTGGATCCGCGCTGCCTTTAAGAGCTGAAAAAAAAAGATGAGCCTAACAAGCAAGTATTTGTAATGTGTCTTCTCCATATTCCCAGCCAGTGTATAAAATAGATTCATTTGGCATGGATATTAGGTTTAGTGGGGAGGAATGCACACTGCCATCACAGAAATGCCACCCACTCATTCCCGTTGCTCCGTTCTTGCTTGGCAAGTTATCTCCTGACTGCGGTTGGCTTCCCTTATGGCCATCTTGGACTTCCTCAAAGCATGGTGGCTTCAAGGCAGCAAGACTTTCTGTGTGGTAGCTCAGTCTTCCAAGAGCAAGAATTCCAAGAGGCCCAACCAGAGCTGCAATGCTTCTTATGACCGAGCATTGAAAGTCACTTCCGCTGCATTCTGCAGGTCAAGCAAGTCACTGGGACCAGCAAGGGGAGGGGTATGAGACCTCCCCTCTTAATGGGTAGAGTTGCATGTGTATACAACAGAAACTATCATGGAGCTGTATTTGGAGATTCTCTACAACAATAGGCCATAAAATGGCTTAAAGACTTTTTGGACAGAGCAGTGAACAGACGCTAAGGATATGGGGTTCAGGCTCTGCCAGGCTTGCTCAGGTGACACTCGCTGATCCCATAGAACACATCGGGGTTTCCTCTCTCCAGTCGCTTGGGGTCAAATGTGAATGAGGTGCATACAAATGGGGAGAGCCCTGTGAGCCTGAAGGAGGAGCCCCGGGCCTCACCACTGTTCTTAATTGTGGTGGTGATCACATGGGTGTATGCATTTATCAAAACTGTACACTTAACATAGAGCATTTTATGACATGTAAATTGTGCCTCTATGAAGTTGACTTAAAGGGGTCAGCTCCCCCACCAAATCAGTGTGGGCATTTCCCACAGGAACTTGGTGTGCCACAGCAGAAAGTCTCAGAATTGGTCTGGTGACAGCAGCATGAGCTGTGGATGAGAAAGCCACCATGAGAGCAGGGCCTGGGCTTCCTCTGACTTCAGCCCTCTGAGGCCACCTGCTGCCTGGGACCCATCTGTTCCCTGCCCTGAGGGCTACTGTTGGAGACGTTCTGCTAAGGCTGAGTAGAGAGGCCTCAGCCAGGCTGGATATTGAGACTAAAGTTGAAAAGGAGGATTCGATTCTGGAATAAACAAATTGGAAAGAAGAATTCTCTGAAGACTCCAGGGTGAGATTCCAGAGGCCTGTGTATTTGGGGAAGCCCGAGAAGCAGAGAACAGAGGAGCAGAGCTGTTGGAACAGCCTACAGGCGAGCAAATGGGGAGAAATGAAAAGACACCAGGCAGGCCCCAGCAAAAGAAAAGAAATGTCTCCCAGGAGAGAGGCCAGAACCGTCTGGAGCTCGGGGAAGTTGTCCGCCACAGCCCCAGCCTGGCCGCCGCAGCAGGAATCTCTATGCATGTGCCGAAGGTGGCACCAGGGGGTGCACACGGGGGAGGAGCCCTTCATCTGCAGCACATGCAGCAAGGCCTTCAGTCAGCACTCCAGCCTCACTGTGCACCAGGTGTGCACACAGCGTGAAGCCATCCATGTGCCCTGAGTGCAGCAAGACCTCAGCCACAGACAGCTCTTGCCTCCTGATGCACCAGAGGAGCCACACAGGCAAGAGGCCCTGTGAGTGCTCTGAATGCGGCAAGGCTTTCACCCGCAGCTCTGACCTCCTGGTGCCCCAGGGGACGCACGGTGGGGAGAAACCCCATCGCTGCACCCAGTGCTCAGTGTGGGAAGGCCTTTGGCCAGAGCTCCCACCTCATCTTTCACCAGACCACTCATGCCTGGAGGAAACACCAGCTGGTTTTCCTGAGCAGATCCTAGTGTTGATGCCCCAGGGCTTCAGGTCCAACACTGAATCCAAGTAAGAGCAAGCTGAGCCTTTGTCAGCAACCTAGCTCCGTGCCAGGAGCTGTGGAACAAGGCTGGGGCAGGCTCCCCCAGGGTCTTTGGAGAGACAAGATACACGCACATGTAAACATACACAAGTGACCAAATGCACCAGGTGACAAGACAGGATAAAGTGCTGAAGCATGTGAGAGATGGCAAGATTGGCCTGGAGGGGGTGCTGAGGCGAGGCCTCACTGGGCTGGTTCTGGGAGAATGGCTTGGCACCAGGTTGAGGGGAGGCAACCTGGGGAGGGGACCAAGCTAAGCACAAGGAAGACTCCATGTGGGCCCCAGTGAAAGGAGAGACTGAATACGGAGTCTCAAGTCAGGCTTGAGATGCACATGGGGAAGTGGAGGGTTCAGGTCCGAAGCCCTGGTGTGTGAGAGCTACAACCAAATCCACAGTCCCGCCCACACTACTGGGTTTCCTGTGCCAGGGTGACCCGAGGTGAGCCATTGAGCATCACTGTCACAGCTGTCCAGGGCAAAACAGATGTTGTGTGCTCTGATTCAATGCCCTGGGTCCTCCACTGACACTGCCACAAGCAAGCTTGCAGCCCCAGGAGCAGTGGCACGGCTCTGCCTGCTTCCCACTCTCCAAATCTCTTACAAGCACATCTGGTTAGTAGGACCTACCTAGAGCACACCAGAACCCTAGCTGCAAGGGAGTCTAGGAAACGTAGTGATTTGCTTTCCATGCTCTGCAGTATAGCTAGACATACCAGAAGGGGCTGGAATGGATGTGGAGTACCATTCTACCATATCCACCACAGAAATCTACAGTACTAGTCCTGGAATACACTTGAGAAGGATTGTTCTCAACAGAGAATGAGGGGTAAATTCTGTGACTTTGAAGCACTAAAATCTACCTCACTGAATTCTGTCCTTAGGGACCCATCCCTTCAACTCCCCAGCAGAGGCCAATCCAGGGTCTTCCATTAACATGGGGAAGCACACTTTCTGCAGGCATAAACACACCAAGGCAAATCTCGGTGGGTTTACCTTACCTTACACAGAGAAGGCCCATAAAATCTCCTGCATTTGCTACCACTGGGACTTGGCTATCCTTGAACTTTTCATTTCGATGAATTGCTTTTCTAAATGTGCTATATGTGCTGCTCAAGTGAGCACAGGGAATTTTTTTCCTAATTTTGCCTCCTTTTTAAAGGGTCACCATGCCCCTCTGTCCTCCTGACTTTCCCCGTTACCATGTGCTTTAATAGCTCAGCATGTACTTGTGTTACCAACACAAGATTTATTCAGGCCCCAGTTCTTTATTTGTAACAGCTTTTAAGCCTCCTCCTCCTTTTCCTCAGCAAAAAAACAAGGAAACCAAGCAGCTACCAATCCTGACAGCTTTTATCCAATACTCAAGCATTCGTCCACTCTCGATATTCCTGTCACTAACGGCTGTGTCATCAGCGGACTTCTTCGGCGACAATCAGATCTTGATGGATCACACTGGCAAAAACACATTAAAGAAGATCGCATTAATTCCAGCCCCAAATCCAAGCAGATAAGGATGATATGACTCAAGAACTCACCCTAAGTGACAGAAACTGAACTCCTCCTAAGGAAAGACTCTTTAGCATTCAGCAGCCGAGATTTCAAGTCTAACTGCTTTTGGTGGTAGTTTCATATGTGTATTTCAAAAATCACCTGGAAATCTCCAGCTCCTTAAGGCGGCTCCCTTTAAATCTTTTTGAATGACATGGTGTTGTCAATTGCCTCCTTCTACTGACATCTTCCATGTCCTCAGGCCAGTCCAGCCACTGACACAGACTAATATTTGGTGACAGATGGTTCCGTGAGCTTCTGGGAAGGCCATATCTCACTTTTGGAATGCGAGTGATAGCTGAGTTCCTCCAGAGCCTTATTTATTACACTATTACTACACACAAACTCATTAGATGTAAAACCCTCTGCCAGTCAACTTGATCCTGCTCTTCCCCAGCTGTCCCACTGGCAGCCCAAAGATGATGACACATGATGACACTGACAGACAGCCCGACTGCCATCTTCTGCCTTCCTAAAGTTAAAGCCGGGCATTACTCAAGCGAGGGGATGTGCCAGGGAAAAAAGCTAGAAAGCCTCTCTGGAGCACCCTGCGGTTTAATCACCACAGTAGTTCATGAAATGGTGTACACAGGGTGCCACTGGCCAAGCCTTCCTGGCATTTGCGAGCACACTCATTGCCACTGTATGAAATCAACCGAAATCGGATGCATCTCTCCCTCCAGTCCCCTGGGAATGCTGTCAGTCTTGCCTCCTGGTCCCAATTCTCACCGAGGACCAGTCTTTCTCTCTGTTCAGATATACCTGCATCTAGTCTCAATGCACACACATTTCTCATTGGGATTTTTGCAGCAACATAAGAAGTAGCACTTTATTTATTCACACATTCAACAGGAGCATCACTGGGGAATACTTGCTGTGATCCAGCCACCATGCCAGGCTGGATACATGGAGAAATGAGTTTGGCATGATCCCTGACTTCAAGGACTTCATTGTCTTGTAGGGAAAAACCAGATCATCTCAAGGTGAATTGTTTAGGGCAATGTCTCAGCTGCTGTGACAAACAGGCCCCAAAATACAGTGGCTCAGAGAACAGGGAAGTTCATTTTGCTCTCATTCGTTAACAGCCTCCAGCTTGGCAGGTGGCTCTGCTCCGCACGTTCTGAAGCCCTTCCATTTCATTCCATTTCATCCCTCCACCAACCCCAGGGGACCATCCTGGTCTGCATGGCCAAGCAAGTTCCAGGCACTGGAGAAGGGAGAGAGTGTGGAAGTCCTAGGAAAGAGATGTCCTTTTAAGGAGGGCCATGGGAATTTCTCCAGTTCCATGGGTGAATGCTTGGCTACTTGGCCACACCTAGCCATGGGGTAGGTCAGGAAACATTCACCACCTGGGCAGCCATATTCTCAGGAAGAAGAGCAATGTGAATTTTGGTGGAAAACTGGCAGTCTTTGTCACACAATGCTATGTGCTAAATATTGACGGGAACAGCTCAGGAGAGGCCAGACCATGCAATGGTTAAACAGTCTGGTTCAGGAGTTGGACAAATCTACATTCAAATCGCAGTACTCAACACAGTGTCATATACATAGTAAGTACCCAACAGTTATTAGCTGACAGCATTGTTTTTACTATTCCATGGAAACGCACTTGGATCGGATAGACTGCCTATGAGTGGTTCCTGTTAGGCTTAGATAAGGAAGTAAGCTTTGGGCTGAGTCTCGAAGGTCCAGCAAGAGTTCAGCTCGTGCACAATTGGGGGTTCAGTCATTCTGGGCATGGGTGTGCCAAGGGAAGTGTGTGACCAGGATATTATTTTTACCTGTGAGCAGTGAGAATTTTCTCATACCAAGGGAGCTCATATTAGGCTCCTGAGGTTCACATTCTCACCTTGTAATAACATTGAACCTCAGCAAATCCCCTTGGGAGGATGAGAGAGAAGAGAGACCATCAACATACATCATGAGAATCAGTGAGCAGGAACGTGCTGAAACTGAGGACAGACAGTAGAAAACCCAGGACTATGATCTAATGAGAAACTCATCCTCCATGTCTTGGAGGATAAGAATCCAAACTGGAGTCTTTATAATCCTAAAGTCTCAAATGATAGTCTTTTTTAAAAAGTGTGCACTGCAGTCAGATAGGTTTGGCAAGTGCTTTACTTTTTTAACTTTTGTTTTAGAATTAAGATATTTTATTTTAGAATTTAGAATTAAAATATTTTATTTTAGAATTAAAATACATGGGTAAATTGCATGTCCTGGGGGTTTGGCGTACAGATTATTTTGTCACCGAGGTAATAAGCGTAGTACCCAATAGGTAGTTTTTCAATCCTCTCCCTCCTCCCACCCTCCACCATCACGTAGGCCCTAGTATCTGTTGTTCCCTTCTTTGTTACCATGTGTACTCAACATTTAGCTCCCACTTATAAGTGAGAACGTGCAGTATTTGGTTTTCTGTTCCTGCATTTGTTTTTTTGGGATAATGGCTTCCAGCTCCATCCATGTTGCTTCAAAGGACATGATCTCGTTCTTTGCTATTGTGAATAGTGCTGCGATGAACATACGTGTTCATGTGTCTTTATGGTAGAATGATTTATATTCCTTTGGGTATATATCCAATAATGGGATTGCTGGGTCGAATGGCAGTTCTAAGTTCTTTGAGAAATTGCCACACTGCTTTCCACATGGCTGAACTAACTTACATTTCCACCAGCAGTGTCTAAGTGTTCCCTTTTCTCCACAACCTCTCCATTTTTTGACTTTCTAATAATCGTCATTTTGACTGGTGTGAGATGGTATCACATTGTGGTTTTGATTTGAATTTCTCTAATGATTAGTGGTGTAGAGCATTTTTTCGTATGCTCGTTGTCTGCATGTACGTCTTCTTTTGAAAAGCGTTCATGTCCTTTGCCCAGTTTTTGATGGGGTTCTTTGTTTTCTGATTGTTAATAAGTTCCCTGTAGATGATGGATAATAGGCTTTTGTTGGATGCATAGTTTGCAAATACTGTCTCCCATTCTGTAGGTTGTCTGTTTACTCTGTTGATAGTTCTTTTGGCTGCGCAGACGCTCTTTAGTTTAATTAAGTCCCAGTTGTCAATTTTTGTTTTTGTTGCAATTGCTTTTGGCATTTTCATCAGGAAACTTTTGCCGGGGCCTATGTTCACAATGATATTTTCTAGGATATCTTCCAGAGTGTTTATAGATTTAGGTTTTACATTTAACTCTTTAATCCATCTTGGGTTGATTTTTGTTTATGGTGTAAGGAAGGAATCCAGTTTCCATCTTCTGCATGTGGCCAGCCAGTTATCCCAGCATTATTTATTGAATAGGGAGTCCTTTCTTTATTATACCCCCAACGTGTGCGAGCTTCTTAAATTCTTGGAGTAGTCCTGTAATAAGGAAACTCTTGTTTTCCCCATTTTTCATTGAACGGTTTGATCACTGCATTCAACTGAGGTGCCTTGATGTGGCCAATGAGCAAATAATTTTGAGACACGGTCTTATCAAGTACCCTGTTCCTGTGGATGTTGGCCTACGGTAAATTTCCACTAACCATAGCTCCTTATCCCTGTGTGTGGTAAGCTGTCTGTTTAGTGACCCCCAACCCCCATAAGCCTCTCCTTGTATCTAATTCCTTTGAAGCTGGCTTGGCTCTGTGACTGTGGCAGAAGTGACATAGCACTGGTTCTAGGCCTAAGCCCTGTGAAGTTCTGGCAGCTTCTATTTTTGCACTTTAGGGGAAGCCAGCTGTCACGTAAGAAGGCCAACTACTCCGAGACAACCATGCTGTGAGGAAGCCCAAGCTCACCACATGGAGAGGACATGTGGAGAGAACCCAGGAACCCAGGCAACAGCAAGTGACTCCTTTCAGCCCCCAGCACTGGAGCACCAGAGGTGATGCCACAGGACCAGAGAGGAGCACCTGCCCGAAGCGCAGACTTGGAGCAAAGAAGCAATTGTTGTTTTTTATGCTCCATGTTCTGGGCTGCTCTATTACACAGCAATAGATATTCAGAACTGCGTTTTCCATCTGGCTGAGTGGAGTCCTGAGCAGACCAGCTAGGTCCCCTGATGCCTTCACCCTCCTTTCCTCTGTGGTCACTTCTTTCCTTATGGCCTAAGTCCCCCAGCCAGCATCTCCAAAGAACAAGGATGGCCCCTCCCTAGTCACAACACTATCATCGCATGAAGACCATTGACACTAACTCAAGAATGCCATCCAATATATAGTCCATTCACATTTCCCAGTTTGTACAAACATCTTCTATTCTAGCATATTTTTTTTAACTCAAGGAGCTACTTAAGGCTTCCTCATTGCATTTGGCTTTCATGAATGTGAAGAATTCCTGAAAGGCATTTATTTCACTAAAGAAAAAAGATCCTCACTAGAAGTCAGCTGGGAGTAGTGACTCATACCTGTAATTTCAGCACTTTAGGAGGCAGAAGTGGGAGGACTGCTTGAGCCCAGGAGTTTCAGACCAGCATGGCCAACATAGTGAAACCTCATCTCTACTAAAAATACAAAAATTAGCCAGGCATGGTATCATATGCCTGTAATCCCAGCTACTCAGGAGGCTGAAGTGGGAGGATTGCTTGGGCCAAGGAGGTTGAGGCTGCAGTGGCTGTGATAGTGCCACTGTACTCCAGCCGGGGTGACAGAGCCAGACCTTGTCTCATGGTGTGATTATTACCTGGGCAACTCTTTGCTCCTTTCTGAACTGGGAACAACACCTGTTCTACCTATTTCTCAGGTTATAAGTTTCAGTAAAAGTCATTTACTTGTGGCGAACACTATTCTAACTGTTCTTGTCTATTTTAAAATGTGCTTTCACAGAAACTGTTTTCATTTCTGGTCACACATACACACCTGGTGTGCTCACTGTTTGGCATATTGGCTTCTTCATGGGCCTCATCCACATTCTCACTTTATTTCTTGATGGCTCATGTATTTCTCTGTATAGTAATTCCATGCTGTGCCTTTCTCCTGTGGAAACGTCTGGTTCCTTCAGTGGACCTTTTCTGGGTAGAGATGCATCACTCTGCAGGGTGTTGCTTAGAAGGAGTGAGACCTGGAGTGGGAGAAGGGAAGAGGAAAGTAAAACAGTTTTTGCAGCGCAGTATCAGGAGAGAGGGATAGTAACTCAACACAGGCCTTTCCTGCCCCTGTTGGTGGAAGAGGCAGTAGGACATTTCCAGAAACCCAGAGGAGTCCAGGATATGTGAGTCTAGAAACGCTAGTCATGGCATTGAAATCAATTTTTTGTTTGCATGAAGAACCGGGCATACACACACTAATTCTCCTTGGTTTGGGCATTATCTGCTCCCAAGCTGAGTAAATTCACAAGCTTCTTATTGACATCGCAGGGGAGGATGCTGAAGGTTACTGGTGAGTTTATACTGCCTTTACATGGTGTGAAAGTCATTATTTTACTGTAATAAACGTTAAACTGTTCACAAAGATATGCAAAGGTTGACGGTGATCTCAATCCTTTTATGTTGTGAGTCCCCATTCTGCCAGTCCTCTAAGGAGGGAAAGGAACTATGACCCTTGGTTTAGATGGCTCCCCTCCTCCATGCTCTCCCCCAGGAGACCATAAGAAAACAGAAGGCTGTGGGACCCCACTGGCTATAACTAGGACCTTGGGAGTCTGATGTAAATGTTTACCTATTTTTTCCCAAGGAAACAGCATTGTCAGACCTGGGAAAGGACTTAGAAAAAAGAAGGCGAAAGGACAGATTGCAGTCTCCATCTTCTGTGTGGCCTCAGGGGACGAACCATTGATTAAAAACGGAAGGTCAATATCATCTCTGCTGGGTAAACTTGAGATCCTTGAAGAGCCTCTCAGCCCAGTAGGACTCTCAAGCCCTGCTCTGGAGTGAGCAGAAAGGAGACGCAGTGGTTTCCCCTTGAAGGCTGATCTTGGCCTGAGCTCATCATTAAATAAGAAGCGCGTAGATCTTTACGCTGCCTGTGCTGCCCTGGTCAGAAAGGCATTCGTCACAGCTCCAGGCTTTAATTTCCTAAAGAGGCTAAGGTGAAAGTCATTCCAAGGCTCTCTTTTCAGAAAATGGGAAATGATGTTGGCCCTGAGTCCAGAATAGCACATGGGTGCCTATTTGCATAGCTTGATCACAAGGCTTGTCTGTGACCACTCCTGACCCCTCCATGCTAACTCAGCCTCCATCTGCTGAACACAGCCAGTCCCTTTTCTAGGGCAGCCAAAGCTTTGTTCTGAGATTTCAAAATAGATATCAAATATTATTATAGCTGCAGTTTGGGATCATGGCCAACTTAGTGGTTATAAACATAAGTTCTGAGGTGGCCACATTCCCACTGTGGGGTGGGGGTCCAGGAGAAGCTCCTCCCTCTTTGCCCCCACCCACCATCCCTGAGCCCTTGACCCTCTCCCCAAAAGGATGTTCTGTGGGGCTTTGCATAGTTGTTTGCTTTGAATTCCCTGCCTCCTCACCTGTCAGATGAGACATAATCAGGCGAAGAACCAATATCCCAAGAAGATGGCTCTGAAAACAGAATCAGGTGTAGCATGGGGAACCACTGGAGACAGCAGATAGTCACTCATCTTGGCTTGCCCCATCCAGTGTGAATTTTCTGTGCACATAACCTCTTCTTGGTGATTTCTCCTGCAGGTCCTGGGTCACCTGAACACTTGGCTCTGGGCAAACCTGGGAGTGGCCAAGACCTGAAGCAGGAACAGTCCCAGTCCCCATGGTAGAAGATGCTTCCCTTTCCAGATCCCTGGCTGGCTGCATGCTGGGACGCCGGCTGGCTTGTTAGAGGGTGCAGCCCTGACTCTGCCACAATTTTTTGAGCAGCAGTTCCCAAACTTGAGTGACATTGGGATCTCCTGGAGAGCATATTAAAACCTGGATCCCTGGGACCCACCCCAGAGATTCCAATCCAGAAGTCAGGTTTGGGGCCTGAGAATATGAATATTTCCTACAAGTTCCCAGGAAATACTAATGCTTGACCAGGGACCACACTTTGACAACCACTGGCTTAGATCTCTGCGGTATCGAGTAATTACCCTCTGTCTCCTTGTTTTCTGAGGACATCCTCACACTGTGAGCAAACTATGATCTCAAACCATGGGACTCTTTTCTCTCCAGAGTTCATTTCACAGGTGTTTTCTGAATTGACTCCTGGTGGAACGTGGAAAGGAATACAAGTGCTGAGTTGTATGCTAAAAT
Source organism: Homo sapiens (assembly GCF_000001405.40). NCBI lineage: Eukaryota > Metazoa > Chordata > Mammalia > Primates > Hominidae > Homo > Homo sapiens. Next base: position 21,275,259 of record NC_000020.11, read on the forward strand.
AACACTTGCCACCAACCGCAGTAGTTGAGCTTTGAATTGGTTTCTGGTCAAAGGTAATCATAGATGAATGGAAGCAAAATAATTTTATAGGCTGGGCGCGGTGGCTCACGCCTGTAATCCCAGCACTTTGGGAGGCCGAGGCGGGCAGATCATGAGGTCAGGAGATTGAGACCATCCTGGCTAACACGGTGAAACCCTGTCTCTACTAAAAATACAAAAAATTACCCGGGTGTGGTGGCGGGCGCCTGTAGTCCCCACTACTCCGGAGGCTGAGGCAGGAGAATGGCGTAAGTAAACCTGGGAGGCGGAGCTTGCAGTGAGCTGAGATGGCGCCACTGCACTCCAGCCTGGATGACAGAGCGAGACTCCGTCTCAAAAAAAAAAAAAAAAAAAAAAGAATTTTATGGCCGGGCGTGGTGGCTCGCACCTATAATCCCAGCAGTTTGAGAAGCCAAAGCAGGCAGATCACTTGAGGTCAGGACCAGCCTGGCCAACATGGTGAAAACCCATCTCTACTAAAAATACAAAAACTAGCCGAGAGTGGTGGCGCATGCCTGTAATCCCAGCTGCTTGGGAAGGTGAGGCAGGAGAATCACTTGAACCTGGGAGGCAGAGGCTGCAGTGAGCCAATATCACACCACTGCAAAACAGAGCAAGACTATGTTTCCAAAAAAAAAAAAAAAAAGAATTTTAGGAATGAAGGAGAATTTAAACTTCACTGTCTAGTTTAACTACCTGTGAACCCATCTTATAAATATCCCATCTCCCAAAGTCCATTTATAAATTGGTTGTTTCATGCTCAGAACTCATCTCACGCAATCAGGGTTCTACGTGATGGCTAATGGAATGTTTAGATCAGTTCACAAAAGCTTAGTCACCCCATAACATGGCTGCAATTCCTAATTTTGCACAAAAACAAAAAGTAGGAAACTAAATTTTATTCTAACTTTCACAAGATGTTTAAACATATAGAGTAAATCAAAAGTTTACCTTCTAGGCCAGGCATGGTGGCTCACACCTGTAATCCTAGCACTTTGGGAGGCCGAGGCAGGTGGACCACCTGAGGTCGGGAGTTCGTGACCAGCCTGACCAATATGGTGAAATACCTTCTCTACTAAAAGTACAAAAAACAAAAAATTAGCTGGACATGGTGGTAGATGCCTGTAATCCCAGCTACTCTTGAGGCTGAGGCAGGAGAATCGCTTGAACACAGGAGACTCAGGTTGCAGTGAGCCAAGATTGAGCTATTGCACTCTAGCCTGGGTGACAGAGCGAGACTCTACCTCAAAAAAAAAAAAAAAAAAGAAAAAAAGAAAAAGAAAAAAGTTTCTCTTTTAAAAAACAATCATTTTACAATGTGTCATATTACAAATAATTAAGATAAAATTAAATGAGATAAAATGTAATTTGGGGAGCTTAGTGGATATCCCACCAGAGCAGCCAGCACACTTTTGAGAGCTTTAGACAGGGACTAAGTTCATTTCTGAACATGTAGACTTCTAGGGCAACTTGGAGAAATGGCTGATTCCAGAGCTGGCACAGGGAAAGTTCAAGATGAGCCTGGAACATCTTATGGTGCCATAAGAAAAGGGCAAATTCTAAAAAGGTTGGAAACATTGAAAGGATGCAGGAGCTAATCTGAAGGGGCTTCCACTTACCACATTTGAGACAATATGAACATTAACATAAGCCAAAATAAGGCCGGGCTCAGTGGGTCATGCCTATAATCCCAGTACTTTGAGAGGCTGAGGTGGGAGGATCCCTTAAGGCCAGGACTTTGAGACAGCCTGGGCTACATAGACCCCATCTCTACAAAAGAAAAATTTTTTTAATTAGCTGGGCATGGTGGTGCATGCCTATAGTCCCAGCTACTCAGGAGGCTGACGTGGGAAGATCTTTTGAGCCCAGGAGTTGGAGGCTGCAGTGAGCTATGACTGTGCCACTGCACTCCAGCCTGGATGGCAGAGCAAGACCCTGTCTCTATTAAAAAAAAAAAAAATTAAAAAAAAATCAAAATAAACAATGACAGCAAAGGATTACAACCCATAAATAAAAGAAGAATCCATCTGTCCCTGATTATACACACATACACTCTTTGTGTGTGTGTGTGTGTGTGTGTGTGTGTGTGTGTGTATATGGCAACTAATAACAAATATATATAAAGTATACATACATATACATTACTAGTATATTGTGTATATTATTTATGTGTGCATAGTAGTATACATTAACATACTGCATTATACTACATAGTATAATGTAATCTATATATAAATGGTAAATATAAATATACATTTTCAGTATTTTATATATGTGTGTATAGTATTATACTACATAACATAATGTATTTTAGTATATTATGGTATACTAAATTCATATTTTAATATATTATAAATCTGTATATTATGAATAGGTATACATGTGTGTTATTTTAGTATATTATGAATATATGTATATTTGTGTGTATTTGTATATAGCAGTTATACATTATTAGTTGGCATTCTCCTATGAAGAGCTTTCCCTTCTGGCCAGGTGCAGTGCCTCAAACCTGTAATTCCAGCACTTTGGGAAGCCAAGGCAGGTGGATCACTTGAGGTCAGGAGTTCGAGACCAGCCTGGCCAATATGGTGAAGCCCCGTCTCTACTAAAAATACAAAAATTAGCCAGGCGTGGTGGCACACACCTGTAATCCCAGCTACATGGGAGGTTAAGGCAGGATAATCACTTGAACTCGGGAGGCTGAGGTTGTGGTGAGCCAAGATAGGACCACTGCAGTCCAGCCTGGGCGACAGAGCAAGATTCCGTCTCAGAAAAACAAAACAAAACAAAACAAAACAAAGCTTTCCTTTCTCTCCTATTTAAGTAATAAATGTAGATGGAATGATGAAGTTAGAAACATCACCATTTGGGGCTGGGTTTAGTGGCTCATGCCTATAATCCCAGCACTTTGGAAGGCCAAGTCAGGCAGATCACTTCAGGCCAGGAGTTCGAGATCAGTCTGGCCAACATAGCAAAATCCCGTCTCTACTGAAAAATACAAAAATTAGCCAGGTGTGGTGGTGCACACCTGTAATCCCAGCTACTTGGGAGACTGAGGCAGGAGACTCGCTTGAACCTGGGAGGCGGAGGTTGCAGTGAGCTGAGATCTTGCCACTGCACTCCAGCCTGGGTGACAGAGCGAGACTCTGTCTCAAAAAAAAAAAAAGAAAGACAAAGAAAAGGAAAGAAAGGAAGAGAAAGAAAAGGAAAGAAAGAAAGAGAGAGAGAAAGAAAGAAAGAAAGAAAGAAAGAAAGAAAGAAAGAAAGAAAGAAAGAGAGAGAGAGGGAGGGAGGAAGGAAGGAAGAGAGAGAAAGAAAGAAAGAAGAAAGAATGAGAAAAGAAACATCACCATTTTGCAGCCATCATGATATTGAGTCACACAGGAATCATCAATGGATGTTAAAAGTAGTGCATGAACATATGATTAAGAACAGGGCATTTACATATTCTCAAAATATTCACTCTCAGATTACTTATTAATTACGAACAGAAAAATAATACCTTCCAGTGGAGAAACCTGGTGGTCACCACCTTACCCAAGAGATCAATGTTGGTGCCACCAGCAATGGGACATATCGATCTTCAACGCACTGTATAGAGATCAGTGTACTCCTGTGCTGTTCCTCCCCAAAATGCATGATCTAAAATGAATCATGAGGAAATATCAGACAAGCTGACATTGAGGAACAGCCTACAAAAGAACTGTTCTGCACTTTTAAAAAACATTAAGGTCAAGAAATGCAAATAAGGAAGAAGGAACAGTCCCAGATGGAGGGAGGGTAAAGAGTCCCAACAGCTCAGTGTAAATGTGTGACCCTGAGGTCCCAGACTGGAAACATTGCTGTAAAGGACATTATTAGGGGACAAAGGACAAAAATTGAACATGGACTGTTTAGTAATAACAATGTATCAGTAGTTTTCCTGATTTTGATAACTGAGCAGAGGTTTTGTAAGTGAATTTGTTTGTTCTTAGAAAATGCTGTCAGATACTCAGGGATAATGGGGAACATGATCCATCTGTCTTAGTCTGTTTAGAGTTGCTATAAAGGAATATTTGAGGCCAGGTAATTTTTTTTGAGATGGGGTCTCACTCTGTCACCCAGGATGGTGCAATTTTGGCTCACTGCAACCTCTGCCTCCTGGGCTCAAGTGATCCTCCCACCTCAGTCTCCTGAGTAGCTGGGACTACAGGTGTGTGCCACCACACCGGGCTGATTTTTTTTTTTTTTTGTATTTATAGTAGCGACAGAGTCTTACCATGTTGCCCAGGCTGGTCTCAAACTCCTGAGCTCAAGCAATCACCCACGTCAGCCTACCAAAGTGCTAGGATTACAGGTGTGAGCTACTGCACCTGACCAAGGCTGGGTCATTTATAAAGAAAAAAGGTTTATTTGACTCTGTTCTGCTGGCTGTAGAAGAAGCATGGCATCAGCATCTGCTGAGCTTCTGGGAGAATCTCAAGCTTCTTCCACTCATGGCAGAAGGCAAAGGGGAGCTGGCTGTGTAGAGATCACCTGGCGGGAGAGGAAGCAAGAGAGAGTGAGAAGGGCAGAGACCAGCTCTTTTTAGCAATCAGTGCTTGTGGAAACTAACAGTGAGGACTCACTCACCCTGCTCCCAGGACGTTAATCTATTCATGAGGGATTCTCCCTCGTGCATGACCCAAACCCCTCCTGTTTAGTCCCACCTCCAACCCTGGGGATCAAATTTTAACATGAAGTTTGGAGGAAAAACATCTGAACTATAGCACTAACTTTACTCAAATGGTTCAGAAAATATGTGTATGTGTGTGTGTGTGTGAGAGAGAGAATGACAAAACAAATGTGGCAAAGTGTTAACACGTCATCAAACTGAATAAAGAGTGTATGGGCATTCTGTGCACCATTCTTGCAATTTTTCTGAGAGACTGAAATTATTTCAAAATAAACAAGTTTTTCAAAGCACAGGTTTTCTTTTTTCCTGATGTGGGACACCACTAACCCTCTTGTGCTCAGAGGTCACCGTCAGTATCTCCTCACTCCCAGATAAAATCAATGCGCAAACTATTTTATTCAGACGGCAAAGCAATTTCTTTGCCTTCCCCCAGGGCACTGTTTGTGCTCCTTCCACCTTGAATCTTTCTAGCCTTGAGTGTAAGCTCTGTTTTAATTCAGGATTTCTTTCTTTTGGTCCCATCCAAGATCTTTGGCTTAGATTGGAAACCAGGTCTTAACAAATGGGTGTTAATGCTCAGATCTCACTTTCTGTTTACACTGTCCAGACACACCCATAGTCTTGCACTCTCACCTTTGAGTGATACCAGAGTCCAAGGCCATTGGTCAACTAATGTGTAACCAGGACCATTAGAATCCAGAGGATGAGGAAACTAGAGATGGGAATGTGGAGGCCTGGACCTCAAACTAGTGCTAGTGAAAAAGTGGGCAGCCCTCACTCAAGGGAGGACATGGCTTTACTTCTCCTGATCTCAGAAGATCAGCATTACAAGAAGGGAACAGAGAGGGACAGAGCATGTCATCCCTGTGCAGGGGCAGGCAGTTCGCTGGCTTGCATAGCAACCCTGCCTGCTGAGCAGACAGGCAGGAGTAGAAGCAGAGGGAGAAGGAAGGGAAACCTTAGCAGCCTGGCCGTGGGCGGAGGTGCAACTCCATCCACCCACAATGAGATGGTGTTGATCAGTCCTCCCTGTGGCCAACAGCTTTGCACTGAAGCAAGGCTGGTCCTAACTACACAGTTTGTTGTCTGTGGAACCTGTTTTCTCTCTGGATCAAGACAACTGGTCCCATAGAGATGTTCCTACCACCTGGCCATGTTAGGCTACTGTTCCAATTCTGGGTCCACAAAGAACAATGATTTCAGAGGCCCCCTAGATCCTTTTGCACTCCTGCTGCCATATACAAACTCTCTGGGAAAGATTTATACTTAATGAGGAGAAGAGTCTAAAACATGCTCAGGAACTCTCACTGCGCAATTTCATCTCCTTTAATGGGCACATCTTTTTTTTTTTTTTTTGGTGGTCTTGTTTCTTGACCCATTGTTATTTCACCACTGTCTTTTCTCCCATATAGATAATCATTCTGAAAATGTACTCAGTGGAAAAATAAAAACACAGGGGAAAATGAACACAAAAGTCTTACCTTTCCAAGCAGGCGCTATAAATATTTGGCTTCATTTTCTTCTAGTTTCTCTACCAAAATTTTGTTTTAAATGCTCACATGTTAGATGAGTAGATTCTTGTTCTACAATATTGAAATGATAAATAGCTAAGTATCCTTAGAGAGGTTTTGGTGTGCATTTACAAACATATGCTTACATTTAGGAATTTAAAGTTTCATGGTTTGTTACAAAGGTGCTACAAATTACAAAATTACTATCTATAGATCTACCTTGGTTTTCAAAAATTGCTAGAGTATTTCCATATTAACATACCATGTTGACCTGACCATTCCTCCTTTTTTTTTTTTTTTTTTTTGAGATGGAGTTTTATTCTGTTGCCCAGGCTGGAGTGCAGTGGTGCAATCAAAGCTCACTGCAGCCTTGAACTCCTGGGCTCAAGCGATCCTCCCACCTCAGCCTCCCTGAGTAGCTGGGATTACAGGTACACACCACCAAGCCTGGCTAATTTTTTTTTAAATTATACTTTAAGTTCTAGGGTACATGTGCACAACATGCAAGTTTGTTACATATGTATACATGTGCCATGTTGGTGTGCTGCACCCATTAACTCATCATTTACATTGTATATATATCCTAATGCTATCCCTCCCCCCTCCCCCCACCCCACAACAGGCCCCGGTGTGTGATGTTCCCCTTCCTGTGTCCAAGTGTTCTCGTTGTTCAATTCCCACCTATGAGTGAGAACATGTGGTGTTTGGTTTTCTGTCCTTGCGATAGTTTGCTGAGAATGATGGTTTCCAGCTTCATCCATGTCCCTACAAAGGACATGAACTCATCCTTTTTTATGGCTGCGTACTATTCCATGGTGTATATGTGCCACATTTTCTTAATCCAGTCTGTCACTGATGGACATTTGGGTTGGTTCCAAGTCTTTGCTATTGTGAATAGTGCCACAATAAACATACGTGTGCATGTGACTTTATAGCAGCATGATTTATAATCCTTTGGGTATATACCCAGTAATGGGATGGCTGGGTCAAATGGTATTTCTAGTTCTACATCCCTGAGGAATCGCCACACTCACTTCCACAATGGTTGAACTGGTTTACAGTCCCAACAGCAGTGTAAAAGTGTTCCTATTTCTCCACATCCTCTCCAGCACCTGTTGTTTCCTGACTTTTTAATGATCGCCATTCTAACTGGTGTGAGATGGTATCTCATTGTGGTTTTGATTTGCATTTCTCTTATGGCCAGTGATGATGAGCATTTTTTCATGTGTCTGTTGGCTGCATAAATGTCTTCTTTTGAGAAGTGTCTGTTCATATCCTTCACTCACTTTTTGATAGGGTTGTTTGATTTTTTCCTGTAAATTTGTTTAAGTTCTTTGGAGATTCTGCATATTAGCCCTTTGTCAGATGGGTAGATTGCAAAAATTTTCTCCCATTCTGTAGGTTGCCTGTTCACTCTGATGGTAGTTTCTTTTGCTGTGCAGAAGCTCTTTAGTTTAATTAGATCCCGTTTGTCAATTTTGGCTTTTGTTGCCTTTACTTTTGGTGTTTTAGACATGAAGTCCTTGCCCATGCCAATGTCCTGAATGGTATTGCCTAGGTTTTCTTCTAGGGTTTTTATGGTTTTTGGTCTAATATTTAAGTCTTTAATCCATCTTGAATTAATTTTTGTATAAGGTGTAAGGAAGGGATCCAGTTTCAGCTTTCTACATATGGCTAGCCAGTTTTCCCATCACCATTAAATAGGGAATCCTTTCTCCATTTGTTCTTTTTCTCAGGTTTGTCAAAGATCAGATGGTTGTAGATGTGTGGTATTATTTCTGAGGGCTCTGTTCTGTTCCATTGGTCTATATCTCTGTTTTGGTACCAGTCCCATGCTGTTTTGGTTACTGTAGCCTTGTAGTATAGTTCGAAGTCAGGCAGTATGATGCCTCCAGCTTTGTTCTTTTGGCTTAGGATTGTCTTGGCAATGCGAGCCCTTTTTTGGTTCCATATGAACTTTAAAGTAGTTTTTTCCAATTCTGTGAAGAAAGTCATTGGTAGCTTGATGGGGATGGCATTGAATCTATAAATTACCTTGGGCAGTATAGCCATTTTCATGATATTGATTCTTCCTATCCATGAGCATGGAATGTTCTTCCATTTGTTTGTGTCCTGTTTTATTTCGTCGAGCAGTGGTTTGTAGTTCTCCTTGAAGAGGTCCTTCACATCCCTTGTAATTTGGATTCCTAGGTATTTCTCTTTGAAGCAATTGTTAGTGGGCATTCACTCATGATTTGGCCCTCTGTTTGTCTGTTATTGGTGTATAGGAATGCTTGTGATTTTTGCACATTGATTTTGTATCCTGAGACTGTGCTGAAGTTGCTTATCAGCTTAAGGAGATTTGGGGCTAAGACGATGGGGTTTTCTAAATATACAATCATGTCATCTGCAAACAGGGACAATTTGACTTCCTTTTTTCCTAATTGAATACCCTTTATTTATTTCCCCTGCCTAATTGCCCTGGCCAGAACTTCCAATATTATGTTGAATAGGAGTGGTGAGAGAGGGCATCCCTGTTTTGTGAAGCCTGGCTAATTTTTATTTTTTAATTTTTATTTATTTATGTATTTATTTTTTGAGATGGAGTCTTGTTCTGTTGCCCCTGAGCTGGAGAGCAGTGGAACAATCTCAGCTCACCACAACCTGTTTCCTGATTTCAAGCGATTCTCCTGCCTCAGCCTCCCAAGTAGCTGGGATTACAGGCACGTGCCACAGCGCCCAGCTAATTTTTTTTTTTTTTTTTTTTTTTTTTTTTTTGTATTTTCAGTAGAGACAGGGTTTCACCATGTTGGCCAGGCTGGTCTTGAACTCCTGACCTCAGGTGATCTGCCTGCCTTGGCCTCCCAAAGTGCTGGGATTACAGGTGTGAGCCACCATGCCCGGCCTATTTTTAATTTTTTTTAATAGAAACTGGGTCTCCCTATATTGCCCAGGCTGGTCTTGAACTCGTGACCTCAGGTGATCCTCCTGCCTCGACCTCCAAAAGTCCTGGGATTACAGACATGAGCTACCACACCCAGCCTACCCTCTTCTTGAAACATGTTCTTCTCTTGGCCTCCAGGACACGCTCTTGATTTCCCTCCCATCTCACAGGCTATCCTTCTTCGTCTCCTCTGAGATTTCTCCTTATCCATTTTTTTTTTTTTTGAGATAGAGTTTCTGTCTTCTTGCCCAGGCTAGAGTGCAATGGCACGATCTCGGCTCACTGTAACCTCTGCCTCCCAGGTTCAAGCAATTCTCCTGCCTCAGCCTCCCGAGCAGCTGGGATTATAGGCATGGGCCACCATGACCGGCTCATTTTGTATTTTTAGTAGAGACGGGGTTTCTCCATGTTGGTCAGGCTAGTCTCGAACTCCCGACCTAAGACTCTAGACTCAAAGAGTGAGCCACGTACTGATCAAAATGAATCTGAATTTAAAATAACATCTATACCTAGGTACCTAACAATGAAAGTTTACACTATCAAGAAAAAGATCTTTTTAAAATCTAGGAAGGAAAACTGATCACAAAAGAATGAAAGCATATGAGCATAAAAATTAAGTCCTTCTGGTTTCCACACTAGCTCTGACATTTATCAGCTGAGTGACCTTGGGTATGATACTCGACCCTGCTGTGTTTCCATTTTCTCATCTGTAATAATAATAAACATAACAATAATCATTATTTTTCTGAGACGGAGTCTCTAGGCTGGAGTGCAGTGGTGCGATCTCGGCTCACTGCAACCTCCGCCTCCCAGGTTCAAGTGATTCTCCTGCCTCAGCCTCCCAAGTAGCTGGGACTACAGGCACGCCACCACGTGCAGCTAATTTTTGTATTTTTAGTAGAGATGGGGTTTCACCATGTTAGCCAGGATGGTCTGGATCTCTTGACCTCGTGATCCACCCACCTCAGCCTCCCAAAGTGCTGGGATGACAGGCGTGAGCCACCGCTCCCCGCCTCTCCTTATCCTTTAGAGTTCACAATACTGGAGTACCTTGGGGCTCAGTCTCCAGAACTCTTCTCTTCCTTTTTAACGTGAAACCAAAGTAATTGCATCCATATTTGTAGCTTTAAATCCACCTATATGCTACTGACTTCCAAATTTAAGTGTCCAGCCCAGATTCCTCCCATGGATTTCAGATTCACAGATCCACCTGCCTACTCAGCATCTCCACTTGGAAGTTTAATTTAAATATCAGATTTAACAAGTCCCATTTTGAATCCCTGATTTCTCCCCCAAGCCTGTGCCTCTGTCATTCTTCACGTCTTAGTAAATGACAACTTCATTCCTCCAAGTATCAAGGCCTAAATTGTTGGTTTCATCCCTTTTTCTTTTTTTCATATTCCACAGTTACAAATCCTGTCATCTTTTTCCTCACTGCCTCCACCCCTACTAACCTAGTCCAAGCCACCATTATCTCCCACCCAGACTAACAATCTCCTCACAGGTTGTTTCAGTTCGCTATTTCTGTGTAACAACTTGAAATTTAGTGGCTCAAAGCAACAACACTTCATTTATTATTTCCCATGATTCTGTGGGTTGATCAGGTAGTTACACAGCTTGATGTGATGTCATTTGGTGCACTAGGATGGCTGGAAGGATGAGTATGGCCTCACTCTCAGGGCTGGGATTTGAGGATGACTATCCAGTGGAAGCTCAGCTATAGCTGTTGGCCAGGGACCTTGATTCTTCTCCACCTGGGTGTCACCTTTCCACATAACTGCTTGGGCTTCCTCATAGCATGGTGGCTAGGTTCTAAGTGGGAACATTCCAGGCACTGAAAGAGAAACTGCATATTTCTTAAATCACAGACTAGGGAACCACTTCTGCACATTCCTTTAGTCAAAGCAGTCACAGAATCTGTCCAAAGTTAAGTAGTGAGAAATAGTATCCAGCTTTCAATGGAAAGAGGCAAAGAATTTGTGGTCATCATTAGTCCACCACACAGGTCTCTCTGCTTCTACCATTACCCCACATAACTTCTAGACACTTCCTTTTAAAATCATAAATCCCTGGCCAGGTGTGGTGGCTCATGCCTGTAATCTAATCCCAGCACTTGGGGAGGCCAAGGCGGGATGACCGTTTGAGCTTGGAAGTTTGAGACCAGCCTAGGCAACATAGTGAGACCACATTTCTACAGTTTTTTTTTTAATTAGTCAGGCATTGTGGTGTACACCTATTATGCCAGCTACTCTGGAGACTGAGGCAGGAGGATCACTTGAGCCCAGGAGTTTGAGACTGCAGTGAACTCTGATCACACTACTCCACTGCACCCTGGGCGACAGAGCAAGACCCTGATCTCAAGAAAAGAAAAAAACCTACAAAAATAAAACATAAATCTTAGAGCTCATCAACAGCTTCTCCTCTCCTGGCTAATTAGACAACTTAATCTGACCCTTGCCCCTTCTCCTGGCCCCTCTCTCCTGCTTCCTCCATGCAGTCCACGTTAGTCTCCACTGTTTCCCAACTTCACCATTCACATTCCTGTCTGGAGGCCCTGGCAGTGGCTGTTTCCTCTGCCTGAATCCCATGGACCTTGGCACGCATAATCACTTCCTTACTTCCCACAGGCGTCTAATCAAAGAGCATTTCATCCAAAGGGCCTTTCCTCTCTAGAATAAGCAAAACTAATTAATGCCAGTAGGAGAAGAATGCGGTGTCTCTGGGTGGAGGAGAAATTGCCTGGAAGGGACCTGAGGGAACTTTCTGGGGTAATGAAAATGTTCTACATTTTATTTTGGGTGGCAATTACACGGATTTTTTTCTGTTGTCTATTGCTGCGTAACAAATTGCTCCCAAATTTAGTTGAAGAAAACCATTATTTTCTACCTCTCGGGATTTCTGCAGTATAGGAACTTGGACAGGGCACAGTGGGGACAGAGTGTTCTGTGATGTCTGGGGCCTCAGCTAGAAAACTTGAAGGCTACGAGCTGCGATTATCCAAAGGCTCATTTATTCCCATATTTGGTAGTTGGTGTTGGCTGTCGGCTGACCTCAGCTGTGGCCAGAACACCTACTTACACATGGCCTGTCCAGGGCCACTTGGCTTCCTCACAGTGCAGTTGGGTGGGTTCTGAGGATAAGCATGAGGTTGGTGGTGGTGTGGGCGGGGGGGGTGGGGGGGTGGGTGGATGGAGAGAGAGAGAGAGAGAGAGAGAGAGAGAGGAAGCACAGGCAAGCATGTGCCAGGTGGAAGCTGTCTTGCTTGTCTAACCTAGTCTCAGAAATCATATCACGTACATTGTATGCATTGTCAAAAGTTGCCAAGACCAGTCTAAAATCAAGGGATGGGGCCAGGTATGGTGGCTGATGCCATAATCCCAGCACTATGGGAAGCCAAGGCGGGGAGATCACCTGAGGTCAGGAGTTAAAGACCAGCCCGACCAATATGGTGAAACACAATCTCTACTAAAAATACAAAAAAATTAGCCAGGCGTGGTGGTGTGCGCCTGTAATCCCAGCTACTCGGGAGACTGAGGCAGGGGAATTGCTTGAACCTGGGAGACAGAGGTTGCAGTGAGCCAAGATTGTGCCACTGCACTCCAGCCTGGGTGACAGAGCAAGACCCCATCTCAAAAAAATAAAAATAAAATAAAATCAAGGAACGGGATCGGAATAGTGGGAAAGATGGGAACAGTGTCATAGAATTTTCAGACATGTTTTAAAACCACCACAGGTCTGTAAAATTGTCACAGCTTGTCAACTGAACACTTAACTGTGCATCATATGGTAGGTCAGTTACACTCCAATTTAAAAAATAGAAAAATGGGGCTGGGTGTGGTGGGTCATGCCTGTAATCCCAGCAGTTTGGGAGGCTGAAGCAGGTGAATCACTTGAGGTCAGGAGTTTGAGACCAGCTTGGCCAACATGTTGAAACCCCATCTCTACTAAAAATACAAAAATTCGCCAGGCAGGGTAGTGGGAACCTGTAGTCCCAGCTACTCAGGAGGCTGAGGCAGGAGAATCACTTGACCCTGGGATGTGGAGGTGGCAGTGAGCTGAGATTGTGCCACTGCACTCTAGCCTGGGTGACAGCATGAGACTCCATCTCTAAATAAATAAATAAATAAAAATAGAAAAATGGGCCAGGTACAGTGACTTATACCTGAAATCCCAGCACTTTGGGAGGCTAAGGCAGGAAGATTGCTTGAGCCCAGGAGTTCGAGACCGGCCTGGGCAACAAAACAAGACCTCATCTCTACAAAAAAAAATTTTTTTAAATGTAGTCGAGCGTGGTGGTACAAGCCTGTAGTCCCAGCTACTCGGTAGCTGGGACTACAGGATGGCCTGAGCCCAGGAGGTTGAGGCTACTGTGAGCTGTGATTGCACAACTGCACTCGACTCCCCAGTTATGGTCACTCCCCGTCCCTTTGCCCTGTTTTATTTTAGTTCGTAGCACCTATCACAACCCGTCACAGCATGATATATTGTCTTTTCCACCTGTTTGCTGTCTCTCTCTCCCCCAACCTGCCACCCCAAGAAGACTGTAAAATCTATATGAGCAGGCACTTTGTGCTGTCCACCCAGCACCTACAAACACATCTGATGCACATCAGCTGCTTAGTCAGGAGTTGTTGAAGGTAATTAAATGAATGGAGTAACTCCAGGAAGGGAGGCGGAGCCTACATAGCTGAAAACCAGTGGCAATCAGACCATTGATAAATAACAGTTATCAGTGCGTTAAATGCAGATCACCAATGTCACAGGCATTGAGACAAGGGAGAGAGCATCTCATCCTGACTCATGAGAGCTGGAAGGCTCCTTAGAGGTGACTCGGTTTAGCTCCTCATTTTCTGGGTGAGGGTAGTGGGATCTAAAGAAGATGAGAGGCTCGTTCAAGGACATACAGCAGCAGGCTTAGAAGGCAGGCCATGTGACATGGGTCACTAGCAAGAGCTCCAGGCTCTCGGTCTTCTGCAGCAGGGCTGCCTCCTCCGTCAAGTGCAGCATCTTTTAGGAAAGGAGTGTTCCTAGCCTGGCAGTGCAGTTAGGTAGAAATGAATGAGATGTCAGAAACAATATTGACTCTGAATTGGATGTTAAAAGTCAGGCTCACACTTTGAGGGTTGTCTTTGTACTAGACAGAAGGAAAATGCATTTTCTTTGGAGTTTTAGGTCATTTGTTTTACCTTTTGTGGTAGGATCAGCCACATAAAAATATTCCTCATCTTTGGGTGTCATAATATCCCCTTTTTTTTTTCTAACCATAGGCTAACGTGCTCTCTGTAAAAGGTAGTGATTTCTAAGCTGGTTCTCTTTAAGCAAGTGATTCCATGATAAACAGATAGAAACGTGTTCCTGCCATTCACTGGAACCTTTGTTACATTTCTGAGAGCACTCATTAATTTAAGGCATTCTTCTATTGTGCTGGACTAAATTCTACACTATAAGCAGCTCCCACATTGTCAACCATAGCCAGATAATGACTCATTTTTGCATAATACAAGTGTCCCATTCCCTGTTTTAGTTATTATTCAAGTTTATTGACTGATTCTATTTAAGTAACATGTGTTAGGACAAAGAAACACACTAGTCCAGGTGGAAGACTCATTTCAGAAAAGAGTATGGGGATTCACAGAACAGTGCAAATCAGGTTTTTAAAAAATAGAAGAAATGAGAAATGGTGCTTAAACACGTTGTATACTAAATTCCTAATGTATTTTCTCCTTCAAATTGATATCATTGTCTTACTAAGCAAAATTGGCCGTCGGTGATTTAAAAAATGCATAATTCTTCTCCCCTCACCCCCCTCCTATCTGGTTTTAATCTTCATGACTAGCATTACCTTGAAGAAACCACAGCTGAGCCCAGGAGACATTATGGAACCAAATCTTGCCCATGATGATACTACTAACAGGCACAGACTTCATTCAAATTCAGCATCACCCAAATAGATGATTTAAGTTGTTTGCTTAAGCAATGAATGAATAATGAGACGGGATGGGTTGCATTTTTCTTTTTCTTTCTCTTTGTAATTGTCATGAACCATACATTCCAATTTTCCAGTTTGTGCTTCAGTTAAAATCACATCAGTCCACTGAGTTTCTTCAGGCTCTCTAAGAGCCTCTGCTGGTTTCCTCCCTTTTCAAAGGCAGTGACTCTCAGCCATCCTGCAGAGACAGTACATTTGTATCTCCTACAAAGCTTTGCTTATAGTAGATGCTCACCAAATGTTTGTTGAATGAATCTTTGAAGAGAGAATGCCCTCTGTACTCCCCTCCTTTCAAAAAACAAGATTTCTGCCTGGGCGAGGTGGCTCACATCTATAATCCTAGCACTTTGGGAGGCCAAGGCGGGTGGATCACCTGAGGTCAGGAGTTCAAGACCAGCCTGGCCAACATGGTGAAACCCTATCTCTACTAAAAACACAAAAATTAGCTGGGCGTAGTAGCGCACACCTGTAATCCCAGCTACTTGGGAGGCTGAGGCAGAAGAATCACCTGAACCTGGGAGGCTGCAGTGAGCTGAGATCACAACACTGTACGCCAGCCTGGGCGAGAGAGCGAGACTCCGTCTCAAAAAAAAAAAAAGTAAAATAAAAATAAATAAAAAGAAAAGGGGGATTTCTAAAATCCTAGAAACATGTTTG
The DNA here is from genome assembly GCF_000001405.40 of Homo sapiens. Taxonomy (NCBI): domain Eukaryota; kingdom Metazoa; phylum Chordata; class Mammalia; order Primates; family Hominidae; genus Homo; species Homo sapiens. The sequence continues at coordinate 21,291,032 of NC_000020.11, forward strand.
GTATGGCTCTCCTTAGAGACAAATAAAATTTCAAGATGGATAATGTCTGTGAAATTTGTCTTAAGAAGGTAGTGAGTCACACATCCATGCTGATGCCTAACCTAGATCCTGTTGATCCTAACCCTGACCTTTTGGTTGGTCATTGTGTGTCATTGGCCACATGGAAAGCCAGGCAAAAAGCAGCACCGGGCCAGCCTAAGTCCATTTGCAGCCCTGGAAGCACTGTCATGTATGGCTCAGTTGTGGATAAGCAAGTGGTTCAATGGTGAGTGAGCAAGTGAAGCAAGCATTTACCAGGTCAGTGGAAGGCCAAGTCTGGAAAGTGAAATAAGGGCAGACAGTGGAGAGCCAAGGATGCTAGACTCGGGAGTGTGAATTCCACCCTACAGATAACCAGAGAGGCTTCCACATTTTTTTAAAAATTTTATTATTATTATACTTTAAGTTTTAGGGTACATGTGCTCAACGTGCAGGTTTGTTACATATGTGTACATGTGCCATGTTGGTGTGCTGCACTCATTACCTAGTCATTTAGCATTAGGTATATCTCCTAATGCTATCCCTCCTTTTTTTTTTTTTTTTTGAGACAGAGTCTTGCTCTGTCGCCCAGGCTGGAGTGCAGTGGCGCAATCTCGGCTCACTGCAAGCTCCGCCTCCTGGTGAGGGGTGACAGCGTGCTGGCAGTCCTCACAGCCCTGGCTCGCTCTCGGCGCCTCCTCTGCCTGGGCTCCCACTTTGGCGGCACTTGAGGAGCCCTTCAGCCCACCGCTGCACTGTGGGAGCCCCTTTCTGGGCTGGCCAAGGCCGGAGCCCACTCCCTCAGCTTGCAGGGAGGTGTGGAGGGAGAGGCGCGAGCGGGAACCGGGGCTGCGCGCGCTTGCGGGCCATCTGGAGTTCCCGGTGAGCGTGGGCTTGGCGGGCCCCGCACTCGGAGCAGCCGGCCGGCCCTGCTGGCCCCGGGCAATGAGGGACTTAGCACCCGGGCCAGCAGCTGCGGAGGGTGTACTGGGTCCCCCAGCAGTGCCAGCCCACCGGCGCTGCGCTCTATTTCTCATGGGGCCTTAGCTGCCTTCCCGCGGGGCAGGGCTCGGGACCTGCAGCCCGCCATGCCTGAGCCTCCCACCCGCTCCATGGGCTCCTGTGCGGCCTGAGCCTCCCCGACGAGTGCCACCCCCTGCTCCAGGGCACCCAGTCCCATCTACCACCCAAGGGCTGAGGAGTGCGAGCACACGGCGGGGGACTGGGGGACTAGCAGGCAGCTCCACCTGCAGCCCCGGTGCGGGATCCACTGGGTGAAGCCAGCTGGGCTCCTGAGTCTGGCGGGAGGTGGAGAACTTTTATGTCTAGCTCAGGGATTGTAAATACACCGATCGGCACTCTGTATCTAGCCCAAGGTTTGTAAACACACCAATCAGCACCCTGTGTCTAGCTCAGGGTTTGTGAATGCACCAATCGACACTCTGTATCTAGCTGCTCTGGTGGGGCCTTGGAGAACCTTTGTGTCTATACTCTGTATCTAACTGATCTGATGGGGATGTGGAGAACCTTTATGTCTATCTCAGGGATTGTAAACGCACCAATCAGCGCCCTGTCAAAACAGACCACTGGGCTCTACCAATCAGCAGGACGTGGGTGGGGCCAGATAAGAGAATAAAAGCAGGCTGCGAGCCAGCAGTGGCAACCCACTCGGGTTCCCTTCCACAGTGTGGAAGCGTTGTTCTTTTGCTCTTTGCAATAAATCTTGCTACTGCTCACTCTTTGGGTCCACCGTGCTTTTATGAGCTGTAACACTCACCGCCAAGGTCTGCAGCTTCACTCCTGAAGCCAGCGAGACCACGAGCCCACCAGAAGGAAGAAACTCCGAACACATCCGAACATCAGAAGGAACAAACTCCAGATGCGCCACCTTAAGAGCTGTAACACTCACCGTGAGGGTCCGCGGCTTCAGTCTTGAAGTCAGTGAGACCAAGAACCCACCCATTCCGGACAAACTGGGTTCACGCCATTCTCCTGCCTCAGCCTCCCAAGTAGCTGGGACTACGGGCGCCTGCCACCGTGCCCGGCTAATTTTTTGTATTTTTAGTAGAGACGGGGTTTCACTGTGTTAGCCAGGATGGTCTTGATCTCCTGACCTCGTGATGCGCCTGCCTCGACCTCCCAAAGGGCTAGGATTACAGGTGTGAGCCACCGTGCCCAGCGGCTTCCACAGTTTTTGACAATGGCAATAATGCTCATGGAGGCCACTCCTATAATCACCAAGCAGATATTTAGGAAAAATGGCACGAGTACTTTGGAAAACAGTTTGGTAGTTTTTTACAAAGTCAAATATACACTATTATGCATCCTTTATTCCCATTTGTTCCAAAGAAACGAAAATGTATTTCCACAAAAAGACTTGTGCATGAATATTCGTACTAGCTTTATTCCAAAAAATCCAACAGCCCACATAACCATCAGTGAGTAACTGGGTAAACAAATTGTGTTACATCTATACAATGAGATACCACACAACAAAAACAAAACAAAACCCCAAAACCAAAAAACTACTGATTCACACAACACAGGTGAATCTGAAAAACATTATACTTAATATAGCCAGATATAAGACTATAAGTAGTATGACTTCATTTACATGAAACTCTAATGAAACTAATGTATAGGGACAAAAAGCAGATCAACGGTCACCTGAGGCTAGGGCTAGGGAGGTAGTTTCTACCACAAAGAAGCAAAAGAGACCTTTTGGGGTGAAAAAATTGTTGTATATTGTGATTGTAGTGGTGGTTGCCCAAGAGTATGTATACATTTGTCAAACCTCATTGAACTGTACACTTAAAATGGATGCATTTCAATATGTGCAAATTATACCACAATAAAGTTGACTGGTTATAAAAAAAAGAGAACTATATTTGGGCATAGCTTTACACAAGGCCAAGGGGAGGAAACAGAAGAGACTTTCCTAGGGTGTTTATGGTTTAGTACGAAGCTGAGGTGCAGATCCGTGGCACAAGGCCCTGCGCTTAGGAACAATGGGTGGCAGAATGGATTAAGTGGCCAAAGAAGCCTATGGACAAGAAATACAGAAGGAGGCAGAGAGAAAGAGACAGAGAGAGAGAGGTGAGGGAGTAGGTCCACCATGGCCTGGAGTTAAAGAATGATACATCATTTTAGAGAAGGTCTTACTTATTTCACTCTTCCATCAAGGCCTGTTCAAATCCCACTTTCTTCGCAAATTCTTGCTTGAGTCCCTACCCACAGCAACCTTTTCATCTTTCCCTCTTTTGTACTCTTATAGTAAGTTCTGTTTAATTTATGTGTAAATAGCTCTTTAATAGCTGTTTAATTTATGTGTAAATGGCCTCTTTTCTCTTGAACTGCTATTCAAATTGCTTAGTGCTAATTTCAAATGTGCTTATGCCTTATCTAATATCTAGAACACAAGTTCCTTAAGAGAGTCCTGTACCTTGGATCTCCCCATAGTTCCTTAACTACAGCAGCTGGGCAGCTTTTGTAGATGTTCTTGATTCATCAATTTTCAGTTACTAAAACTGGACTGGGTTAACATTTTGGGGTAAGGAAGATAAACCTACAATTCTATTATGATTGTACCTAGGGACTAAGTAGGGAGGTATTGTGGTTTGTGAACCCGTTGGTAATTCATTCCACTCCTCCTTTAATTGACAGACCATACTTTCTATCACAAAGCCAAGACCCTCTTCAGGCAAAGGCTTCTGTGAGGCAAACTGAAATTGAGTTGATATAGTTACCCCATCCCATGATTTTATACGTCAATTTTTTGTTTGTTTTGTTTTTCCAATCAGGAATTTCAGCCAGGGCAGTCACGTTTGTGTATTCGAAGCCTGCCAACTCTGACCAGAAATCAGGTCTCCGTTTAAGACACAACTTGACAAGTGGATTACATGTTCTGGTGAAAGGCAGATAAATGTCACTCATGTCACTATAAATAAAAGTCTGGGCCTGCTTATCAGCTTGTAGGGTTGAGGTCTTACCTTCAACACTTCTCAGAGTGCTTTATACTTTATTATCCTTTAAACGAGGTCTTTTCCATCCAGCTTCTTCCAGGGAATTATTACTGTTCAGCTCTTTGAAACATATGGCTCCTGTCAACTCCCTGTCTTTTCCTTTAAGGAACAATACAACCTGTGGCCTTAAACAGAAATCTGCCAGAATTTTCTCAAATGTCATATTAGAGAATGAAATGTAGGAAGACCTTTCATAGTAATGGATCTAGGACACCTTCCATAGTAATGGATCTAGGATCTTGTACCTGCTTTACAAGCAAATCATGTTCTAGCAGGCTTTGGTTGCTTGGGGTTATGGTTTAGAGCATGGGATTGGTCATCTAAATCCATGTAATAACAAGTATGGTTTGCAAAAAAGGATTTTCATGGTTAGAGAAATTTAGAAATGCACAATCAAAAAGGCTCTAAGATGGTTGCAGAAATGTAGTCTGTTTAGCTCGATTTAATCCAGAATTCTCAAAGTTATTTGACCACAGAACCTCCTTTTCACGTATTTTTGGATACACTACTCACAAAAATGTTTTTGAGTGACTTAAGGCATTAACACAGATTGAGAAAGTTTAGAATTGAATTAAATAATCTTTTCTTTCTTTTTTTTTTTTTAAATTTGAGGCAGGGTCTTGCTCTGTTGCCCAGGCTGGAGTGCAGTGGCACAATCTCGGCTCACTGCAACCTTGACCTCCTGGGCTCAAGCTATCCTCCTGCCTCAGCCTTCCAAGTAGCTGGGACTACAGGCATGTGCCACCATGTCCAGCAATTTTTGCATTTTTTGTGGAGACAGGGTTTCGCCTGGTCTCAAACTCCTGAGCTCAAGTGATCCACCCACCTCAGCCTCCTGAAGTGCTGGGATTATAGGCATGAGCCACGGCACCAAGCCAGAATTAAATAATCTTTCTACATTTATCAAAGTACACTTATTGAGGCCCTAAAAAAGCACATTTTTGTGTCTATATATCTGTATTACATTTCTGTACACTTCTGAGCTATATTCTAAAGTTCAATGAGGATAGAACTGGATATACACAAAAGTGTTTTGTACATTTGCTCACCAATGTCATGTTCATTTGTACCAGTGAATTATACTTGGTGATAATGATTGCAGACTGTTTTAGGTAACAAGGAACATTTGAGACAAGATCTGAATATAACAAAATCCTGGAAATGTGAAAAATTAGCTTTGGGTGGGTTCTAGGAGGAGAAACTCGTAGATTCCACTTCCAGTTTTACATTCTAAGACAGAGGTTCTCAAATTTTTGGTCTCAGGACTCATTTATACTCTTAAAATCCCAAGGAGCTTTTGTTTAAGTGGATTATATCTATTAACTTTTACTATGTTAGAAATCAAACCTGGGAAAATTTAAAAATACAAATTTATTATCTTAAAAATAAGAAACCCATAAGATCTTACCATAAGCAACATTTTTGTGAAAATAGCTATATTTTTGCAAAAAGATCAGTGAGAATATTGGCATTGTTCTACATTTTTGGAAATCTTTTCAATGTCTGGTTTGGTAGAAGACAACTGGATTGTCACATCTGCTTCTGATTCAATTTGCTGATACTGCATGTCACAGAGTCTCTGAAAAATTTCACTGTTACACTTAAGAATGAGAACAAAAAGGGTAAATAACATCCTACTATTATGAAAATAGTTATGACCTCACAGACCCTCTCAGAGAGTCTCTGAGGCCCTTGGGGTCTCTGAATCACACTTTGAGAACTACTGCTCTAAGAATTCAATTCAATAAAAGTATTATATTTATTGAGAACCTACTGGATGCTCACCACAAGATAAATACAAAGACATGTCCTCGCCTCCAAGGAACCTGCAGTGTCCCCTTCCACACCTCATTTCCAACCAAATCTTAATATTCCAAGACTCAGTGTCATTCCATAATACTTCCTCCTTGTCATTTTTTTATCCCATTAGATGACAAGAGCTCTACTTTTTTCCTAAGTGTCTGTAGCAATTATTATCTGTGCAATTCATTTGGGATTTTGATCAAACACCACAGAGGGAGACTTATTATTGATCAAACTGTGACTTATTAATAGTTCATATTTTGTGGTTGTATTTTGTCCTTGCTACTGATGGTAGGCTCTTTCAGAGCAATAACTTATTTTACTTATGGTGCTCAAGGTAAGTAGTGAAGACTGTGGATCTTACACCGGTATTTAGTAGTTTGATTTGCAACTATTGAGTGTGGCAGAGACAAAGCTATGTGCTCACCAATCCTATTTCCTTTTCCTGTTCTTGAGCACTCAGACTCCTTCCCAGTCTCTCCTGCAATTGGGTTAGGGCCATGTAACTGGGTTTGGGCCAGCAGAATATAAGTCACCACGAAGCCTGACCCTTAAAAACACCCAGTGCGGCCCTCCTGCCCTGTCTTCCCTTTTGGTAGTGACTGTGGTGGCCACGTTGAGCTGGCAGAATCCCAGGATGAAAACAGCAGGATGCCCAAGTCATCACATGGAAGACCGCTCTGGAGAGTAGCCTGATACCACATAAACTAAGCTAATGAGGTTTCAGGCATTACTTGTTACTACAGCAAAGCCTACCTTATCCTGGAATATTAGTGGAAAAAGAATGTCCATAAATGAAATAGGAAATAATGTAAGACACAATACTATGTACGAAAAGAGTCAGGAGTGATGTGGAAGATGGGAGTGGGCAAGAGTCAGTTTGGGCTCATGTGCTGGGACAGACTTTATGGAGAAGAGGGGAAGAGATAATTTGAATGAGTAGAATTTGAGTTGTAAAAAAGGTGGTGGGAAGACTATGAGTCTCAGCAAAGTGGGAATGAGCAGGAAATATAAGTGAGGGAAAATGAAGACAGAGTCAATATGAGAAAGTTAACACCGTAACAGTGTGGTGGCATGCCTGTAGTCCAAGCTACTTGAGAGGCTGAGGTGGGAGGATTGCTTGAGTCTGGGAGATGGAGGTTGCATTGCGCCACTACACTTCCACCTGGGTTACAGAGAAAGATCCTGTCTGAAAAAGAAAAAAGAATGAACGCACGAGAGAAAGAAAAAGAAAGAAAGAAGGAAATAAAGAAAGAAACAGAGAGAGAAAGAGAAAGAGAGAGAGAGGAAGGAAGGAAGGAAGGAAAGAAGGAAGAAAAGAAAGTTAATACTAGCTGGGGAGTGGCAAAATGAGGCCTGTTAGATTATTAAATTGTCCAAAATAAGTGGAACATGCTAATAAAATTGTGAGGCTTCTTCAAAGCAAACAGTGTGGAGCACAACAGATAGCCATACAATGGTGATCACTTCCTGGTTCTTAGCAAGTTTTGGCCTGTGCACTGGGCATGGTATCACTGAATTTTCACAGAAAACCTATGAAGTCTATGATCCTCATTTTACAGATGAAGAAACTGAAGCTTAGAGAGGTGAAGCATCTTGAAAATGCATTAGTCAGAATTCTCCTGAAAAACAGGACCAATAGGATGTGAGAAGGTTTTATTTGAAGAAATTGGCTCACACGATTGTGGGGGCTTGATGAGTCCAAAATCTGATGGGGTAGGCCAGCAGGCTGGAGACCCAGGGAAGAGGTGCATCTGCTGGCAGAATCCATTCTTGCTCAGGGAAGGTCAGTCTCAGGGGCTGTAGTGCTGCAGTGTCCACTTTCAGGTGGTGCCTGCACATCATGCAGAACCACCTGTAAACCAGCCCTGAGCTTTCTCTTCTCTACATTAAACCCAAGTAGGCCTGGCATTTCTCACTCACTCACTGTGGTCTACCTTTTGGTCCATGTTTCAGTCAACCAACCCATCAGTTATAGCACTAACTCCCTGAGTTGCAACATTAAATGCAGAAATCTTGCTCAATCGGCCCCTATCAATATATTCAGCCTGATTCAATTTTATGTTTCTTCCATCTTTATCCCACACCTTTAATTTCCATTCTCACACATATTCCCTGAATTTCTGACTAAATAAGAAAACTCAAGTAGTTCTTTTGGAGTGTAGTATGCCTCATGGATCACATTTCATGCCTCACCTTTTGGGACTGCTAGGACTTGAGTCTAGTTAAAGTTCTAGAAGCCAAGAGGGGTAATGGGGGTGTGTCCTGAGGAGAATCAGCATTGTCTTGCGAGACAACTGTATCAGGTGAGGTCATGATAGATTCCTTAAGCAATGAAAGGTTAGTTCCCTCAGGTGGGGGTGGAGAGGATATATCTACTGGGGTGGAGAAAATGCTTCTACGGGCAAAGATGACTCATTGGAACTTATGAATTCAATGTCCCCAGTGCCATCAAGGTCTTTCCATATGCCCCCATTCCAACTTTCAGGATCCAATTCGTTCCCAATCAATGCCCTCACTTTAGAAGTAGACAACCTGCAAAGTCAAAAATTCAATCTGCACTTTAATTCAGCCACTTACAGGATGTGATTCGGAGTTGATTTTTAACAATCTTGGCTCTGCAGCTATAGGAGATAAGGGTCTCTTTCAGGGCAGAAATAGAAAGTTTCAGGTCACTTATGTTATACTTGAGCTGGGAATTTGAATCCCTGAGCTCATCCTTTTCTTTTCCCACTTTGTCCAGCAACATTAGGGGCAACCAATCTCATTATACTTGTTATTTTGGCAAATATGTTATAAAGTATCATACGCATGGTCACCCAGATCCTGCTTCTTTTTAGTTTTGGTAATATTTTGTGTAATTCTACTACTTCATCATGCCATAGACTATCAAGTGTTTTATTTACTACTGGAAAGTCATTCCTGTTTTTAATCTAATCAGACTAGAGAACCACTTCCAGAAACCTCAGAACCAATTACAAAAATGCATCCCTAAGATTCCGTTCCGCTTGAACCACTTCTAGTACCAGAATCTGTAGCTGTCAGCGTTCTCTAGAGACATGGAATCAACATGTGGGCATATACAAAGACATTTATTATAAGGATTTGGCTCACGTAACTATACAGACTGGCTAATCCAAATCTGCAGTGTAGGCCAGCAGATTCAGGACTCAGGAGGCAGATTACATCTCAAGGCAGTTGGCTAGAGAATTCCCTCTTGCTTGGGGGCCAGACTTTTTGTTCTATTCAGGCCTTCAACTGATGAAATGAGGTCCACTCACATTATGGAGGGCAATCTGCTTTACTCTACTGATTAAAAATGTTTATCTCAACCCAAAATGGCCACAATTACTGTTTTAAATACATCAGGTTATTCACAATGAATTTTGTAAGGATAAAGAAGGAAAGGAATCACTTGGTAGAAGGACCAATAGTAGGCAAAAAAAAACTGAGAATTTTTTTCTATGATAATTACAATGTTAATGGGGCTTAAAAATGAATTGATGAATATTTAAAAACATCCTAGTTTCCACATATTATATATTTTTCATATTGTTTTTCACATTAATGTAATCCAGATACTAGCTGTGGCCTTCCTCTCTCCCTTTGAGATCTGGGCAAAAATGTTTCAAAACCTCTGGGTTCTCTGCCTGTATAAGTCCAAAGTCTGGTTCAGTATTTCTGCTAATTTATTTTCTTTTTTTTTTTTTTTTTTTTTTTAGATAGCTTCTCGCTCTGTCACCCAGGCTGTAGCACAGTGGTGCAATCATAGCTCACTGCAGCCTTAAACTCTTGGGCTCAAGTGATCCTCCTGTCTTAGTCTCCCCATTTGCTAGGATTACAGATGTGAACCACCACACCTGGCCTCCCTGCTAATTTCCAACACTAATAAATTCTCACCTCTTCTGCTTCTAGAGGTCTGCTATGTTGCCCACCCCGTGGTGGTTCCAAACCACAGTGACCCCAACTGGAGACTTTTTATTTGATTTCTACAAGAAAAACCCATACCAAGCCTGAGTCTGACAGGCTTTACTGGACACATTGGGCCAGGGAAAGTGTCACAATACTTAGTCCATATCCTCCTGCCGCCTTTCAAGTTTCTTCTCTCTTTTACCCACTCCTTCTCTGAGTGCCAAAACTCCAATTTTAGTACTTCTATGCAAACCAATTTCACCACCCAGGTGAATTAGCTTGCACTCCCCAAATTTTGTTACTGGACTCTTTCCTTTGTAAGGGATAAGAATTTAGCCCAAGCCAGCTTAGGGCAAAAGGAAACTTTTGGCTGGGAGTGGTGGCTCACACCTGGAATCCCAGCACTTTGGGAGGCCAAGGCGGGCGGATCACAAGGTCAAGAGATTGAGACCATCCTGGCCAACATGGTAAAACCCCATCTCTACTAAAAATACAAAAATTAGCCGGGCGTGGTGGCGCACATTGGTAGTCCCGGCTACTTGGGAGGCTGAGGCAGGAGAATCGCTTGAACCTGGGAGGTGGAGGTTGCAGTGAACCGAGATGGTGCCACTGCACTCCAGCCTGGCAACAGAGTGAGACTCTGTCTTAAAAAAAAAAAAAAAAAAAAATTTGGCTCACAGAATCAAAGGACAGACTTAATCAAACTGCAGGAAGAGAGGGATTTAACTGGAACCAGGGAATTAACCCTGCTTCTCTCATTGCCTACTGGCAACAAGTCCCAATTCTTATCTTTTAGCGTTCACGCACTGGAAAGATGCAGTCTTAAATTTCTTATGGTTCAAAGCTCAAAAATGCTGGTAAGGCTGGGTGCAGTGGCTCACACCTGTAATCCCAGCACTCTGGAAGGCCGAGGTGGGCAGATCACCTGAGGTTAGGAGTTCGAGACCAGCCTGGCCAACATGGTGAAACCCTGTCTCAACTAAAAACACAAAAATCAGCGGGGTGTCATGGCAGGCGCCTCTAATCCCAGCTACTCGGGAGGCTGAGGCAGGAGAATCGCTTGAACCCGGGAGGTGGAGGTTGCAGTGAGCCTGGATCTTGCCACTGCACTCCAGCCTGGATGACTGAGACTCCGTCTGAAAAAACAAAAACAAAACAATAAACCCTCCCAACCCGCCAAAATGCTGGTTAAGGATTCTAAATGGCTCAACTTGGCCAGCTGTCTATCCCTGAACTGCCTATGGTGTACATGTTCCTATAACAGCACCTCCCAGGGAAACCAGAGGGGCTGCTTCCAGGTAAAAGGAGGAATTTCACCATAGACATAATACTTTGGAATAGTTTTGGCTATCCTTAAGTAAAACACGGGATGACTATTTCTCTAATTTCCACACTAGTAGTTTAAACAAAGTAGTCATCAGACCACAGAGGAGGGGGCAATAAATACTGCCTGTGAGGTAACTCGGCGAAATACTTTCACAGAGGCCTCATGAGGTGAGCATTTAGCATCGTGTGTGATGTGTGTCAAACCAAGAGGGGATTCAGGGAGACTTCCAGGCTTGAGCAAACGGACAAATATACCTCCTCTTCCAGACCTCTCCTTTCATATGGAAAAAATTCGTTTGGGACCACCAGAAAACAAAAGATAAAAGTATCGTGTTAGAACAAGGATGGATTAAAAATGACCTTTGCTTGAACTGAAACAGAAGCTATGTGCATAAGTGACTTAACTCCTCTGTAACTTGGCTTTCTTATCATTTACACGAGGGTGCTAACAGTACCCTCACAAGGTTCAAGTGAAGATTACATAGGACAATCCCTTAGTCAATGTCTTGGTACACTGTAAAGGCTCAGTAAATGCTGGAAAATCATATTAGCAACTATTTTATACCCGTAATTGTAGCTGGAAGATTGTATTGGATGCTAAATACCGGCTAGATTCCATTCGGTAACTATCATAATTATTTATTTGCATAACAATCAAATTATTGGTGCAAAGCAGCCATTATTACTGTAAAATGCTTTAAAATGCTCCTTTTGATAGTCCAGGTACGTACTGCAGCACAAAACTAGGAGAAACCAGGAAATGGAAGTAACGAGTAAGTTTGGATGCTTCGATTCTACCCTAGATTGAGACGGGTGAGCATAGAGGCAAAAAAAGACATTTTCTTCCAAACAAGAGGTGACCAAACGGGCAAGGGAGACCTCCTCCCGGGCATGCAGAGCGCAGCGATTCTGTGCCCAGGGAGCCGGAGGGCTGGGGCTGGGAGATCCCGGCGGAGCCCCGGCAGAGCAGTCGCCCGTGAGCCCCCGCAACTCAGACGCGCTCGGCCTCGCGCTCCGGGGCTGGGACCACCGAGGGCGAGCTGCAGCCTTCGCCACCCGGTCCGCCGCCGGACTCCGCCTCCCACAAACAGCCCGGCAAGGCCCTTTTCCGCCGCTCCCTCATCCAGCGAAGCCTCCTTCCCAGCTTCCCCGGCGGCGGCGCCGTGACGTCACTTCCGTTCTCCAGCGCGCACGTGGGAGGAAGTGCTGGTGCCCTCTGCCGCTGCTCCCGTCTCTTTGGTTACGCTCGTCAGCCGGTCGGCCGCCGCCTCCAGCCGTGTGCCGCTATGGGAGTCCCGGCGTTCTTCCGCTGGCTCAGCCGCAAGTACCCGTCCATCATAGTCAACTGCGTGGAAGAGAAGGTGAGGAGGCGCCAGGCGGCCGCCACACTCGAGCCCGGGCCCCCGGCACGTCTAGGCCGCGGCCCATGGGCTCCGCCGCCTGCCCCCGGGGAGCCTTGCCGGAGCTCGCGCCCTGCTGCCAGCCTCGCGAGCAGTCGCAGCCCCACACGCGATGGGACGCGGGCTGTGGGATTCAGCACCCCGGGGGCGAGGAATTCAGGACCCTCGGCGGGGCAAGGGCCTATAGGGTTCCGAACTCGCAGGAGGGTCGCTCCTCCCCTACTCGCTTTTTCCCGGCACCGGAAGGCCCCGCCCACTGCTTTGTTTCCTCTCCAGACCGCGCATTTTGGGTCTCGGAAGAGGTTCAGAGGCTGTTGTTGAGCAATGCATGCCAGGTCAGCTGAGCTAGCGGGTTATGGATGCACGGATTCGGAGGCCAGCTTTTTGACAACCTTGTAAAGGAATCCCTGGCGGCGACCTTTTCGTTGTTTACCAATTGTGCCGGAAAGGTTTTCTCCTAGTGTTCAGGACCATTTGTTGTTCTGGTTAGATTGGACGCTGAAAGCAGTATGTCAGGTCCAGGATGAGCGCTATAGAATTCTGAGAAGTTACCCTTCTCTGTGTGCCCTGACTACTGAACGGGGTGGGTGCTTGTTGAAAATTTCAAGATTACTGGATGTACTTGAGCAGTACAATTTTTGTTGTTAGTTAATACGTAAGTAGATTTTTGGCCATTATTGAGTTTTGTTTTTATTGTTTTCGTCATTCCATGCGGATTCGATTTTGTGCTCTTAATTAGAATTTCTGGATTGGAAACGTTCAGAGGCACATCACGCGTACCTCACTCCTTAGTTTTTGAAGGCAGTGCTTGCCTGTCACTGTGAACTTATTTCTGCTTTTTTTTTTTTTTTTAACTTTCTTGGCTTCTATCCAAGGAGGAACCAAAAGCCTTGTCTTAGTGACATTCCCACTATTTCTTGTTTTTTTCAAAAAGCAACTGCTAAATTGAATACTTGTTTCCTTTGTAAAATTTTAATCGAACTTTATTGAACTTTACTTGCACGTGGGTTAAACAAAAAGCAACAGTTCTTGCTCTACCCCTTCTCATCCCATTTCTCCACCTTTAACTGTTTTGGTTCTGTCTCTAAGTATCATACTTATACGTTATCACTTTTAGATCTGTTGAATTCTAGCTGGAATAGGAGAGGATTTAGTCACCTATTCAGCCCTCCCTCTATACTCTTAATGGAGTAAATCACTAGATATATATTTTTATTGGTAAGCTTTATAACTAAGTAATTTGCCTTTTTCATTCCATCGCCTGTGTAACGTATCCCTTGACTCAATGCTTTCTAAGGTCGATCTTAGCTTTTCTTCCCTTTCACCTCAAGTTTGTCAGCTGTACTTTTGCGTTGTGGGCATCCAAAATTAAATGATCAGGGCTTTGACTATACAGATTTAAAATGCTGAAAAATCAGATAGGATAGTTGACTATTGACACTGTGTAGATTCAGGTTATGTACTGTGATTTTGTTTTTTGTGCTGCTTTTGTCTTTTTCCCTGGGGCTGTCTTTCTTTTTCCACTTTACATCTTGCCGCGCCCGGACTCTATTTTACCAGGTAGTCTATCAAGAGTCATCTTTCTTCTTGAATAGTCCTTCTTGGGGTCTTATTTATTTTTGTTGCTGTCACACCTGGCTATTCTGTAGGCTTGCTGGAAAGCTGCATCTGGGATTTTATTATTATTATTGCTATCATATCTTTCTTCAGTGGGAGGTACTGTTTTCTGGATCATCATCTTACTTCATTTGTTTATTTATTTAGAGACGGAGTCTCGCTATGTCTCTTAGGCTGGAGTACGGTGGCATGATCTCGGCTCACTACAACCTCTGGCCTCCTGGGTTCAAGCCATTCTTCTGCCACAGCGTCCAGAGCAGCTAGGACTACAGGTGTGCGCCGCCACGCCCAGCTGATTTTTTTTTAGTAGAGACGGAGTTTTGCCATGTTGGTCAGGCTGGTCTCGAACTCCTGACCTCAGGTGATCCGCCTGCCTCAGCCTCCACAGTGCTGAGACTACAGGCATGAGCCACCATACGTGGCCTTTTTTTTTTTTTTTTTTTTTTTGGATTTTTAGTAGAGACGGGGTTTTGCCATGTTGGCTATGCTGGTCTCTGTCCTGACCACACGTGATCCGCCTCCCTGGGCCTCCCTTGTGCTAGGATTACAGGTGTGAGCCACGGCGCCCGGCCCATCTTTCTTCCTTTAAATCGTTTTCTTAGTTTTTATTCTTAATTCTTTTTTTTTTTTTTTTGAGACGGAGCCTCGCTCTGTCTCCCAGGCTGGAGTGCAGTGGCTCAATCAATCTCGGCTCACTGCAAGCTCCGCCTTCGGGGTTCACGCCATTCTCCTGCCTCAGCCTCCTAAGTAGCTGGGACTACAGGCGCCCGCCACCACGCCTGGCTAATTTTTTTGTACTTTTAGTAGAGACGGGGTTTCACCGTGTTAGCCAGGATGGTCTCGATCTCCTGACCTTCTGATCCGCCTGCCTTGGCCTCCTTATTCTTAATTCTTAAGAAATGCTGTGTGGGATGTGAGATTTCCGAGTCATTGTAGGACCCAAAATAGCTCCATTCTACCCTTATACACGTGAATGATCATTAGCTAGGCATGGAATTCGAGGTGTTTTTTTTTTCTTCTTCTTTGAGACGGAGTCTAGCTCTGTCACCCAGGCAGGAGTGCAGTGGTGTGATATCGGCTCACTGCAGCCTCCACTTCCCGGGTTCAAGCCGTTCTCCTGCCTCAGCCTCCCGAGTAGCTGGGACTACAGGCGCGCCACCACGCCCGGCTAATTTTTGTAGTTTTAGTAGAGACGGAGTTTCACCATGTTGGCCAAGCTGATCTTGAACTCCTGACCTCAGGTGATCCACCAGCCCCTGCCTCCCAAAGTGCTGGGATTACAGGCATGAGCCACCGCACCTGGCCAGGAATTCCAGTTTTAATATTAGGTTCCCTCAGAACTTTGAAAGAAATTGTTCTTTTGTACTCTCTCATCTAGTAGTGTTGATGACAAGTTCGGTGTTAATGTGATGTATTTATTTAACCAGCAGTTATATAGCATTTACCATTGTTTTAAGAACTTTATTATAACTTGTTTGATCCTCACAACCACATGACTTCTACTGTTGTAATTATTTTTATTACATACAAATAATAGAAGCACGTTATTTGGAGACAACCAATATTGTTATTATGTTATAATAATTACTATGTTTATTGGCCGGGTGCGGTGGCTCACGACTGTAATCCCAGCACTTTGGGAGGCTGAGGTGGGTGGATCACGAGGTCAAGAGATCCAGACCATCCTGGCTAACATGGTGAAACCCCATCTCTACTAAAAATACAAAAATTAGCTGCGCATGGTGGCGCGCCTGTAGTCCCAGCTACTTGGGAGGCTGAGGCAGGAGAATCACTTGCACCCGGGAGACAGACATTGCAGTGAGCCGAGATCCCGCCACTGCACTCCAGCCTGGTGACAGAGCGAGACTCCATCTCAGAAAAATAATGATTATTGTTATGTTTATTATTATTTCAGATGAGAAAATGGAAACACAGCAGGGTCGCGTATCATACCCAAGGTCACTCAGCTGATAAATGTCAGAGCTAGTGTGGAAACCAGAAGGACTTAATTTTTATGCTCATATGCTTTCATTCTTTTGTGATCAGTTTTCCTTCCTAGATTTTAAAAAGATCTTTTTCTTGATAGTGTAAACTTTCATTATTAGGTACCCAGGTATAGATGTTATTTTAAATTCAGATTCATTTTGATCAGTACGTGGCTCACTCTTTGAGTCTGGAGTCTTACGTTCTTCGGTTTTAGGGAATGCTGTTTGATGATTTCTTGACCTTTTTTTCTTCCCTTTCCAGACTCAGGATACTGGTCCTCTTAGACTCATGTATTTTTATTTTTATTTTCTCTCTCATTCTCTGGCTTTCCTTGAAACCTCCCCCAACCTTTGGTGTTTTTGCAGCTTTGTTGAGGTATACTTGACATAGAATAAACTGCAGGTAATTAAAGTGTACAATTTTCTTTTAACTTTTTTCGAGTTGAGGTCTTGCTCTGTCACCAGGCTGGAATGTAGTGTGCAATCATGGCTCACTGCAGCCTCAAAGTCCTGGGCTTAAAGTATATAATTTAATACAGTGCATACATCTGTGAAACCAGCACAACCAAGACAGTGAACGTGACCTCTAAAACATTCCTTCTGCCCTTTTGTAGTTCCTTTCTACTATCCCTCCCTGCCACCTGTCTTTTGCCAACCACTGACTGGTTTGCTTTCTGACCGTATGATAAGTTTTCATTTTCTATAATTTTTTATAAATGAGATTATATAGTATATACTCATTTTTTGCCTCAGTTACTTTCATTCAGTATACTTATTTTGAAATTCTTCCGTTGTTGTATGTGTCAGTAGTTTATTTCTTTTTTGTTTTTATTTTTTTTTGAGATGGAGTCTCGCTCTGTCGCCCAGGCTGGAGTGCAGTGGTGCGATCTCGGCTCACTGCAACCTCCACCTTCTGGGTTCAAGCAATTCTCCTGCCTCAGCCTCCCAAGCAGCTGGGATTACAGGCACATGCCACCACACCCGGCTAATTTTTGTATTTTTAGTAGAGATGGAGTTTCACCATGTTGGCCAGGCTGGTCTTGAACTCCTGACCTCAAGTATCTGCCTGCCTCGTCTTTTAATTTTTGGATAGTATTCTGTGTGTAGATACACCACATTTTATTTATTTATTCAGATGATTGATGAACATTGGGATTGTTTCCAGTTTTTGGCTTTCTGAAAAAGAAACCTATGAACATCTCTGTACAAGTCATTGTAGGGACGTATGCTTGCATTTGTTTGGGGGAAAAACATTAGGAGTGAAATGGTTGGATTGTATATTAGGTGTGTGATTACTTAAAAAGAAAAACCTGCCAGACTTTTTTTTTCAAACTGGTTGTGCCATTTTACATTGGCATCAGCAGCATATCAGGGTTCCAGTTGCTCAACTTCCTCACCAACACTTGATATAGTTAGCCCTTTTAGTTTTAGGTAGTCCAGTGTACTGTTACCTTATTGTGGTTTTAACTTGCATTTCCTTCAGATGCTTATTTGCTTTCTGTATATCATCACGGGCAGGGTGAGGCATCTGTTCAGATCTTTTGCTCATTTTTATCTTCGGTTGTCTTACTTAAATGTAGAGTTTGTTACATATTCTAGATAGAAATCCTTAGTTTGATATATCTTTTGCAAATATTTTCTCTTGATCTGTGGCTTGTCTTTTTACTTCTTAACAGTGTCTTGGGAGCAAACATTTAAAAATTTTAATGAAGTCTGATTAATTTTTTCCCTTTATATTTCTGCTTTTTGTATTTAAGGAATCCTTTGTCAAAGCCAAGGTCTCCTGTGTTTTCTTAGAGAAGTTTTATAGTTTTACTTCATTCTGTGGTTTCCATTTTTTGGTCTAGTCATATGGTGAATTATCGGTCTTTAAATGCTAAAGCCACCTTGCATTCCTTGGATAAACCTCACTTGATCATGTTGTATTATTTTTATATACGTTGAATTCAAGTTTGCTAAAGTTTGCTAAAGTTTTCTTGAGAATTCTTGAGAATTGTGTCTCTGTTCACAAAAGATATTTGTAGCATTCTTGTAATGTGTAGTTGAGATGTCAGAATAATGTTGACCTCAAATTGAGTTCCTTCAGTTTTTTGGAAGAGTTTGTGTAGAGTTAGTATTGTTTCTTCCTAAAATGTTTGATAGAATTTACCAGTGAGGCCATCTGGACTTGGAGTTTTGTGGGAAGGCTTTAAGCTGCAAATTAAGTTTCTTTAGTTGATCTAGAACTATTGAGGTTACCTATTTATTTATTTATTTATTTTTTGGATGAGCTTTTTTAGTTTGTATCTTTCACAGATTTTGCCCATTTCATCTAAGTCAAGCTTGTCCAACCTGTGGCCTGCAAGCTGCATGCAACCCAGGATGCTTTGAATGCGGCCCAGCACAAATTCGTAAACTTTCTTAAAACATCATGAGATTTATGCACAGACCTTTTCTTTTTTTTTCAGCTCATCAGCTGTCGTTAGTATTAGTGGCCCAAGACAATTCTTCTTCCAAAGTGGCCCAGGGAAGCCAAAAGATTGGACACCCCTGATCTAAGTAGTTGAATTGGCTGACATAAAGTTGTTCATAGTATTTTCTTACTATCCTTTTTTTTTTGTTATTAAAATGTTTTCACTCCTGTTTTTACTTCTCTTTTGTTTTCTTTTTTCTTCCTGTTAACTTGTTATTATCCTTTTAATATTGTTAGAATCTGTAGTGATGTTACCTCTTTCATTCCTGATACTTGTAATTCTACTTTCTTTGTTTTGTCCCATTATCAGTCTGGCTACACTGTTCTCAGATAACTAGCTTTTGGTTTCATTGATTTTCTTTATTGTTTTTCTGTTTTCTATTTCTTTGATTCTGCTCTTATATGTATTTGTTATGCTTACTTTGGGTTTAACTTGTTTTTTCTCTTCCTTGTTTATTAAGGTAGAAGCTGAGGTCATTGTTTTGAGACATTTCTTCCTCTCTGATATAGATCTTGAGTGCCATAAATTGCCTTCTAGATATTGTTTAAACAGTGTGCCACAAATATTAACATGTTGTATTTTCATTTTCATCCACTTAAAAATATGTTCTAAAACTCCCTTTGGCCCGCTGGTTATTTAAGAGTGTGACTTAATTTTCACACACATGGGAGATTTTCCAGGTATTTTTTCCTGTTCGTGATTTTTAATTTAATTCCCTTATCAGAGATCATATTTAATTTGAGGTCTGTTGAAGTTTATCAGACTGGTTCAGAATATGGTCTCTATAAATGTTTTATGTGTATTTGAAAAGGATACATTTTCTGCTGCTGTGAAATTTTGACTATAACTTTTGGATTTTTCTGTTTCTCCTTTCAGTTCTATTGGTTTTTGGTTGTGTATTTTGAAGCTCTTTTATTAGGTGCATAAATGCTTAACATTGTTCTAGTTTTTTGGTGGATAATACACTTATTATGAAATGACCTTCATTATTCTTGGTTAATATTTGCTCAGAAATCTATTTTATTTGTCATTAATACAGCCAGTTATTCTGACTAGTGTCAGCATGGTGTGTTTTTTTCTATTCTTTTATTTTAGCCTGTTTGCATCTTTATGTTTAAAGTGGACGTTTTTGTAGGTAACATAACAATTGGGTCTGGCTTTTTTTTATTTTTATTTTTTATTTTTTATTTTTTTTGAGATGGAGTCTTGCTGTGTCGCCCAGGCTGGAGTGTAGTGGCGCGATCTCGGCTCACTGCAAGCTCCGCCACCCGGTTTCATGCCATTCTCCTGTCTCAGCCTTCCGAGTAGCTGGGACTACAGGCGCCCGCCACCACGCCCGGCAAATTTTTTTGTTTTTTTTTAGTAGAGATGGGGTTTCATTCACTGTGTTAGCCAGGATGGTCTTGATCTCCTGACCTCGTGATCTGCCCGCCTCTGCCTCCCAGAGTGCTGGGATTACAGGCGTGAGCCACTGCGCCTGTCCGGGTCTGGCTTTTTTATACAGTTTGAGAATCTCTGCCCCCTCTTTTTATTGGGATAAAACATACATAAAATTACCATTTTGACTGTTTTAAAGTGTACAATTCAATGGAACCAAGTATGTTCAAATTGTTGTGCAACTGTCACCAATGTCTATTTCCAGAACAATTTTATCATCCCAAACAGAAACGCTACCTGTTAAACAGTAACTCCTTGTCCCCCTCCCCACTTTCTATCTTTATAAATTTGCCTATTCTAGTTACCTTATGTAAATGAAATCATAATATTTTTCCTTTTGTGTCTGGCTTATTTCTCTTAACATAGTGTTTTCAAGGTTTGTCCATGTTGTTGCATGTCTCAGAATTTCATTCCTTTTTAAAGCTGAATGATACTCCCATTGTATATGGGAGTATATGTCACACTCTGGACACTTTGGCTGGTTCTACCTTTAGTCTATTATGAATAACACTGCTATGCACATTGGTGTACAAGTATCTTTTTTAGTCCCTGCTTTCAGTTCTTTTGAGTATGTACCTGTGAGTGGAATCATTGGATCATGTAATTCTGTGTTTAGCATTTTGAGGAACCACCAAACTGTTTTTCTAGTCTGCTTTGTAATTGGGCCATTTAGAACATTTATATTTAAAATGATTATTGATGGCCAGGCATGTTGGCTCACGCCTGCAATCCCAGCACTTTGGGAGGCCAAGGAAGATGGATCATTTGAGGCCAGGAGTTCGAGAGCAGCCTGGACAACATGGTGAAACCTCGTCTCTACTAAAAAAGTAACAAAAAAAAATTAGCTGGGCATAGTGGTACAACACCTATAAACCCAGCTACTCAGGAGGCTGAGGCACAAAATCACTTGATCCTGGGATACTGAGATTGTAGTGAGCTGAGATTGTTCCACTGCACTCCAGCCTGGGCGACAGAGCGAGCCTCTGTCTCAAAAGACAAAAAAAGATTATTGATATGGTTAGATTTAAATCTGTCATCTTACTATTTGTTTTCTGTCTCATCTGTTCATTGTTTCAGTTTCTTAAGTCTTATGCCTTCTTTTAGGTTGTGTTTTTTTTTGTCTTTTTGAGAGGAGTTTCACTGTGTTGCCCAGGCTGGAGTGCAGTGGCGCGATCTCAGCTCACTGCAAGCTCTGCCTCCCAGGCTCACGCCATTCTCCTGCCTCAGCCTCCCGAGTAGCTGGGACTACAGGCGCCTGCCACCATGCCCAGCTAAGTTTTTGTATTTATTTATTTTTTTTTAGTAGAGACAGGGTTTCACCGTGTTAGCCAGGATGGTCTCTATCTCCTGACTTCCTGGAATTACAGGTGTGAGCCACCGTGCCCGGCCTTAGGTTGTGTTTTTATGATTTCATTTTATTCCCTTTGCTCACTTATTAAGAACTCTTTACTGATTCAGTCATCAGCTTCTTCACTTCATATACTTTAACTGCTTGGCTCATGCAGTCCTCCATTTATCAGCTTTCTGACCATCGGAAAATGACTTAAATGCCTAAACTCTAGAGAGCCAGAGCTTCTTGTTAAAACCAAACCCCAAGATTTTTTTTTTTTTTTTTTTTTTTTGAAGACAGAGTCTTGCTCTGTTGCCCAGGCTGGAGTGCAGTGGTGCAATCTCTGCTCACTGCAACCTCTGCCTCCTGGGTTCAAGCCATTCTTCCTCAGCCTCCCAAATAACTGGGACAACCAGTGTGCACCATGACGCCTGGCTAATTTTTGTATTTTTAGTAGAGGTTTCACCACGTTGGCTAAGCTGGTCTTGAACTCCTGACCTCAGGCGATCCGCCTGCCTCAGCCTCCCAAAGTGCTGGGATTAGAGGCGTGAGCCACCATGCCTGGGCCCTAGATAAATTAAATAACACAGTTCAATTGAGCAATGAACAGTTTGCCAGTTGAGTGGCCCTCAGAACCAGAAGAGGTTTGGGGAGCTCTTGAAAACAGAAGTGAGGTACAGAAACAGCTTAATCTTTTGGCTTATTTAAACATGGCCAGATAAGTTGGCAACCTGTGATTGACTGAAGCTCGACTGCTGCGATTGGCGGAGACTCTGCTTTTTGTTACAGAAGTATGCTCCTAAGTTAGGCTTTTCCTTAGTGGACTTTATGTAAGTAATATTGCAGTTCTTCAAGTGAAGAATCAGTAAGGAGCCATCCTCAGGCCAAATTTGGTGTAAGTTAACACACTACGCTACACTGTGCTGCTCCCTACAGTTTCCCCCTCTGGTCATCTCTGTGCAAGGGCTGAAAGCAGAAGGCTGCGTGTCCTCATTTGTTGCCAGCTGGGAATGTGTATGTTGGGTGACTCAATTTTTCGCTGCTCTGTGCATGTCCACAAATGACTGCGAAAGTACCATGATTATTAATTTTGGGGTTAAAAATAAATTTCAGTGAGTAGACATATTTGCAAATATGGGATTCATGAATAATGAAGATTGGCTATGTATGTATCACAGAGGGTGGTTGTGTGGATTAGATGTATTAATACCAGTTACAATCCTGTTACAGAAGCATTTGCTAAATGGCAACTATTTGGAAAATCTGATTTCAGAATTTTATTTGGTAAATTAATGTTTAGTAGTTTATGTGTCCAAGTAAAGGCAGAGATGTTTTTGAGTCTAACTCTTGGTAATACTGCGTTGTAGTGTACAGTGTGGTCTTACTGTTCTCATGTAATGAAATCCAGGTTTCCTCCACTGCCTCTTTTCTCTCTTCCATTTCATTGAGTACTACTTTTGTGATAGGCATCACTCTGAGGGAAGGGAGAAAAATCATAAGGTGGACATTTATCCTTGACCCTACATTCTATTTTCTCTAATATGATTATTTCTTTGGAGCTGGTTACCACATTCTTTAAACAGCTTTGTTGAGATATGATTTGCATACAATAAAATTCACCCATTTAAAGTGTACAACTCAGTGATTTTTAGTATTTTCACAAATGTGTGCATCCATCACCACAGTCAATTTTAGAACATTTTAATCACCTTGAAAAGAAACTTGTACCCTTTAGCTGTTGTCCCTCTAACTGCTGTCTCCTTTTCTCCCAGCCTTAAGCAACCACTAATCTACTTTATGTCTATATAGATTTTTCCTAGTCTGGACTTTCACATGAGAGGAATCTATAGAATATGGTCGTTTCTGGCTGGCTGCTTTCACTTAATATTATGTTTTCAAAGTTCACCCATGTTGTAGCATGTCGCAGTACTTTATTATTTGCTTATGGCCAAATACTGTGCCATTGTATGGATATACCACATTTTGTTCATCCATTTGTCTGTTGATAAACATTTGAACAGTTTCTATGTTTTGGCTATTATGAATAATGCTGTTTTAAACATTCATGTTATGTTTCTATGTGGATATGTTTTCGTTTTTCTTGGGTGTATACCTAGGCGTAGAGTTGCTGGATTATATGGTTTAATCATTTGAAGAACTGCCAGCCACTTTCCCAGGTTCTCGCTCTGTTGCCCAGGCTGGAGTGCAATGGCATGATCATAGCTCACTGCAGCCTTGAACTCCTGGGTTCAAGCGATTCTCCTGCCTCAGTCTCCTGAATAGCTAGGACTATAGGCATGTGCCACTATGCTTGGCTAACTTTTTTTTTTTTTAAGAGATGGGGTTTCTCTGTGTTGCCTACTGGTCTTGAACTCCTAGCCCCAAGTGATTGCACTATTTTATATTCCCACCAGTAGTGTATGAGGGTTCCAATTTTTCCACATTTTTGCTGTGAAGCAGGTTTACTGTGTGTTGCTTACCAACTTGTCTGAGTCTGAGGAGACAAGGACATCCATGTACAATGTTACATGAAGAGGGTTTATTATTTACAAATAGACAGTAAAGGACAACAGAAGCCTAGGATTCATTCTGAATGGGTCCCCCATGGCTCAGGAAACATGCCCGGGGCAGATAGAGTCTTGACTGCAGGGGCCACACTTACATGGCGGGAGAGGAACCCTGAAAGGCAGCCCACTCTGGGTTATACACCTCAGGGTTTATGTGACACACTGAGCTAATGCTTTAAAAAATGTCCTGCTTCCAGGGGTGAAAGGAACAAAGCCCACCTTGTCCCGGGCAGTTGCGCCCTCACTCAAGATGTTAAATTCCTGGGAGGGACAGGAGCAAGGCTGGACATTTTCAGGCAGTTCTTCCCTATTTCAGGATATTGCATTACCATCACATTCTACAGTCACTTTTGAGAACTATGAGCAAGAAAAGGAACTGAGTTAGTCCAAGGCCAGCCAAAGAACTATGCCACACTTGCCAACACTTGTTATCTGACTTGGCTTTAGCCATTCTAGTGGGTGTGTGACGTGGTATCTCCTGTGGTTTTGATTTGCATTTTCTGATGACTAGTCGTGTTGAGCATCTTTTCATGTGCTTACTGGCCATCTGTGTATCTTTTGGAGAAATGTCTATTTAGGTTCTTTGTCTCCTCTTCCCCCTTTTTTTTGAGACAGGGTTTCACTCTTGTTACCCGGGCTGGAGGGCAGTGGCACAATCTCAGCTCACTGCAACCTCCATCTCCCAGGGTCACGTTATCCTCCCACCTCAGCCTCCTGAGTAGCTGGGACTACAGGCAGGCACCACCATGCCTGGCTAACTTTTTGTATTTTGGGTTGAGACAGGGTTTTGCCATATTGCCCAGGCTGGTCTCGAATCAACTCCTGAGCTCAGATGATCCACCTCCCTCAGCCTCCCAAAGTGTTGGGATTACAGGCGTGAGCCATCATACCCGGCCTCTTTGCCCTTTTAAAATTGGGTTGTCCTATTGAAGTGTAAGAGTTTTAAAGAATGTATTCTGAATATAAGTCCCTTATAAGATAAATGATTTGCAAATATTTTCCCACATTCTGTGGATTGTCTTTCCACTTTCTTGATGGTGTCCTTTGAAGAATAAAAGTTTAAAATTTTGTCCGGTTGTGGTGACTCACGCTTGTAATCGCAGCACTTTGGGAGGCTGAGGTGGGCAGATCACTTGAGGACAGGAGTTTGAGACCAGCCTGGCCAACATGGTGAAACCCCGTCTCTACTGAAAATACAGAAAATTAGCCGGGTGTGGTGGTGGGCGCCTGTAATCCCAGCTACTCAGGAGGCTGGGGCAGGAGAATGGCTTGAACCCAGGAGGCGGAGGTTGCAGTGAGCCAAGATTGTGCCATTGCACTCCAGCCTGGGCAACAAGAGCAAAACTCAGTCTCAAAAAACAAACAAACAAAAAAGTTTAAAATTTTGATGATGAAGTGCAGTTCATCTGCTTTTTTCTTTTATCGTTTGTGCTTTTGATGGCATATCTAAGAATTCCATTGCCAAATTCAAGGTCACAAATATTTACACCTGTTTTTCGGAAGAGTTTTATAGCTTTAGCTCTTAAATGTAGGTTCATGATCCATTTTGAGTTGTTTGGGTTGAGTTAAGGTGTGAAGTAATAGTCCAGCTTCACTTTCTTGCATTGGCTATCTAGTTGTCCTACACCATTTGTTGAAGACTGTTCTTTTCCCCATTAAATGATCTTGACACCTTATCAAAAATCAGCTAATAATAGCTGTGTGCATTTATTTCTGGACTCAATTCCATTCCATTGATCTAAATGTTTATCCTTGTCCCAGTACCGCACTGTCTTGATTACTGTTGATTACAGAGCACGTTGAATTTGTCAATCAGTTTGGGGAGTATTGTCATCTTAATGTTGAGTCTTGTGTTCCATAAATATGGGATGTTATTTGTTTAGAACTATTTTGATTTCTGTCAACAGTGTTTTGTAGTTTTCAAAATATAAATTTCGTATTTCTTTGTTAGATTTAGCCCTAGTTTTTTGATACTATTGTGAGAATGTTTTAACTTTATTTTTGGAATACTCATTGCAAGTGTATAGAAATGTAATTGATTTTTATATATTGATTTTGTATCCTATAACCTTGCTGAAGTCATATATCGTAATAATTTTCTAGTGGATCCCTTAGGATTTTCTATATACACAATCATGTCATGTGCAAATATAGTTTAATTTCTTTTTTTTCTAATATCAATACCTTTTCCTTTTCCTGCCTAATTGCCCTGGCTGGAACCTCCAGAATAGAAGTGGCAAGAGCAGGCATCTTTGTCTTATTCCTCATTTTAGAGGGAAAGCATTTAGGCTTTGACCACCAAGTATGATGTTAACTGTTAGGTTATTTTTTTGTTTGTTTGTTTTTGTTTTTGCAGATGCCCTTTATGTTGAGAATTTCCCTTCTATTTCTAGATGAGTATTTTTTTTTTTAATCATGAAAGTGTTGGATTTTTCGAACGCTTTTTCTATATGAAGATGATCGTGTCATTTTGCTTTGCAATCTGTTAATATGATGTGTTTAATTGATTGGTTTTTGGATGTTCAACTAACTTTGCATTTCTAGGATAAATCCTACTTGGTCATGGTGTATAATATTTTAATATATTGCTGGCTTCTGTTTGCTAGTCCAGTCGTCTTGCAGTATCTGTGAGGGATTGGTTCCAGGACCTCCTGTGGATGCCGAAATCAACGGAGGCTCAAATCTCTGATATATAATGGTGTAATATTTGCATATAATCTATGCACATCTTCTCGTATATTTTAAATAGTCTCTGGGTTACTTAAATACCTGGTACAATGTAAATGCTGTGTGAATAGTTGTTATACTGTACCATTTAGGGAATAATGACAAGAAAAGGTCTGCACATGTTGAGTACCAACGCAACTGTCCATTTTTTTCCTGAATATTTTTGATCCATGATTGATCTATTCCACAGATGTAGAATTGACAGATACGGAGGGCTGACTGTATTTTGTTGAGGATTTTTGCATCCATGCTCATAAGAGATGCTGGTCTGCAGTTTTTTCTTTTATGTTTTTGTGTGGTCTTGGTATTGGTCATATTGGCCCAATAAAATGTGTTCGGAATTGTTGGGAAGAGTTCATGAAGAATTCGTACAAATTCTTCTTTTGAATGTCTGATGCAATTCAGCAGTGAAGCCATTTACACTTGACTTTTCTTTTGGGTAGTTTGCGGATTACTGATTTAATTGCTTTAACTTGTTATGGGTTTATGCAGTTTATGTCTTTCTTGAATCATTTTTGGTAGTTTGTGTCTTTCTAGTAATTTGTCCATTTCATCTAAGTTATCTAATTTGTTGGTGTATGACTATTCATGGTATTTCTTTATAATCCTTTTTGTTTTTATAAGGTTAGCAGTAATGTCCTGTCTCTCGTCTCTGATTCTAGTAACTTGAGTCTTCCCTCTTTTTTCTTTCATCAGACTAGCTGAAGGTTTGTCATTTTTTGTTGACCTTTTTAAACAACTAGCTTTGTTGGTTTCATTGATTTTTCTCTATTTTTAAATTTTCGTTTCATTAATTTCTGCTCTCATCTTTTATTCTTTCTGCTTGCTTTAGGTTTAGTTTACTCTCTTTTGGTATCTTAAGGTGGAAAGTTAGGTAATTGATTTGAGATTTTTTTTTTAATTAACTTTTTCAGAGCCAAATACTTCTGAAGAGATATTTCTTAATCTAAGCATTTGCAACTATAAATTTCCATGTGAACACTGCTTTATATGTATTCCATAACATTTTGTATATTGTGTCTTCATTTGTATTGATCCCAAAGTAGTTTCTGGTTTCCCGTTTGATTTCTTCCTAGATCCCTTGGTTATTTTGGACTGTGTTGTTTAATTTCCACATATTTGTGAATTTGCCAATTTTTTTTTCTCTTAATGGTTTCTAATTTTATTTCATTGTGGTCAGAGTGTATACTTTGTATTATTTCTATGCTTTTACTTTTTTTGAGAGCATATTTCGTGTACACCTGAGAATGTATATTCTGTTAAGTGTAATGTGCTAGAAATATCTGTTAGGTCTCTGTTGATAGTGTTGTTCAAATTATCTGTTTTCATGTTGATCTTCTGTTTTGTTCTATTATTGAAGGGGGAGTATTGAAGTCTCCAGCTATCATTGTTGAATTGCCATATGTCTTGTTTTGTGTATTTTGGTGCTGTTATTAGGTGCACCTGTATTTTTAATTGTTATATCTTTTTCTTGATGGATTTACTTTTTATCGTTATAAAATGACCCTCTTTACCTCCAGTAACATTTTTTTATTTGTTTTAGTCTGTTTTATCTGATATCAGTATAGCCACTCCAGTTTTCTTGTGGTTGCTGTCTGCATGATTATCTTTTCTCATCCATTTACTTTTACTCTTTTGGGTCTTTGAATCTCAAGTGTATCTCCTGTAGATAACGCAGAGTTAGATCATGTTTTTAAAATCCACTTTGACAAGCTACCTTTTTGTTGGATTGTTTGATCCATTCACATTTTAATGTAATTATTGATAGAGTTACATTTTACTTTTTGTTTTTTGTATGTCTCATGTCATTTTTCTCTATTTCTCCTTTGTGCTTTCTTTTGCAATGAGAGGATATTTTCTAATATAGCATTCAAATTTTTTTCTTTTCTTATTCAGTGGCCAGTTACTAGAAGGATTCTAAATTCATTAGTAATTTTTTCCACTATATATTTTTTCAAAGTCATTGTTCTAGAGCTTACCCTATGTATCTTGCTAGAATCAAATTCAGATTTATACTTGCTTAGTTTCAGTAATACATGCTAAAATTTATTGAACTTTACTGCTATATAGTTCAGTTCCCATCCCCCCTTTGTATATTATTGTTATATATATTACATATATTGACATAATCCAACAATACATTTTTTTAAGAGTTACTTTACCGTCTGTAGCCATTTCCTTAGCCCACTGCAACTTTGTTTCCATCCACCCCTTTTTGCTATTAGGGCAAATATATTACACATATATTACATTCTGCCTTATAAGCTCAACATTATACTATGTAATATTTATACAATTGCTTTTTAATTCAATTAAGAGAAGAAAGGAGGGAAAATATACTTGTGCTTATTGTTTGCATGGACTTGAATTACCATCTAGAGTCACTTGCTTTAGTAACTTTAGTAAACTTTTTGTAACTTTATAGCTTGAAGAACTTCGTTTAGTAGTTTTTGACAGTGTGGTCTGTTAGCAATAATTCTCTCAGCTTTTTATTGATCTGAGTCTTTATGTCACCCCAGTTTTGCACTATAGCTTTTCTGGACTGAGAATTCTTGGTTGACAGGGTTCTTTTGTTGTTGTTTGTTTGTTTCCACTTCTTTACTGCTTTTTATGTTATCCCACTACCTATTGGCATCATTTATTTATTTATGTATTTATTTATTTATGTATTTATTTATTTATTTATTTTGAGACGGAGTCTTGCTGTGTCACCCAGGCTGGAGTGCAGTGGCACGATCTCGGCTTACTGCAAGCTCCACCTCCCGGGTTCACGCCATTCTCCTGCCTCAGCCTCCTGAGTAGCTGGCACTACGGGCGCCTGCCACCACATCCGGCTAATTTTTTGTATTTTTAGTAGAGACAGGGTTTCAGCGTGCTAGCCAGGATGGTCTCGATCTCCTGACATCGTGATCGGCCTGACTTGGCCTCCCAAAGTGCTGGGATTACAGGCGTGAGCCACCACGCCCGGCCTTATTTATTTATTTTTGAGATGGAGTCTTGCTGTCACCCAGGTTGGAGTGCAGTGGCGTGATCTTGGCTCACTGTAACCTCCATCTCCCGGGTTCAAGCGATTCTCCTGCCTCAGCCTCCCGAGTAGCTGGGGCTACAGGCATGCACCACCACACCTGGCTAATTTTTTGTATTTTTAGTAGAGACGGGGTTTCACCATGTTGGCCAGGCTGATCTCGAACTCCTAAATTGTAGATCTTTCCAGGAATTAGTTTCTGACGTCAGTGTTTGGTATTTGTGCTAACACCAGGAGGGCTCCTCCCAGCCATCTTAATCCCGAGTTTTCTTCTGCAAACTAGCCTGTAGTCCAGGCCTGTATCTTCATTAGATCTATTAGTCTCCTCCCAGTTGCTCTTCACCATAGCTTGCACTGTTTTGGTTTGTTTCTTTGTATTTGAGACAGGGTCTCACTCTGTTGCCCAGGCTGGAGTGCAGTAGTGCGATCTTGGCCCACTGCATCCTCAACTTCCGGGGCTCAGGTGATTCTCCCACCTCAGCCTCCTGAGTAAGCTGGGATTACAGGTATGCTATCACACCTGGCTAATTTTTTGTAGAGATGAGGTTTCACCATATTGCCTAGGCTGATCCCAAACTCCTGGGCTCAAGTGCTCTGTCTCGGTGTCCCGAATTGCTCTGATTATAGTTATGAGCCACTGTGCCTGGCTGTGTGTGTGTGTGTGTGTGTGTGTGTGTGTGTGTGTGTGTGTGTGTGTAGGGTCTCATTTTGTCACCTAGGCTATAGTGCAGTAGTGGCACAATCAGCTCACTGTAGTTTCCAACTCCTGGGCTCATGCAGACCTCTGCCTTAATCTCCTAGGTAGCTGGGACTACAGGTACATGCCACTGTACCTTCCTGATTCTTGATGGGGCTCCAGGACTCTTATGTTCCCCAGGCTGGCCTTGAACTCCTGGGTGCAAGTGATTCTCCCGCTTCAGCCTCCCAAAATGCTGATTACAGGCATGAGCCACTGGGCCTCATTCTACTTTCACTGTTCTTGAGAACAGCTTTTTTTTGTTTGTTTTTTAAACTTTACTGTGCACTTTTGCAAATGAATTTTGTTCTAAAATTTTTACAGGTTTTCTTGATTTGCTTGCTGTTTGCCCTCAGGATCATTTCCAAAGGCTTTAAATGTTTTTGTTTTAAAAGTAATATTTACCAGTTTCACTGGGGAGCAGGTCGTTGAAGCTCTTCATGCTGTCATGTTAGAATAAAATCTTCTGATAAGACTTTATTTAGCAAATGATGATCAATGTCACACACCTTGCCTATTTTGTATCCTCTGTAGTACCTGATATAGACCTTGGTACACATCACTTTGAATCTAGTGAAATTACAATTAATTAGTCTAACATACTGGTTAAGGTACCATCTCTGAGTCATGGTTTTAAATCCTAGTTCCTGAATCTATAGTAGTGTGACTTTGGAAAAGCCACTTAACCTCTCTAAGCATTTGTGTTCTTAATTGTAAGTGGGATACTCCAGACCTCACAAGGTTGTTGTGAGGATAGAATGGAATAATCCATGAGTAAAAGCCCTTGTAACAGTGCTTATCACGTTAAGTGCTCCGTAAATGCTAGTGGTAATTATTAGTCCTCATTCACTAACGTCGTATAAAAATGAAGATCTAACACACGTACAACTTGAAAAAATACTAATCACCCATAAGTGTTAAAATTGTCTTATTATAGGTTGAATTTTTAAGCCAAAATACTGTAATTTCAATTTTTCATTAGCCCTTTGGCCATTTCTCTCTAAAATATCACCCATGGTTTGAATTTCTTTTCATAGTTCCAAGCTTCTTTAAGGGAAATCTGAAACTGAGTTGTATGGTTTGGCATATGACTTCCATCAGTGGGATACTCCTGTTGCCCTGGAACCTCAGACATGATTCATGGTTTTTCTAATGTTCCTGTTAAATCCTTTGTAGGTTTAAACAAAAACAATGCATCTACTGAGCTATTGGTGGTGGTTTCTCCTCATAAGGTTGACTGGAACAGTGGGTTGGCATGAAATTCATTTTAGGGATATACTTCAAAACCTGTGTAATGTATATTTATACAAACATTATTTGTATATTTGTATTATCTTTACTTCTTTAAATAC